>NC_000008.11:103214222-103839222 GCF_000001405.40 Homo sapiens | reverse complement strand
AAACATTAGAAACAGTCCTACAGATGACCAGAATGTTGCAACTAGCAGAGAAGAGCTTTAAAATAACACAATGAATATGTAAAAGGATTTCGTGGAAAAGTGGATAAAGTAGGAAAACTGATGGGGGAATTTCAGCAGATTAATAGGCCTTTTTTTTTGAGACGGAGTGTCGCCCTGTCGCACGGGCTGGAGTGCAGTGGCGCGATCTTGGCTCACTGCAAGCTCCACCTCCCGGGTTCACGCCGTTCTCTTGCCTCAGCCTCCCCAGTAGCTGGGACTACAGGTGCCCGCCACCACGCCCGGCTAATTTTTTGTATTTTTAGTAGAGACGGGGTTTCACCGTGTTAGCCAGGATGGTCTCAATCTCCTGACCTCGTGATCTGCCCGCCTCGGCCTCCCAAAGTGCTGGGATTACAGGCGTGAGCCACCGAGTCCGGCCAGGAACTTTAATAAATGGCAATTCTGAAGTGAAACACGCAATAATAGAAGCGTAGAATATACTGCACATGATTAACAGTAGAATGGAATAAAATCAGAGGTGTCCTATCCTACACCTTCTGCTTATCCAAAATATTCGTAACTTTTGAGAAGTAATAGAATGGTAGACACTCTGACGTTATTAGATAATAGAGTGAGAGATGTTGAGATTGGTATCTGTGCTCTCACAAATCACATGATGAAAACAAAAGCTACCTAATAGTTTAGCCTTGTTGAAACCAATATGGAAAATAAATTATGCTAAGAGGCAGGAAATATTACTTTAAAATTGGGCCTATTTTCTTTGGCTTCTCCTTTTGCTATAATGCTGTAGGGTCACGTACCTCAAGAAAACAGCTGTATTAATTCTAAATCACAATTTCTAATGACTTTTGCTTACATGTGGTTTAAACCTTGCTAGCAGAAAAGGAAGTGAGAAGGATTCCAAGCAGGTGAAGGATTTGATATGCTATTGCTGGCTTTGAAAATGGAGGGAACAAGATCTGGCACAGTGGCTCATGCCTGTAATCTCAGCACTCTGGAAGGCAGAGGTGGGTGGATCTCTTGAGCTCAGCAGTTTGAGACCAGCCTGGGCAACATGGTGAAACCCTACTTCTACAAAACTACAAAAATTAGCCAGGCATGATGGCTTGTACCTATAGTCCCAGCTACTGGGGGGCCTGAGGCGGTAGAATCACTTGAGCCAGGGAGGTCAAAGCTGCAGTAAGTGGAGATCCTGCCACTGCACTCCAGCCTGGCTGGATCCTGGGAGGGAGACACTGTCTCAGAAAAAAAAAAAAAAAAAGAGAAAGAAAGAAAAAGAAAATGCGGGGCACTATGAGGCAAGTAACATTAAGAATCCCATTACTGGGTATATACCCAAAGGATTATAAATCATGCTGCTATAAAGACACATGCACACGTATGTTTATTGAGGCACTATTCACAATAGCAAAGACTTGGAACCAACCCAAATGTCCAACAATGATAGACTGGATTAAGAAAATGTGGCACATATACACCATGGAATACTATGCAGCCATAAAAAAGGATGAGTTCATGTCCTTTGTAGGAACATGGATGAAGCTGGAAACCATCATTCTCAGCAAACTATCGCAAGGACAAAAAACCAAACACCGCATGTTCTCACTCATAGGTGGGAATTGAACAATGAGAACACATGGACACAGGAAGGGGAACATCACACACTGGGGTCTGTTGAGGGGGGAGGGATAGCATTAGGAGATATACCTAGTGTTAAATGACGAGTTAATGGGTGCAGCACACCAACATGGCACATGTATACATATGTAACTAACCTGCACGTTGTGCACATGTACCCTAAAACTTAAAATATAATTTAAAAAAATCCTCTAGAAGCTGAGAGCTGTCCCCAGCTAAAAGCCAATAAGGTAACAGTGACATCAGTGCATAACTGCGAAGAACTGGGTTCTGGCAGCAATCTGAATTGTCTGGAAGTACGTTCTTCCCAAGAGCTTTCAGATAAGTGCCAATGCTAGTCCACACCTTGATTTCAACCTTGTGAGACCCTAAGCAGAGAACTCAAACAAGCCCACCTGGACTTCTGACCTATAGAACTGCAAGACAGTAAATAGGTGGAGTGTTTTAACCCACTAAGCTATGGTAATTTATTAGACAACAATAGACAACTAACATATAGTGTATTTGCATTAAGCATTTTATAAAGTAATGAATCTTCTTTGTATTAACCGTCATAAAAAATACGTAGAGAAAATTAAAAGATTCATATGCTCATGCAGGTGAACAATTCCATATAATCTTTGCACTGTACTATCAAACTGTGGTACCACTTTTCATTGAAACTGCTCATCTATACATTTGTTGCAATGCCAACACTAAAAAATACAAATAAGAATGTCCTTAGCTGTGTGTGTTTCATGGGAAATATGGTAATAGTTTTTAAAGCACACATTTCTCTATGTGTATTTTCATCATCAGATTTACATTTTGTGCAAATAGTTTTTATAACAAGCTGTTCAACTTCTCTAGAAAAGGTAGTGTGTCCTATTTTTATGTTCATCATGTTTTGTTCCAAAATTAAGATATAACTCAGAAAGACCCAAAAAATTATTGTTGAGAAACTTACTGCAAAAAAATACATTGGCATAGGAAATTTTATTTATTTATTTATTTATTTAGAGATGGGGTCTCAGTCTGCCACTCAAGCTAAAGTGCAGTGGTGCAAACATGTCATGGCTCACTGCAGCGTTCAACTCTTGGGCTCAATGATCCTCCTGCATCCGCCTCCCAAGCAGCTGGGATGACAGGTGTGCAACACCATGACTGGCTATTTTTTTTCTTTCTTTCCTTGTTTTTGTAAAGAAGGGGATCTCACGATATTGCCCAGGCTGGTCTCAAACTCCTAGCCTCAAGGATCCTGCTGCCCGGGTTTCCCAAAGGGGTGGGGTTACAAACACCATGCCCAGCTTGAAAACTTATTAATTTAAAAGATCAGCCATGATTATAAATAATTATCATAAAATTCTTCAGCACACACTTTTCATTTCTTATACTGTGACGGACACGAGTTGAAGAATCAATTGATCAATTAATTTCATCTTTAACCTACTCATTCTCACTACAACCCTAAATCAAATTTCCTTTAAAAATTCCCTCTGTAAATTGTCTTTGTAATAGATGCCCACCCAGTTAGAAGGTAAAGAAAAAGTATGATAGCTTTTGTCTCTTTATTTTATCTGATCAGAAGTTTTCTTTTAAAATTAGATCAGTCATACCAATCTTGCATTTTCTGTGAAGAAAGCCTTGCACATCTTGCTCATGTTTTGTCATTACCAATAGTCATTAGAATCTAGATGAAGTAAAGTAGTAAAGAAAGAATATTGAAAAGTTATATATTCTCAATATACTCTGATAATACAGTGATTATTTAATTAGGACATACAGTTCCAAATCAGCCACTGGACAACAGGCTAACCAATTATATTTAGAATACACAATAAATTATAAAGAATGAAAGTGAAGATTACAGAAGAAGCTACATATATAATTCCTACCAGCAAGTATAGGATCAATACAACTTAAAATATAAAAGAACAGATTCCTTTTTTTGATAATGGCCAGCCAGCTCCACTCAAGCTAACCTTGCAGAGATGGTAAGTATAAATCCTGGACAAAGTATGAACATACAACTATTTGAGGCCCTCAATAACAAAAAGACAAAAGATACTGGAGACCAACTGATTCTTCGAGGAAGATGACACCAAGTGAATTTCTCATTTTTATGATTTTAACCAAATTCAATCAATGCCTGAAGGCTAAATATATGTTAGAAAACCCAGTCTTGGCCAGGCACGGTGGCTCATGCCTGTAATCCCGGCACTTTGGGAGGCTGAGTCAGGCAGATCACAAGGTCAGGAGTTCAAGACAAGCCCGGCCAGCATAGTGAAACCCTGTCTCTACTAAAAAGACAAAAAATTAGATGGGCCTGGTGGCACGTGCCTGTAGTCCCAGCTACTCGGGAGGCTGAGGCAGGAGAATCCCTTGAACCCGGGAGGTGGAGGGTGCAGTGAGCTGAGATCGCGCCACTGCACTCCAGCTTGGGCAACAGAGTGAGACTCTGTCTCAAAAAAAAAAAAAAAAGAAAAGAAAAGAAAAAAAGAAAACTCAGTCTTGGCCAGATGCAGTGGGCTCATGCCTGTAATCCCAGCACTTTGGGAAGCTGAGGTGGGCAGATCGCTTGAGTCCAGGAGTTCAAGACCCGCCTGGACAACATGGCGATAACCTGTCTCTACAAAAAATACAAAAATTAGCTGGGCAGGATGGCGCATGCCTGTAGTCCCAGCTACTCAGGAGGTTGAGGTGAGAGGATTGCTTGAGCCTGGAGCAGGTGGCAGTAAGCCGAGACAGCGCCACTGCAGTCCAGTCTGAGTGATACAGTGAGACCCTGTCTCGAAAGAAAGAAAGAAAGACAGAAAGAGAGAGAGAAAAAGAAAGAGAGAGAAAGAAAGAAAGAAAGAAAGAAAGAAAGAAAGAAAGAAAGAAAGAAAGAAAGAAAGAAAGAAAGAAAAAGACCTCAGAGGCTTGCTGGCTTGAAAAACCTGAGGAAGGAGTTCGAGCAAAAACAGACTGGAAAGTGAGGGAGATATGACAAAAAAAAAGCTAAAGAAAGGAAAAATAAAATTATGTGTATTAAAAACACTGCCAAAATCTCATGCATACATAAGAAGACTTCAAGGAGCTCTTCTGAGCACAGTGGCATGCCCCCTACAATCCCAGTACTTTGGGAGGCCGTGGCAGGAGGATTCCTTCAACCCAGGAGTTTGAAGCTGCAGTGAGCAATAATTGTGCCACAGCACTCCAGCCTAGGTGACAAAATGAGACTCCCATTTCTTAAAAAAAAAAAAAAAAAAAGAAAAAGAAAAAAGAAAAGATTTTTAATTTACAAAAAATAAAAGCTCAGATAAAATTAAAACAATTAAATTATATTTTAAGCTACTGTCATCTCAAGGGAAACAGGGTTAATAGCTAAAGCTCAAATAAAAACAATCAACCCTGTCTCTACAAAAAATTTTTTAAAAAAATGATGCATGCCTGTAGTTCCAGCTACTCAGAAAGCTGAGGCGGGATGATCACTTGAGCCCAGAGGGTTGAGGCTGCAGTAAACTCTGATCACCAGACTGCACTTCAACCTGGGCAACAGAGTAAGACTCTGTCTCAAAAAATAAATAAATAAATAAATAAATGAACAAACAAACATCAGCATTCTTCAGAGGGACAAACTAATTTCAGAGACTATAAAGCATTATTAGTCATGTCCAAAATACACTTCAAACTTACCTGATATATCAGGAAATAGGAAAACAAGATCCATACTCAAGAGAAAAAGCAATCAATGAAGACTGTGAGATAACAAACCCAGATGTTAAAATTAGCAGAAAAAGATTTTAAAGCCACTATAACAACTATGTTTGAGGAAATAAAGGTAAGATTCTCAAAATGAGTAAAAAGATAGGATATCTCAACAGAGATATAGTGGCTATAAAAAATAAATGGAAATTTTAGAACAAAATATAAAATATTGGAAATTAATAATTCACTAGATGAGCTTTACCTCTGATAAGAGATTCTGAAAGAAATAAAATCAATAAAATTTAAAATTAATCTAAAGAACACAAAAAAAGTTGAAAAAATTCCAAGAACCGATGGGATAATCTATAAAAAGTCTGAAATACAAATAACTGAGAAATCAAAAGAAAAATAGAAAATAGGGTAGAATAAATGCTACAACAATGGCCGAACTTATTAAATTAAGTTAAAAATTAAAATTTGGTTTAAAAAAGAACATAAATTTATACACATACAAAGCACAGCCAACCCAAGCAAAATAAATCCAATAAAAACACACATGTAAGCATAACATAACAAGACTATTATACACAGAAGATAAAGATAAATTTTTGAAGGAAACCAAAGAAAACAAATTAAATACAGAAAGACAATCAAGTGCCAACGACTTGTCATCACGAACCATTTACTTCTCATCAAAAATCTATGAAGGCCAGTTTAAACTACAGAAACGTAAATTTAAAAACAAACAAACAAAAAAGAGTGTCAACATAGAATTCTATTTCCACCAAAAATATTCACAAAGAATGAAGACTAAGAAAAGATTTTTTCAGGTAAATACAAATGGAGATGTGAATATCTGCATTTCAAGTAATATTACAGGGTGTTCTCCAGGCTGAAGAAAAAGTCTATCAGATGGAAATCTGGATCTTCAGAACAGAAACTTAAAACAAGGAATATGTGAATAAATGTAAAAGACTACTCATTTCTCTTGATTTGTTTAAAATACATAAGACTGCTTAAAGCATTTCACATAAAATTTGCACAATATAAACACTAAATAGATTGTGAATGATTGTAAATAGATTGTGAAAGTGCAACCAATAAGAACTAATGGTAAAGAATAGATGTAGCTAATAAGCAAATAGATAAATTAAAAATTGCAGCCATAAAAAAAGAATGAGATCATGTCTATTGCAGGGACATGTATGAGCTGGAAGCCATTATCCTTAGCAAATTAATACAGGAACAGAAAACCAAATACTCATGTTCTCACTTAAAAGTGGGAGCTAAATGATGAGAACACATGGACACATAGAGGCGAACAACACAAACTGGGGCCTTTTGGAGGGTGGAGGGTGGGAGGAGAAGGGAGAGGATCAGAAAAAATAACTAATGAGTACTAGGCTTAATACCCAGTTGATGAAATAATCTGTACAACAAACCCCCATGACATAAGTTTACCTATGTAACAAATCTGCACATGCACCCCTGAACTTAAAATAAAAGTTAAAAAAAATTGAGTTCCACAATGTATTCATGTAATTCAAAAAATATGGCAGGAAGAAACAAAAGTAGAAGAAAACCCATAAAACAAATGCCTAAATTCAAATATATCAATAATTATATTAAATGTTAATGAACTAAATACTCTATGTAAAAGGCAAAAATTGTCAAAGTTGATGAAAAAAGTAAGAGCCAATTATGCTCTTAAAGTGATAAAAGATACATTTTATATTAAAGCCACAGATATATTGAAAGTAAATGACTACAAAAAGACACACTAGAGAAACAGTATTTGCACACATGGTTATATTAATATCAAATAAGATGTTTTTGTAACAGGAGCATTTTTCACTATTGAGACAAAAAAAGGAAAAGACATAGGGTGCTGAGCTATCCTAGTGATCTCCCTGAGCACCTTCAACTAAGGGTTAGACCCATGAGACAAAAACAGGACTCTGAGGCTCTTTGTGAGCACACAGATCCAGCTGAGGCTGAAACTAGTACTATCAGTTTTGTTTTGTTCTGTTTTCAGTTATGTGAACTGATAAATACTCTTTTTCCTTAAGCCATTTTTAGTTGGGTTTTCCATTTCAGCAAAAGAATAATCACTGGTCAGGACTCTGCCTGAGCCTCACTTTCCTTAATGGTATAATGAAGCTTGTAATACCACCTTGCAGGGTTTGAAAAGAAAAAAATGGCAATTAATGTAAAGGACAAAGCCCAGAATAGATGCCCCCAAAATGGTAGTTAATACTATTAACTACCAAAGACAAGCTCACAAAAATTAGATTTCATATCATTATGAAAGCAAAAAGCAAAGGAAGCAAAGTAAGGTGTGAAAATTCTCTGGAGCTCCTCTGTGTCCAGAGAAGGCCAATTGGCCGAGGTCAGTGCTCAGTGAAGCCTAGCGTCTGGCTTGGACTATTCAGTTACACAAGTAGAAAGGACCACTGACCTCGAGTCACTCTGAGACTGGTTTTTCTCCAATGAGTGTTTCCTGACACTGTGTGTTATTAGCCACGCAGAAAGAAAAGAAAAGCCCTCTTTCAGGTCAAAGATGAGGCTTCTCACCCCTTTTCTCTTTACTTTGGTATGTGTCTTTTAAAAAATCATTGACTATTCATATTTGGAAGGGGGAGTAAATGCTGTAAACCAAGAATAAACACAGAACAAGTACAAAAAACATTAATATTAATAAGACTTATACACAAACAGTAATACCAAGGAAAAGAGAAACATTTCACAAAGCTTTTCCTATAATGTCAATTAATCAAGAAAACATAATCCAGGCACGATGGCTGATGCCTGTAATCCCAGTACTTTGGGAGGCCAAGGCAGGAAGATCACTTGAGCTCAGGAGTTCGAGACCAGACTGGGAAACACAGTGAGACCTCATCTCTACAAAAAACAAACAAAATTAGCCAGGTGCGGTGGCTTGCACCTGAGACCCAGCTACTCAGGAGGCTGAGGTGGGAGGATTGCTTGAGCATGGGAAGATGAGGCTGTGGTGAGCCAAGGCTGCACTACTGCACTGCAGCCTGAGCAACAGAGCAAGACCTTGTCTCAAGAAAAGAAAACATAAATATCACAAACGTGTAGATATCCAGTAACAGAGCTTTAAGGCACATAGAGCAAAAGCTGACAGAATTAAAAAGACAATAAATTCTATAATCACAGTTAAAATTTTTAACACGTCTCTCAGCAATTGAGAGAAAAAATAGGATAAAAAATCACTGAGACAGAAGATCTGAACAACACTATTAAACATCATGACATAATTGACATTTATAGACCACAACATCCAGCAAGTACAGAATACACATTCCTTTCAAATACATGTGGAATGTTCAAGATAGTCCTCACAGTGGGCAGTAGAACAAATCCTAATAAATTTAAACTGATTGAGATTATACAGGTATGTTCTCTCACTAGAATAAAATGTCATCATAAAAAATAATAAGATATTTCTCTCACCAGAATAAAATGTCATCATAAAAAATAATAAGATATTTTATTTTTAAATTAAATGTTTAGAAATGACCACACTTTAAAATAATCAATGAATCAGAAGAAATCATACAGTTCCACCTTCCAAAGCTTTAAAAAGAAGAGGAAATTAAATCCATAATAAGTAGAAGAAAAGGAGTAATTAAGACAGGAACAGTAATCATTGAAATGGTAGACAAACGAGAGAAAAGTAACAAAATCAAAAGAAAAAGATGATACACTCCTAGGTAAACTAATAGGCAAATGAGAGAAAGATCACACATCACAAAATAACAATATCAGAATAAAATAAGAGTCATCACTATTAGATCCATAGATATTAACAAGATAATAAAGAAATATGAAATTTATAACAACAAATTAGTCAACTTAAATAAAAATATTAAATTTACTGAAAAACATAACTGACCATATTGAGAAAGATTGAACATAAAACCTCATCAATCCTATTTATCTTAAAGAAATTGAATTCTTCTTAAAATTTGTATTATTTTTCATCATCATAGTGTTATTATCTTTCTCTTTCCAATTTTTATTTTAGGTTTGGGGGTACATGTGCAGGTTTGTTACATGAGTAAACTTGGGGATCTGGCATGTAGACTATTTCATCACCCATGTAATGAGCATAGTACCTGATAGGTAGTTTTTCCATGCTCACTCTCCTCCTACCCTCCATCCTCAAGTAGGCCCCAGTGTCTAATCTTCCCTTCTTTGTGTCCATGTGTATTCAAGCTTAGCTCCCACTTGTAAGTGAGAACATGCAGTATTTGGTTTTGTGTTCCTGCATCAAATTGGTTAGGATAATGGCCTCCAACTCGATCTATGTTGCTGCAAAGGAGATAATGTCATACTTTCTATGGCTGTATATTTCATGATGTATGTGTATATTTTCTTCATCCAGTCCATTATTGATGGACATCTACGTTGATTCTATGCTTTTTCTATTGCGAATAGTGCTGCAATTAACATATGCATGCAGGTGCCTTTATGGTAGAACAATTATATTCCTTTGGGTATATACCCAGTAATGGGATTGCTGGGTTGAGAAATCTCCAAACTGCTTTCCACAGTGGCTCAACAAATTTATGTTCCCAACAACAGTGTATAAACATTCTCTTTTCTTCACAACCTTGCCAGCATCTGCTATTGTTGACTTTTTAATAATAGCCATTCTGACTGGTGTGAGATGGTATCTCATTCTGGTTTTGCTTTGCATTTCTCTAATGATTAGAGCTATTGAACATTTTTTAAACTACCAACAGTATTTTGCACCAAATTAGCAAAAAAAAAAAAAAAAACCTATTATTAAATTCACATAGAACCAAAAAAGAGCCCAAATAGCCAAAGCAATCCTTAGCAAAAAGAACAAAGCTAGAGGCACCATCACAGTATCCAACTTTGAACTATACTACAAGACTACAGTAAACCAAACAACATGGTACTGGTACAAAAATAGATATAAAGTCCAACAGAACAGATTACAGAACCCAGAAGTAAAGCCACACAACTACAACCATCTGATCTTCAACAAAGTTGACAAAGAAAGCAATGGGGAAAGGGGACTCCTTATTCAATAAATAATGCTGATATAACTGGCTAGCCATATGCAGAAGATTGAATCTGGACCCCTTCCTTTCACCACCTACAAAAATCAACTTAAGATGGATTAAAGACGTAAATGTAAAACCCAAGACTATAAAAAAAAAATAGGAAATACCATTCTAGACTAGGACCTGACAAAGGTTTCATGACATAAAGGCTCCAAAAGCAATTGCAACAAAACCAAAAATTGACAAGTGGGACCTAATTAAACTAAAGAGCCACTGCACAGCAAAAGAAATTATCAACAGACACCTACAGAATGGGAGAAAATATTTATAAACTATGTATTTGACAAAGGTCTAATATCCAGAATCTATAAGGAACTTAAACAAATTAACAAGCAAAAACCCAAAACCCCATTAAAACATAGGCAAAGCACATAAGCAGACACATCTCAAAAGAAGACATACATGTAGCCAAAGAAATTGAATACTTTATCAAGATTTTCACACAGAGAAAACTTTAAGTCCGGATGGTTCTGCTGGTGAATTCTATCAAATATTTAAGGGATAAATAACACCAATCTTGATACCAACTGTTCATCCAATAGAGAAAAAGTAAATGCCAAACTCATTTCATGAGGTCAGAATAACCCTAATGCCCAAACCTGTCATAGACATTTCAACTTAAGAAAACTAAAATCTCTCATGAACATAGATGCAAAAAAAACCTTATCAAAATCACAGAAAATCTACACCAGCAATATATAAAATTGTAAGTATCCCATGAGGTGGTATTTAACCCAGAAATGCAAAGTTGGTTTAATATTCAAAAGCTAAACTAATAAAATTAGCATTATTATGGAATCAGGAATAAGAATTACAAAATAATTTCAATTACTGAAGAAAAAGCACTTCACAAAATGCACACCTTTTTTTTTTTGAGATGGAGTGTCTTCTATCTGGTTAGTTATCTACCGTTGCACCTTCTTTTTTTTATTTTTTGAGATAAAGTCTCGCTCTTGTCACCCAGGCTGGTGGAGTACAGTGGCACGATCTCAGCTCACTGCAACCTCTGCCTCCCGGGTTCAAGCGATTCTCCTGCCTCAACCTCTTGAGTAGCAGGGATTACAGACACACACGGCCACGCCCAGCTAATTCTTGTATTTTTAGTAGAAACAGAGTTTCACCATGTTGGTCAGGCTGGACTCAAACTCCTGACCTCGTGATCTGCCTGCCTCAGCCTCTCAAAGTGCTGGGATCACAGGCGTGAGCCACTGCGCCCAACCCATTCGTGATTATTTTTTAAAAACTATTATTTAACAAAGAGACTCTCACAACTTCTGTTTGACATACTGTTGGTTTTATGCATTATAATAAGGCAATAAAAAGAAATAAAAAGCATAAATACTGGAAAAGAAATAAAACTGTCTCTGCAAATGACATGATTGCTTACACAGAATAGCATAACAAATCTACAAAGCAACTATTAGAACTAGTAAGTGAATTTGAAAAGGTTAAAAGATAAAAGGTTAATATTAAAAATAAGTTAGATTTTAATATACTAGCAGCAAACAACTCGATATTGAAGTTTTTAAAAGAATTCCATTTATAATGAGATAAAAAACTTAAAATACTTACGGAAATTTTCACAAAGTCATACAAGATCTCTACTCTAAAAACTATAAAACACTGTTTGGATAAATTTAAGGAGACCTAAATAAATGAAGAGATACACCACTGGAAGACTCAATGTTAAGATGTTATTTCTTCCCAAATCAATCTACAAAAATACATCGCAATCCGAGATTTAATCCCAGCAAACTTTTCAAATCAAAATTAACAAAGTGATTATAAAAAATATATGAGGCTGGGCATAGTGGCTCATGCCTGTAATCCCAGTGCTTCGGGAGGCCAAGGCAGAAGTATAGCAGATAGCCTGAAGCCAGGAGTTCCAGAACATCCTAGACAATATAGCAAGACAAAAAAAAAAAAGTTTTGTCTCTACAAAACTCTACAAAAATAGTTCTAGCTACTGGGAGGCTGAGGAAGAAGGATCACTTGAGTCCAGGAGTTGGAGGCTGTAGTCAGCTATGATCACACCACTGGGTGACAGAGAGTATATATATGTATATAATATATACATATATATATATTTGAAATATATATATGCAGAAGACCTGGACTATATAACCTATTGGACAAAAAGAACAAAGGTGGAGGATTTACACTGCCTGACATCAAAATTACTATAAAGTAAGACTGGCATATTGCACAGATCAGAAATAGAACCATGCTTATACAACTATTCAATTTTCTACAAATGTGATAAATCCATCCAATGAAGAATAGAAACCTTTAAGCCTTTTCAGCAAATGGTAATGAAATAACTGGATAACCAAATGGAAAAAATATTAATCTTGACCCCTACCTCACACTATATACACAAAAATTAATTTATGATGGATCATATATGTGAACCAAAAAGCTAAAACTCAAGCTTCTGGAAGGAAAAAAAAAAAGATAGTTGCCTGACTTAGGGGTTAACAAGGATTTTTAGAGTGCAAACAGAAAATAAAAACCACAATGGAAGACAATTAGTAAATTACATTTTATCAGAATTAAAACTTCTACTCATCAAAAGGCATTGTTAAGAAAATAAACAGGCAAACCACAGAATGGGAGAAAACATACATTTTATATATATAAATTCACTTACTAGCGAATTTAATAAAAACACAACCTAATTTAAAAAATATTGGACACTTTACAAAGGAGGATACACAAATAGCCAACAACAGTATGAAAAAGTTCTTGTAGTTGTTAGTCATGAGGCAAATATAATAAAATTATCATAAGAGGATGCCACTATAAACTTACCAGAATGACAAAAATTAAAAACCTATATCACCAAATGTTGGAAAGCATATGGCATCACCAAAATCTTCAATCATTGTTGGTGGGAGTTTAAAACTTCTTTCAATAAAGAAAATACTTAAAAACTGTAGATAAGTATCATTTAAATGTGCTTTTAAAAATGATGTGGCATTATAAAATTAAACATACACCCACGCTATGATCCACAAATTTCTCTTTTAGTTATTTACCTAAAAGAAATAAAAATATATGGCCACAAAAAGACTTACGTGAAAGTATGGTATATTCATATTCATAAAAAGAAATATTATTCAGCAATGAACAGGAAAAAACTACTCACACATGCCACAATATGGATGAATGTTTTAAAACTATGTTGAGTAGGCCGGGAGCAGTGGCTCATGTCTGTAATCCCTGCACTTTGGAAGGTGAGGCAGGTGGATCGCCTGAGCTCAGGAGCTTGAGACCAGCCTGGACAACATGGCGAAACCCCATCTCTAACAAAAAAAAAAAAAAAAAATTAGCTAGCCATTGTGGCACATGCCTGTGGTCCTAGCTTCTCAGAAGGCTGAAGTGGGAGGATCACTTGAGCTTGGGGGAGGTTGTAATGAGCCGAGATCACGCCACTGCACTCCAGCCTGGGTGACAGAGAGAGACAACATCAAAAAATAAAAATAAAAACAAACAAATAAATAAAATTATGCTGAGTAAAATGCCTTATCAAAAAAAGATTACCTTCTATAAAATTTCATTATGTGAAGTTTTAGAACAAGCAAAACTAATCTACACTAGGTGGGGAAGCAGTACAACAGTTGGTTCTGGAGGCTGAGGGGAGTGGGTATTGACTGGGAAGGAGTGTGAAGAATATAACTGTGGGAATTCAGAGATTAATAAATATGTAGCCCCTAATTCAAGGAGCTCATAGGACAGCAACTTTACCAGTAACACATAGCCAGTAAGCAGCAGACCCTAGATATGAGCACGACTTCTATGTTCAATACTACCCAACATAAAGCTACAATGTGTAGCAGAAAAGTCAGGCACAAATAAATCCTTACTTAAATGCAGCAGTTTTCCTTATCATTTTCCATTAACTCTACGTCTCACATTTCAAAGGACTTATGATGAAATGAAAAGTTTAAAGCCATATGAGTAACCGTAAGTCCTGAGTTTAAGTAAGCAGCTGGACGTTAGTTTGTTCAAGAGTAAAATGACAGCAGTAGAATAAAAAAGTCTCCAAATGTGTTTCTTAGAACCAAACATGGGTCCCATGTCCCACTTTCTATACCAGAGCTGCTCTACTTCTATCTGCTTTGCATATTGAGTTAGACCTTGAAAGCGTTCTCTGCCCAAAACAGAAAGCATAGTTTAAAACACACTAGGCAAAATAAAGAGCCCTCATATTTTAAGATACTATAATTTTTAACGTGCAATGGGTTTTTCCATTTTTCCCTATAAGAAATGTTCACACATTTTTCTAAAATACTTACAATTTCTCAAATTTGAAAGCAAAACTAAAATTGTGGATGAGTCCTAGGAATTCTTTTGTTGGGGCCATGAATTTTTTGTGAGTAATTCATACATGGATAGGAAGAAAGCCTATAGCCCATATGAAATGAATTCATTTTACTATTTAGTGAGTAGTGCCAGAATTAAAGAAGTTTACTAGTAATTATTTTCAACTTTTAAAATCCTTTATGATCATACAGAAGTTGATAATTTAAAACTATAGTTAACATTTACCTGTCAGTCATCACCAAAAGCAGAAGCTTTATAAAACTTCTTTCAATAAAGAAAATGCTTAAAGACTGTAGATCAGTGTCAGATTAAGGACATATACTAATAATTGTAGTATATTGCTAAGGTCCACAGTAAATATTCTAGTGAAAATACTAATGACACACATATCTAAATCAAAAGCCATTTTGATTAGAAATCTAAATAGATAATTAATTGTGTTATAAGCTTTTATGCCTATAATGAATAATGTTATAGTTATAAAAATATTTTATAATAACAATTATGCATGTTCAATAAAGTATATATATATGTACATAAAATGTGTATATTAGATGATTGGATGCTTTATACCTCATAACACAGACTTTTCATGCAATATGAAAAATCAACTGTGCTGGAATCATACCAAGTCCAAACAATGCACACTGTGTAGATTGCACCCTGAGAACTATGAAAAGTAAGCATGCTGTTCTTTCAATGTCAAAGTAGTCATTAACGTACCATGATGAAGAATCATTATCTGTGCCAAAATTCCTGAACACAAATTACTGGTTTGATTACAAACCAAAGCAATAATAAATGCTACAGGAAAAACTAAGAATTTCTGACCAAAAATAATACTAAATAAACATTTATTTAGCAAGTCAGATTTTACTTAAAATATTAATGTTTTAGAACAGTGGCAATGTTTCAAAGGAAAAGAATCCGCTTAAACTAAGTGAATTTAAGCTTTACATTTCACTTTTATAATTAGAGTAGCCCTGTAATTTATTTTCAAATCACAACACTTTTTAGAGAGAATAGTACTAATAATAATCACTGGATGACTGCAGGCATAAACTGGGAGTACTCCAGACAAAGTGGATCGTATGGTTATCTTACTTGCAATTGAAAAAAAATCCAAATATTCTTCTGTCTACTAATATTTTTTCTTTTCTTACTTTTAAATATGAAAGTCTACATATCTCATTGTACGTATACGGAGAGAAAGACTGTTTTTAATATCTACTCTAAATAAATTCCAGTTTTATTATGCCTCTGTGTGGCCAGAAGTCACAGCAAATTCACTGTCACACATTCAGTGGCAAAAAAATAATTTCATCTAGAGGAAAATACAGATCTCTTCGTTGTATAAAAAAGACGGCTAAAAATTAGCAAATGGAAAAACTCAGAGGATCAATTTTATCACAAAAGATAGCCATCATTAGCATGTTTATTTGAATATTGCCCAAAGCAACTGATAACTCAATGCAGTGAACAATGCTAAAAAATATATCTTCTAGCGTCTCAATATTTATGTTTGCTTCCAAAGACAAGCTCACAAAAATTAGATTTCATATTGAACTCAGTACTTGATTTTTTTACTAATGACAAAAGCATTTATCTTTGTGTCCTGATTAAATAATTTCACTTGAGAGAGAGTTTACAATGAGAAAACTTGATAACAAAAAATTAAACTAAAGTGGCATTTCATCAAAACCTATCAAGTGAGTCAAGTGAGTTTATGCAGGATGCAGACACATGTTTTCTTTTTGCTAGACGTCCAGTTGTTTCATTTTAGCTGTAAAAGAACAGAGAATCCTGCTTCATGCACTAAAATGGTACTCAAGAACCATACAATAAGAGAATAAGCTAAACACTTTCAGTATGAAAATAAGGTTTGTGCTATATGGTTTCCAACAAAAAGTTAGTCTAAAATATTTTAATAATTATTACTCATAGATAAATTTCATTTAATCATTAGTTAATTAATTCACTTAAGAATCTATATTAATCTCCACTTTGGGGACTTATGACACATACAGTATTATTGGTTGGTTTAAAAATCTTTCCTCCTTTAACAAGTTGAACTTGGAAATGTTTCTGGAGCAGTTGTTATGGAAGATTTTCATCATTTAATGTTTTATTGCTAATATGTCATAGAAGTCAACTGCCTCACCATCTAAAATCCTAATGAAAGTTGAGTTGCAGATTTGGGGATAAGATTAGCTACCGAACAAAAGTCTTAGTTTAAAAACTACTTGAAAAGGCCCCCTTTTAATAATACATTGTCTACAAATGATGCATAGTACTATTCTAGTAATCCCTACTAGAAAGCAATTCAGAATAAAATATCTAATTGTCCAAATTGATGGCTTTTTTCTATCAATTTAAAGATCATTGTTAATGTCACAATACAAATATTGAATATTCCATGTCAACTAGTCCAAACAATTAAATGATTACTATTCATGTACTAATAACCAAAACTGTTCTTTCCAGAGGTGATAGTTATATAATTGATGCTTAAGAAGATCACAGATGTCTAATTGAAAGGTCCATTATTCAGAAAAAAAATCTAAATTCTTGCATATGAGATCTTTTGATGACATATTCAGGCCATTCTTCTTCCATGATTTTTTTCTTCAAGAATAATTTTTTAGTCTATACTAAAGTGGAAAGTCTTTACTTTCCACTTTAGTGTTAATTAAAATGTTAATACCTATGCAGGATGCATAGGCATTTATATTGTTTAAAAGAATATAAGCAGAATAAAAGGTTTAAAAGACCCTTGTATCTAAAGTGAACACAAAAAATAACCAAAAAATTAAAATATGTGGAAGCATAAAATTCATATACTTATTTTTTCACTCATCATACTTCTAAAACAATAACTATTTGCAGAACTTTTTGATTGACCTTAAAAGTAAATCAAGTAGCTGATGGGACATTTATGAAGATGCATAGATGTATTTGTGGTATAAGGGCAAATGATTTTTAAAGACTAATAAGAACATATAAAGGCCGAGATTTTTTTCCCCTAAAGCAAGATAAATTACTTATCGAGTAATTGGTAGTTTGGGATAGTTTTAGATAATAATCAATATAAGTTAAACCATACTGGTCGTATAGAAGCATTAAAAACTTCATAATCTTATGTTTAAGAGCAGCAGCATAAAAGTCCAGATTTTAATGAGAGCTTTAAAGGCTCTTACTGAAATTATAGGCATGCCAACAATAAAAGAAACTTGAAGCCAAAGCAAGTACACAGTGATAGGGATGCACACAATTCCCTCAAAAAATAGTTATTTTCAGATTTTTAAATTAATACTTTAAAACCAATTCCTTACTATGCTGTTAATAGCATAATTTCTATACCTAAACCCTAATATTAATACATTTACACACAAATTCTTGGCATTAAAAAAAAAGATGGAACTAAAACAAGGAAAAGGTTTATAAAGGATGAGTACAAATCCTAAAACTCTGGTAGCTTCAGGTCATGGAAATTTTTAGAAAGCAATACTTGCTTTTTAATTTAAATATAACATAAAATATATATTTTTATGATAAATTATAGACACTAAAGTGATGTATCACTTTAAAAAAGGAAAACAGCATCTTAAAATACAGATATCCAATTTAGAATATCCTAACATTTCATATACTGTTTGATGTTTTTAATTTGTCTCAAGATAAAATATAAACAAAATCCAATTAGTTTATTGAACAGAACTGGATTGAGGAAAGAAAGTGAAATTTTATAAGAAATAGATATGTTATCCCATTTTCAAAGTAAAGGTTATAAATATATTTATCATCAGTAAACATTTTAAATGCCAACAAATTTTAAAAGCCTTTTTTTCATTTGCTAAATTAAAATACATATTGTATAACCGGTATTTTTTTAATCTCCAAAATAGGATGCCTCACATTGTTCAGAGATACTAAGAAGAAGAGACAAGTAAAACCACTCAATATTTTATGCACTATTAGTTCCCCATCGGTTTCCAGAAGGTTTCAGTGCATTGCCATGTTCACAGAATTTCTTTCTCAGTCTTCTCCACATATATTTAGTTAAATGGGGTCTTTTTTTTACTAAGCATGTAACATGAGAAATTCTCAAAAGCCAAACAACTTAAATGAGGAAAGAACTGGATGATAAAACTGCATTCCAAAAACATTCTTTAATAGAATATCTTTTAGTGTAAGCCAGAGAAACCATCTGAGAGATATGTTCATAATTTAACAGCCTTCACCATAGAAAAATGATCAGGTTGAAAAAGCAATAGGAATTTATAACAAAGAATCCTGCCAAATTAGCTGACCTAATGCAAAGCATTATTCGCGGTTCCACAATATATCTTGTTTAAAAGTGATTATTGAGCTACCCAGCATAGAGAAATGTCTTAAACCTAGAAAACATCTTCCACATGTTTTACAGGAGCTAATTCACATTTTCAAACAAATCACATATGATTATATAGCCCCATCCTTATATATGCAATGTAATCACTGCCATGATCACAAAGAAAACATCTATCGGGCATTTTTAAGTCATTTTATGTATCTAGAAAACAAAATAATGAAACAGCCTGATATCTGTATTACGTTTCAGAGGTCAAGCTAGTTAAATTTAAGATGCTTTTTCTGGTTGAAGTAAGCTTATTTTCCTTCTTAAAATCAAATTAAGAATGCTATATAAAATTTTATATTTACAGTAAACAGATAACACCTTTATAACACTAGCACTTCAATACAAAACAATTTTTACTGGCATATAAGATTATTCTGAAAATAACAATATTAAAAGAAAATATAGTTTGGCTCTACTCACCTTGCATTGTTCAGTGTTTGTCCAAAAAGCTCATTTTGTAAGATATTTGGTGGGGATGAAAAAACCCCATGAAAATGAGATAAAACAGAATTGCAGACCTGGCGCAATGTCTCAAATTGCATTTTCTTTCTTTTTTTTTCCCCTTCTCTTATTTTTCCCTACCACCTGTCTTTAAAATCATCTATTTGCTGACACCATCAAATAAAAACACGCCAATCAAGTTCCATATTTCTCCTGAGCTCTGTAAAAACTGTGCTTAAATGAACAGAGGTTGATAGTTAATTGTACAGTCATTATTCTTCTAATTCAGTCGTAGAAGATTCAGTACCCGTGCAGCTTTCGGCTTTCTCCTGACTGTAGCAAGAATTCTAAACAGCAGTAAGCTTTTTGGGCATTCCCAGCTGAAGTGTGAAGCTGAGCTGCTTTCATGTACTCTACTCATATTTCTCTAAGCCTATTAAAAACATGCAATGAATAGATGCTGTCGTCAGGAGTTTTAGCACATCTGGCTGCCAGCAATAAAATATCAGAAGTAATAAAAATGGGGACAAGGTATCTTCTCAATGCTACTACTGGGTAAGAGTAAGAGAAATTATGCATTTCCCCAACCCTTTTCTCTTTTCCTGAAAAACAACTCCAGCAACAGCATATATCTCTTCAATGTGCAAGATGCTGCAAAGGACCAGAACACTCTAAAAATAAGTGGTATATTCTTCTTTTGATGTCATGAAGCAATAAAAATATGATCAACAATAGAGCATTTATCATCTGCATTTAAAATGCCATATTTCTAAGAGAAGTACATTTGGAAAACATGTACTTAGGTGTTTTAATTTCTTATTTTAAAATTTCTCCATTTATTTATTTTTAAAGAAAAGTGGATAATGTTGAATCTGGTCCTTTCTAAAGGCTATATACATAGTGACTACATGGTTATTCACATAATTTTAGAAAAACATTATAGCTTTTCAATTAAAATTCACCTAAACACCACACATTAAATTAAAACTTCCCTCCAAATCCAGGTGGGGGAAAAACCCTACAGTCAAGGCCAGAGACACTTTATCAATTATTACTAATTTATTTCAATAATGGTGGTCATAGCATTTTGTAGAAGAAAATGTTTCCTGAAGGCTCCTATGGTCTTGGAAAGCCACCCCATCATCATCTATTCTCAGTGAATAATTCTGTTTCTGATAAACATTTAGGTTATTCTATACCCAAGTACATCCATCTTTCCATAACAGATCTCTAAAACTAGTGTGTAAACCAAATTTTAAATATTAACTCACTTGCAGAGATGCTTAGTATTTTCATTGACTTTTAATAGCTCTTAACCTTTGACATTTCTTTAATAAATCCAGCCCTTTTTGCCCTTTTGACCTTAACTCTTTGCCCTTTTATCCCTTTCCATACACTATCAGTAAATAGACATTTAAATACATTAAGTTTTTAAAAGCTATGAATTCTTTTTTGGCATAATCATGTCACAAAAGAACAACACAAATTAAACATGTAATAATATAAATTTTTAAACAACCATTTTTTAAAATAAGATGTTCAATTATGGGTTTCTTCTCAACTAAGAGTGCCCCCATTTTATTTCAGTTTATTATTTTATTTTATTATTTCACTATTATTTATTATTTCAGATTTTCATAGGTATACACCAATCTATTTGTCAAACACACATACATACCTAAAAATCATAAAGTATTTTTAGTTTATAAAGCACTTCTAAATTTATTTTTTAATATCCAGAAAACACTGTATGTGCTAATGCCACCATCATTTTATGGATGAAAAGAAACTGATGCTTTATTTATTTATTTTTAAATTAATTAATTATTTATTTTTTTGGAGACAGAGTCTCACTCATTGTCACCCAGGCTGAAGTGTAGTGGTGCTCACTGCAACGTCTGCCTCCCAGGTTCAAGCAATTCTGCCTCAGCCTCCTGAGTAGCTGGGATTACAGGAGTGTGCCACCACGCCCAGCTAATTTTGTATTTTTAGTGGAGACAGGGTTTCACCATACTGGCCAGGCTGGTCTCAAACTCCTGACCGCAAGTGATCCACCCAGCTTGGCCTCCCAAAGTGCTGGGATTACAGGCGTGAGCCACTGCGCCTGGCCTGAAGCTGTATTGAATTAAACATCACACAATTTATAAAAGATAGAAAAAATATTTTGATTTTCCTGTTGCTTTTGTCTTTGCTTTGGACTCCATTTTCTATGTTCCTTCCCTGTGATTCTATTTTTTTACATATGTGCATACATGTGCACATGCACACACACACACAAATGCACACCTATTGTAAAATGGCCAATTTCAATAGATGAATAGGAAAACTACCTGCCAGTGGCCTAATCAAGGGTATTTTAGTTAGAGCAAATATCTCAAATGTTTTAACTCGCAAGTAACTTTAAATGGGCTTCTTCCATTTACCTCAAGCAGAAGCAACCTGAGGTGCTTTAATTTTTAAGCCTCTGATTATGAGTTGATTTTTCACACCTTTGAAAGGTCAATTTCTACAAGTGTAAACAAACATTTTTAAATTTCTTATTTTCAAGTCAATTTCACAGCTCATACTATCTGTGAGGGGAAAAAATGTAAATTTTCCCCTTTTAAATAGATTTAATTTTTATAAATAATCAGAACCCCTTTAGAAACAAGTCTACTAAGTAAGAAGGTGATTATACTGCAAATCAACATTTACTGTTAAAAAGGTTTCTTTTATATTTCAAAATTGGATATGAAGACTAAGTCATAGAAAAAGCATCGAAGTGGTCTAAGTAATGGAAACACTAGAATGAGACTTAAAAATGACTCATTTGAAAGAGTCAACGATACATCAACTGCCTTCCTCAGAGACTTATTTTTCCAGCTCTCACTATACTACACCCATGCTAGTGAGCAGCTTTCTTCTAGTTCCCTCAGTATCCCAGAAATGATCTCTTCCACCTTCCCTCTCCATTACCACCCTTTCACCTGCCCCTACTCATCCTTAAGGTTTCAAATGTCCCTCCTTTAGAAAGACTTTGTCTGACCTAAATTAGGTCCCCTATTATACATTCTCATTATACCCTGTGCTTATTCTTCACAACATTTGATATATGTGACCATATATTTACTTGAAAAAATGTTTAATATCTTTCACCCTCAATTCCATGAGGTTAAGTCCTGCATTCTTGTCTCATTCATCTAGCATAGTGCCTAGTACAGGGTAGGCGGTTCATTAAACATTTGTTGAATAAATGGATGCCTACATGTTATCAAAAAGTTAATTCTTTTTCAATCACTTACATAGACAGGATAGGAAACCGCCACAGGACTTCATCTGGTTCTCAGTTTCTACAGTGTTTATTTTATTTATTTATTTTTTTGCTTGTTTATTTTTAGCCTGCCACATCATCTTCTATAAGGGTCATAAATACAAGAGTAACCAATATTTGCAATCAAAAACATTGTGCTTTGAATGGACTCTGTAATTTGTTATGGATATCCTGAATATTATAAAGAATGTTTATAGATAACGTGTGTTTTAAATTTTCAATATAGTGCAGGTTCACATGTAACATAAATATTGGAGACTTCTGTCAGAACAGAAAGAACATGGTATTTGGCATCGGGCAGCCTGGTTTTAAGTACTGACTCCAACCCAAACTAGCTGTATTACCTCAGCATATTTACTTTATGTATCTGAGCTATGGTTTTACCAAATGTAAAATAAGCTATATCACCTCATAGGGAAATTACTGTATTAAAATCTCATGTGTACCAATGCATTTTATAAATTATAAAGTATACAGTGTTTGGAAGTAAACTCAGTATGAACTATTTAAGGAATCAAATTACTGGTACCTGAATTCTAACAATTATGTTCATGTATCTTTTATTTATCATGCTTATTCATTTGACAAATATTTATATTTTCTTTGTCCAAGTCTCTATCCTTCTATCTGTTAGTGCTGATAGGATGTAGGGCTTATGATTATCCTTTTCCAGAAAAATTAGATAAACTCAAAAGAACTTCCAAGCAAGATCAGCTCCATATTTACATTGAGTCCAGCAGAGAGACATTAACTATTACAAATGGTATAGATGATGGCAATTGGTTTCTCTATTTATGTTCTATTAGAATCTTTAGAGTCTCACTGGAAATGACAGTGATAATAAGAGTTCTAACAGAAGAAGTGTTAAGGAACTTTTGGAAGCAAAGGCAATTTCGTGACAGAAAATATCTAAAAAACTAATCAACACTTGAATAAGTTCAATCTAAAAGTAATCAAAAGAATGCAAATAAAAATAATAAGATAATGTATTTTGCCTATTAAATTGGCAAAATATTGACCAGAGGATCAAAAAACGCACAGTCTCATACCATGTTTATTGGTAGGAGTGTACATTGGTACAACATTTTGAGAAATATTTAGTAGTATATCTCAGGTTTTTAAATGTTCAAAATCTGAGAGCACACTGGAACAATACAAACCAAAATGATAATATTGATTATCTCTGGGTAAGAACATGACAAATTTTTTCCATTTATACTTTTTGATACACTAGCCACAAGTAAAGCTCAAAATTTAATTTTCAAACAGTGGAGAACTCTAAAATTATAACAATCTTTAACCATCACATATTAAGTATAATGTTGGCCCATGAACTTTTCTTTAGCAATGCTCAAGTAAATAAAATAGTAGATTATTAGTTTTCATGTGATTAGCTATATCATTAGCAATGGTTTCTCCCCTTCTATATCAGTATAGATATAGATATTTTGAGACAGAATCTTGCTCTGTCACCCAGGTGTAACTCCGAACTCCTGGGTTCAACTGATCCTCTCACTTCAGCCTCCCATGTAGCTAGGACTATAGGTGTGCACCATCATGCCTGAATAATTTTTGATTTTCTTGTAGAGATGGAGGGGGTCTCACTATGTTTCCCAGGCTAGTCTTGAACTCCTGGCCTCAATCAATCCTCCCTCCTCAGCCTCCCAAAGTGCTAGGATTACAGGTGTGGGCCACTGTGCCTGACTTCTCCTTCTTAAACAGTAATTCCTAAAATTCTGTAATAATTCAAATTGTTTAATTAGTACTATGAAACATCCAAATGACAAGAGCAACCAAAACTCAGCACTAACTTCTTTACATCATCCTCAAAAATTTTTGAAGTGTAAATTCTTTCTTTTTAAGTTTTTTTTTTTTAGTTTTTTTAACTTTTATTTTAAGTTTAGGGGTACATGTGCAGGTATGTTACATAGGTAAATTTGTGTCATGGAGGTTTTCAAACAGTTGTACAGATTATTTCATCATCCAGATATCACGCATAGTACTTATTAGTTATTACTCCTGTACCTCTCCCTCCTCCTATCCTCCACCCTCCAATGGGCCACAGTGTCTGTTGTTCCCCTCTATGTGTCCACGTGTTCTCATCATGTAGCTCCCATTTATAAGTGAGAACATATAGTATTTGGTTTTCTGTTCCTGTATCAGTTTGCTATGAATAATGACCTCTAGCTCCATCCATGTCCCTGCAAAAAAACATAATCTTGTTCTTTTTTATGGCGCATAGTATTCCATGGCGTATATTTACCACATTTTTTTATGCAGTCTACCATTGATGGGCATTTAGATTGATGCAATGTCTTTACTATTGTTAGTAGTGCTGCAATGAACATACGAGTGCATGTTTCTTTTTTTATCCCATTACTGGGTATACACCCAAAGGATTATAAATCATGCTGCTATAAAGACACATGCACACATATATTTATTGCGGCACTATTCACAATAGCAAAGACCTGGAACCAACCCAACTGTCCAACAATGATAGACTGGATTAAGAAAATATGGCACATATACACCATGGAATACTATGCAGCCATAAAAAAGGATGAGTTCATGTCCTTTGTAGGGACATGGATGAAGCTGGAAACCATCATTCTCAGCAAACTATTGCAAGGACAGAAAACCAAACACTGCATGCTCCCACTCATAGATGGGACTTGAACAACGAGAGCACTTGGACACAGGGTGGGGGAACATCACACACTGGGGCCTGTCGTGGGGTGGGAGAGGCGGGAGAGATAGCATTAGGAGATACACCTAATGTAAATGACGAGTTAATGGGTGCAGCACACCAACATGGCACATGTATACATGTGTAACAAACCTGCACGTTGTGCACATGTACCCTAGAACTTAAAGTATAATAAAGAAAGAAAGAAAGAAAGAAAGAAGTGTAAATTCTTAAAATTATTTAAGAACCTTGGTTTATAAATGCCTAGTGGCTAAGCTAAATGTCTTAAGAAAATTAACACAAACTCAAAAATTAAATGAAAGAATCAAAATTGGAAAGTTATGCTCGTCTGAATTAATAACAACACAAGCCTCTAACCTGATAAGCCATGATAATTCATGACATACTTAGATTTTACAGGCTAGGTTTAGTTTTCATTTTTAAGAGTACCAAAGCATTTCTATTAAAATATTCCATACATGAAAATAAACATATAACTAAACAAAGCTAATGAATCATTAAAATCATAAGATACACAATATGTATCATCTATAACAAAAATCCCTGAAATGCTAAAGGAATTCTTCCTTTTCTTAAAATTTATATCTGTAGTCCCATCTATATAATTGAAACAACTGCATTCTCTCTTCCATTGCATTATTCTTGTTCTACTGACTACTTGAAGCATCCGACTGATAAAAATCTAAAGGCTATAAGAAAGACAGTCCAGAGAACAAACATTTTGAAAATAGTATCTTCATGTATTTTGCAAATTAAAGTACTCTGTTGTAAAGTATTCTATATTTCCCTGAGGCACGGATCATAGAACAATTCACCTCAGGGATAACATATAAGCAAAAAATAAAAGGCAGATGATGGAATTCCTAACAAAAGGAGGAAGAAGAAGGCATTCAAAAAAGGTAATTTGGGCCTGGCATGGTGGCTAATGCCTGTTATCACAACACTTTGGGAGGCCAAGGCAGGCAGATCACCTGAGGTCAGGAGTTTGAGACCAGCCTGGCCAACATGATGAAACCTCGCCTCTACTAAAAATACAAAAATTAGCCAGGTGTAGTGGTACGCGCCTGTAATCCCAGCTACTCGGGAAGCTGAGGCAGGAGAATCGCTTGAACCCAAGAGGCGGAGGTATATACCAAGATCGCACAGTGTGCGGGGATTGCACAGTGAGCCAAGATCGTGCCATTGCACTCAAGCCTGGGGGACAAGGGTGAAACTCTGTCTCAAAAACAACAACAAAAAAAAAAAAAAAAAAAAAAACAAGGTAATAAGGTAATAATTTGACCTATGCTTCAACTTAGGATGAACCATACAATACATTCAGGAATGGAAGAAAGGAAGAACAGCCTGGAGCTAAATAAGCACACTACAAATCTAAAGATGACGAGTACATTTCTACTCACAAAATTTGAGATAAAAATCAGAAAACAGTTCAGAATTGTTACATCAGTTTTCATAAGTTTTAAAAATTTGTTGATGGCCAGCTGAAAAAAAACATGCTGTTTTCTGATGTACAAAAACATTTTATAGCATTTCTTAGGGACTGAAACCCTGTATCTATCCATAATTCTGACCATTGCTGCAGAACAGACTAATAACACAACAGTTTATGGCATCTAATTCAAAAAAGAAAGGGAAAGCATGGTGGAAGCCACCACAAATGTGTGAAGCCACACCATAATTGTGATCTCTCTCACTCTTCTTTCTAAGCCAGAAGTGTAAGGGCTAATCCTACTGTGCTTTGGTTTGAGTGGCATTATTCTCAAAAGTATTACTAGGTTGCTTTAATAATCCAGTGCAAAAGCAGGTTTTGCAAGAGCAGTTCCCACACCTAAAACCTCGCAACAGCTGGGTGTGGTGGCCCACGCCTGTAATCCTAGAACTCTGGGAGGCCGAGGTGGGTGCATCACCTGAGGCCAGGAGTTTGAGACCAGCCTGGCCAACATGGTGAAACCCCGTCTCTATTAAAAATGCAAAAAATTAGCCAGATGTAGCGGCGGGTGCCTGTAATCCCAGCTACTCGGGAGGCTGAGGCAGGAGAATCACTTGAACCCAGGAGGCAGAGGTTGCAGTGAGCCAAGATCACGCCACTGCACTCCAGCCTGGGTGACAGAGTGAGACTCCGACTCAAAAATAAATTAATTAATTTAATTAAATAAAAATAAAAGCTGGCAACAGCAGAAATATATTTCTTGTTGAATACAAGAGTTAGTTATAGAGTACCAAACCTAGATTTAAGCTCCACAATGAGAATGTCCAGAGTGACACCTGAAGATTCTACCAATTAAAAGAAAGAGGACCAAGATCCCTGAAAAAAAAATTTGGAAAATCCTTTTAGCGTTAGGACTGCTTGTTCCAAGTATATATTTCCTTGGTAACTAACAAGAGAACCACTGAAAGCAACATTACAATTTCAGGGAGCTATATCAACATGAATAAGCTTCAACTCCATCTCCAATAGTTACATTCACCAACAGCCACAATATAAGGAATGTTTATAGCCCTGGAACTTCAAGAACTCACACCTAAACTTGCAAACTGCCTCTGCAAGTCACCTCTGCTATCTAGTAACTTCCAAGTACACCTAGATTCCTTGAGAAACAAATATTGACTGCACATTGCTATTATATAAGATATTAGAAATAATAGTCATTTGCACAACTATAAATGTGTTTCAGCAAAATATGTGAACAAATGAAATATTATGGAATAACATTGGCCTCCAAGAGTGCCCATTCATAATTCCTTTCTTTCATATAATTCCTCTCTCTACTCATTACACTATGAAAAAAGGCGGTGAGGGATCTTTTCTCCCAAAGGCTACCTATTCTATAAATACAAATATTTGTTTCACTTTGACATTGGCTGTCAGAAAAAAGTGCTTTAGAAGCTTTAAGAACATTAGGATATGTTAATTTGCTTGAGTAAAGTAACCTTTTTAGTATCTATATGTATATCAAAACATCATGTTGTAGACCTTAAATATTTACAATAAAAATTTTTAAAGGACATTAGGTTCAATACTGAAGAAAAAATATCTACATAAAGGTATAACAATAAAGTTTAAAGTACTTTGTTTTCACTAGAACTTGCATATGACAGAACACTTCTCATAAAATAGAATATATTGTCATTGCCAGCTATATAATACATTCAATTAAATATGCTGCAAGTACTGACTAGCTGCTTGCCACTGATTGAGTGTAAATGGGAAACAGTGAGTTGGAAGGTACTTGGCTGACTCTCTTCCACTGCCTACCTTCTCCTTTCTTTCTTTTTTATCTTTCCCTGCCCACCTTCCTTGTCAGCATAGCCCAGGAGGCCA
Source organism: Homo sapiens (assembly GCF_000001405.40). Lineage (NCBI taxonomy): Eukaryota > Metazoa > Chordata > Mammalia > Primates > Hominidae > Homo > Homo sapiens. Next base: position 103,810,266 of record NC_000008.11, on the reverse strand, counting down.
CTAGAACTAATACAATTGCTTCTAAGGAGGCTCAGCTTAGAGGCAATATTAATGGTGATTCTAATGGGAACATTTTTTTCTATTCCCATATAGGCAGAAGTCTTTGGAGAGCTACTGAAGAGTGAACTGGTTAGAATTAGTCCTGTGACAAAGGCTCAAACAATTGCTGTTAGATTCTACCTTGCTGCCCTTAAATGTATTCAAGAAGAGGACATAAGGGATTTGTGTAAAGGAAGACTGAATTATGCAGAAGCTAAGATTATCTGACTTACAAAGTTCCTTCAAAATTTTATGCTGAATCCCAAATGCCTTCTGCTTCATCATGCTTTAGTTACAAAAGGGATTACATCAAGACTAATATCTCAAATTTCCCTGGATTTTTTACCCTACCTGTGTTTAGCAGGACGTCAGCTTCCTGCTAAATGACCTCCTATAAATGCGCAAGTACCCAGGCATTTCAAATATGCCTCCACAGTCCTCTAAGTCTACTCATATCCTCTCATCAGTAATATGTGCTGATTATAAAGCCACTTGAGGATGGAGCCTCCCCACTTGTTGGTGCCCTCAGTCTGAATTCCAGTCCTCAGCCAAAGGTGACGAATCTCAAGGTTACAGCAATTCAAGGTACTGTGCTTTATGCAGGTATTGGGAGAATAAATCACTGTTCAAAATTCACTCATTCACTCAACAAGTATTTAAATACTGACTAAAGTATCATAGGTACTTTTCTAAGTACTAAAGAGCTCACAGGAAAGAAAGAAAAAGGAGTGGAGGGAGGAGGGAAGAAGAGAAAAAGAAAAGGAAAAGGGAAGTAGGGAGGACACCATCCAGCCCTTACAGGGGTTTTTATCTGTAATATAGCAGGGAAGACAGAGACTAAGAAATTATATGTGTTATTGAGAATTCAGATTAGAAATGTTAAGAAAACTTGTAATAACAGGTTACCTTGAAATAATCTTGGAGTTCAGAAGTTCAGAGGAAGTTTTCCTAAAAAAAAAAAAATAGATTCAAGATGAGAAACATGGAATGATAAGCATTGGCCAAGCCAAAAGTGGGACAAAGGAGTATTCCAGATATGGAATACTCATATATAAAGATGTACAAAGATCAAGAGATGACACTGATTATGGCATAATCAAAGAACCACAAGAGGCCAATTCAGGGAGAAATCAAATAGCTGGAGAAGAAACAGTAGCCACATCCTATAGAGCATGGAAAACTGTTGAGATTCTGATTTTTAATCAAATCCATGAATAATTATGTGTTTTGCTGTAGCAATGCTTTTTGAGTCAACAGATATATCAAGTCCTAGCAGTCAGAATGGAGAAGATTCAGGAGTTAACAAGAAACACATAGGAGGACATATAACCATAAATACCCCAAAATATTATCTCACTGTATGTGGATGCAGAGAGATCATTTAGAAAGCTAATGTAATAGTCCAGGCAAGATTTTAGTTGGCCTGGATTAAAGTGATCATAACAAGATAGAGAAAAAAGAATAGACTTAAAAGGTAGAAGTCGAATCAACAGGACTTAGTCGTTGATTGGTCACAGTCAAGATAGGTGTAAAAAGTAACTCTTAGATTTATCTCTTAAGTACCAAGTAGACAGTCTTAAAATTTGCTGAGACAAAGAATGCTAAAGGAGAAGCAGGTTGAGGGAGAAGAAAGGGGAAGATGATGGATTGCTGAATTTGAGGTGCATGCAAGACAGCTAACAAGACAGAGAAGTAAGCAATTAAATATGTCACTCTGCAGTTCAGAAGAGAGTTCTCAACTGAAGATATAACTTTAGGAAGCATCAGCGTGTTAGTAATGATTTCAACCAAGCAAGTAGATGAGATCACCCGGAGATAAAATTTAAAAGGAAAAACACGCAAATAAGAGGTTTATGACAAAGCATTGAGGAGCTAAGTTCCACATTAACTCATCAGTTAAAGAAGGAGAAGCCAGTGAAGGAAACAGAAGAGGAGCAGCCACAGAGGTAAGAGAAAAGTCAAGAGAGAGAGTGTGGTAGCCCGGAAGACAATAAAAGACAGTATTTTAAGAAAAATATTATGATCAACTCTGTTATATATTCTGCCATTTGGAAACTGAAGAATTGCTGCTTGTTTTCCTGTGCTTCAAAACAACTCTCGGGAAAATAGCTCTTTTGGCCTGAAATCACTCAATCCATAAAACCCAGATCTAGCCTATGAAATGTAGTCTAGGAATAGACATCTTCTTAGCCTCTTCCATCATCCCCCTTTCCTCCTTTGGTGAAAGGTAAGCAAATAAAATTTTTAGTCTTTTTTCAGCCAAAACAGAAGATCTGATGCAAATAAACTCATGCAAATCTAAATGTATTTCAATCTAATCTTATCAACTTAAAAAATATAATTTGTCTGACCTGTAAATATGGACAGAGATCAGGATTAATCAAAGATCCTAGCTACTTAAAAGTAAAGGTGTTTAAGCACCAAATGTGAAAATAGAAAAGAAAGGAAAATATAATATAAACAAGATCTATTCTATCAATTTTCCATCTGTCTTACCCTTTTTATTACCAGCTCCTCCATAAAATACCTAGTTTATTTACTCTTTAGTCTATTTTAGAACTCCCTTGGTTCCAATGATACTTGTAATGATAAACAAATAATATTAATTGTATATGTGAATCAAGTTATCAGTGATTTTATTACTATATTATTTCCTATCTTAACAGAATTTCCCTTGACCTCATATTCCCTTCCAGGTACTACCCCATTTTTCTGCTCCTCTTCACAGCAAAATTTCTTGAAGAAGTTGTCTTTAGTTGCTATGGCCATGTTTTCATTTCACATCCTCTTTTAAATCCATACTAATCAATTTTCTAGCACTAATGTTCTATTGAGATTGTTCTCACCAATTACTTGCATGTTATCAAACTAAACAGACAATTCTCTGTTCTTTTTTTACCATGACTTATCTGTATCATTTGACACTAATGCTATCCATGACTTTTAAACCATTTTTACTCTTCATTCCTGAGACACATTCTTCTGATTTTCTTTCACAGTGTCAATTTTTTCACAGTGTCTTTTGTTGGCTCTCATTCCTCTCTTAGATCTTTAAATGTGTGGAATGTCCAAGGCCCTGTTTTGGCTGTGTTGTGAACCCTCTCTGCTCTTTTTATTTACAGCTCCCCCTTCCCGGTGACTTAGGTCCCATGGCTTTAAATATCTTCTGTATATCTTTGCCCTTATCTTCCCCTAAAACTCCAGACTCATTTAACCATCTGTCAATTTGGAATCCCCAAACGGAAGTCAAAAGGGCATCTCAAACATAACAAGGCCAAACAGAATTCCTGATTTCCTCACCCAAACCTGTTCCTCCCATTTTTTTTCTGTCTTAAAACAACACCATGATTTATCTAGGAATTAACCTTGATATCTCTTTTGCTTTCACACTCCACCACACAAATCAAATCTATCGGTAGGTTCTATCAACTCTATCTTCAAAATGGAACACAAATCCATGAACATTTTCCATCTCACTACTATAATTCTAGTTCCATCTACCAACATCTCTCTAATGGATGACTTCAATAATCTCCTAGCTTCTCGGTGCATTAATCTTGTCCTCTACAAACCATTCTCCACCAAAGATTGCCCACACACACACACACACAAAATAATATCATGCTCCTTCCATGTTTAAACCCTACAATAGTATCTTATCACATTTAAAATAGAATCTAAACCTCCTCCGTCTACAGAAAAGAGATGTGATGCACTGTTTCATCCAAGGCTTTTTGGACCAAATGGCTGGTGACAAAGTTAGAACTAGTACCTAGAGCTTGTGATTTATAGTCCAGTGCTCCTTCCACGGTACTACTGTATCTGTCATTCAGCAACTTCTTATGGAACTCTCATTTAAAATGTAAGTTAGTGTTATAGTTTCTAAGGGTCCTTGGAATTTAAAATCCAAAGGTGATGTAAAAATACAGATAAAAAGAACAAGGCCTTCAGCCTTGAAGATAAACATAACCCTTAAGCCTTATGTTTTCTGAGAGAATAAAACAATAAAGCATAGATTCAAACATGTTTAGACAGAAAAAAGAAATATTGCAAGAGCACAAATCAAATCTTCATAATCCTTCCACCCTCATGACTCTAATTCTTATTAAACGAAGTCAAATAGAAGAGAATCTGTTGTCTTACCACTTTCCAGACAGGGGTTTTAAGTTATATCTCAAAACTTTATGTTAAATTTTTCATATAAGTGAGTTTCAGATATATATCACAGAAATGAAAAAGTTATTTTATATTGCAACAATTTTGACTCCCCACACACTGTAGTCTTGCCATCTTGGTTATATGAAGAATATTATAAATATTTCTGAGAGATGTAACTAAAATTTATTAATCCTGCTTTATCACAACTGATTAAGTCTGAGGCAGAGGAAAGGAAGACTAAAGTGATTAAAGAGATTAAATATACAGAAAACTCAATAGGAATTTGAAAATATCAATGAGGAAAAATAAGGTGAAAACTAGCTCTAAGAAATAGACAAAAAAGTTCAGGTGGAAATATAATAAAAGAAGAAATGAAAAGAAAAAGTGGAAGAGAGATTGCATTAGTAGGGATTGGGAAGTCAAAATAAAGTTTAATTTTCCAGCTCAAGCACTGTGTAATTAGGTAAGCAAAGTGAGAACTGTTCTACTAATAACCTTCAAACCAACCTTGAAAGACCTTATTTCCAAACAAAGAGTTCCAGACCATACCTTAAAATTTCCAACTGTGTCAAATAATAGATGTTAGCAACTCTCAGGTATGTATCACAGAAATAAAAATAGTTGATTATATGTGACAAAAATTTTGACTCTCTGTACTATTTATTTTTGCTGACTTAGTTATTTAAAAAAACAAGAGTAGCTGCAGCTTACTAAAGAAGAAATCTACACAACATATTAATGTTAATAACACTAAGATGCATCCCAAATCTTATGACAATAGTGAATTTATCATATATTGAGCTATCTTGAGATTCATGGGACTAATTCACTCTTCAGGATTCCTAGGGATAAAAAAGGTCACACAAAATTAAACAAAAACACTCAAGAGAAATAACAATTAGTACCATTATTAAGTATTACACATACAGAAAAAAACACATACATAAAAATAGATACACACACTTTTTTTTAAATGAGGCTGGGTGTGGTGGTTCATCCTGTAATGCCAGCGCTTTAAGAGGCCAAGGCAGGAAGATTGCTTGAGGCCAGAGTTTGAGACTAGCCTGGGCAACATAGTCAGACCCCATCTTAACAAAAATAAAAAATTAGCTGGGTGTGATGGCATTCACCTATAGTCCTAGCTACTTAGGAGGCTGAGGTAGGAAGATTGCTTGATCTCAGGGGCTAGGGGTTGCAGTGATCTATGACTGTACCTCTGCACTCCAGCCTGGGTGACAGAGCAAGACTCTCAAAGAAAAAAAAAAGACAATTTCTACAAACTCCTTATAAGTGAAAAACTACAGTTTAAAAACTCCTCTTGGGTTTTAAATCAAATCTCTCAATGGCTACAGCACCTTTGCAGGTAAATACCACAGTCAAAATATGCCAGGATGATTTAGAAAAACTCTGTCTCAATTCACTACATATTAAACATATTCCTATCTATTCCTCCTAGAAATAAGAGTCAGTAAGGATCTACTGCATTTTCTTACCAGGAGGAGCAGAGAAAATAAACCACATAGACAAACTCAAGGACAAAAGCAGAAATCAAGTGAAAAACAGTCAAGGAAGCTGAGTGTTCCATATATGTTATGTTACCTTATATAATCTTGTCCACATACAATCCAATACTCTGTTGGTGGTAGAGGAGGAGACTACGGAAAATTTATTCCAAAATCTAGCAGTTCTTAAAAGTGTAATCCAGTGCCCTCAGTAGAATCCCCAAATCCCTTTCAGAGGATCTGCAGGGTCAAACCTATATGCATAATACTAAAATGTTATTTGCCTTTTTGATTCTCATTCTCTCTTGGGTGTACAGTGGAGTTTTCCAGAGGCTAAAGTATGTGTGATATCTCAATATATTGAATACAGAAGCTGTCTTCCACTAAGTTAGACAATAATGGAATTTCCCAAAAATGTAAAATAATGTCACTTTTCTCACTAAATTTTTCTTTACTTTTTTTGAAATATGCTGTACTAGTTTGCCATTGCTGCAAAACAAATAACCATATTTTTAATAGCTTAAAATGATGTATATTTATTTTCTTGCAGTTTCCATAGGTCAGGAGTCCAAGTATGGTTTAAATGATCCTCTGACTCAGGGCCTGAGAAGGCTGTTATCAAGATGTCCACTGGACCACGTTTATTTCTGAGCTCAGGATCCTTTTGCAAGCTCATGTGATTGTTGGCATGCCTCAGTTCCTTGTGGCTCAAAGACTTAGGTCCTCACTTTCTCACCTGCTGACAGAGATGTACTACTCAGCTTCTAGAGACCCCACACAGATCCCTGACACATGGCTCTCTCACAGCCCTTTTACAACATGGCAGTTTATTTACTTCTAAACCAGCAGAAGAATCTCTTGCTCCAATTGAAGACATAATCTCATACAATGTGATATAACTATATAACTGACTATCCCAACATCTTTGCCATACTCTACTAGCTAGAAGCAAGTCACAGGTTTTATACATACCCAAGGGAAGGGTAAGTCTCATTGTACATAACTTAGAATTCTGTCTACTGTATACAGTTAGTTGTCATATGGTGGGTTTACTGTTATTTTTAAATTAATAAATGCATATTTAAATTTTTTTATCAGTTATTTCTAATATGGTAAATAGTAATAAATATAATCCACATAAACAAAAATTCTTTGAGGTCTTCAAGGATTTTAAAGATTGTAAAGAGGCCCCAAGACCAAAAAGTTTGAGAACCACCACTTTAATCTAAGTTACGTCTTACATTTGACACATAACACTAGTTTTAAACAGAATAAGCAGAAGTCAAATCCCCAATATGAAAGACACTTTAAATTATGAAAATTATTCAAGTTATTCAGTTATTCCATATCATTTAGCATAAAAATTTGAACTATAATAATTATTTTTATAAAACTTTATTCCCCACCCAATCTCATACTGTATTTCAGAGAATTCCATGAGCTACGTCCTTAGTAGATAAAATAGGGTAGGTTCCATGCACAGTTAGAGCAGGGATTGCTTATCTATAGTAACAAGCAGGAAGGCAGAGAATATAAGTACATATGCTTCAATGTAAATGAGTAAAAAATCTCAAAGTAAAAAACCACCATGATGCTGAATTCATGTTATTATGAATTGACCAATTTAAATGCCTGAATCCTTGGAAAATTAAAAATATGCAATAGGAAAATGTATCTTCATCTTTATTAAAAGTGTTGACTCCAACTCCCCCTCGAGGTGACTAGACCTTGTATGACCTTTGAAAAGACTATTTCTGCTCCTTAAACTTCAGTAATAAACAAGATCAATTTAGTGGCTAGCTCCTTAGTCTCACTCTTCTTTCCCTTTGACCCTCCAAAGGGTACTTCCTAACTGGTTCATCCCAGGCCTGTCTTAGCACATTGGCTCTAAGAGGGAAAAATATCCAGTGAGGCAAATAAAAGAAGAAATTTATTTCAAACCAGTTTTCTTTATTACTGGTTTATTTGCTTTACAAAAAGATCTAAATAAACACTTCTACATTCACCAGCCCCTACCCTTGCCTCACCTTAGTATGGCTGCCAAATTTTGTAGTCCTTATCCATTATATCCTTGACCAATACCGGAATTACTTCACTGGTGTGTATTGGGAGAGCCAAAGGGGAAGGTGAAAGGTGGGTGAGAAGTCAGCATATAGCATTAATATTACCATAAAAGCCCAACTAGAGGCAATGTACTCCCACAGTCCACTATGCACACTCACATATATACTTCTACTGCTAATATATCTGTAAAATATCTGTGAAAAAGGATTATATGAGCATATACGCAAATATCAGTTAAGAACGCCTTACAATTTATTAAATTTTATGTTGTTAATGCATGAGAGACTTGGGTAACTAAGACACACATTAGTGTTGGAATAAATTAAAGAGGCTCAAAAATGGTCATTTTGGTGTTAAAATTCTCTCCACAACAGCTTAAAAAAGAGTGCTGCTGGCTAATAAAACCACCACCATTGGCTAACAAATACTCCCATTTTAATGCCTTACTAGCTTTTCTTTGATTGTAATTTTACTACTAAAGAATTTTCCTTGCTACAATTATCAATACCAAAATATATTTTACAAATGAATATATGACGCTGAAAGAAAGCTTGTTAAAAATGAATTTACAGATATTGTCAAGAAATAGCAAGTAATAAGTAGTGTCTTGCTCAATTAAATGTCACCGATTATGACATTGGATATTGGCATAAAATAGTTAAAGTATTATTGAAAAGCAAGTGCTTCAAAAGTGGACAATCTAGTGAAGTCATGCCCTACAGGAAATGGATAACGGCTTCACTAGACTTTAAATAAGAAGGACAAAACAAGTGGATAGCAGACTAAAAGGCAAAACTTCTGCAAGGTAAAGGTGAATGACAATGATTGAATATCTCAGATGAAAAGTAAAAAGTCACTAAGTCCAGCCTGAGACAACGAGAAATTATCACTAAAATTATCCCAATAGTACTGGCAGATATAAAGGTTAGTTGAAATTGGAATTAAATATAGGTGTAAGATATACAGATTAGTATGGAACATGAAAAAGGTTATGTTGAAAAAGAGTATGAAAATGTCTATTCTGCCTCTAATATTTTAAAAGGAAAAGAAAGAATACTTTTAAATGATTATTTAGACAACCCTAGAATAAATATAGCTACCATGGCTATATATTTACTAGACTGTAAAAATATCCATATGCTCAAGGATAAATAAGTAACCTGAATGGCTGCATAATCATTGAAAAAACTGAATTCATAGTCTTTAAAGACATTGCTGGCTGGGTGCTGTGGCCCATGCCTGTAATCCCAGCACTTTGGGAGGCGGAGGCGGGAGGATTGCCTGAGCTCAGGAGTTCATGATCAGCCTGGGCAACATGGTGAAACCCCGTCTCTATTAAAATACAAAAAAAATTAGCCGAGTGTGGTGGTGTGCACCTGTAGTCCCAGCTACTTGGGAGGCTGATGCAGGAGAATTGCCAAAGGCGGAGATTGCAGTGAGCGGAGATCATGCCACCGCACTCCAGCCTGGGCGACAAAGCAAGACTTCATCTCAAAAATAGAAAAAAATAGAATAAATAAATAAATAAAAATAAAGACAGAGCTACAAGAGAACTCTAGGCCCAAATGGCAGTAGAGGCAAATTCTATCAAACATTTAAAGAAATAACAGCTCTATAAAAACTATTCTAGAAAATTGAAGATAGAAGATCATTTCCTAACTTATCTTAGGAGGCCAGCATTCCCTGATTAAATCAATGATGTTACAAGGAAAGGAAACTACATACAACTCTCCCTCATGAACATAAATTGTAAAAATTTCAAACAAAGTATTAGTAAATCCAATCCAGCAATACATAAATAGAATAATACCATCATGACCAAGAGGAGTATCCCAGAAATGCAAGGTTGATGCAGCATTTGAAAACAATCAGTGTAATTCACCATATAAAGAGACGAAAGAGGAAAAACCATGTGATCCTTTCAACAGAGGCATAAAAAAAGCAAATGACAAAATTTCATAGCCATTCATGAAAGAATTCTCAGCAAATTAGTAATAGAAGACAATTTTCTCAGTCTAATAAAGGACATCTATGGAAAACCTATAGCTAACATCACATTTGATTGTGAAAGACTCAAAGCATTCACCCTAGGACTGGAAAGAAGGCAAAGACGTTACTCTCACCACTTCTATCTAACATTTTAGTGGAGGCACTAGCCAGTAAAATAGGATAAAAAAATGAAATAAAAGGCTTACGACTTGAAAAGAAAAAATAAGGCTTTTTTCATTATAAGTGATGCAATCATCTATGTAAAAAATGCCAAAAAACCTAAAAAAAAAATTACAGTGTGGTACTATCACAGGGTAAAACATAGACCAGTAAGACAGAACAGAGAGCTAAAAAGTGGCCCAATTATATATAAGTGCATTATAAACATTATATATAAGTGCAAAAACCAGTGATGTGAGAATAGTTTGTCTAATAGCTTCTGCTGGGAACAGTGGCTCACCATATGGGGAAATAAAACTTGGGATTCATACTTCATCATGTCCACAAGTGAACTCTGACTTAATTTAAAATATACATGAGAAAGGTAAAAACTGTAAAGCTGGTAGTAGAAGTGTAAAAGAGTATTTCTAGGGATTCTGAATGATGACTGACTTTTTAATCATGACTAAAAGAGCACAAACTATAAATTTTAAAAAGTAATGAATTTAACTACATCAACATTAAAATGCCTGCTAAAAAAAACAACAGACAAAAATGATGTGGAGCTAATTTTTTCAAATTGACAGATAAATAAATACTTCATAGTAATGGCAATCCAAGTAGCTAATATGTATGTGAGGGGATCCTCAGCTTCAATGTAATGAGGAAACTGCAAATTAAAACAAAAATACCCCCTCATATCCACCAGACTGCAAACACATGAAATGCTTAGTAATATCAAATATTAGTAATGATATGGGAAATCACAAATCCTTAAGCACTACAAGTAGAAGTATGGACTGAGGCATTTTTGAGAACAAAACTAGTGAAATAAAGTATACATACCCTATGCCACATTAATTATACATCTACATAGACAGACTACAAAGTCTTGCATAGGTCCATAAGGAGACATGTACAAGGATGTTCACTGACTCACAGTTTATAGTAACGAGTTTTGACATAGCCTAGATTGTCCATCACTAATGGGATGTCAAATAAAATATAGTATATTCACACAAGGGAGTATCTATTAATTTTCCATTGTTGAGGTAAAGAAAATTACCACCAATTAAATGGTTCAAAACACAAGTTTGTTGTCTTACACTTATGTAGGTCAGAAAGTCTGGTAGAAGTCTCATTGGACTAAAATTAAGATGCCAGCTGAGTCTCTTTTTGGAGGTTCTGAGGGGAGTCTATTTTTTGCTCATTCAAACTATTGGCAGAATTCACGTTGTGGTTGTAAGACCAAGGTCCCCATTTTCTTGCTGGCTATAAACTGAGGGAGATTTCCAGCTTCTAGAGGCTGGCAAATTCTTTGACTCATGGTCCCCTTCCCCCATCTTCAAACTCAACAATAGGCATTTTCGTCCTTTTCCTGCTTTGAATCTCTCCTCCTTCTATCTCATCTCATTGACGCAGCCAAAAAAAAAAAAAAAAGTTTTCTACCTTTAAGGCTTCGTGTGATTAGATTGGGCCCACATAGACAATCTAAGTTAATCTCCCTATCTCAAGGTCCATAACCTTAATCATGTCTGCAAAGTCCCTTTGCCAGGTAAGGTAACATCCAGGGGTTCCAGGGATCAGGGTGTGGACATTTTTGGAGGCCATTATTCTGTCTACCACATTATAATGCAGCAGTCTGGAACAACAAATTGATATTCCCACATGAACGAATCTTTTAAAATGTAAGATCTAAAGCACCATATCCTTTCTGTAATTTAAAACGCATGCATACAAAAAGCAACATTCTGTATTATGCAAAGATATATATTTAAGTGGGAAGAAAACACAAATCACCGAAGTGCCATAAACTGACAAATGATTAACAAACCTCACTGTATCTGAGGACCAAAATAAAATAAGAGTGACAGAAGAAAAACTGATAATATAGAAATGTCTATACTATACAAACTTGCTGTCATGCTATTTTTACACAATGCTGTATCTTCTATCTTTTAAAATTCCTTTATTAAAATTTAGTTGGTTTTAACAAATCTACAAAACTTCTCCCAAATTTCCCTATTTGGTTCCATCATTTAAATTTGTTAATGTACAAAAGTAGTCAATTATCTGACTACTTTTATATATTTCTAAATTACATTTTGTTACATTTATATTTGCCCATTTCAAATATTTATGTTTATATAACTATATCATTAATCCTGACTTATTAGATTATAAATTCATATGACACAGAGAATCTTCTACTGTCTTTGTATTTCTCCATATAAACTGTTATATATAAAGTATATACTTAATCAATATTGTAGACTATGTACCTGAAGTAATATTTGCTGCAGTATGATTCCATTGGGAATTTTCAATAGGTCTAACAAGCATTGGGCAGCACAGTATATGAGCTATCACATAGAAAGCCTCAAAGAAGAATAGGAAGACCATGTAATTTATTGTCAACCCCAGGATACTTTTGAGAGTAAAAAGGGTGCTCTTAATAATTATGCCAATATAACATATATGAGCCAGGACTGGCAGTGACAAACTGGGACATAGGTCACGCTGCCCAAAAATGGATAGGAGAACATGGAAAAAAAGCAAGACATTCAAGCAAATTATTTAAAATGAAGCTAGAATGTGACAGGTTAAAGCAAATAGGCATAACAATTTCTTTTCAAATATGCTAATACACTTAAAATGATCCATCACCATTGCCAGTTTCTAAGAAAAAATCGAACACTAAAGATCAATCTGATATGTAGCAACAAGTAGTTTAATTCTTTTATGCATGTTAAGATGGTTTCACAAAGACATTGGGGCAAAATGAGGCTAAGGGGCAGGGAAAATTACCAGATTCTTTAAGTAAATTCCATTTTTGTAAACACAGGATAATTGTAACAAGTAAAAGATATGAAGAAGATAATGGGTAGCTACTACTTTTTCAGTGATTTAGTTCAATTCATTCTAATTCAACTAGTATTCCATTTCTAGAACCTTAACTTGGTATGTATAGACCCAAACATGTAAAAGTAAGTATGCTCTCAAGTTGTTTGAAATTGAGTAAGAGAAAAGAAACATTGACAAGTATACTGAAGATCAGACAGTGGTAAGTGCATTAATAATGGTATCCTTTCTAAGCAAAAATATAATTCTTGCTAGAAAAACATACAGGAAGGGCTCAAGTAACTAGGAATACTTGAGTTAGGCTTTGAAGAAAAAGGTAAGATTTAGGCCGATATGCCAAGGCACACCCTCACTTAACAATCTTGGCACTTGCTATTTCTCTGCCTAGAGTGCTCTTCCCTCAGATATCCACACGTCTTACTTCTTCACTTCCTTTAAGTCTTAACTAAATCTTAAGCAATGCCTTCCCTAACACCCTATTTAAAATTATAAACTGTTTCCCCACAAAAAATCCCTTTCCCTCCTCCCATGTATTATTATACTATCTTCCTCCACAGCACTTGTCACTGGGACCTCAGAGGTGCAGAACTCCAAGTTGTACCACTCACATCTGAGTGAATTGTGCCCCCTGGAGTTCTGCTGCACACAACCTGGACAGCCAAATGCACAGGCCTAAAGCTACACTCTTATCCAACATACTAGTTATTTCTTATTTCTTTGTCTTTCCCAACTAAAAAGTAGTTTTGTCTATTTGTTCACAGCTATACTCTAAGCATCTAGAAATCTGACACACAATCAATACTCAATAAATATTTGTTGAATTCACACATACATAGCTAGAATAGAATTCTAGATAAGAGGAAAAGCAGAGCAAATACTTAAAATTTTAAGAAGGAAAGATTTTTAAAAATTCATTAGTGATCTGCTGAGGCTAGATTATAGGGGAAAGGAAAAAAAGTGGTGTGAGATGAGGTAAGAAAAGATAAATAATAGTGAGTCTCAAAAGAGGGCATAACAGGCTTTTGAGTTAGAAAAACCTATGTTCCACTGGAAAATCTACCTCTAATTTTGGTATGTTAAAATTATTTTTGTATAAAAGGATATCTTAAATAGCACTTTATAACATTTTTATGGGAATTAAAATTACATGCATTAAATTTTTCTCACAAAGTCTAGAACATTGTAGGTACTCAGTAAATGTTCATTTCTCTTATAAAGTTAAGAATTTGAACTTTAAGTCCAAAATGAGAAAGCATCAAAAGTTAGCAATTTAATGACTTCATATCTACACTTTAATATCACGTTTCAGGAAACCAAGTAGAAAATGGAGAGCAGTAAATAAAGTTGAAAAGCAGGAGGCCAGAAAGGAAGAAAAACATATTGTGGGGAGTTGATGGGGAAGGGGATGAAATTAATCAAAATCATAAATATGTACATATTATAAAATCAAGAGGAAGATTAGAAAAATGATACCTAAGTATCTTTAAATGGCCATAAGAATGATTGATGGTGCAATAAGATGGGCTAGGGGATGACAAAGGAGCTGCTACTTTCGGAGGAAGTATATACTTACATTTTAAATGTCTCGATTTTGAAATATTTGTGGAACACAAGGTAAGATTATAGAACTTGGAGTTGTAAATACAAGTCTAGTACTTGGAAATCTCAGAACTGAGATAAATATTTGGGAATAAATATCATATTTGAATATGAAAGGCAGCGATACATGTGAAGGCTTGTTTTCTACAATCTCAAATGTCAACTAAACAAGCTCTGCAACTAGTTCAGGTGGAAAAATCAGAGAATTGTGTATCTTTTGCTTTTAGGACGCATGTTCGCCATCTGGTGGGAAAAACGATAAATACAGGCTTATCCTCTTTTTTTTCTTTGTACTTCTTATTTTTCATCATTATTATTATACTTTAATTTCTAGGATACATGTACACAACGTGCAGGTTTGTTATACATGTACACATGTGCCATGTTGGTGTGCTGCACGCATTAACTCATTTTCATTAGGTATATGTCCTAATGCTATCCCTCCCGCCTCCCCCCACCCCACAACATGCCCCAGTGTGTGATGTTCCCTACTCTGTGTCCAGGTGTTCTCATTGCTCATTTCCCACCTATGAGTGAGAACATCTAGCGTCTGGTTTTCTGTCCTTGCGACAGTTTGCTCAGAATGATGGTTTCCACCTGCATCCATGTCCCTACAAAGGACATGAACTCATCCTTTTTATGGCTGCATAGTATTACAAGGTGTATATGTGCCACATTTTCTTAATCCAGTCTATCATTGATGACATTTGGGTTGGTTCCAGGTCTTTGCTATTGTGAATAGTGCCACAATAAACACACATGTGCATGTGTCTGTATAGCAGCATGATTTATAATCCTTTGGGTATATACCCAGTAATGGGATGGCTCGGTCAAATGGTATTTCTAGTTCTAGATCCCTGAGGAATTGCCACACTGACTTCCACAATGGTTGAACTAGTTTACAGTCCCACCAACAGTGTAAAAGTGTTCCTATTTCTCCACATCCTCTCCATCACCCGTTGTTTCCTGACTTTTTAATGATCGCCATTCTAACTGGTGTGAGATGGTATTTCATTGTGATTTCGATTTGCATTTCTCTGATGGCCAGTGATGATGAGCATTTTCTCATGTGTCTGTTGGCTGCATAAATGTCTTCTTTTGAGGAGTGTCTGTTCATATCCTTTGCCCACTTTTTGATGGGGTTGTTTGATTTTTTTCTTGTAAATTTGTTTAAGTACTTTGTAGATTCTGGATATTAGCCCTTTGTCAGAAGGGTAGATTATAAAAATTTTCTCCCATTCTGTAGGTTGCCTCTTCACTCTGATGGTGGTTTCTTTTGCTGTGCAGAAGCTCTTTAGTTTAATTAGATCCCATTAGTCTATTCTGGCTTTTGTTGCCATTGCCATTGGTGTTTTAGTCATGAAGTCCTTGCCCATGCCTATGTCCTGAATGGTATTGCCTAGGTTTTCTTCTAGGATTTCTATGGTTTTAGGTCTAACATTTAAGTCTTTAATCCATCATAAATTAATTTTTGTATAAGTTGTAAGGAAGGGATCCAGTTTCAGCTTTCTATACGTGGCTAGCCAGTTTTCCCAGCACCATTGATTAAATAGGGAATTCTTTCCCCATTTCTTGTTTTTGTTCCGTTTGTCAAAGATCAGATGGTTTTAGATGTGTGGTATTCTTTCTGAGGGCTCTGTTCTGTTCCATTGGTCTATATCTCTGTGTTAGTGCCAGTATCATGCTGTTTTGATTACTATAGCCTTGTAGTATAGTTTGAAGTCAGGTAGTGTGATGCTGCCAGCTTTGTTCTTTTGGCTTAGGATGGTCATGGCAATGTGGGCTCTTTTTTGGTTCCATATGAAGTTTAACATAGTTTTTTTCAATTCTGTAAAGAAAGTCATTGGTAGCTTGAAGGGGATGGCATTGAATCTATAAATTACCTTGGGCAGTATGGCCATTTTCACGATATTGATTCTTCCTATCCATGAGCATGGAATGTTCTTTCATTTGTTTATGTCCTCTTTTATTTCGTTGAGCAGTGGTTTGTAGTTCTCCTTGAAGAGGTCCTTCACATCCCTTGTAAGTTGGATTCCTAGGTATTTTATTCTCTTTGTAGTAATTATGAATGGGAGTTCACTCATGATTTGGCTCTCTGTTTGTCTGTTATTGGTGTATAGGAATGCTTGTGATTTTTGCACATTGATTTTGTACCCTGAGACTTTGCTGAAGTTGCTTATCAGCTTAAGGAGATTTTGGGCTGAGACAATGGGGTTTTTCTATGTATACAATCATGTCATCTGCAAACAGGGACAATTTGACTTCCTATTTTCCTAATTGAATACCCTTTATTTCTTTCTCC
The DNA here is from genome assembly GCF_000001405.40 of Homo sapiens. Taxonomy (NCBI): domain Eukaryota; kingdom Metazoa; phylum Chordata; class Mammalia; order Primates; family Hominidae; genus Homo; species Homo sapiens. The sequence goes on along the minus strand of NC_000008.11, from coordinate 103,793,592 downwards.
TGCCTGATTGCCCTGGCCAGAACATCCAACACTATGTTGAATAGGAGTGGTGAGAGAGGGCATCCCTGTCTTGTGCCAGTTTTCAAAGGGAATGCTTCCAGTTTTTGCCCATTCAGTATGATATTGGCTCTGGGTTTGTCAGAAACAGCTCTTATTATTTTGAGATATGTCTCATCTATACCTAGTTTATTGAGAGTTTTTAGCATGAAGGGCTGTTGAATTTTCTCGAAGGCCTTTTCTGCATCTATTGAGATAATCATGTGGTTTTTGTCTTGGTTCTGTTTATATGAGGGGTTACGTTTACTGATTTGCGTATGTTGAACCAGCCTTCCATCCCAGGGATGAAGCCCACTTGATCGTAGTGGATAAGCTTTTAGATGTGCTGCTGGATTCAGTTTACCAGTATTTATTGAGAATTTTTGCATCGATGTTCATCAGGGATATTGGTCTAAAATTCTCTTTTTTTATTGTGTCTCTGCCTGGCTTTGGTATCAGAATGATGCTGGCTTCATACAATGAGTTAGGGAGGATTCCCTCTTTTTCTATTGATTGGAATAGTTTCAGAAGGAATGGTACCAGTTCATCTTTGTACCTCTGGTAGAATTCGGCTGTGAATCCATCTGGTCCTGGACTTTTTTTGGTTGGTAGGCTATTAATTATTGCCTCAATTTCAGAGCCTGTTATTGGTCTATTCAGGGATTCAACTTCTTCCTGGTTTAGTCTTCGGAAGGTGTATGTGTCCAGGAATTTATCCATTTCTTTCGGATTTTCTAGTTTATTTGCATAGAGGTCTTTATAGTATTCTCTGATGGTAGTTTGTATTTCCTTGGGTTTGGTGGTGACATCCACTTTCTCATTTTTTATTGCGTCTATTTGATTCTTCTCTCTTTTCTTCTTTATTAGTCTTGCTAGCGATCTATCAATTTTGTTGATCTTTAAAAAAAAAAAAAAAAAACCAGCTCCTGGATTCACTGATTTTTTGAAGGGTTTTTTGTGTCTCTACCTCCTTCAGTTCTGCTCTGATCTTAGTTATTTCTTGCCTTCTGCTAGCTTTTGAGTGTGTTTGCTCTTGTTTCTCTAGTTCTTTTAGTTGTGATGTTAGGGTGTCAATTTTAGATCTTTCCTGCTTTCTCTTGTGGGCATTTAGTGCTATAAATTTCCCTCTACACACTCTTTTAAGTGTGTCCCAGAGATTCTGGTACATTGTTTCTTTGTTCTTATTGGTTTCAAAGAACATGTTTATTTCTGCCTTCATTTCGTTATGCATCCAGTAGTCATTCAGGAGCAGGTTGTTCAGTTTCCATGTAGGTGAGAGGTTTTGAGTGAGTTTCTTAATCCTGAGTCCTAATTTGATTGCACTGTGGTCTGAGAGACAGTTTGTTATAATTTCTGTTGTTTTACATTTGCTGAGGAGTGCTTTACTTCCAACGATGTGGTCAGTTTTAGAATAAGTGCGATGTGGTGCTGAGAAGAATGTATATTCTGTTGATTTGGGGTGGAGACTTCTGTAGATGTCTATTAAGTCCGCTTGGTGCAGAGCTGAGTTCAATTCCTGGATATCCTTGTTAACTTCCTGTCTCGTTGATCTGTCTCTTGTTGACAGTGGGGTGTTAAAGTGTCCCATTATTATTGTGTGGGAGTCTAAGTCTCTTTGTAGGTCTCTAAGGACTTGCTTTATGAATCTGGGCGATCCTGTATTGAGTATATATATATTTAGGATAGTTAGCTCTTCTTGTTGAATTGATCCCTTTACCATTATGTAATGGCCTTCTTTGTCTCTTTTGATCTTTGTTGGTTTAAAGTCTGTTTCATAAGAGACTAGGATTGCAACCCCTACCTTTTTTTGTTTTCCATTTGCTTGGTAGATCTTCCTCCATCCCTTTATTTTGAGTCTATGTGTGTCTCTGCATGTGAGATGGTTCTCCTGAACACAGCATACTGATGGATCTTGACTCTTTACCGAATTTGCCAGTCTGTGTCTTTTAATTGGAGCATTTAGCCCATTTATATTTAAGGTTAATATAGTTATGTGTGAATTTTATCCTGTCATTATGATGTTAGCTGGTTATTTTGCTCGTTAGTTGATGCAGTTTCTTCCTAGCATCGACGGTCTTTACAATTTGGCATGTTTTTGCAGTGGCTCGTACGGGTTGTTCCTTTTCATGTTTAGTGCTTCCTTCAGGAGCTCTTGTAAGGCAGGCCTGGTGGTGACAAAATCTCTCAGCATTTGCTTGTCTGTAAAGGATTTATTTCTGATTCACTTAAAAAGCTTAGTTTGACTGGATATGAAATTCTGGATTGAAAATTCTTTTCTTTAAGAATGTTGAATATTGGCCCCTATTCTCTTCTGGCTTCTAAAGTTTCTGCAAAGAGATCTGCTGTTAATCTGATGGGCCTCCCTTTGTGGGTAACCCGACCTTCTCTCTGGCTGCCCTTAACATTTTTTCCTTCATTTCAACTTTGGTGAATCTGACAATCATTTATCTTGGAGTTGCTCTTCTCGAGGAGTATCTTTTGTGGCATTCTCTGTATTTCCTGAATTTGAATGTTGGCCTGCCTTGCTAGGTTGGGAAAGTTCTCCTGGATAATATCCTGCAGAGTGTTTTCCAACTTGGTTCCATTCTCCCCGTCACTTTCAGGTACACCAATCAGATGTAGATTTGGTCTTTTCACATAGTCCCATACTTCTTGGAGGCTTTGCTCATTTTTCACCTAACACCATACTTTAATAAATGTTGGATAGATCCATTTTTTACAATGTAAACATAAAATCATAACAGTATTACAATAACAGAAATATGTATTAATCTTAGTGAAGAAGAAAGGGCCTTTTAAATATAACCCCAACAAAGGATTTGATTTGATATTTCTCCAAAGAAGATATATAAATAGCCATTGAACACAAGAAAAGATGCTCAACATCACTGGTCATTAGGGAAATACAAATAAAAACCACTTCATACTCCCTGGAATGATTATAATAAAAATACAGACAAGAGAATTAAAAACATATGTCCACACAAAAAGTTACACACAAATGTCTATAATAGCATTATTCATAAGGCTAAAAAGGAGAAACTCAAATGTCCATCAACTGATGAATAAAAGAAATGTGGTATAAACATACAATGAAATATTCCATCATAAAAAGGAATGAATTATTGATTCATGCTATATAATCAATGAACTTTGAAAACATTATGCTAACTGAAAGAGCCAGTAACAAAAGGCTACATAATTGCATGATACTATTTTTATGAAATGTCCAGAATAGGCAACTCCAGAGACATAAAGTAGATTAGTGGTTGCCAGAGGACTGAGGAAAGAGAAGAATGACAAGTGACTGCTAATGGGCACAAGTTTTCCAGGGTTTATGGAAATATTCTGGAATTAGATAGTCGTAATAGTTGGACAACTTCAAAATTAAACTAAACACCACTTAGGTGTACATTTGTAAGGGTTAATTTTATGACACATGAATTATATCTCCATTACAAATAAATAAATCAAGAGCCATAAAAGAAAAACACATGCTGGGCAGGGTGGCTCATACCTGTAATCCCACCACTTTGGGAAGCCAAGGCAGGAGGATCACTTGAGCTCAGGAGTTTGAGATCGGCCTAAACAGGCTAGAGAGATGCCATCTCTACTAAGAGTTTAAAAATAGAAAAAAATATCTGGACATGGTAGCACACACTTGTAGTCCCAGCTATTTGGGACGCTGAGGAGGAAGAATTGCTACAGCCTGGGAGGTTGAGGCTGCTGTGAGCATGACTGTGCTACCGTCCTCCAGCCTGGGCAACAAAGCCTGACCCTGTCTCAAAAAAAAAAAAAAAAAAAAAAGAGTACAATCCATCATAATATATGTTTATTTTTATGCATTGGTAAAAAGAATAATATAAGCAAAGTCAAAAGATAATAAACTGGGGAAAAGTATTTGCAATCTGAAGTGAGCAGAATTCTAACCTGGCTCCTACAAATCTTGCCACCTGGTGTACACACCCTGGTCATCATCCCTCCCCTTGAATGTTGGCAGGATCTGTGAATATGATGAGATATCACTCCCATTATTAGGTTACATTATATGACAAAGTGAGGTGATTTTGCAGATGTGATTAAGGTCCCTCCTTGGTTGACTTTAAACTAATCAAAAGGGAAATTAATTTTATCAGGCCCTAGGTGCGTCTGATAAATCATGTTAGCCCTTTAAAAGAGAGTTTTGAGGTCAGAGACAGAAGTCAGAGAGATCCCAAACAGCATAGACACCCTCTACTGGCTTTGAAAAAACAAACTGCTGGGGAGGAGCCAAGATGGCCGAATAGGAACAGCTCCGGTCTACAGCTCCCAGCGAGAGCGACACAAAAGACGGTGATTTCTGCATTTCCATCTGAGGTACCGGGTTCATCTCACTAGGGAGTGCCAGACAGTGGGCGCAGGTCAGTGGGTGCGCGCACCGTGCACGAGCCGAAGCAGGGCGAGGCATTGCCTCCCTTGGGAAGCGCAATGGGTCAGGGAGTTCCCTTTCCGAGTCAAAGAAAGGGGTGACGGACGGCACCTGGAAAATCGGGTCACTCCCACCCGAATACTGCGCTTTTCCGAAGGGCTTAAAAAACGGCGCACCACGAGATTATATCCCGCACCTGGCTCAGAGGGTCCAACGCCCACGGAGTCTCGCTGATTGCTAGCACAGCAGTCTGAGATCAAACTGCAAGGCGGCGGCGAGGCTGGGGGAGGGGCGCCCGCCATTGCCCAGGCTTGCTTAGATAAACAAAGCAGCCAGCAAGCTCCAACTGGGTGGAGCCCACCACAGCTCAAGGAGGCCTGCCTGCCTCTGTAGGCTCCACCTCTGGGGGCAGGGCACAGACAAACAAAAAGACAGCAGTAACCTCTGCAGACTTAAATGTCCCTGTCTGACAGCTTTGAAGAGAGCAGTGGTTCTCCCAGCACGCAGCTGGAGATCTGAGAACGGGCAAACTGTCTCCTCGAGTGGGTCCCTGACCCCTGACCCCCGAGCAGCCTAACTGGGAGGCACCCCCCAGCAGGGGCACACTGACACCTCACACAGCAGGGTATTCCAACAGACCTGCAGCTGAGGGTCCTGTCTGTTAGAAGGAAAACTAACAAACAGAAAGGACATCCACACCAAAAACCCATCTGTACATCACCATCATCAAAGACCAAAAGTAGATAAAACCACAAAGATGGGGAAAAAACAGAACAGAAAAACTGGAAACTCTAAAAAGCAGAGTGCCTCTCCTCCTCCAAAGAAATGCAGTTCCTCACCAGCAACGGAACAAAGCTGGATGGAGAATGACTTTGACGAGCTGAGAGAAGAAAGCTTCAGACGATCAAATTACTCTGAGCTATGGGAGGACATTCAAACCAAAGGCAAAGAAGTTGAAAACTTTGAAAAAAATTTAGAAGAATGTATAACTAGAATAACCAATACAGAGAAGTGCTTAAAGGGGCTGATGGAGCTGAAAACCAAGGCTCGAGAACTACGTGAAGAATGCAGAAGCCTCAGGAGCCAATGCGATCAACTGGAAGAAAGGGTATCAGCAATGGAAGATGAAATGAATGAAATGAAGTGAGAAGGGAAGTTTAGAGAAAAAAGAATAAAAAGAAATGAGCAAAGCCTCCAAGAAGTATGGGACTATGTGAAAAGACCAAATCTACGTCTGATTGGTGTACCTGAAAGTGATGGGGAGAATGGAACCAAGTTGGAAAACACTCTGCAGGATATTATCCAGGAGAACTTCCCCGATCTAGCAAGGCAGGCCAACGTTCAGATTCAGGAAATACAGAGAACGCCACAAAGATACTCCTTGAGAAGAGCAACTCCAAGAACATAATTGTCAGATTCACCAAAGTAGAAATGAAGGAAAAAATGTTAAGGGCAGCCAGAGAGAAAGGTCGGGTTACCCTCAAAGGGAAGCCCATCAGACTAACAGCAGATCTCTCGGCAGAAACCCTACAAGCAAGAAGAGAGTAGGGGCCAATATTCAACATTCTTAAAGAAAAGAATTTTCAACCCAGAATTTCATATCCAGCCAAACTAAGCTTCATAAGCGAAGGAGAAATAAAATACTTTACAGACAAGCAAATGCTGAGAGATTTTGTCACCACCAGGCCTGCCCTAAAAGAGCTCCTGAAGGAAGCGCTAAACATGGAAAGGAACAACCGGTACCAGCTGCTGCAAAATCATGCCAAAATGTAAAGACCATCGAGACTAGGAAGAAACTGCATCAACTAACGAGCAAAATAACCAGCTAACATCATAACGACAAGATCAGATTCACACATAACAATATTAACTTTAAATGTAAATGGACTAAATGCTCCAATTAAAAGACACAGACTGGCAAATTGGATAAAGAGTCAAGACCCATCAGTGTGCTGTATTCAGGAAACCCATCTCATGTGCAGAGACACACATAGGCTCAAAATAAAAGGATGGAGGAAGATCTACCAAGCAAATGGAAAACAAAAAAAGGCAGGGGTTGCAATCCTAGTCTCTGATAAAACAGACTTTAAACCAACAAAGATCAAAAGAGACAAAGAAGGCCATTACATAATGGTAAAGGGATCAATTCAACAAGAAGAGCTAACTATCCTAAATATATATGCACCCAATATAGGAGCACCCAGATTCATAGAGCAAGTCGTGAGTGACCTACAAAGAGACTTAGACTCCCACACATTAATAATGGGAGACTTTAACACCCCACTGTCAACATTAGACAGATCAACGAAACAGAAAGTCAAAAAGGATACCCAGGAATTGAACTCAGCTCTGCACCAAGCGGACTTAATAGACATCTACAGAACTCTCCACCCCAAATCAACAGAATATACATTTTTTTCAGAACCACACCACAGCTATTCCAAAACTGACAACATACTTGGAAGTAAAGCTCTCCTCAGCAAATGTAAAAGAACAGAAATTATAACAAACTATCTCTCAGACCACAGTGCAATCAAACTAGAACTCAGGATTAAGAATCTCATTCAAAACCGCTCAACTACATGAAAACTGAACAACCTGCTCCTGAATGACTACTGGGTACATAACGAAGTGAAGGCAGAAATAAAGATGTTCTTTGAAACCAACGAGAACAAAGACACAACATACCAGAATCTCTGGGACGCATTCAAAGCAGTGTGTAGAGGGAAATTTATAGCACTAAATGCCCACAAGAGAAAGCAGGAAAGATCCAAAATTGACACCCTAACATCACAATTAAAAGAACTAGAAAAGCAAGAGCAAATACATTCAAAAGCTAGCAGAAGGCAAGAAATAACTAAAATCAGAGGAGAACTGAAGGAAATAGAGACACAAAAAACCCTTCAAAAAATTAATGAATCCAGGAGCTGGTTTTTTGAAAGGATCAACAAAATTGATAGACCACTAGCAAGACGAATAAAGATGGAAGGAGAGAAGAATCAAATAGACGCAATAAAAAATGATAAAGGGGATATCACCACCAATCCCACAGAAATACAAACTACCATCAGAGAATACTACAAACAACTCTACGCAAATAAACTAGAAAATCTAGAAGAAATGGATACATTCCTCGACACATACACTCTCCCAAGACTAAACCAGGAAGAAGTTGAATCTCTGAATACACCAATAACAGGATCTGAAATTGTGGCAATAATCAATAGCTTACCAACCAAAAAGAGTCCAGGACCAGATGGATTCACAGCCGAATTCTACCAGAGATACAAGGAGGAACTGGTACCATTCCTTCTGAAACTATTCCAATCAATAGAAAAAGAGGGAATCCTCCCTAACTCTTTTTATGAGGGCAGCATCATTCTGATACCAAAGCCAGGCAGAGACAAAACAAACAAAGAGATTTTTAGACCAATATCCTTGATGAACATTGATGCAAAAATCCTCAATAAAATACTGGCTAAACGAATCCAGCAGCACATCAAAAAGCTTATCCACCATGATCAAGTGGGCTTCATCCCTGGGATGCAAGGCTGGCTCAATATACACAAATCAATAAATGTAATCCAGCATATAAACAGAACCAAAGACAAAAACCACATCATTATCTCAATAGATGCAGAAAAAGCCTTTGACAAAATTCAACAACCCTTCATGCTAAAAACTCTCAATAAATTAGGTATTGATGGGATGTATCTCAAAATAAGAAGAGCTATCTATGACAAACCCACAGCCAATATCATACTGAATGGGCAAAAACTGGAAGCATTCCCTTTGAAAACTGGCACAAGACAGGGATGCCCTCTCTCACCACTCCTATTCAACATAGTGTTGGAAGTTCTGGCCAGGGCAATTAGGCAGGAGAAGGAAATAAAGGGTATTCAATTAGGAAAAGAGGAAGTCAAATTGTCCCTGTTTGCAGATGACATGATTGTATATCTAGAAAACCCCATCGTCTCAGCCCAAAATCTCCTTAAGCTGGTAAGCAACTTCAGCAAAGTCTCAGGATACAAAATCAATGTACAAAAATCACAAGCATTCTTACGCACCAATAACAGACAAACAGAGAGCCAAATCATGAGTGAACTCCCATTCACAATTGCTTCAAAGAGAATAAAATACCTAGGAATCCAACTTACAAGGGATGTGAAGAACCTCTTCAAGGAGAACTACAAACCACTGCTCAACGAAATAAAAGAGGATACAAACAAATGGAAGAACATTCCATGCTCATGGGTAGGAAGAATCAATATCGTGAAAATGGCCATACTGCCCAAGGTAATTTACAGATTCAATGCCATCCCCATCAAGCTACCAATGCCTTTCTTCACAGAATTGGAAAAAACTACTTTAAAGTTCATATGGAACCAAAAAAGAGCCCGCATCGCCAAGTCAATCCTAAGCCAAAAGAACAAAGCTGGAGGCATCACACTACCTGACTTCAAACTATACTACAAGGCTACAGTAACCAAAACAGCATGGTACTGGTACCAAAACAGAGATATAGATCAATGGAACAGAACAGAGCCCTCAGAAATAACGCCGCATATCTACAACTATCTGATCTTTGACAAACCTGACAAAAACAAGCAATGGGGAAAGGATTCCCTATTTAATAAATGGTGCTGGGAAAACTGGCTAGCCATATGTAGAAAGCTGAAACTGGATCCCTTCCTTACACCTTATACAAAAATCAATTCAAGATGGATTAAAGACTTAAACGTTACACCTAAAACCATAAAAACCCTAGAAGAAAACCTAGGCATTACCATTCAGGACATAGGCATGGGCAAGGACTTCATGACTAAAACACCAAAAGCAATGGCAACAAAAGCCAAAATTGACAAATGGGATCTAATTAAACTAAAGAGCTTCTGCACAGCAAAAGAAACTACCATCAGAGTGAACAGGCAACCTACAAAATGGGAGAAAATTTTCTCAACCTACTCATCTGACAAAGGGCTAATATCCAGAATCTACAATGAACTCAAACAAATTTACAAGAAAAAAACAAACAACCCCATCAAAAAGTGGGCGAAGGACATGAACAGACACTTCTCAAAAGAAGACATTTATGCAGCCAAAAAACACATGAAAAAATGCTCACCATCACTGACCATCAGAGAAATGCAAATCAAAACCACAATGAGATACCATCTCACACCAGTTAGAATGGCAATCATTAAAAAGTCAGGAAACAACAGGTGCTGGAGAGGATGTGGAGAAATAGGGACACTTTTACACTGTTGGTGGGTCTGTAAACTAGTTCAACCATTGTGGAAGTCAGTGTGGCGATTCCTCAGGGATCTAGAACTGGAAATACCATTTGACCCAGCCATCCCATTACTGGGCATATACCCAAAGGACTATAAATCATGCTGCTATAAAGACACATGCACACATATGTTTATTGCAGCATTATTCACAATAGCAAAGACTTGGAACCAACCCAAATGTCCCACAATGATAGACTGGATTAAGAAAATGTGGCACATATACACCATGGAATACTATGCAGCCATAAAAAATGATGAGTTCATGTCCTTTGTAGGGACATGGATGAAATTGGAAATCATTCTCAGTAAACTATCGCAAGAACAAAAAACCAAACACCACATATTCTCACTCATAGGTGGGAATTGAACAATGAGATCACATGGACACATGAAGGGGAATATCACACTCTGGGGACTGTTGTGGGGTGGGGTGAGGGGGGAGGGATAGCATTGGGAGATATACCTAATGCTAGATGACGAGTTAGTGGGTGCAGCGCACCAGCATGGCACATGTATACATATGTAACTAACCTGCACAATGTGCACATGTACCCTAAAACTTAAAGTATAATAAAAAAAAAAAAAAAGAAAAGAAAAAACAAACTGCTATGCTAAGGAGAAGGCCACCTGGTAGGGAACACTGGGTAGCCCCTAAGGGCTGAGGGCATGTCATACAAGTGCAAGGCAGTGAATTCTGTCAACAACCATACAATTGCAAGGCAGTGAATTCTGTCAACAACCAGGGAGCTTTGAAGAGGACCCTGAGCGTGAGATGAGATCTCAGCCTCAGGCAACACCTTGATTTCAGCCTCCAGAGATCCTAAGGGGAAGACCCAGCTAAGCTAGCTTGTACCCTAATCTTGACCTACACAAACTGAAATTTAAAAAGTATGTTTTTATAAGCCTCTAAGTTTGTGGTCATTCATTATACAGATATAGAAAACTAACATACAGTCCATTCCACAAAGAGTTATTTTCTATAATATAAATGGAGATGCTAAAAATCCATGTAAATAAAGACCAAAAACTCAATGGAAAAATGGAAGAAGATATAAACAGAGTTTTAAAAGAAAAAACTACTCTTAAACATAGACAGAAATGCTCAGTTTGACTCACTTATGATAAAAAAAGAAAAATTAGAACTATAATGCAGTAACATTTTTCACCTATTGCACTGGTAAAGATGTATAATATTGTGTTGGCTAATGAATTAGAAACTAAAACCCTAATACCTGCTGATAGAAGTGTAACTTTGTACATCCTTTCTAGTGGGTCATATCGCAATGACTACAAAAACTTAAAACTGCATACATTCTTTAACCAAGTGATTGTACTTCTAGGAATTTTCCTTTATCTTACAGATTTACTATTTTGCAAAACTGTAAGTACACACACACACACACACACACACACACACACACGGGATTTATGTATCATGATAGCATTTGTAATAGCAAAAAAATGTTGTAATAATCTAACTGTTCATCATTACAGACTAAACAAATATGACACATACACTAAAATTATGAAGAAGAACACTCACTATGCACTGGTAAAGAAAGATTTCCAACATATGCTGCTAAATTAAAAAAGAAAGATAAGGAAATACAATATATAGTATGGTATCACTTCAAAGAAATATATATATAGTGTACGTATATATTCTTATATTTGCAGACAGTGTCTATAAAAATACACACTCAAACAAAAATAGTAACCGTGTTAGAGAAAAAAAAAAAAGAAAACAGAAACTGAGCGAAATTGAGCAGCTGGAGTATGCAGTAAATATATAGAATAGGGGAGATAAGGCCACGTGTGGTGGCTCATGCTTTTAATCCAAGCACTTTGGGAGGCCGAGGTGGGCGGATCACCGGAGGTCAGGAGTTCAATACCAGCCTGACCAACATGGTGAAACCCCGTCTCTAATAAAAATACAAAAATTACCCGGGCATGGTGGTACACACCTGTAATCCCAGTTACTTGGGAGGCTGAGGCAGGTGAATCGCTTGAACCTGGGAGGCAGAGGTTGCAGTGAGCTGAGATCACAACATTGCACTCCAGCCTGCATGACAAAAGTGAAACTCTGTCTCAAAAAAAAAAAAAAAAAAAAAAAAAAGATTAGGGGAGATAATATACGGAAGAAATAAACCTTGAAGCATAAGAAAATTCTTCTTCAAGAACTGAGGAGTCTTAAAATTTACTCCAAAACACATTCAAAGAGAACATGCAAATCAAAAAGTTTGAGTAATTATGGAAACAAGATTTTGAACCGTTTTTTAAAATAAGCGTAGTAACTTTTTCAAGTACCTATCAAAGCCATCTCTATAGCAACAATACTAAGTCATTTTGAACAAAATAACTTTTAACACTTGCTGATGAAAAAATAATTTTAACTTTACTAAAAATATATACTTTTGTTCCAGTTCCAAAATGACAAAGAACCAAGCTGGCTTCACTCCCTCCACCCCCACAGAAAATGGAAAACAAATATACAGCACCAATTTATCATCAGCAATATCCCAGAATTCAAACGTGAGGAAGAGACAGTTCTCAGGGCCACAAAGAAGTGAAAAAACTCCAGGCAAGCTGTAAGGTATTTGATGCCTTTCCCCATAATCTGCCCACCACGAAGTGTGTGGAATACTTCCCCCAACTCACAGTTTCTACACTGGATCTCAGTCCTGGAAACTGTTCCTTAACTCAATCAAAGGAGATGCCAAATCAGAGGGGCTATTCCACAGCACCATGCTACAGGAGGTATATTCCATAGATCCCCTGGGCATGAGCCCCTGGCCAGCCTCCCAACACTGCCAGAATATCCCCTTTGGACTTTTCCCATTCAGTATGGGCAGCAACCCAATCATTTACTACAGCCAGGCAAACTTTGGCTTAAGGTACCATCCAGCAACAAAAAGAAGGCAGCAACCTAGAAAAAAAAAATCAACAGGTAAACTAAAAAGAATCTCTAAGAAAACAAGTCAAGTAAAAAACAAAACAAGCCAGACAGGGAAGATTGGAATAAATAACCTTTCAATGCAAAGACATAGAAAGACATCCCCAAGAAGCAATAGCAAACAGGAAACCATTATCTCTCCAAATGGACAAACCAAGGAACCAGCTACTGATGCCACTGAGAGAGTGATATGTGAGCTCTCTCACATAAAAAAATAGCAGTTTTAAGGAAATTCAGTGATCTCCAAGTTAACACAGAAAGCAATTCAGGAATTCATCTGAGAAATTTAGCAACAATATTAAAATAATTTTTAAAAAACAAAAATCTTGCAACTGAGAAATACATTGGCTGAACTGAAAAAAATCATTAGAGGCTCTCAACAACAGAATGGATCAAGCAGAGGAAAGAATCGGAGAGCTTGAAGACAAGCATTTGAAAATACGATCAGAGGAGAAAGAAGAAAAACAATGAAAAATATGAAGATGATCTACATGAAATAGAATATTACCAGAAAAGACCAAATCTAAGAATTATTTGTGTCTAAGAGGGAGTTGAACAAGAGCAAAAGGTAAAAGCTTCAAAGAAATAATGTTGAAATTTTTCCAAAACTTGAGAAATACATAAATATCCAGGTAGAGGAAGGTCAGAGAATATCAAAGAGATTCGACCCAAATAATACTAACTCAAGTCATCTAATAATCAAATCCTCAAAGGTAAAGGATAAAGAGAGGATCCTAAAAGCAGCTAGAAGAAAGAAGCAAGTAACATATAAAGGACTCCAATTCATCTGATAATTTCAAGAGAAATTCATCTGATAATTTCAAGGGATGTTAGAGGCCTCACACTACCTAACTTCAAAATGTACTACAAAGCTATGGTAACCAAATCAGTATGGTACTGGCATAAAAACAGACACATAGACCAATGAAACAGAATAGAGAATCCAGACATAAACCCATGCATTTATAGCCAACTCACTTTCTTTCTTTTTTTTTTTTAATTATACCTTAAGTTTTAGGGTACATGTGCACAATGTGCAGGTTTGTTACGTATGTATATATGTGCCATGTTGGTGTGCTGCACCCATTAACTCGTCATTTACATTAGGTATATCTCCTAATGCTATCCCTCCCCCCTCCCCCCACCCCATGACAGGCCCTAGTGTGTGGTGCTCCCCACCCTGTGTCCAGGTGTTCTCATTGTTCAATTCCCACCTATGAGTGAGAACATGCGGTGTTTGGTTTTCTGTCTTTGCAATAGTTTGCTCAGAATGATGGTTTCCAGCTTCATCCATGACCCTACAAAGGACATGAACTCATCCTTTTTTATGGCTGCATAGTATTCGATAGCCAACTCATTTTCAACAAAGGCACCAAGAACATTCATAGGGTGAAAGGATAGTCTTTTCAATACACTGTGCTGGGAAAACTGGATATTCATATACAGAAGAATGAAACTAGAATCCTATCTTTCACCATATAAAAAAATCAAATCAAGATGGATTAAAAACTTATATTGAAGACCCAAAACTGTGAAATTACTAGAAGAAAACATTGGGAAAATGTTCCAGGACATAGATCTGGGCAAAGATTTTGAATAAGGCCTCAAAATCACAGGCAGCCAAAGCAAAAACAGACAAATGGGATTCTATCAAGCTTAAAAGCTTCTGCACAGAAAAGAAAACAATAAACAAAATGAAGAGACAACCCATATAATGGCAGAAAATATTTGCAAACTATCCATGTAGCAAGGAATTGATAACCAGAATATATAAAGAGCTCAAACAACTCAGTAGCAAAAAACCAACTAATCCAATTTAAAAGTGGGCAAAAGATCTGAACAGACATTTCTCAGAGGAAAACATACAAATGACCAACAGGTATATGAAAAATGTTCAACATCACTAATAATCAGAGAAATGCAAATCAAATCACAATGAGATATCTTCTCACCCCAGTTAAAATGACTTCTTCAAAAAGACAAGGATAAGGGATACTGGTGAGGATGTGGAAAAAGGAGAACTCTCATACACTTGGTGGGGACATAAATTAGTATAGCCACTATGGAGAAGAGTTTGGCGGTTCCTCAAAAAACTAAAAATAGAACTATCATATGATCCAGCAACTGCACTACTGAGTATACATCCAAAAGAAATGAAATTAATGTATTAAAGAGATATCTGCACTCCCATGTTTAATGCAGCACTATTCACAATAGCCAAAATATAAAATCAACCTAAATGCCTATCAATGGATAAACAGATAATGTGACATATATATAGAATGGAATATTATTTGGCCATAAAAAGAATGAAATCCTGTCATTTGCAGCAACATGGATGGAACTGGAGGTCATTATGTTAAGTGAAATAAGCCAAGCACAGAAGACCAAATATTACATGTTCTCACTCATGTAGGAACTACAAAAGTGGATCTCATGAAGATCTCTAGAAAGTAGATTGATGGTTACCAGAGGCCAGAAAGGGCAGAGGGAAGGAGCATAAGGAGGTTGATAAATGGATACAAATATACAATTAGATAGAAATAAGACCTAGTGTTTGATAGATCAGTAGGATGATACTAGTTAACAATAATCTATTGTACATTTCAAAATAGCCAGAAGAGAAAAATTTGAATATTACCAGCATAAAGATAAGATATTTAGGTAATGGATATCCCAACTACCTTGATTTGGTCTTTACATATTATATGAATGTGTCAAAATATCCTATGTATCCCCAAAATATGTATATGTATTATACATCAATAAAAAATCAAAAATACATAAATGTGTACTTTTCATGTCACTCCATTTTTTTACTTCTAACCTATGAAGAAAAGTAACAAACTTTTTAAAAATGTCAAAGTCATAGCAAGTTTTGACATTTTTAAATGTCAGCAAAGAAAAGATAACTTAAAATTATATGCTATGATTGAGTTCCGAAGTTGTTACTCTTGTCTTTGTAGCCAGTTTATACCCAATTTTGTACCCAGTTTATACCCAATTTTGTACCCAGTTTATACCCAATTTCATACCCAGCATGAAACAAAATTCTATTTTTATCTTTTTAAGAGTGGATTTTTTTTATGGTCCACAAATCAATTTTGATAACCAATGTCAGATCAAAATGCATACAGCCCATTTTAAAATACTTTTATATGCATACCATTATGAAATCAAATGATGAAATATTTTAACAGCTTTCAAATGGCAGAATTTATATTTATTTTCTGTCTATATCAACCCTAATTAGCATAAAGCACTGTTCAACTATATGCTATCTTAGACCTCAACTGTATTTTCATCACCAAAATAAATAAAATAGCTTTTTACTTAAATAAAATAGCTTTTATATAAGTTATCTTAATTCCCAAGCAGGATATATGATACATATGCCAATAATGTACTGATTTTCAATATGAAAGCCAGTACAAAACTCCTTTCATTCATTTATTCAGAAATTTCTATTGATGATCATTTTTCATTCCATGTAGAACAGCTGACCAGTGAAAATGTTTTGGAAAGACACAAAAGAATAGATATACTGAAAAAAAGAGGCAAGATACTGGGATAGAGTTCATAGCATTTGAGTCCGTAACTCTGTTTGTAAGGTCTCTCTTCATTCTTTTCCTGGGGTTCTGTCCTTTTAATTCTTCCTCCTTTTTTCTTATAATTCTTTCTCCTTTTTTCTTAAGCTTTTTTACTTATCTACTCATTCAGTCTTTCAACAACTATTTAATGAGCACCACTATGTATCAATTACTGTGTGAGGTGCTAGGAATACACTGATGAAGAAGATACACATGACTGTTGCATAATGAAATTTGTTTAATGTGTTCAATTCTTCCCTTGCTTTTGTAGAGAAAATCTAAATGTCTTAGTGTTGAAAAGCATTGGTTTTAAAATGCCTTTTAAAATGTCAACACTTACTAATATAGTAAAGTTCTTCTGTTAATGAAGCCAATGATTTACTTTTTGATTGCACACACATGTGCACACACAACTTGGAACTGAAATTGACTAAAATTAAAAAGAACAGCTGTTTAATCTAAAGGAAAAGTCATGCTTCACAGCTAACTTATAAAATGCACTTTGCCCATCTTTGTCATCGTTGGGTTTTCTTAAAATAATTCTACTAACTTTTGAAATTGATGTTGCTTCTTCAACAGGTTTATTTTTTTCTTTTTGCAAGGATGTATTCTGTGACTACTAGCCCCCTAGTGGACAGCAAATGTCAACAAAAAATTTGTACAAGTTACACATTCATGAGTAAAAATGCATTTTCATTTTTAGCATCTTGCTGCTGAAATATTTATTGCAAATTTTTAAAATTACCAAATAATAAAATACAAAAATATTTATAAATTTACACTATACAATAAATGACAAAACCACTGGAGAAAAAAACATCCAGACTACCTTCTGTACATTCTATGACAGGACTGTTCAACCTCTATTTCCTACCCTAATTTATAATCTCCAACAACCTTATAGTCTCCCATCTCAAATGCCAAAGAATGGATCATGACTAAACTGACCAATACATCAAAAGGCAAATGGCACAGCAATGTCAAATACTTCTACCACCACCACCAAAGATCTTTCTATCACACTTCGTTTTAGTAGTGGTACCTTCATCCTGTCCTTAAACAAGAAATGTTAGCTGTCTTGTGTCTGAAAAGTTAGGGAAAAGATGGGTTATTGCTGATTATATTTCAGTTGAGAACCCTTCACCATACATGCATCCCACACAGGATGAAATCATGGCAGCAGCAGTATGTAAGTACAAAATGGAGACCTTCCAAACTCACCCCAGCTTATTTTAATGCAACTCTTAATAAAATACTTCATATAAAATCCAGAACAAATGTCAATCTATGAAGAATGCTGGGACAGCATGTGTAAACTGGGACTGTCCTAGGCAAGCTGGCACATGTTGCAACTCTATTTATAGGTCACTTAAATGAAGGAAACTTGACAATGGTTCAAGTTTAATTCAGTTGAAAATAGAAATAGATTCTTTTTTTCACCTAAAAATTGAAATATTTAAGTTACATATTCCATGAGAACAAACTGACTTCTATGCAGTAAAACCAATTATTATACTATGTTAAACATCTTTTTTAAGAGAGATACTTTGTCTTTCAGAGCTCATATCATATTCTTGAAAATAGAAGTCTATTAAGCATTGGCCATATAAGAACAGATCATTATTTGTCTTCAAGTCTATTGATTAATCATCCTTTCAATAAAAGATAAAAATGCTACAGAAAAGACATCAGTCATGTTAAAGACATTTGTTATTTAATTATTACAGCTTTCTCTCATTCATCATATGCACCAAGCATTTATTGAATGTGCATAATTCACAGAAAGTGGCACCAAAGACATAGCCATCTTTGTTGCCTTTTTGTTTCACCTGTATTCTAAAAAGTATAAGAAGAAATATCTAGGAATAAAGGTTATGAGATCATTTGCTTCCAGGTTATTAGATTCTTTTTTCTCCTAAGAAAAACATTGGTGATTTATTTTTTCTAGTTCCTTAGCTCTATAGTTTAACCTCTTTCTTAACCATACTTTGATTTCCTTTTACAAATTATTTCCCTTTACATCATTTTATCTTATTTCTCTCATGGTTATGCTATTTTTTCTTACCACATAGCTCAGATGACCACTTTGAATAAGAGTCATGGCAATCATGGTCATGATTTCATGAAAGCAGACTACCTAGATAGTCCTTAAACCATATGTAATGCACACTTAGTAAATTCTAAATACCATTGATTTGGTGTTAGGTACACTATCAGCATTCTATAAATATAAGCATCTCTGAATTTACTGAAAAAAATCCATTATTGAAACATTGATTATAAAGAAAATTGCATTAATTTAGACTCAATTTCACAATGTCTTAAACATTTACTACTAATAAAATTTCAATGAAACCAGTGATTTTGAAATGCAGCAATTATGCACATAATTCTCCTTTAATTTTTTACTAAATATAATTTACATGCAGTTAAAAGTATACAGATCTTAAACGTTACCGCTATAGTAGCCACTGACAAATACATCACCCAGTAATCCATACCCCTATGAAGATACAGAAGGTTTTCATCACCCCAGAAAGTTCCCTCAAGGAAAACATTGTTATGATTTCTTTTCTATAGATTTGTTTTATCTCTTCTTGACCTTCATATAAATAGAAGCATATCATATGTACTCTTTTGTGTCTAGCTTCTTCCATTCATCACAATGATTTTGAGATTTATCCATGTTTCTGTGGATAAAAATTGAATTATATCTTATGTACTCTTTTGTGCCAAGCTTCTTCCATTCATCACAATGATTTTGAGATTTATCCATGTTTTTGTGCATGTAAATAGTTCCCTCACTTCATTGATAAGTAATACACTTATTTGAATATACTTGAATATACCACAGTTTGTTTATCCATTCTCCTGTTGATGGACATATGGGAAGTTTCCATTTTGGAAATTCTATGAATGAGACTGCTATAAACATTATCATACAAGTATTTTATAGATATATTATTTCATCTCTCTTAAGTAAATACCTAGGAGTAGAACTGCTGTGTCATTGGGAAAGTACATATTTAATTTTATAAGAAACTGTCAAACACTTTTCTAATGTTTAGACCAGTTTATTATTTATTTATTGAGACAGAGTCTCAGTATAAGAAACTGTCAAACACTTTTCTAATGTTTAGATCATTTTAATATTTACTTATTTATTTATTGAGACAGCGTCTCACTCAGTCACCCAGGCTGGAGTGCAGTGGTGCAATCTCAGCTCACTGCAACATCTGCCTCCCGGGTTCAAGCAATTCTTGTGCCTCAGCCTCCTGAGTAGCTGGGATTACAGGCATGTGCCACTGCGTCCAGCTAATTTTTGTATTTTTAGTAGAGACGGGGTTTCACCATATTGGCCAAGCTAGTCTCAAACTCTTCACCTCAAGTGATCTGCCTGCCTCGGCCTCCCACGTTTATACAATTTTAAATGTTTTATACTTTCACTAGCAAGATATTAGCGGTCAAATTCCTCTGAATTCTCACAAAAGGTAAGTGTTGTCAGGATTTTTGTTGTTTTAAATCGTAGGATTTCTAGTGGGTATATCAAAGTATTTCCTTATAGATTTGTTTTGTTTTTTTAGATGGAGTTTTGCTCTTGTCGCCCAGGCTGGAGTGCAATGGCGCCATCTCAGCTCACCGCAACCTCCACCTCCTGGGTTCAAGTGATTCTCCTGTCTCAGCCTTCCTGAGTAGCTGGGATTACAGGTATACACCACCACACCCAGCTAATTTTGTATTTTTAGTAGAGATGGGTTTTCTCCATGTTGGTCAGGCTGGTCTCGAACTCCTGACCTCAGATGATCTGCCTGCCTCTGCCTTCCAAAGTGCTGGGATTACAGGCGTGAGCCACCGTGCCCGGCACTTGATAGTCTTGATTTGCATTTCTCAAATAACTAAACACATAGGACATTTCTTGTACTTACTAGCAATTCATATTTTTTTATAAACAGCTTATTCCAATTTCTTATACTTTAGGCTTATTTTAAGTTAATGAATTTTAAGAGTGCTTTATATATCTTTTTAAGCAATATGCATTTTAAGCAATAAGCAAATATTTTCTCTTGAAATTTCTTGAAATACAACATGGTTATACAGTGTCTTAATGGTGTCTCAATGAATAAAGTTTTTATTTTGATGAAGTCTAATTTGTTGTGGATTTTTTTTTTCATTTTATAGAATTAGTGCTTTCTGTGTCTTGTCTAAGAAATTATTGATTACCCTAAAATTTGGAAGAAGTTATCCTCTAGTTCCTCCTACAAGCTTTACAGTTTTAGCCTAAACCAAGATCAAATAATATTCTCCAATATTTTCTTCCAGAAGTTTTATAATTTTAGCTTTTACATTTATCTCTATGATCCACTTTCAGTTAATTTTATACAGTAAAAAAAGTATGCTTCAAATTTTTTTGCATATGGATATTCAGTTATTCCAGCACCATTTGTTGAAAACACTATCCTTTCTCTACTGAATTGCCTTTGCCTCTCTGTCAAAAATTACTTGTCTATACATGAATGGCTTTATATATAGACTCTCCATTCTGTTTCACTGATCTATTTGTCTTTATGCCAATGCCACAATGTTTTGATTACTGTAGACTTATAATGTGTTGAAATCAGGTAGTGTTATGCCTCTAACTACGTTCTTCCTAAAAGCTGTTTTGGTTATTTCAAACATTTCTATTTTAATTTTAGAATCTATCTGTATATATAAATCAAATTGGGGAGAAAGACATCTTAACAATATTGAGTTGTATGATCCCTGTACACAGTTTATCTTTCTATTTATTCAGACTTTCTTTTATTTCTTTCATCAGTGCTTCAGTGTTTTCAACATATGGACCTTGTACATATTTTGTTAGATTTATAACTAAGTACTTCATTTTTTGGTGCTAGTATAAATGTATTTTGTATTTTTAATGGTCTTAAAGTTTTTTTAAATTTCCATTTATAAGTTTTTCCTTGCTACTATTTAGAAAGATAAATGGTTATCAGACATTGACTATATTCTACAGCCTTACTCTAGTAACAATTTTATAGATCCCATTAATGTTCTATATAAATAATCATGTTCTCTGTGAATAAAGTGTTAGTTCTTTCTTTTCAATCTAGATGGCTTTTATTTTATTGTGCCTATTGCATAATAGTAAATCCAGGCACTATTATTCCATTTGTACTAGAAGCAGAAGTATTAAGCACATATTTTGAATATTATTTTTATTTTTAAATAATCAATGTCACAGAGATATTTGGAAAGTCATAAGTACTAGATAATAAGGAAATGGTGATTACCAAACTGCTAAATATTCATCATATTGAACCTACCTTAAAACTTTACAGTTTAGATCCAAGATAATTGTTTTATATTTTTATTACCCTTGGTATTTTCATTAAGCGTCATCATTTAAGCAGAAAAATGTAGAAACAAATACTACACTGAAATTCAATAAATATCTGTTGAATGAATGAATTATAACAATGAATTATAATATGAATGGAGATAATCCTGCATTAATTTGTCATACAACTACCAGTTATGGGAGGAAAAAAATAGTGAAAGAGAATGCCTTCAAGTTTATCTCATGGCCGAGGAGCTTAAAATACAACACAATAAAGAATTTTAGAACTGGAAGTCTTCTCAGGATTTAGACTGTCTTTTCCCATTCCAGAGATGAGAAAACAGGACATACAGAGAAAAAAATAAACATCTAGAAATGATGACACTATGGGGAAAAGGTGAGAACAGGGCCTAGGTCTTCTGACTTCTAGTTCTTTCTCATCTACCATACAAACTATCCATATTTCTTACTTTTTAACTTCTCTAAATGTTGTAGAAACTGCTACAAATTAAATAGTAAAATTTTGCAAATAAACTTTCCTACATTTCACTAATTTGCAACTATGAAAATTATGAAGCATCCAACTTAAATAATTTCAAATGTAAGAAATATCAATTAAATGTTTTTAAACAGTTTTACTTTAGTTTTCACTAATTTTATTTTCTTAACCAGAAAAAAATCCAGTTTTACAATGTATTTCACAAGTTATTTTGAAATAAAAACATACTTGAAACTCAAAAGTATTTTGCATCTAAGTTGATAAAGAATTGCAATTTATGACTATATGTTAAGTAAGTATTCACCTACTCAACGCTAAGGTTTAGAGCCAACTTGATATTCATTCATTCAATAAATACTAATGGCCTATCTGTAAAACACTGTACCAAAACCTGTGAGAGAAATAACAAGTCATTTAAAAAGGTCAAAACTACTACATCATGTTATAGATTAAAGCTCCTTAAAAGAGTAACATACTTTTCTGTTTCAAATATAGTTATAAGTCCATAGAGATTTAAATTAAGTTGAACTGAAGCTTCTCTTTCTGAAGCCACTGGTTTCTGAATGGTATTGAAAAAACAAATTACTAATGCTTCAAACTGAAATTATATTTCTAGCATTACCTCCATTTCCCTGTCCAATTCAAATACTGCAATAAAACCCATTCTGATAAGAAAGAAGAAAGAGAGACAGAAAGAGAAGGATAGAAGCTGGCAGGCAGGGTGGGAGACGAAGGAACAAAAAAAAAATAGGTTTAATTAAAAAAATTTAAATGGTGACAAAAGAAAATGGGCAAAGGGAGAAATTTCAACAACACTAAGAGAACTGCTCTCTAGGGCAGGGATTGGCAAACTTTTTCTGAAAAGATCAGAGAGCAAATATTTGCAGGGTTTTTTTTTGAGACAGAGTTTCGCTCTTGTTGCCCAGGCTGGAATGCAATGGCACGATCTTGGCTCACTGCAACCTCCAGCTTCCAGGTTCAAGCGATTCTGCTACCTCAGCCTCCCAAGTAGCTGGGATTATAGGCATGCACCATCACACCCAGCTAATTTTTGTATTTTTAGTAAAGACGGGGTTTCACCAAGTTGGCCATGCTGGTCTTGAACTCCTGACCTCAGGTGATCCGCCCTCCTCGGCCTCCCAAAGTGCTGGGATTACAGGCATAAGCCATTGCACCCGGACTATATTTGCAGTTTTGAGACCCATATGGTCTTTCACAACAACTCAACTACGGAATTGTAGCTGACAGCAGCCATAGACAATAAATAAATGAACAGGAGTGGCTGTGTTCCAAAAGAACTTTGTTTACAAAAACCAAGTGGCAAGTCAAATTTGGCCCAGGTTCATAGTTTGCTGACCCCTTGCTGTAAGGGAAGAAATTCAAAGGACTCAATACTGGCTATAGATAAATGTCTAATTAACTACTGTATAATCTGCATTTTAAAATAAAAGAAATACTCTTTAAAGTGTTTCCCAAAAAAAAGTGTATGTAAATTACAATGAGTTCCATTTTCTTGGCATAACTACCAAATCTGATATTAAACTCTAACTTCTTTCCTGACTAAAAGTAATTTTTGTGAACAAAAGGAGCTATTGGTTGGGCATTTGTAAGGTTTGGAAAGAAGATATACAGTATGCTTTTAGTCATTAAGCACGAATTTATTAGTAATAGTAGCCAAAGCACCAGGCAAAAGAGAAAAGAATAAAAGGAACTACAACCTGTTGGCTCCCCACAATAGGTCAATTTCAATTGTTTATTCAGGCCAGTACTTGTGAGTGAAAGAGGCATTAAAGAATATAAGATTTTTATTTGTTCTCATTACCACCTTCTTCAAAGATTACAGATAGGCAACCGGGCACGGTGGCTCACGCCTGTAATCCCAACACTTTGGGAGGCCGAGGTGGGTGGATCATCTCAGTTCAGGAATATGAGACCAGCCTGGCCAACATGGTGAGACCCTGTCTCTACTAAAAATACAAAAAAATTAGCCAGGCATGGTGGTGGGTGCCTGTAATCCCATCTACTTGGGAGGCTGAGGCAGGAGAATCGCTTGAACTCGGGAGGCGGAGGTTGCAGTGAGCTGAGATCATGGCACTGCACTCCAGTCTGAGCAAAAAGAGACTTCTGTCTCAAAACAAAAACAAACAAACAAACAAAAAACAAAGATTACAGATAGGCTTTACCTTGTCTATGATGAATTAATTACTCATAAATTTATTGAATTTATTTTTAACACACGTAACTTCCTGATGAAATGCATTCCAAAACTTAATATTCTATTATGTGACCTAGTGCTTTAGTATTTCATTTTATTCTTACTAACCCTGCCTCTCTAAGCTCCACAAAAAGCTATCTCATGTGGTTAATTTTTAAACAAATGGAGTCTATATTCCTATTATCCTTTTTTTTTTAGTCTGATCTTATCGATTTGTTATTCAAAAAATCTTATTTCTGACTGGATTCAGACTTAGAAGTAGAAGCTTGCAGACAGGAAAGCCTGCATTTCTTAGCAATTTGTTCCTGACGCTTCTGTTTAGCCTCCTTCATTCTCTTGGCCAAAAGTTAAGCATATTCTGCAGCCTCTTCCTAATTTTTCTTAGTATGCTGCTTCTCCAGAGCAATATGGCACCATTTGTGCTGCAGGACACATGGAGTAATAAGACGCTGAATTTTGGGTGCTTTGGTCCTAGGTTTCTTACCTTCTTTGTTTAAAGGCTTTCTTACAACATACTGGTGGACATCATCTTCTTTAGAGAGATTGAAAAGTTTGTGGATTCTGCTAGCTCTTTTGGGCCCCAGGTGATGAGGCATCGTAGTATCAGTCAATCCTGGAATATTTTTATCTCCTTTTTTTACAATAACCAAGTTAGAGCACTCCGATTGGCATCCACAATGCAACCACGAACTGATTTTCTCTTTCTTTCTCCAGTTCTCCTTGGTCTGTAACAGGAATGCCCCTTACTCATTAGCAGGCGGACACGGCCATGAATCAAGACACCCCTCTTCATGGGGAACCATTGTTTGTCATTCCCACCACTGATTAGGACCACATAACCCTTCCATTCTTCAACCAGAGCATCAGCAGCAACTTCTGTGGCCATATGCTTCTCATAAAAAGTGCAGAGTTTGCGTTTATCATCCACTTCAATGAGTTTCTGGCAGCCAGTGGCTGGGAAAGAGATGTCCAGCTTCATCTTGAAGCAGGTGAATGCCTCCAAGGCACCACGAAAAAGAGCCCATTATTCATTTTACTTAGTCATTCATTCACTCATTTTTTAAAAATTCTATCTCCACTGGTTATCTATTTTTTTCATATACCTTGACCATTATAACTGCCATTTGGGGAACTTTCTTGATCTCTGAAGTCACTGTGTAGCAGATACTACCAGCAACCCAACCACATTGCCTCATCATTCACCATTCCCTACATAGCAAAATCTGCTGACTGTAAGTGTTTGTTACACTCTGCCTGAGTGCTTTCTCTAGCCAGTGAGTTTCAGAGAGTTAACAATTCCCAGGATCAGCCCTGGACCAACAATAAAGGAGAGTTGATAAATTAAATACTCCAACTTCCTTGTCCTCTATATAGGATAACTCTGAGGTCTTTCTACCCAGTCTCCCAGAGGAAGTCCCCACAAGATTAAGATGATTGTTTTCCCCAAAGATAGGATTACATGTACTGTTCCCTTTTACTACTTTGCAAAAGAACTGGTGCAGTCATTGTTTTCTTTTTCTCTCAAGATCCAGCAATGTATTGGAGTGGTGACTTTAGGCACCATCTAAAATGACTCCCAGTGGTCTTACTTGTTAGAACTGATACCCAAGAACCTACCATACTATATGTACAATTTAGATTTGTTTCTGCAGGAATGCATGACTTTGTACTTATTCAACACAGAAATGTATCTGCTACTTCTGGGCAACAGAAATAGTATAAACCAGATTTAAATTTATCTTTATTCAAACAGAAAAATAAGGTATAGAAAAATAGGCCGGGCACGGTGGCTCACACCTGTAATCCCAGCACTTTGGGAGGCCGAGGTGGGCAGATCACGGGTCATGAGATTGAGACCATACTAGCCAACGTGGTGAAACCCCGCCTCTACTAAAGTACTAAAAATTAGCCAAGCATGGTGGTGCACACTTGTAGTCCCAGCTACTCGGGAGGCTGAGGCAGGGGAATCGCTTGAACCTGGGAAGCAGGGATTGCAGTGAGCCGAGATCGTGCCACTGCACTCCAGCCTGATGACAGAGCGAGACTCCATCTCAAAAAAAAAAAAAAGAAAGAAAAAGAATCTTCCCATCAAAATCCTTTATTCTCCTTCCAAAGGTAGTAAATATAAGAGCCCTATGTACTATTTTAAGTATCACACTTTGAACACGAAGAAGCCCATAGTACGGAGCCAAAATAGTTACAACAGAGTTAGCACATGGATATATCAAACTCATGAAATCCTTCACTATAAACCTGATGTCGGATCTGCATATACTTGCTTGAAAACCCACATCATCCTTCAGCCCAAGATAGAACCTTTGGAGATATTGTTAACCTTCCCTATTACCTTAACTCCCACTTCCAACTAGTCCCATCAATCCAACCTCTATAAAGAGTCTATAGCCATCTCTTCTTCATTCCCATTAGTCCAATGCTAGTCTGTCTTTCCTTTGACAAAAACTTCTAAGTTCCCTGTTTTATTTCACTTCTTTATGCTGGGAAATCTATCTGATAACCTAACACTCCCACATCAAATCTAAGATAGTTCAAACCTATGATAGGTCAAGTCCTGAACATCACATATAGTATTTATGTAAAACATATGAATGTTTACATTACTTAGACAACTCACCATTGCCTAAACATTTCATGTATTGTTATCTCTGTTTGGAATGAAGACTAAAAGTAATACATTTGCCTAAAGATTAAACAAAATGTTTACCTGTCTGAAGCTATGTCACTGGCAATGTGATGCTTCACGCCTGACCCATTTTTAATAGAATGCTGTCTTGTGAGCCCATGAGATCGACTTTTCTCCACTGCAGGTACAGATAAGTCACCTGAGGGTCCTTGGAACTGGGTCTGCTCATGTAGTTTTGGTTTCTTCTCCTGAGGTGCCTCCTCATTTCTTAGCCCTCGAAGAACCTTTTGATCAGGTTGCTGTGGTGTATTAGATCCACTATTATAAAACCATGCTCCTGATTTAGTGAGGATTTCTTGTTGTTTTCGGCACAAATTACATACCCACATAACCTGCACATGAAGACATAGGGGGAAAAAATTAGTGTTCCCAAAAGTTAAAAACAAATAAAAAGAGACAAAAATTCAAGCAAACAAAAAATTACGTGGTTATCCTTCTGAAGTTAAAACATAATCCTAATTCACTGCTACTGTAAATTAAATAATATATACTTTCTTTTAATTTTTCTGAATAATTCTAATGAAATAGTCAATATTTATTGACCACAGAGATAGCAAACTAGAGTCCTAAATTGCTGATTGTTCATTTGTATTATTTAATTAGTTTTATTTAAATTAGAGGCATTGTGTAATACACAGAAAATAGATTTTGAAACTAGACAGTTGGGTTTAAATACCAACTCCAAAATTAGAAACTTTGCAACTTTCAACAAGGAACTGAAACTTCATATCTATAAAACTTAGTTTCCTTAATGATAAAATAGGGAAATAAAGATGATAATTTCCCTGTAATTTGAGGCTGAATATTAGAAATAATTTATTTAAAATATCTAGAATATTACTTGTTATACGGAAAATTAGCTGTTAGTATTAGGTTAACATTCTAACCGCAATTATATTCTTAAGGGGGCTTTTATTTTTTTCAAGTAGCACCTAATGGCTAAAATAAAGCTACAAGCTTTGTTGATCCTCTATAAAAAACCAATTAATTGCTAATAATTTATACTAATGCATCTGATGTTTTTACTGTGGCAAAAGACACAACATAAAATTTGCCATTTTAACCATTTTTAATTGTACACCTCAGTAGCAGTAAGTATATTCACATTGTGAAACAGATCTTTAAAATTTTTCCTGCAAGATTGAAACTCTACACCCACTAAACAGCAACAGCCCTTTTCCTCTCCTCCAACCCCGGCACAACTATTCTATACTCAATTTTTCTACAGATATATTTTTCAGACTCCAGAAATCTAAACATATTGTAATTAATATCTCTGTGGCCAGAAAGCCCTTCACCCTTTTCTGAAAAATCCTTTTCAATTAATCATTTAAAAAGCCATATTATCATAAAATAACCGTTCATAATTCAAGTGTGTGAGTGCTAATGTTTTGTTTATGTCAAATACTTACTCTTACACAGCTCTCCAGGTTGCTAAACATTTTCTCACATAAAATAAATTACAACAGTATAATCACAGTAAAAGTTTCAACATGGCATTTTCAACTGACACAAAAATGTTTTTGTAAAATACCATGTAGATTTTTTACCTTATTGTCCATTATTCCATTTCATAGTTTGTACAGATCTTATCACACAACATTGTACTTGCTCATTTTTATTATTTTGTTCTTTCATTGAATTGTATATACATTTCTTTTCTCCCCAATTAAATTTGAAGTTTATTGAAGGCAGGAACTACATCTTCTACTAGCATAATAAAACCTTATAAATTATAGAATAGTAAGATATAATAAATGTTTGCTAAGTTTAGGTTGTTTAAAATTCTTCTGGGGGAAATATGGTAATAATATATTTGATATTATTAAGCCAAGATGTATGTTCATTAATTTCCTAAAGAATTAGTCATAAATAATATCAATATATGTATGTATTTTATTTTTATAAGTATTTTGATGTGAAAACACCATTATCTCACTGAAATTAAAAAGAACATGCCTCAGTTCAAATTTCTTTTGCTATAATTAGTTTTAATAGACATGAAATATATCTAACCCATCAACAGTCTCAAAAAATGAAATTTGAGCCAGCATCTCAGCCTTTTGATGCCATCTTGTGACAAACGCAGGTACTACAGATCTCTTTTAAAAAGTCACGCAAAACAGAACCACAAAATAATGTAAAAATAAATGAAGTTTGAATGTCAACTTTTCTGTTTTAAACAAGTTGTTATTTATGCTTCAGTGATAATCTATTCTAGATGATTATAAGATATGAATTTATCTGAATTAGGTCACACTCAGAGTACTGAAGAAGAGCATCCCTTTGTGCCTGGTAATTAACAACAAACGAGAGCTTGTGAGACAGACAATTATCCAATCACTATCATCTGCAGAAACAGCATTTGCTGCTTTGTAACAGTTGAAAAATAAAATTTTTCACAAGGTAAGCAGGTTACTTAATGTATTTCAGAGCAGAGCTTCTCAAAGAATATCCCTGGGAGAATAGCATCAGTATCACCAGAAGTGCCGATTCCCAGGTCCCACCCCAGACTTACTGAATAGGAAACTCTGGGGCAGTGCCCAGCAATATTTTTTCCCCAAACCCTCCAGGTAATTCTGATGTTTGCTAACATTTGAGAACCACCGGTCTATGGCAGAGATTCGTAGTTCAATATGTTAAATGGGTTACAAGTATGCTCCTCAGACTGGCTAAGACCAAAGGAGTTCATACACAGCCTTGTCAGTTTACCTTAGTGTGAACTGCTGACTGTACAAGTAGTATTGTTTCTGTGGAGCCCAAAATGAGAAAAAGAATTGGAAACACTATCAGCTTAATTTTCCTCATCTGTTAATATCTAGTGAATATTAATATAAGACAGATGAGCATAAGGTATGAAGGATGATGTCTGATTCCCATTAAAGACTCTCCATGTGTTAATATCCTTCTCACATTGCCTGGGCTATGCACACTGCTTGTTCCTTTTCTGACTAGATCATTTGTTCCTTCCTAAATCACTAGCTCCTATATCCTTCCTTTCCTCCCTTCTTCCCTCCCTTATTCCGTATCCCTCCTTCCCTTATCCTATATTCCTCGCTTTCTCCCTTCCTTATTTCCTTCCTCCCTCCCTTCCTTTCTTCCTTCTTCTTTTTTTTTTTCCTTGAAACAGGGTCTTACCTTGTCACCTAGGCTGGAGTTCAGCGGCACAATATCAGTTCACTGTAGCCTCAACCTCCCAAGTTAAAATGAATCTCCTGCCTCAGTCCCTCAAGTAGCTGGGAGTATGGGCATGTGCCACCACGCCAGCTAATTTTTGTATTTTTGTAGAGATGGGGTTTCACTATGTTGCCCAGGCTGGTCTTGAATGCCTGAGTTCAAGCAATCTGCCCACTTCAGCCTTCCAAAGTGCTAGGATTACAGATGTGAGCCACCATGCCTCCTAGTATTTTCCTATTCATATATTGACACCCTGGTTACCTTTCTTTTCTTCTTCTACCATCTCCTCCTACTCTTGGATTAATAGTTTATTAATCCTTTAAGCTCAGGAATTCCGGATCTACCCACATCAAGTACTGCCATGTGCTGCATAACAATAGTTCAGTCAACAAAAGACCATATATAGAAGGGTGGTTCCCTAATATTATAATACCGTATTTTTACCATGCCTTTTCTATATTTAAATATGTTCAGATACATAAACACTTTTAATTATGTTACTACTGCCTACAATATTTAATACAGTAACATGTTGTACAGGTTTGTAGCCTAGGAGCAACAGACTATATCATCTAGCCTAGGTGTGTAGAAGGCTATACCATCTAGATTTGTTTAAGTACACTCCATGATGTTAGCATGACAAAATTGCCTAATGATGCACTTCTTGGGCTGTATCTCCATCATTAGCAACACAATTGTAGTACAGAAAAACTGATACTTTCACTTGTAGCCCTTTACACAGAAAGCAGCTTAGCTTATAAATTGGCGACGGTATTGAATTACCTCTCACACACACCAATACCTCTCACAAATACATATATGTTGTGAAATGATTTTTCATTAATTGACTATGAAATGATTAATAGCTATTAGAGATAAATTCTGTGTCCATGGAACAAAATTTATCTAATTTGGCAATAAAGTCACAGGCCTTTTGCTAATAGAACGCTTTAACCAATTAAGTTAACCACATAAGGAATGCCATCTAAAATATGTTAGAAATATATATGCCTATAAATCTCCCTGGTTAGAGACTATTAACTGATTCTCATAATTACCAAAAACATCTAGAACCTGAGAATACAAAACATACAGGGTTCAAAATTATAAATTATTATTACCTTCAGTCCTAAATATGTCAAAATTTTAAAAATAATATAGAAATATTAAGAGATGGAATAATCTCTAATGACCCAAATTTGTCACTTACTTCCATATGTTTTATTCCATAAACATTCTTAGGAATGTTAGGAAAGGAAGGGAAAAAAACTAAGGAAAATACAAATATCTTTTTTAAACCACAAAAATAATAACCATAACAGCTGCAGTGAATACTAAAAGAAAGCAAAAAAAAAAAAAAATTTACATTAGGTATATACAATAATTGAGAGCAATCTAAAGGTCTGCAAAATACTATGATTTTCTTCTAAACAGGGACAAAAAAATAGAGTAATTCAAAAAAGGGAGGGATTATAGTTTAAAGACTTACACTAACGAGACCATAGGCCAAGCTCCTATGATCCAGCTAACTGCACAGAAAAAGGAATTCACTAGACTCTACCTCTAACCATTGCCAACCTGCTTATAAATATGTGTGCATTTGTCAGAGAAGAAATAAGGTAAAAGAGTATAAATTGATCAAGTAACCATTACATAAATAGAAAATTGTGAAAGATTCTGGCTAGCTATTCAACAACTTATTTCCTTTCCTCTTAGAAAACTACATTTTCCATGTTATCTTGGGCAGCTATGACCATACAATTATATTCTACCAATGGATTATAAGTGGAATGGGTGTGCCACTTTCATAAACTTTTAAAAATTCTCATGTGCTATCTTCATGCTGTTCAGCCAAGACCTTGGAGATAAGGAAGCCACAGGAAAAAAAGGTGCCTGGGAACCTGAATAATCACTAGGAGGAGAGCACTCAGCTGATCAGCTTACCAGTGTGGACTTCACATAGGTGAAAACTAAACTTCTACTAAGTTGAGCTTTAAAGATTTTTTGAGTTTACCTTCTATAATTGATTGCATTACCTTGACTAATTCACAGTCTTTTTAAAGTACATGCTTATTCAATGTGTATTACTAGCACAATCTTGTATGTGAAGAACAATCCATTACCAGGGCATGAATATGAAAGAGCTTCGGTGTTGTTCACTAACTCATGAAAACAAATTGTGTGCTTTCTCCCTAACTCCACATTCCATGAAGTAATGTGGGTTAGCTTGAAATCAGCTGTGGTGGATGTATTTAGACTAAATAAATTGGAAAATGCCAAAAGTCAGAGATTTTTCTAAAAGAGAGCTGGTTGTTAGCACGTATGAACACACCAGTGACTATAATATATTCACTACATTCTACTAAAAGAATAATATTACATTTAGTTTAGTAGATAAACTTAGATGAAGCTATAATTTGCCATAAAAATTAATTGAAATCATAGAATTCCAATTTATTTATAGATGGGCAAGTAACTATTAACACCAATTCATTATTTATTTACTTATACAATATTTACTAAATGGCTACTATATGCCAAATGCTATGCTAACAGCTGGTGAATAAAGCTCAACAAATATACATTTTGCTACAGAGTATAAAGTGTACTAGGGAGACAATAAGCAAACAAATAATTGCACAAATATTGTTATAATTACGGTAAATGTTACAAAAGGAATGCAGTCCCACCATAGATCTTTCCCTCTGGCCCACATTGTGTTTGGAAAAAAAACAAGAATGCAGAGATCTACAATAGGTCTGGAAATCCAGAGGCTCAACCAGAGCATTACCCTAAAGCATTCCCATGATCAGATCCATGGTGTCTGTGTCTCTAAAAAGGCAGAATTCAAGGGTAGCTTGCGCTACTAAACTACAAGCCCTCACCCAGCACTGCCATGGTGGATTTTGAAAGTAGACACATTGGCTCATATCCCAGAAGGTTAACATTTTCTAATAGGATTCCTTAGGCAATTAAGAGATACTGTCATCTGTAAATACTAAGATTCTGGATTACAAAACAAAAATCAGAAATTTTCTTCATCTGATGCCCCTGATACAAGCAGCAGAACTTCCAGATTTACCATGAATTGTAATCACAGCATTTCTAGCAATAGTCACACTTACAGGCTGAAGCAGGAATGTCTGATGGGTCTTCATTAAATCTCTTGGGAGGCAACAGCACATCCTCCTGAGAGCTTTAACCTTAAGCATTTCCCAGTCTTAGCTGTTACAAATCCTTCTATGTTGGCTATCGCTGTGGCTTTGAAAAATTTACTCACAAAGAAAGGTAGCGTATTTATTTCTCTATTTTTGATCTGATTTTTGTCAACAGCACACTTGCCAGATTCTTCTTTAAAGCTACTCAGTAAATTGTAGTCCAATAAATAATAGCTCCTTTGGACAAGTTCTCTATTTCTGATATTTCTGCTCCTTTTTTGGCTGTTCTCCAAGAAAGTATTCAGGTGTTCTGTGAGGCTTATGCTGCTACACAACCTGCAGCTCATCCAATCGATAGTCTGATTCTTCTCAACTTAGACAGACTTGCACTTCTCAATAAACCTGATCTCACTTCGGTTCCCACCAGCACTGCCAAACACTTAGTCCCTGAATGACCCTCTATTCCACTATGGCAAAAGCTGTCTATTCTGCAGCTTCTTCTGCAAAGTCATCTCATCCCTCACTATAGATAGGTGTCATGTCTGGGACATGTAGTTATGCTCATGCCACACTAGAACAAAGGACAGTTCTGGAAGTCAAGTCTGGCCTTTTCTTGGCCTTTCTTTTTTCTTTTCTTTTTTTTTTTTTTTTTTTTTTTTGAGACGGAGTCTCGCTCTGTCGCCCAGGCTGGAGTGCAGTGGCACAATCTCTGCTCACTGCAAGCTCCGCCTCCCAGGTTCACGCCATTCTCCTGCCTCAGCCTCCCGAGTAGCTGGGACTACAGGCGCCCACCGCCACGCCCAGCTAATTTTTTGTATTTTTAGTAGAGAAAGGGTTTCACCGTGTTAGCCAGGATGGTCTCGATCTCCTGACCTCGTGATCCGCCTGCCTCGGCCTCCCAAAGTGCTGGGATTACAGGCGTGAGCCACCACACCTGTCCTTCTTGGCCTTTCTTAATCATGATCCGCTGCCAAGTTCATTCTGAAGTATCTATGCCCCTGATGGATGCTAGGGCATCCCGAAGGGTGATTCCCTTCCATGGATCTCAAATAATAATAAGAGTAAAAGATGCCCTTCAATTTAACAAAAATGCATCCTCGTCCTGAGTCAAAGCCTGGAAAGAAGAGACTGGAACATACCTCTAATCATCTACTGGCCTCACCTGTCTTCTTTCTCCTCCCCTACAATGTAGAAGAATAGAAGAAACAAGCTTTTCCTTGACTGTTCTTTTCTGTATACCTAACACTTTCCCCAAATACCCTCAGCTTGAAGTAATGAGCTTCAGTCTTCCCATTTCATCGATTTCATCCAATTAAAATTATAGTGAGTTTTACCACTTTGCCTAAATTTAAACTTTTAACCCTCTCTATTACTTTTCCCAAACTCTATTTTTCTCTACTTATTTGTAATTTGTAAGTAAGTTGTTTTATGCCATGATATAAATCTAAACTTTTAACCTTTCTTCTGCTAAAAGCAGACATGTCTTTCAATAGAAAGACTGTTGTTTCTACACCCAGAATTTTAACTTATAAATGAATAAATAAAAGTAAAAAAGAAATGAAAGGAAATTAGCAGAGCTAAAGCCTCAGGTCTACTATGTCCCCAGCCAAACAGCAGGTACCAGTGAATAAGAGCACAGGTCTTATGGTTTAACAGAACTAGAAGTGCTGCATGTGAAATGACAAACTGAAATTCATGTTCACGTCTTCATTAATAAAAAAAAGCTGAAAAAAATGCTGTGGAAATCTTCTCAACCTACAGCTTCCTAGAAGCTGTAGGCTTGGGCAAGTGGGACACACTTGTAACTTTGACACTGAACAAAGCCTCCACAGACTTGGTTTGTATATATGAATTTATAAGATCACTAATGTAAAATATCACTAATATATTAATTTGCAATATCACTCAATACCAAGATTGAGGCAAGACCACAGCTCATTAATGAATATCTGGTTCTGAACTGGAGATCCCAGAGACTGCATGAAGGCAATCATGAAATTATTAATAAGGAAGAAGTAAGTTCAGAGGAAAGAGGAAGGAAGAAAGAGAAGAAGAGAAAGACAGGAGGTCCTAGATAGCTATCTAAAGTCTATCTAACTCTAGATAGCTATCTAAAACTTATTCAAAAATATTACAGAAGGGGGAAAAATGGAAACTTCCATGACTCAAATTACAAATTACCCCAAACTGGTGGCTTAAAACAACAAGAAATGTATTCCCTCACAGCTCTGGGACAAGAAGTCCAATTTCAATATCACCTGACCAAAATCAAGATGTCAACAGGGCCATGATCCTTCAGAAGGCTCTAGGGAAAACCAGTTCCTTGTCTCCTCTGGCAATCAGCTTCTGGTGAGTATCATCATTCCTTGGCTTGTGGCCACATCAATCCAATATTCAAAAACAGCATCTTCGAACTCTCTCTGTTAAATCTTCACATCGCCTTCTCTTCTGTGTTTGTGCACAGATACATATGCACTGATGATACAAGGGATTGCATTTAGGGCCAACCTGCATAATCTCCCTATCTCAAGATCTTTACTGTATCACACCTGCATGTTGTTTGAGGAAAGAGAAGAGTTGGGGGCCATATAAGATAACATTCATAGGTTTCAGGAATTAAGACATGGTTATCTTTAGAGGGGCCATTTTTCTGCCTACCATAGACAAAATTAAAGTAAAATTATAGCCCAATAGCACAAGTGGAAATGAATGCATACGTTTTAAAAATGTGAACCAAATCCTTAATTTTATACAGCAAATATATATGAGAAAGAAATGAATAAAGACGAACCTACCATGACAAAGGGGAGATTAAACCAAAGATGCAAGAATAGTTAAATTCATCAAATTAATCAAATTCACCAAATTAATTAATTAAAATAGAAATAAAATGGCATTATCAATACATACAGAAAAACCATTCAGCATTCATAAAATGCAAGATTCGTTTGTGTGAAAACAATATAAAATGCAGCAAACTAAATATTATAAAAATTAGCAATGCTTTAACCTAATAAAGGATATCTACAAAACCTCTATATCCTATTTTATATTTAAGAATCAAAGGTAAGAGCATTCCTTTTAAAGTAGGAAATGATCTAAGGATTCCCGGTATCACCACCTCTGTTCTACACTGTATTGGAGATGCTAGCCAAGTAAATCTCTCCTGAATATCTCTCTCTGTATCTCTCTCTCTCTCTCTCTCTCTCTCTCACACACACACACACACACACACACACACACAGACACACACACACATACGAGAAAGGATGAAATAAAACTGTCCTTATTTGAACACTATTTGATTGGCAATGCCATTTGATTATGACAGAAAATCCAAAAATCTACAGCCAAAATATTGAGTAGTAAGGGAGCTCAGTAAGTTTCCTGGATCAAATCATGATTAAGCAAAATAAACAGCATTTCTATACACCACCTATAACCAATTACAAAACATTAAATAAAATTTTTAAAGATGTCTGTCATAAAGAAAAATAACAGGCTGGGCACAATGGCTATGCCTATAGTCCTAGCACTTTGGAAGGCTGAGTGGGCAGACTGCTTGCACTCAGGAGTTCGAGACCAGCCTGGGCAACATGGCAAAACCCCATCTCTACAAAAAATTAAACAATTAGCTGGACATAGTGGCGTGGCCCACCCCACCATAGGGCTGAGACAGGAGGATCAGTTGAGCCCAGCAGGTCAAGGCTGCAGTGAGCCAAGATGTGCCACTGCACTCCAGCCTGGGTGACAAAGTGACACCTGTCTTAAGAAAGAAAAAAAAAAAGAAAGAAAAGAAAATAATATACAAGAGTCCTGCAAAAAAAAAAAAACAAAAACAACAACAACAACAAAAAACTCTCCCAAGGATCCATTCCAAGATGGCCGACTAGGAACGGCTCCGGTCTGCAGCTCCCAGTGGGATCAAGGCAGAAGATGGGTGATTTCTACATTTCCAACTGAGCCTCTGCTGGTGATACCCAGGCAAACAGGGTCTGGAGTGGACCTCCAGCAAACTCCAACAGATCTGCAGATGAGTGACCTGACTGCTAGTAGGAAAACTAACAAACAGAAAGGAGTACCATCAACATCAACAAAAAGGACATCCACACCAAAACCCCATCTGTAGGACACCAACATCAAAGATCAAACGTAGATAAAACCACAAAGATGGGGAGAAACCAGAGCAGAAAAGCTGAAAATTCTAAACACCAGAGCACCTCTTTGCCGCCAAGGGATTGCAGCCCCTCGCCAGCAATGGAACAAAGCTGGACAGAGAATGACTTTGATGAGTTGACAGAAGTAGGCTTCAGAAGGTCAGTAATAACAAACTCCTCCAAACTAAAGGAACATGTCCTAACCCAATGCAAGGAAGATAAGAACCTTGAAAAAAGGTTAGATGAATTGCTAAATAGAATAATCAGTTTAGAGAAGAACATAAATGAACTGATAGAGCTGAAAAACACATCACGAGAACCTTGTGAAGCATACACAAGTATGATTACCTCAATTGATCAAGTGGAAGAAAGGATATCAGAGATTGAAGATCAACTCAATGAAATAAAACAAGAAAACAAGATTAGAGAAAAAAAGTGAAAATGAACAAAGCCTGCAAGAAGTAAAGGACAATGTGAAAAGACCAAATCTATGTTTGACTGGTGTACCTGCAAGCGATGGGGAGAATAGAACCAAGCTGGAAAACACTCTTCAGGATATTATCCAGGAGAACTTCCCCAGCCTAGCAAGGCAGGCCAATATTCAAATTCAGGAAATATAAAGAACACCATAAAGATACTGCTCGAGAAGAGCAACCCCAAGACACATAATCGTCAGATACACCAAGGTTGAAATGAAGGAAAAAATATTAAGGGAAGCCAGAGAGAAAAGGCAGGTTACCCACAAAGGGAAGCCCATGAGAATAACAGTGGATATCTTGGCAGAAACTCTACAAGCCAAAACGGAGTGGGGGCCAATATTCAACATTCATAAAGAAAAGATTCTCCAACCCAGAATTTCATATCCAGTCAAACTAAATTTTATAAGTGAAGCAGAAATAAAATTCTTTACACACAAGGAAATGCTGAGAGATTTTGTCACCACCAGGCCTGTCTTACAAGAGCTCTTGAAGGAAGCACTAAACATGGAAAGGAACAACCGGTACCAGCCACTGCAAAAACATACCAAATTGTAAAGACCATGGACACTATGAAGGAACTGCATAAACTAACGGGCAAAATAACCAGCTAGGATCATAATGGCAGGATCAAATTCACACATAACAATATTAACCTTAAATGTAAAACGGGCTAAAGGTGCCAATTAAAAGACACAGACTGGCAAATTGGATAGAGTCAAGACCCATCAGTGTGCTGTATTCAGGAGACCCATCTCACGTGCAGAGACACATATAGGCTCAAGGTAAAGGGATAGAGGAAGATCTACCAAGCAGGTGGAAAGCAAAAAAAAGCAGGGGTTATAATCCTAGTCTCTGATAAAACAGACTTTAAACCAACAAAGATCAAAAGAGACAAAGAAGGCCATTATATAATGGTAAAGGGATCAATTCAACAAGAAGAGCTAACTATCCTAAATATATATATACTCAATACAGGATCACCCAGATTCATAAAGCAAGTCCTTAGAGACCTACAAAGAGACTTAGACTCCCACACAATAATAATGGGACACTTTAACACCCCACTGTCAACAAGAGACAGATCAATGAGACAGAAAGTTAAAAACGATATCCAGGAATTGAACTCAGCTCTGCACCAAGCGGACTTAATAGACATCTACAGAAGTCTCCACCCCAAATCAACAGAATATACATTCTTCTCAGCACCACAACGCACTTATTCTAAAACTGACCACATCGTTGGAAGTAAAACACTCCTCAGCAAATGTAAAACAACAGAAATTATAACAAACTGTCGCTCAGACCACAGTGCAATCAAGTTAGGACTCAGGATTAAGAAACTCACTCAAAACCGCTCAACTACATGGAAACTGAACAACCTGCTCCTGAATGACTACTGGGTACATAACGAAATGAAGGCAGAAATAAAGATGTTCTTTGAAACCAATAAGAACAAAGAAACAACGTACCAGAATCTCTGGGACACACTTAAAGCAGTGTGTAGAGGGAAATTTATAGCACTAAATGCCCACAAGAGAAAGCAGGAAAGATCCAAAATTGACACCCTAACATCACAATTAAAAGAACTAGAGTAGCAAGAGCAAACACATTCAAAAGCTAGCAGAAGGCAAGAAATAACTAAGATCAGAGCAGAACTGAAGGAGATAGAGACACAAAAAACCCTTGAAAAAATCAGTGAATCCAGGAGCTGGTGTTTTTAAAAGATTGACAAAATTGATAGACCACTAGCAAGACTAATAAAGAAGAAAACAGAGAAGAATCAAATAGACGCAATAAAAAATGAGAAAGGGGATATCACCACCAATCTCACAGAAATACAAACTACCATCAGAGAATACTATAAACACTTCAACACAAATACATTAGAAAATCAAGAAGAAATGAATAAATTCCTGGACACATACACCCTCCCAAGACTAAACCAGGAAGAAGGTGAATCTCCGAATAGACCAATAATAGGCTCTGAAATTGAGGCAATAACTAATAGCTTCCTAACCAAAAAAAGTCCAGGATTCACAGCCGAATTCTACCAGAGGTATAAGGAGGAACTGGTACCATTCCTTCTGAAACTATTCCAATCAATAGAAAAAGAGGGAATCCTCCCCCTAACTCATTTTATGAGGCCAGCATCATCCTGATACCAAAGCCGGGCAGAGACACAACCAAAAAAGAGAATTTTAGACCAATACCCTTGATGAACATCGATGCAAAAATCCTCAATAAAACACTGGCAAACTGAATCCAGCATCACATCAAAAAGCTTATCCACCATGATCAAGTGGACTTCATCCCTGGGATGCGAGGCTGGTTCAATATACGCAAATCAATAAATGTAATCCAGCATATAAACAGAACCAAAGACAAAAACCACATGATTATCTCAATAGATGCAGAAAAGGCCTTTGACAAAATTCAACTACCCTTCATGCTAAAAACTCTCAATAAATTAGGTATTGATGGGATGTATCTCAAAATAAGAAGAGCTATCTATGACAAACCCACAGCCAATATCATACTGAATGGGCAAAAACTGGAAGCATTCCCTTTGAAAACTGGCACAAGACAGGGATGCCCTCTCTCACCACTCCTATTCAACATAGTGTTGGAAGTTCTGGCCAGGGCAATTAGGCAGGAGAAGGAAATAAAAGGTATTCAATTAGGAAAAGAGGAAGTCAAATTGTCCCTGTTTGCAGATGACATGATTGTATATATAGAAAACCCCCATTGTCTCAGCCCAAAATCTCCTTAAGCTGATAAGTAACTTCAGCAAAGTCTCAGGATACAAAATCAATGTACAAAAATCACAAGCATGCTTATACACCAATAAGAGACAAACAGAGAGCCAAATCATGAGTGAACTCCCATTCACAGTTGCTTCAAAGAGAATAAAATACCTAGGAATCCACCTTACAAGGGACATGAAGGACCTCTTCAAGGAGAAATACAAACCACTGCTCAATGAAATTAAAGAGGATACAAACAAATGGAAGAACATTCCATGCTCATGGGTGAAAATGGCCACACTGCCCAAGGTAATTTATAGATTCAATGCCATCCCCATCAAGCTACCAATGACTTTCTTCACAGAATTGGAAAAAACTACTTTAAAGTTCATATGGAACCAAAAAAGAGCCCGCATCGCCAAGTCAATCCTAAGCCAAAAGAACAAAGCTGGAGGCATCACGCTACCTGACTTCTAACTATACTAGAAGGCTACAGTAACCAAAACAGCATGGTACTGGTACCAAAACAGAGATATAGATCAATGGAACAGAACAGAGCCCTCAGAAATAACGCTGCATATCTACAACTATCTGATCTTTGACATACCTGAGAAAAACAAGCAATGGGGAAAGGATTCCCTATTTAATAAATGGTGCTGGGAAAACTGGCTAGCCATATGTAAAAAGCTGAAACTGGATCCCTTCCTTACACCTTATACAAAAATCAATTCAAGATGGATGAAAGACTTAAACATTAGACCTAAAACCAGAAAAACCGTAGAAGAAAACCTAGGCATTACCATTCAGGACACAGGCATGGGCAAGGACTTCATGTCTAAAACACCAAAAGCAATGGCAACAAAAGCCAAAATTGACAAATGGGATCTAATTAAACTAAAGAGCTTCTTCTGCACAGCAAAAGAAACTACCATCAGAGTGAACAGGCAACCTACAAAATGGGAGAAAATTTTCTCAACCTACTCATCTGACAAAGGGCTAATATCCAGAATCTACAATGAACTCAAACAAATTTACAAGAAAAAAACAAACAACCCCATCAAAAAGTGGGCGAAGGACATGAACAGACACTTCTCAGAAGAAGACATTTATGCAGCCAAAAAACACATGAAAAAATGCTCACCATCACTGGCCATCAGAGAAATGCAAATCAAAACCACAATGAGATATCATCTCACACCAGTTAGAATGGCAATCATTAAAAAGTCAGGAAACAACAGGTGCTGGAGAGGATGTGGAGAAATAGGGACACTTTTACACTGTTGGTGGGACTGTAAACTAGTTCAACCATTGTAGAAGTCAGTGTGGTGATTCCTCAGGGATCTAGAACTAGAAATACCATTTGACCCAGACATCCCATTACTGGGTATATACCCAAAGGATTATAAATCATGCTGCTATAAAGACACATGCACACGTATGTTTATTGTGGCATTATTCACAATAGCAAAGACTTGGAACCAACCCAAATGTCCAACAATGATAGACTGGATTAAGAAAATGTGGCACATATACACCATGGAATACTATGCAGCCATAAAAAAGGATGAGTTCATGTCCTTTGTAGGGACATGGATGAAACTGGAAACCATCATTCTCAGTAAACTATCGCAAGGACAAAAAACCAAACACCGCATGTTCT
This sequence comes from Homo sapiens, assembly GCF_000001405.40. Classification (NCBI taxonomy): domain Eukaryota; kingdom Metazoa; phylum Chordata; class Mammalia; order Primates; family Hominidae; genus Homo; species Homo sapiens. The sequence goes on along the minus strand of NC_000008.11, from coordinate 103,751,183 downwards.
CACTCATGCGTGGGAACTGAGATGGGGCAATTTACAAAAGAAAGAGGTTTATTGGACTTACAGTTCCATGTGGCTGGGGAGGCCTCACAATCCTGGTGGAAGGTGAAAGGCCCATCTCACATGGGAGTAGACAAGAGAAGAGAGCTTATGCAAGGAAACTGCCCTTTTTAAAACCATCAGATCTCTTGAGACTTATTCTCTATCAGGAGAACAACACGAGAAAGACCTGCCCCCATGATTCAATTACCTCCTACTGCGTCCCTCCCACAACACGTGGGAATTCAAGATGAGATTTGGTTGGGGACATAGCCAAAGCATATCGCTGGGTAATTTATAAAGACAAGTGGTTTAATTGACTCACAGTTCCACTTTGCTGGTGAAGCCTCAGGAAACTTACAATCATGGTGGAAGGCATCTCTTCACAGGGCAGCAGGAGAGAGAATGAGTGCCAGCAGGGGAAATGCCTGTCACTCATTCTCTTATAAAACAGACACCTATAAAACCATCAGATCTCCTGAGACTCATTAACATGGGAACAACATGGGGTAAACCGCTTCCATGATCCAATGATTTCTACTTGGTCCCACACTTGACACGTGGGGATTATTAAAATTCAAGGTGAGATTTGGGTGGGGACACAAAGCCAAACCGTATCATAAACACATAATAATGAATGGGGTCTCCATCCCCTCAAATATTTATCCATTGAGTTGCAAACAATCCAATTACACTCTTTGTTATTTTAAAATGAAATGACTTATAATTTTGTAATTTAAGCATCATAACTGGCAAAATCTTCTATATAATGGAAAAGAAAACTGTCAACTGATAGTATATTTGTATTTATGTCTTGTTTAATCTTTGAATCAGTAAATATGTGATGGAAAATAATTCTTCTAATTAATATCACCACATTTTGTAATGGGGAATTATGATACTTTTTGAACTGATTCTTTTTGTTTTACTAAAGTTACTATATTTTTAATGGAAATTTTTTTTTCTTAGGGGAAAAAATAGGTTAACAATGTAATATCAATATGCAGTGAATCCAGTTGGGCCAGATTGAAAAAAGTGCTATAGCACAGACTAGTGGGAAAACTTAATAACTGCAGAAATGTTCCATTTCCTTAATCTTGTAGGATATACCCACTGTTTTAACAGCTGTCTTAAAAAAAAATTACTTGGAGGAATTTAAGCTTAGAACCCAATTCTGAATTAAAATAAGATTTTTAAATTGTATATTTATTATGAAGGCAGCAATCACCTATTCTGATAATAATCAATAAACAATCAAATGCTTCCCAATGACTAATTTACTTTGGAAACCACTTCCTAGTTTTTTGATAAAATTTCATTTAGAACAGAACATTTATAAAATGAATTGGTTAACATTTATGTAATCACCTGATCCCTTTATTCCCACTACTTCACAAAAAAAGGCCTGAAAATAAGCTATATTGCATTTGTAAAATTATATTAGTGTGAAAATTTAGTAATTCTCAATTAACTAATATATTTATGTCAAATGCATATTTACTTCCAGTAATAAGCATGAAAACAGACTAATACACCCAGTCTCAGGTATTTCTTCATAACAACATGAGAACAGACTAATACAACTTATTTCACATTGCATGCCTCTATCAAAACACCTCATGCTCCCCACAAATATATACACCTACTATGTACCAAAAAAATTAAAAATATTAAAGTAAAATAATAGTTTAAAAAATGAAAAGAAAGAGAGTTTAGTTTTTCTTAAAATAGAAAGTGGCCAGGCGCCGTGGCTCATGCCTGTAATCCCAGCACTTTGGGAGGCCAAGGCGGGCGGATCACGAGGTCAGGAGATCGAGACCATCCTGGAGAACATGGTGAAACCCCGTTTCTACTAAAAATACAAAAAAGTTAGCCGGGCGTGCTGGCGGATGCCTGTAGTCCCAGCTACTCGGAAGGCTGAGGGAGGAGAATGGCATGAACCTGGGAGGCGGAGCTTGCAGTAAGCCGAGATCACGCCACTGCACTACAGCCTGGACAACAGAGGGAGACCCCGTCTCAAAAAAGAAAAAAAAAAAATAGAAAGCATATGGCCAGGCACGGTGGCTAATGCCTGTAATCCCAGCACTTTGGGAGGCCGAGGTGGGCGGATCACCTGAGGTTGGGAGTTTGAGACCAGCCTGACTAACATGAGAAACCCTGTCTCTACTAAAAATACAAAATTAGCTGGGCTTCGTAGTGCATGCCTGTAATCCTAGCTACTCAGGAGGCTGAGGCAGGTGAATTGCTTGAACCTGGGAGGCGGAGGTTGCGGTGAGCTGAGATCATGCCATTGCGCTCCAGCTTGGGCAACAAGAGTAAAACTCTGTCTCAAAAAAAAAAAGTAGAATGTATATTCACATAGAAGGTTTCACTTAAAATGGTGATTGGAACATGAAAATTTCTGAAGAGGATAAATTATAAAAGACAAAGGACCAGACATAATTATATAAAGATTAACAGATGGTAAAGAAGACAATGCTTTATACAAATTGAAGAGAACCGAAGATGTAAACTAGAGGCAATGATGGTGAAATAGTAATGAAATTTGGTGATATGGAAATCACCAGAACGACCTTGCAGAGAAGAAATTTTTAAAGAAGGAATGTTAATTCAGAGAAAAAAGTTGAGGGTATAAAGCTTCATTCACCTGTTTTTCAGATTCCCACTGGTATGTATGTATGCATGTATGTATGTATGTATTTGAGACGGTCTCATTCTGTTGCTCAGGCTGGAGTGCAGAGGTGGGATTGATCACGGCTCGTGCAGCCGCAACTTCCTAGGTTCAAGCGATCCTCCCACCTCAGCCTCTCAAGTAGCTGGGACTACAGGCACACACCACCAGATCCAGCTAATTTTTTTTTTATTTTTTGTAGAGACAGGGTTTCACCATGTTTCCCAGTCTAGTCTTGAACTCCTAGACTCAAGGAATCTGCCTGTCTCAGCCTCCCAAAGTACTGGGATTACAGGTGTGAGCCACCACACCCCGCTAATTCTTGAAAACTTTAAGGTTAATGAACAAAACTCTTTTAGATCCTCCATGGTTTCTTGCAAATAAATTTCCAGAAGCCATGGACTAATATATGAACTTCCCTTTGCGAAATGTGCTTCTTTCTCCTGTACTGCTAAAAAGCAATAGCATCACTTATCAGGTATAGTCATCTGACCTACTCCAAATGTAAGGCAAGTCCAACTTTGCCCACCCAAGGAGGATTTACTATTCTAAGATAAACTATATCACAACACTACCACAGCACAAAATTAAAAGCACAGCCTTATTTATATCTAAGCTTCAGTATACTTGTATTTTGATTTATCTCAAACTTAATAAGTCCAAAAGTGAATTTCAGACCTTTACACGGAAATTGCTCCACCTGCAGTCTTACCCATAACAGTTAATGGCAACTTACCATTCTTCCAGTTTGCCTCAGGCCAAAAATCTTGGAGTAATATTTTTCTCTCATATTCTACATATATTCCATCATAAAATCTCTTTTATCCCACTTTTAAGATACATCCACAAAGATGACATCTCACCACCTCCACCACAATTACCTTAGCCTGAGTCACCAGGTATCTCTCATAAATTATTTCTTCATAACTAATCTTCCAGCTTCCATTCTTTTCATACCTCCACTAATGTATCTCAACAAAACTATCAAAGTAAGCCTTTTAAAATGTGTTAAAATGTGAGTAAGATCATGTCATATTTTTTTTTTGGTCAAAACGTTTTAATACTTCCTGTTTTGCTCCAAATAAATGCCAAACTCCTTAAAATGACCCAAAAAGTTCTTTACAGTCTCACTCCCCAACCCTGTCTCTTACCATTTTTTGCTTCTCTGCTCCATGCTCACTTGGACACAGGAAGGGGATCATCACACTCTGGGGACTGTTGTGGGGTGGGGGGAGGGGGGAGGGATAGCATTGGGAGATATACCTAATGCTAGATGACGAGTTAGTGGGTGCAGCGCACCAGCATGGCACATGTATACATATGTAACTAACCTGCACATTATGCACATGTGCCCTAAAACTTAAAGTATAATAATAATAAAGTAATTAATTAAAAAAAAAAGAAAGAAGATCATGTCCTTTGCAGGGACATGGATAGAGTTGGAGGCCATTATCCTTAGCAAACTAACACAGGAACAGAAAACCAAATACCACATGTTCTCACTAAAAAGTGGGAACTCCTGTAATTCCAGCACTTTGGGAGGCCAAGGCAGGCAGATCACAAGGTCAGGACATCGAGACCAACCTGGCTAATATGATGAAACCCTGTCTCTACTAAAAATACAAAAAATTAGCGGGGTGTGGTGGCACATGCCTGTAGTCCTAGCTACGCAGGAGGCTGAGGCAGGAGAATCGCTTGAACCCGGGAGGCGGAGGTTGCAGTGAGCCGAGATGGCACCACTGCACTCCAGCCTGGGTGACAGAGCAAGACTCCGTCTCAAAAAAAAAAGAAAAGTGGGAACTAAATGATGAGAATACATGAACACATAGAAGAGAACAACACACACACTGTGGCCTTTCAGAGGTTGAGGGGTGGGAAGACGGAGAGGATCAGGAAAACAACTAATGGATACTAGGCTTAATACCTGAGTGATGAAATAATCTGCACAATGAACCCCCCTGACACAAATTTACCTATGTAACAAACCTGAACATGTACCCCTGAACCTAAAACTTAAAAATAAATAGAATAAAATAAATACAGCTAGTCTTTAAAATATACCAGTAGGAACTAATGAGGTATCAGAGACCTCTTATACAATTCAGATATCCTGATTTCAAACTTACTACAAAGCTACAGTTATAATGACTGAGATATTGGCATAAGGATAGACATACAGGTCAAGGGAATAGAATTGAGAGTTCAGAAATAAACCCATACATCTATGGTCAACTGATTTTCAACAAGGGAGCCAAGATCGTTCAATTGGAATAGTCTTTTCAATAAATGGCACTGGAACAATTTGATATCCACATGCAAAACAGTGAAGTTGGACCCCTAACTCATACCATACACAAAAATTAACTTAAAATGGATCAAAGACCTCAATGTAAGAACTAAAGCTACATAATTATTAAAGGAAAATTAGGAATAAATCTTCATGACCTTGGTTTAGGCAACTGTTTCTTAGATATTATGCCAAAAGAACAAACAACCAAACAAAAAATAGATAAATTGGACTTCATCAAAAAAACCTTTTAAGTATCAAAGGACATTTTCAAGAAAATGAAAAGACAACCCACAGAATAAGAAAAAATATTTGCAAATTATACATCTGATAAGGGTCTGGCATCCAAAATATATAAAGAACTCTTACAACCCAACAACAACCCAACCTTAAATGGACAAAGGACTTGAATATTTCTGCATAAACATATCCAAGTGGCCAAAAAGCATAAGAAGTAATGCTCAATGTCATTAGTCACTGGAAAATGCAAATCAAAAGCCATAATGAGATACCACTTCATACCCACTGAAATATATGTCATTTTTTAAAAGAACAGAAAATAAGTGTTGGTGAAGATGTGAGGATAGTGTAACTCTTGTACATTGTTGGTGGGAATGTAAAATGATATAGTTACTGTGAAAAACAACTTGGTAGTTCCTCAAAAACTTAAACATAGAATTATCATATAACCCAGGAATTCCACTCCTAGGTAATATCCAAGATAATTGAAAACAAATCTTTACACAACTTGCAAATGAATGTGCACAGCAGCATTATTCACAATAGCCAAAAAGTATAAACAACAAAAGTGTCTTTCGATTGATGAATGAAAAAAAAATGTGGTATAACCATACAATGGAATGTAATTCAGCCATAAAAAGAAACAAAATATTAATTCTTGCTACAACACAGATGAGCCGTAAAAGCATAATAGGAAATGTCCAGTACAGATAACTCCATAGAATAAGAAAGTAGATTAGTGATTGCAGGGGTATAGGGAAGTAAGGGAGTGACTACTAATGGGTACAGGGGTTTTTTGGGAAGATAGTGATGAAAATGTTCTGGAATTGGACAAATTGTGATGGTTGCATGACACTGTTAATGTACTAAAAACCACTAACTTGTATACTTTAAAATAGTTAATTTTACTATATAAATATCTCAACTAAAAAATGTTTTAATGTAGCTCTTCTACAGAAAATATTAGGCCCAGATGGCTTTTGTATTATTTCAGGCTTTTCTACAAGCAGATCCTGAGCCCAACATTTGATGCAAAGAAGTTTATTTGAATGACAATCCAAAAAAGTATAGTCAGAGTGAAGAAGTGAAACATGAAAGGTAGGAAAGCCAATAGATGTCAATTAAAGAGTAGATTATTTCTAGGGGCAAATCTTGGCCATGATGAGACCTTCTCAGAATCAACCCACTGAAGAGCAAGGGGTCTGGGGTATTTATATATTAGCTCATTGGCATGCCTGTCTCTCCTCTTCAGGTTAGGCCTGTTCCCTTGGCCATAAAATGCCCTTAGGCATAGAGGCACAGGATGCAATTGTTATGTTCAGGAACCATTTGCAGGTACCATTTGGAATGGGCTGAAGGCATATGAGTAGGGTACATATAACAATTGTTACAGTTTTGCAGGTGAATCCTACTAAGCTTTTCAGGAACCATTAATTCGTATCTTAAGTAAATTGTTCCATAAAATTAAATTTAAAAAAAATAAAGCCATACAGCTCATTTTATGAAAATAATATAATTTTGACACAAGATAAGCAAAGCACAGGCCAATTCCACTGACATATATTTGGAGCCAAAACATAAGCCAAAACTTAAATATAAAAATCCTAGCTGGGCGTGGTGGCTCATGCCTGCAATCCCAGCACTTTGGGAGGCTGAGGTGGGTGGATCGCAAGGTCAAGAGATCGAGACCATCCCGGCTAACATGGTGACACCCCATCTCTAGTAAAAATACAAAAATTAGCTAGGCGTGGTGGCGCATGCCTGTAGTCCCAGCTACTCAGGAGGCTGAAGCAGGAGGATCACTTAAACCTGGGAGGCAGAGGTTGCAGTTAGCTGAGATCCTGCCACTGCACTCCAGCCTGGCAACAGAGCAACACTTCGTCTCAAAAAACAAACAAACAAACAACAACAAAAAATCCTACACAACTAGGAAACATACCATATTATAATCAATACCATTTAACTCCTTGAATGTAAGGATGATCCAACTCAAATGTACTTCAACGTATTAATAGACTAAAGGAGAAAAAAATCATTTGATTCTCTCAATCAATGAAGAAAAAGCATTTAATAAAGTTCAACCCCATTTATGTCTTAAAGTAATTCTTAGAAAACTAGAAATACAAGTGTATTTCTTTAACTTGGTAACAGAAATAGGAATAAAAGGACATTTCCTTAGAATGGTAAAGATTATATATCAAAACACTGTGTCAAAGATTATACTTAATGGGGAAGCTTTAGATTCATTCCCTTTAAATTTGCATACTATCTGACCAAATAAAACCAGGTTTTCTCAAATACTTCCTTAGAGCATAAATTAATATATGTTTACAATATAAATGTAAACAAAAGAATCTGTGATATCAATAAAATCATAAGTAATAAATATAGATGCTAATTATACGATATGACAAAAAGGAAACTTCAGTTCAGTTATGCCACTTTTAAATGATCTTGATAGCTAGGTAAACTATAATGCGGTTTTTTTATCCTAATAATCCAGAGTTATCAATTTTTAAAGAATATTTTCAAATCAGACACTGTTAACTCAATGGAATAGAAACTGCAGATAAACAAATTTATCCGGCAATAATTCTGGAGTCATCATAATTTTCTTAACTTAGTTTCCCAATAGATCTCTAAAGTATTCATTGTAGTCAATTGGCAAATATCTTGAAAAGAAAGAAATATATGGCTGATTCCTGTTATATACATGAAATATAGAATGCATTTGTAGATTAGATGTTGACATAAATGGAGTTGTGTCAACAGCTAACAAAAGTACTTGCTTATTAAAGGTGCAGAGTTTTCTTCTGTGTCCAGAGAACATTAGTGATGCTACAGTTATACACCCATGACTAAAACAAGGTACTTGCTAAACAAATTTTGGAAGAGGGCATAAAAGGAACTTAACTGACATCCTTTATAAAAATATCTTAATTGCTAATAATGTAGATCAGACCTTAAAAAGCCTGTTCATGGTACGCTATCTTATAATAAACTAATGCTGTTTAATAGCTTGAAATTTGTTAGAATTCATAAAGCATTAAGAAGAAAGGTACGAGTATATGTAAGATAATGTCCTCAGATATATAATCCTCCTGGGAAAGTGACTCCTAATTATGAAAGAATGCACTGCTCCAGAGAGCCCCTGAGAGATTCTGCCCTTGAGGCATCGTTGTTAAAGAAAACAGCATGAAACCATCTCTCTTGAAGCATCATTTATTCACAAAACATTCAAACCCTAAAGAAAACTATTCACATTATAAGAAAACAGAGGGTATTAGCAACTTACAAGCAGTTAATCAAGACTGGCTTTAGAGAGCTTTTATAAATTAATATTGCTCACTACTAAAGCTAGGAAATCTTATATGACAAAAAGGGTTATTGCGTCTGCTACAAAAGTGAAAAGCTAAAAGGATGTTGCCTGGTAAGTCTGTCAGTGCAATTGTATTAAACCCTTACAGATATAATTATAGAGTTTATAAAACTGCAGAAGGCATTGTTCAGATCATGGCAAAAGTAATGGTAGAAGATATTACTTACAGACTCATTATGTACATATGGTTCTAGTCATTTGCAATCATAACAAAAATAACATATTTGATGAAATGATGGCACATTAAGAGACTTGCCCAGGAATCCACTAGTGAAGAGAATTCAAAACTGTAAATACTCACATTTAGGTTGTTTTGGTTTTACTTGGCTAAATATATAAGGATCTTCAGGATCTTTATATCCATCTCAAGAATGGAGTTGACTCAGTGGATAATCATAAGAAATAGACTAATGGATAATACTTATACTTTAAAGCCTACATTGAAAGCATTCATATTCATAAAGAAACTGTTCTTAAGAAGTTGAGTCCTGATTGGAGTATCAGATGCTACCATTAACATGGGAACTATTATTAATACAGCATTAATACATATAATATTAAATTTTTTCAAGTGGTGAGTAAGTAAACAGGGTGCACTCATACATAGCTTTTGTCACAGTATGTAATCACATTCTCAGATGATCTGTATTAACATACTTATTTAAATCGCAAAGTAAAGTGAGACTTTCTCTGACAGAAAGTTTCATGTGGCTGATTGGTTTGACAACAGGACCAGCTTTGGAAATTAGCTCATATGTTTCACATTTTCGATAAGCTCAAAGCTAAATATATAGTTCTAAGATACTTATAAAAATAACTTAAAGCATGTGAAAAGGCAAAATAACTTTATCAACAGTAACTGTAATCGGCAGGGACGCTAAAATGAGCATTTTCCAAATCCTTTTTAGTATATTGACTTAAACAAGGTGCCTCTAAGTGAAAGGATGGTTAAGTTTAAATAGTCATTTGATAAGTCTTGGTACAGCTTTTTTGGTATAACTCCCAGAAACAGACAGAATGACTCACCACCTGGGTAACAAATCATTTTGCAAGCCTGGTGTCTTCAATTCTTTGCTTTCAACAAGTTGAGAAAAAAACCTAAATTAATAGTCAGCTGATATATAATTAAAAATAATTTGTGATGATAGATTACTATAATTTTGTTCACATAATTTGGAAAGACTTCAAAGAATTGAGTGAATTGTTCTAACCAACCTCTTTCTATTCACATCTAGTCATTAATGTGAACATATTTCCTCAGCATTTGCATCTATAAAAACGAAGGAAATAGAAATAGAATTGATGTTGAATTCTATCTGGGTCTGTACTAAGTAATATTTGTCCATGGATTTATGAACAATTTTGAAAGAAAACCAGTCCCTTTTGTCTCATCAAGAAATGAATTTCCAGTAAAATTTTATGTCTTATATTTAATTATTTGTAATCAAAATTTGCATTTATTTTAAACAATTGTGTATTAATAATTATTACAATTAAACTCAATCCAATAGAAATTTTTCAAAACTTTAAGACTTATGGTCACTGAAATTCTTAAAATGTTTAATTTCAACTTATATACATATTTTGTTGAAAAAATATAAAAAGGTTATCTTTTTAAAAATTCTAGCAAAAAATATATTACATGTGGATAAACTGCTGTGAAGAAAATGTAAATAAAAATTCAATAAAAAACAAGGAAAGAAAACTTTCAATTGTTAAAAAAAGTTTGTTCATGTATTTGTTTCATTTTTAAGGCTAATTGAAGTTATCAAACTGCTATGCTATTTATATTCCACTGGATACATTTTTAAAGAGGCTGTAACAGTTTTACTGTAAAAGGTCGTATTGATAACTTGCTAGAATTTGTACCCTTTGCAACCACTTAAACATACAATGAAAATATTAGATGTCATCTTAAAAATATGTGAGAAAGTAACAGGTTATTCGAAATTAAATTACGGATTCAAAGTAAACATATTTCAAGATCAATGTCAGAACTGCCATCTCAGCTACTGCATATAATATTCAGCTTCCTCCACCCATCACCTAACACCAGACTAGATAAGTTCCCCAATCTATAACCATCTTCCATTGAGCTAAAGTGTACAATATTTTCTGAGCAAGTCATAAATTGCCATCCTCTACAAGAAGCCCTATAAGCCAGGCGTTGCCTACTAAGGCATTTCTTCCCTTCTCTACCATCTGACTGCCAAGAAGTCAGCAGGCATCTAGGTTAAGTCATCATGGCTTATGCAGTAATACTCACTAATATTCTATTTAATCACCACTTATAAAATTGTTTCTGTGGGAAAATACATTTCACGTTCCCACTTGGCATGTTAACAACGTATATTCTTCCCCTCCTTTCTCTTCACTGCCCCACAATCTTAATAGTAGTGACTATTCTGACAACAGAAGAAAAGCTACATATTACTGAACACTAACAGAATGTTAACTTCCTATGTTGGCATAAAACAATGCTTATCTAAACAAATCATTTCCCGTCCACTCTAAATTAAAGTACAAAGGGTGGATATTCTCTCTGGGCCTGGGACAAGGTTCATATTTATAAATATGCATCTTAATCTATTTCCACCATCCAATATAATAAAAATTGCTCTCAAAAGTGAAACAGACCCCAAGATATATAATGATGACACTTGAGGACTTAGTCTATGGTACAAAGAAACAGACTAGCCAGTGAGCACTCTATTAGACTAAAGTGCTATGTTTTGCTCCTAGAGACTCTGAGAAGCAGAGGTCTCTGAGAAGCAGAAAAAGGAATCCCTTGGAATGCACACTGAAGAAGGAGTAATACATGATAAAGAGATAATTGTTACAATATCTAATTGAACTACTCATTTCTATTTTCTATGTTCTCTTAATTTCAAATGACTGGATCAAAAGTTAGAAAGCTAATGTAAAGTAAACAGAGAAAAAAATCACCAGGTCTGTTGCAGCCAGTGTTAGCTAAGTTCCAGTGATATGCCTGACACAATTTTTAAAATTTTAAATAACATTGAAGTTTATTTTATGTTTTATATTATACTTTAAGTTCTAGGGTACATGTGCACAACGTGCAGGTTTGTTACATATGTATACATGTGCCATGTTGGTGTGCTGCACCCATTAACTCGTCATTTACATTAGGTATATCTCCTAATGCTATCCCTCCCCCTTCCCTCTACCCTACGACAGGCCCCAGTGTGTGATGTTCCTCTTCCTGTGTCTAAGTGTTCTCATTGTTCAATTCCCATCTATGAGTGAGAACATGCGGTGTTTGGGTTTTTGTCCTTGCGATAGTTTGCTGAGAATGATGGTTTCCAGCTTCATCCATGTCCCTACAAAGGACATGAACTCATCCTTTTTTATGGCTGCATAGTATTCCATGATGTATATGTGCCACATTTTCTTAATCCAGTCTATCATTGATGGACATTTGGGTTGGTTCCAAGTCTTTGCTATTGTGAATAGTGCCACAATAAACATACGTGTGCATGTGTCTTTATAGCCGCATGATTTATAATCCTTTGGGTATATACCCAGTAATGGGATGGCTACGTCAAATGGTATTTCTAGTTCTAGATCCTTGAGGAATCGCCACACTGTCTTCCACAATGGTTGAACTAGTTTACAGTCCCACCAACAGTGTAAAAGTGTTCCTATTTCTCCACATCCTCTCCAGCACCTGTTGTTTCCTGACTTTTTAATGATCGCCATTCTAACTGGTGTGAGATGGTATCTTGTTGTGGTTTTGATTTGCATTTCTCTGATGGCCAGTGACGATGAGCATTTTTTCATGTGTCTGTTGGCTGCATAAATGTCTTCTTTTGAGAAGTGTCTGTTCATACCCTTTGCCCACTTTTTGATGGGGTTGTTTTTTTCTTGTAAATTTGTTTGAGTTCTTTGTAGATTCTGGATATTAGCTCTTTGTCAGATGAGTAGATTGCAAAAATTTTCTCCCATTCTGTAGGTTGCCTGTTCACCCTGATGGTAGTTTCTTTTGCTGTGCAGAAGCTCTTTAGTTTAATTAGATCCCATTTGTCAATTTTGGCTTTTGTTGCTATTGCTTTTGGTGTTTTAGACGTGAAGTCCTTGTCCATGCCTGTGTCCTGAATGGTATTGCCTAGGCTTTCTTCTAGGGTTTTTATGGTTTTAGGTCTAACAATTAAATCTTTAATCCATCTTGAATTAATTTTCGTATAAGGTGTAAGGAAGGGATCCATTTTCAGCTTTCTACATATGGCTAGCCAGTTTTTGAAGTTTAAATCAAAGTGACTGAAATTTAAAATCTTTCCACTTCAATTTGGAGTGTATAATATGTTATACAATAACTTAATAAAATGATGATCTCATTTTATGTCCTTTTTCTTATTTCATCTGCTCATTTTGGGTTGAGGGCAGGGAAGAAAATTAGTGATATCAGGAAATATCTATTTCATTCAATCACTGAATTATTTACATATTAATAAACAATCATTGAACACATATTACTGTGTACCAAGCCCTATGCTACTTATTAGAAACACAGTATTAAAGAAGACAGACATGTTCCTATTCTCATGGAACTTATCGTCTAGTGGAGAAGATACACAATAAACAAGTAAACAGACATATAAACAAAATAATCATATAAGTGCACTTTCAAGAAAAATCAGAGTGATATGATGAGAGTAGGTGATGTTGATGGAAGTAACACCCTACAGAGGGTAGTTAGAGAAGAGCCCTGTAAAATGATGACAGGAGAACTATATCAAAGATGAGAATGAGCTTGCCATGTAAAAATCTGGTGAAGTGCATTCCAGGTATAAGAAACAACATATGTAAATGCCTTTAGGTAGGAAAGGGCTTGGTTGCTTCAGGAACAGAAATACCTGAGGGGAAGAATGGTATGAGATGTTAGAAAGATAGTCAGAAGCCAGATTGCATTTTGCCTTCCCTGTGTGCCCCAATAGGAAGTTACGTGAGTAAGCATGTAAGAATGAAAATGACACAATCTGATTGCATTTTGAAAAATACCATCCTAGTAGACGTATGAAAGGTTGGAGGAAAGAAGCAAAGAGACCAATTAAGAAGTTATTCCAGGCTGGGCACAGTGGTTCACTCCTATAATCCCAGCATTTTGTGAGGCTGAGGCGGGAGGACCACCAGAGGTTGGGAGTTTGAGACAAGCCTGGCCAACATGGTGAAACCCTATCTCTACTAAAAAATAGAAAAAAATTAGCCAGACATGGTGGCATGCACCTGTAATCCCAGCTACTCAGGAGGCTTAGGCAGGAGAATCACTTGAACCTGGGAGGCGGAGGATGCAGTGAGCTGAGATCATTCCACTGCACTCCAGCCTGGGTGGCAGAGTAAGACTCTGTCTCAAAAAAAAAAAAAAAAAAAAAAAAAAGAACAAAGAAAAAGAAAAGAAAAGGAAAAATTATGCCTAGAGGTTTTTGGTTAAAGGAAAAAAGTATCCAATAATGCTTTCAAGGGGATGCATATTAAGTTTGAGATGCATATTACATATCTAAGGAAACAAGTCATAGAATATACATTTAGAAAATATTGGTACACAGATTATATTTAAAGCCCATCTTCTATTCCCATCTTCTATTCTCTCACTCTTGGAATTTCATTTGATACTACAGATAAAATAGATGGCTGATCTGAGGAAAACAAGCCCAATAATTCACAATTCATTCCTGCTCACAAAGGTCTATAAGATTCTGTTCTACCTAAATGTCAACCCTAGTATAAAATAAGTAAGAAAGAAAAACTCTTCATGGAAAAGGTGTCATTTTTAGTGACAAAACTCAATTATAGGCCATTATATTATGTTTCAAGAATCCCTAAAGTCCTCCCAAGAACAAACCAAAATTTTATTTCCATACAAAATCCAATTCTCAAATTAAAATCAGTTGAGAAGTAAACTTGAGCCAAACGTGAGTAATTATAAAGACAAATATGGTTTTTAGATTCACGCCAGCCAATTCATAACTGGACATAATAGACCAAAATTAGTCCAAGGTAAGGGTAAAAGAAACAAGGCCATATTCTCACTAATACCAGAATATAGTTTTGTGTCCCTTCACTTGGGTAAAAAATATGAATAAGTCATTTCTCATAATGAATAGATTCAAAACATGCAGAAGTTCAAGCTAATAAACTGGCTAGGTCTGTTCATACAAGTGGCAAAATGGAACCAGCTATTTATTGTTGTACTGTTCTCCTCTTTAAAATGTAGCCCCATGGGACTTTGATGTCAAAAACTTCTATTATACATTGTTCTGCAGAATTCCAGCTTAACTCAATATAATAGATATTAAACTCTAAAAATATTCTAATTGCCATGGGTTACTTCAAGGAATTCAAATTTTGACTTGAGTTTTGACTCACATTACAACAAGTATGACTGCACATTAAAATACTCTGAAAATTACTATGGCTATTAAACCCAAATTATATTAAATGAAAAGCTGAGCTGCAAAGAAAGAAAAGCCAAGGTGCCACAAAGGAAGATGGAGTTATAAACCAGAATATTACGCGCATAAACTGACATTGTGTAATTTACATTTTAGCACCTATGCAGGAGCAACACAGAATTTAAAAATAAAGCCTAAGTACTACATAGGCTGAAGAGCTGAATCTAAGATGATGCACAAAGCCAGGGTATTTAAAACTCAATATCTTTAATGAAAAGATAAACTAGAAAAAGTTCATCTACTGACAAAAGAATGCACAAGGAAGTATGTCTCTGCTTATACTCTGGACTAACAAAAAAACGTCTCTCCCAGTAATTCAGAACATTGTCCTGTACTGCACACACAGGTTTATAATTTGCAGCTTGGTCCATGAACCAAGAAACCTGAAATCATCAAGAACACTAATCCCAGGCCAAATATTCCAAGAAAACACTTAGGAGAAAAATTTAAAACTTCTTAAGAGACACACCATCAGCAATGGCTGCCAAAGATTCCCATGATTTGAGGTCCTCCAAAAATAAG
The DNA here is from genome assembly GCF_000001405.40 of Homo sapiens. Lineage (NCBI taxonomy): Eukaryota > Metazoa > Chordata > Mammalia > Primates > Hominidae > Homo > Homo sapiens. The sequence continues at coordinate 103,735,578 of NC_000008.11, read as the reverse complement.
TTCACAGGTGAAAATTATAAATCACATGAATAATCCACCATGAACGAACATCAGCAATCATAAAAACAGAATCAAAACCAAAAGAACTTCAAATAAAAGAACAAGATATTAAAAATTATAAATATGTTTAAAATTATTAATGATGTAAAGGAGTAAATAAAAACACCAAAAAGGATTAAACATATATGAAATAAAATAGAATTTCTGGAAATTAAAAATATTTTCATTGACATTTGTCTGTTTCTGCTTAGGCTATAGAAAGTAACAAGAAAACATCACTCCCACTTTAACAATGAAAATCAGCCAGATTCAACTACAAAATCAGTTTTCTGGAGCCCTTCACTGTACTGAAGTCAAAAAGAAATTTACTGAACTAAAAACCAAAATAATAACAAGGCTCTTTGAGGAGAAAGCAAAGCAGCTTTCATCACTAACAGAGCAGTGAGAAGAGGAGGAAGCTGCCACAGATGTGAGGAGAAATAGGCTGAACTTTTAACAAATGTTGGAAAGACTGAGTGTGGGTTGGTGTAGCAGTGTTAGTATCCCTGCAACCCCAGACGCAGGGGAATCTAAACCCACCTAGTGACTATTTTCCATGATCCCTTACCAAATGCTCATAAAAAAGACTAGTGACAGTACAGAAAACCTGTGCCCTTCGGTGGCACAGAAGTGTGATTAGAAAACTGAGAGAAGAACCCTCCAGTATTTCAGGCCTTATAATAAGAGGTAGAAAATATGCATTATCACTAAGGGATGATCATGGGAACTGAGAGAAACCCTTGACCAAAAAAGAAATAGGCACAAGAGGCCTACCAAAGCTTGCAGATGTAGCTAGAGATCTGAGGAACGCTTCAGACATGCTAGACTTTGCACTTAGTATGAAGGCATCTGCAAAAGACAAAACTGCAGAAATGTTAAAAAAGATACTCTGTCAGGAACAGGCATATAGTACCTGTTGCCAAGGCAGCGGAATTGAGAGAAAACCTGCAGATACTCCAGTCCTTACAAGGAATAACAAGCAGAGGGTGTCTACTATTTCACCTGAGAAACAATGGAGTTCAGAAGACAAAAAAAGAAATAAAAATACTAATATGTTTAAAGTGCTAAAAAAAAAAAAAGAACCATCCAACCTAGAATTATAAATCCATAAAATATATCCCCAAAAATATGGATAAAATACATTTTCAGATGTACAAAAGTTGAAATATTTTATCCCTAGTAAACCTGCACTAAAAGAAATGTTAAAAAAAAAAAAAAAAAAGCTTTTAGGCCAGGTGTGGTGGCTCACGCCTGTAATCCCAACACTTTGGGAGGCCGAGGTGGGTAGATCACAAGGTCAAGAGATTGAGACCATCCTGGCCAACATGGTGAAACCCCATCTCTACTGAAAATACAAAAATTAGCTGGGTGTGGTGGCGTGCACCTGTAGCCCCAGCTACTTGGGAGGCTGAGGGAGGAGAATTGATTGAACCCAGGAGGCGGAGGTTGCAGTGAGCAAAGATCACACCACTGCACTCCAGCAGCGAGACTCCGTCTGGGAAAAAAAAAAAAAAAAAAAAAAAAAGAAGCTTTTAGGAGAGGTAAAGCAAGATGGCCACATAGAAGCCTCCAGTGATCATTCCCACCATAGAAACACCAAATTGAACAACTATCCACACAAAAAACACGATCATAAAAACCCAAAGCAGGTGAGCAATCACAGTATCTGGTTTAAACAACATATTAAGAAAACAGGAACTGAAGATAGAAAAGACCATCTTAAATCACCTACACCACCCCTCCCCAAGTCCACAGCAGCAACCATGAAGTGTGGAAAGAGAATCTGTGAGTTTGGAGGAGGGAGAGAACAGTGATTATGCGACTTAGCGTTGGAACTCAGTGCTGACCTGATGAAGTGGAAAGCAACACCAGCCAGCACTCAGCTACCACCCACAGAAGAAGCATTTAGACCAGTTCTAGCCAGAAGAGAATCACCCATCCCAGCAGTGAGAACCTGAGTTCAGACAAGCCTCACCACCATGTGCTAAAGTGTTCCAGGGTTCTAAATAAACTTGAAAGCCATTCTAGGCCACCAGACTGCGATTTCTGGGTAAGTCCTGGTGCTATGCTGGGCTTGAAGTCAGTGAACTTGGGAACATGCAACCAAGTGAGACACCAGCTGAGGTGGCAAGGGGAGTGCTTGCACCACCCCTTCCCCCAGCCCCAGGCAATGAAGCTCACACTACTGGGAGAGACTTCGTTCCTCTGCTTGGAAGAGTAAAAAGGATTTGTCTTGCAACATGGATACCAGTTAAGCCACAGTAGAACAGGGTACCAGGCAGACTCATGAAGTCTCCATTCCAGGCTCTAGCTCCCAGACAACATTGCTAGACACACCTTGGGCAAGAAGAGAACCCGCTGCCTTGAAGAGAACCCAGTCCTGGCAGGAATCATCACCTGCAGACTAAAGGGCCCTTGAACCCAGAATAAACACCAGTGGAAGCCAGGCAATACCTGCTGTGGGCCTTGAGTGAGACTCAGAGCCATGCTGCCCTCAGGTGTTACTCAGCACATTGCAGCCTATGGTGGTTAATAGACTCCTGCTGCATGAGAAAAGAAAAGGGAAGAGTAAAAAGGACTTTGTCTTGCAGGTGTACCAGCTCAGTGACAGTGTGGTAGAGCACCAAGTGAGCTCATGGAGTCCCACTTCCAAGCCTTCACTCCTTGACCCTGGACCTCCCCTGAGTCAAAAGGGAACTGACTACCCTGAAGGAAGAGACTCAGGATTTGAAGCATTCACTAAAAGCTGACTAAAAAGATCTTGGTACTTGAGCAAACATCAGCAGAAGCCAAGTAGTAGAGGCCATAGGTCCGCGGTGGTGGTGATGAAGGGAAAGTCCTCTTTGGAAGGAGAGGGAAGAGTGGGAAACATTTTGTCTTTCAGCTTGGGTACAAGCTCAGCTGCAGTAGTACAAAGCACCAGGTAGATTTCAAGGGTTCCCAACTCCAGGCCCTGGCTCCCAGATGATATCTCTGGACCCACCCAGGATTGAGGGAAACTTACCACACTGAAAGGAAGGATGCAAGCCTGGCAGGCTTTAATCACCTGCTGATTGTAGAGCCCTTAAGCCTTGAGTGAACATAGATGATATGTTCACCAGTGGTCACTGCGGGCCTTAAGCAACTCCCAGGGCTCTGCTGCCTTTGGATCTGACGTAGCACAGTCACAGTGGTGTAGACCACAGGAGTGCTTGTGTCACCCCTCCCACAACCCCAGGCAGCTCAGCACAAAGAGAGGCTCCATTTCTTTGGAGAAAGGAAGGGAAGACAAGAGTCTCTGCCTAGTAATACATGAAATTCTCCCAGATCTTACCCAAGACCACCATGGCATCAGCACCTCGGTGAGTCTGTTAGAGTCACAGCATTAATGGGCTGGGGGTACCCCCTTACGTAGATATGGCTACAGTGACCAAAAACTTAGATCACAACACCCAAGACCCTTTGAATACATGGAAAACCTACCCAAGAAAGTGCAAGTACAAACAACCCCAGACTGTGAAGACTATAATAAATACCTAACTCTTCAATGCCCAGACATCAACAAACATCAACAAGCACCAAGACTATCCAGGAAAATATGACTTCACCAAACAAACTAATGCACAAGAGAGACAGATATGTGACCTTTCATATAGAAAATTCAAAATAGCTGTTTTGAAGAAGCTCATTGAAATTCAAGATAACATGGAGAAGGAATTCAGAATCCTATCAGATAAATTTAACAAAGAGATTGAAATGATTCAAAAGAATCAAGCAGAAATTCTGGAGTTCAAAAATGCAACTGACATACTGAAGAATGCATCAGAGTCTCTTAATGGCAAAATTGAACAAGGAGAAGAAAGAATTAGTGAGCTTGCAGACAGCCTATTTGAATAAACACAGTGATAGGAGACAAAAGAAAAAATAATAAAAAAGAATAAAGCAGGACTACAAGATTTAGAAAATAGCTTCAAAATGGCAAATCTAAGAGTTAATTGTCCTGAAAGAGGAGATAGAGAGTTAGAAAGTTTGTTCAAAGGGATAATAACAAAGAACTTCCTATACCTACAGAAAGATATCAATATTAAAGGGCAAGAAGATTAGAATACCAAAACTTAACTCCAAGAAGACTACCTCAAAACATTTAATAATCAAACTCCTGAAGGTCAAGATAAAAGCTTCCTAAAAGCAGCTACAGAAACAAACAAAAACAATATAGAATGCAGCTCCAATATGTCTGGCAGCAGACTTCTCAGTGGAAACCTTATAGACTAGGAAACAGTGGCATGACATCTTTCAAGTGGGAAAGAAAAAAAACCTTTTATCCTTGAACAGTGCATCCACTGTGATATGGTTTGGCTGTGTCCCCACCCAAATCTCACCATGAATTGTAGCTCCCACAATTCCCATGTATCATAGGAGGGACCCTGTGGGAGGTAATTGAATCATGCGGTGGGTCTTTCCCATGCTGACCTCATGATAGTGAATAAGTCTCACAAGATCTGATGGTTTTATAAAGAGGAGTTCCCTTGCACAAGCTCTCTCTTGACTGCCGCCATCCATGTAAGATGTGACTTTGCTCCTCTTCACCTTCTGCCATGACTGTGAGGCCTCCCACCCACGTGGAACTGTGAGTCAATTAAACCTCTTTCCTTTATAAGTTATCCAGTCTCGGATATGCATTTATCAGCAACATAAAAATGAACTAATACACAGTGAAAACATCCTTAAAACATGAAGGAGAAATACAGACTTCCCCAGACAAACTAAAGCTGAGAGATTTCATCAACATCAGATCTGTCCTACAGAAAATACTAGAGTTCTTCACTCTCAAAGAAAATAATGTTAATGAGAAATAAGAAATTATCTGAAGGTACAAAACTCATTGCTAATGGTAACTACATAGAAAAACACAAAAGATTACACCAATGTAATTGTGACGTGTAAGGTATGCATAACTTGAGTAGAAAGACCAAAAGATGAATCTATCAAAATAATAGCTACAAAAAATTTCTAGACAAAGACAGTATAATAAGATATAAATAGAAACAACAAAAGTTAAAAAGTGGGGAAATTAGGTTAAAGTGTACAAGTTAGCTATAATTAGACAAAATACATTTCAAGACAAAAACTATAAAAAGAGACAAAGAAGGTAATTATATAATGATAAAGGTGTCAATCAGCAAAAGAATATAACAATTGCAAATATATAATCACCCAACACTGGAGCACCCAGAAATAGAAGGCAAATATTATTAGAGGTCCTCTATATATATAACAATTGCAAATATATAATCACCCAACACTGGAGCACCCAGAAATAGAAAGCAAATATTACTAGAGCTAAAGAAAGAGAGAGAGACTTAAACCCCCCACCACCCACGGACAATACAATGAGACCTGAAGACTTCAACACCTCACTCTCAGCACTGGACAAATCATCCTGGCAGAAAGTCAATTAAGAAACATCAGACATAATCTGCAGTATAGTCCAAATGGACCTAATAGATAATTACAGAACACTGCCTGCATCCAACAACTGCAGAATATACATTATTTTCCTCAGCACATGAATCATTCTCAAGCATAGACCATATGCTAGGCCACAAAACAAGTCTTTAAAAATTCAAGAAAAACTAACATTATATTAAGTATCTTCTCTGACCACAATGAAATAAAACTAAAAATCAATAACAAGAGGAATTTTACAAACCATGTGAGCACATGGAAATTAAATAATGCTCCTGAGTGACTTGTAGGCCAATGAACAAATTATGAAGGAAACTGAAAAGTTTCTTGAAACAAATGAAAATGGAAATACAACATACCAAAACCTATGAGATAGAGCAAAAGCAGTACTAAGAAGAAAGTTCATAGCAATAAACGAATACCAAAAAAGTAGAAAAACTTAAAATAAACTAACAGTGCATCTTAAAGAACTAGAAAACCAAACCCAAAATAAGTAGAAGTAATAACACAAATCATAGCAGAAATAAATGAAAATAAAATGAAAAAATACAAAAGATCAATAAAACAAAGTTAGTTTTTTGAAAAGGTAAACAAAATAAACAAACCTTTAGCCAGACTAAGAAAAAAAGAGGGAAACCCCAAATAAATCAAATCAAACATGAAAAAGGAGATGTTAAAATTGATATTGCAGAAATTCAAAGAATCATTAGAGGCTACTATGAACAGCAATATGCCAGTAAGTTGGAAAACCTAGAAAAAATAGATAAATTCATAGACACATACAACCTACCAAGATTCAAACATGAAGAACTCCAAAGCTTGGATAGACCAAGAACAAGTAATGAGATCAAAGCCATAATTAAAAGTTTCCCAGCAAAGAAAAGCCCAGGATCCAACGTCTTCATTGCTGAATTTTACCAAATAGTTAAAGAAAAACTAATACCAATCTTACTCAAAGTATTCCCAAAAATAAAGGAGGGAATATTTCCAAACTCATTCTATGAGGCCATTATGACCCTGATACCAAAATCAGACAAAGACACAGTGAAAAACAAAAAAACTAAAGGCCAAAATCACTGATGAACATTGATGCAAAAATTCTCAACACAATACTAGCAAACCAAATTCAACAATACATTAGAAAGATTATTCATCATGACCAAATGAGATTTATCCCAGGGATACAAGGATGGCTCAACAAACGTAAATCAATCAATTTGTTACATCATGTCAACAGAATGAAGGACAAAAACCACACGATCATTTCAATTGATAATAATAAAGCAAATGAGAAAATTCACCATTCCTTCAAGATAAAAATCCTAAAAAAAAAAAAAAAAAAAGAAGGAGCATACCTCAACAAAATAAAAGCCATAGGGACAGGCCTACATTGAGTATAACACTGTACAGGGAAAAACTTTTTAAAAAGGGCATAGAAGGTTATAGAAAACTAAAAGAAGGGTACATCCCCCAAAAAAAGGGTATAGAGGGAACACACCTCAACAAAATAAAAGCCATGTATGCCAGACCCACAGCTAGTAACATACTGAACAGGGAACAACTGGAAGCATTTCCCCTTAGATCTGGAACAAGACAAGAATGACCACTTCCACCACTGTTATTCAACATAGTACTGGAAGTCCTAGACAGAGCAACCAGATAAGAAAAAGAGATAAAAGGCATTAAAATGAGAAATAAATAAGTCAAATTATACTTGTTTACAGATGATCTCATTCATCTGGAAAAACCTAAAGACTCCACCAAAAAACTATTCAAACTGATAAATTCAGTAAAGTTCCAGGATATAAAATCAACATACAAAAATCAGTAGCATTTCTATATGCCAACAGTAAAAAATCTGAAAAAGAAATCAAGAAAGTCATCCCATTTACAATAAACACAAATAAAATTAAATGCCTAGGAATTAACCAAAGAAGTAAAAGATCCCTAGAACAAAAACTATAAAACATTAATGGAGGAAATTGAAGAGAACACACACAAAAAAATGAAAAGATATTCCATGTTCATGGACCGGAAAAATCAGTATTGTTAAAGTGTCCATACTAACCAAAGTAACTGACAGATTCAATGAAATCCCTATTAAAATACCAGTAACATTCTTCACAGAAATAAAAAAAAATACTAAAATTTGTATGGAAACACAAAAGACCCAGAATAGCCAAAGCTATCTTAAGCAAAAAGAATAACACTGGAGGAATCACATTACTTCACTTCAAATTATACTACCAAGCTATAGCAATGAAAACAGCACAGTACTAACATAAAAACAGATACATAGATCAATGGATCACACTACAGAACCCAGAAACAAATCCATACGTCGACAGTGAAGTTATTTTTGACAAAGGTGCCAAGAACATACACTGGGAAAATGTCAGTCTCCTCAATAAATGGTGATGGGGAAACTGCATATCCATACACAGAAGAATAAGACTAGATCCCAATCTCTTGCCAAAAGACTTATATCCAGCACCTGAAACTATGAAACTACTACCAGATAGGACACACTCCAGGACATTGGTCTGGGCAAAGATTTCTTGAGTAATACCCTAAAAGCACAGGCAACTGAAGCAAAGGTGGACAAATGGGATCACATCAAGTTAAAAAAAAAAACTTCTGCACTTCAAAGGAAAGAATAAACAAAGTGAAGAGACAACCCACAGAATTGAAGAACATATTTGGAAACTATCATCAAGTAAAATTTGAAATATAACAAAATGACAAGTTATATAGATTATTCTAGTTTCATAAGTGAATATATTATTTCACCCTATTCTGAAGAGTCTAGCTAATGCAATTAAACGAGAAATAAATGAGAAAGAAGAAGGTAAACTATTATTATTTTCAGGTCATATGGTTGCATATTATTAAAATTCAAGAGAAACAACTAAAAAATTCAAATAATATCATTCAGAAAGGTGGCTGTGTACATTAATAACACAAAAAAATCTATATCCTTTCTATATAAAAATAAGTAGAAGTAGTAAAAATATTTTATTTATAATTTTAAAATTATTAAGAAATACATAAAATTGGCTGGGTGCGGTGGCTCACACCTGTAATCCCAGCACTTTGGGAGGCTGAGGTGGGCAGATCACAAGGTCAGCAGTTCAAGATCAGCCTGGCCAACATGGTGAAACCCCGTCTCTATTAAAAATACAAAAATTAGCTGGGCATGATGGCACGTGCCTATAATCCCAGCTACTTGGGAGGCTGAGGCAGGAGAATTGCTTGAACTGGGACCCAGGAGACAGAAGTTGCAGTGAGCCCAGATCGCGCCACTGCACTCCAGCCTGAGCTACAAAGCGAGACTCTGTCTCAAAAATATATATATATATATAATTAATATAAATAAAATATATATATAATTAATATAAATAATCCTATTGAGGGACATAAAGGAAGGTGAATACATCAAAAACATTCTAATTTTGAATATGAAGACTTAATATCATAAAGATGACAATTCTTCCCAAACTTATCCATAAATTAAATGTGATCCCAGTAAAAAACACCTATATGGCCTATTTAGGACTAAACAAATTGATTCTAAAATAAAGAAGGAAAACTAAATAAAAAAGTATAGCAAGGGAATATCCTTGCATCCTTGAGATAGGGAAAGATTTCTTAGGTTACAAAAAGCACTAACCATAAAAGAAAAAGTTAATAAATTGGACTTCATCAAAATGTAAATTATCTGTTCTCCAAAATACACCATTAAGAAAATGAAAAGCCAAGCCGCAGACAGAGAGAAGATATTCTCAATCCTTAACAGATGCTCCTTGACTTACAATGGGGATACATCCTATAAACCAACATTAAGCTGAAAATATCTTAAGTCAAAAGCTCATTTTCAACTTACTATGTCTTTAACTTATGATGGGTTTATTTAGATGTAACTCCATCATAAGTCAAGGAGCATAATAAATGCATATTGCTTTCTCACCATTGTAAAGTTAAAAATTATAAGTCAAACCATCATAAGTCAGGAACCATCTATATATGATATTTGTTCAGTATATATAGAGTGAGAACATCTGTAAGTCAATAATAAAAAGACAAACAACCCAAATTTAAAATAGGCACAAGATTGAAGCAGACATTTCTCAAAAGACGTGATATAAATGGCCGAAAAACACGAATAATGCTCACCATCACTGATCATTAGAAAAATGGAAATAAAAAGCCAAACCAGTAACCCAACCAAATGCTGGTGAGGTTATGGAGCAACCAGAGTGTTCATATTTGGCTGGTAAGAATATAAAATTGTATATGACCTTTGCAAAACTGTTTGCAATGAAAATTGAATCCAGCTTCTTGATCCAGCATACTCTACTCCTAGTTTCTACCAAAAAGAAACATATAAGCCCACAAAAAGACTTGAACACAAATGTTTATAGTGGCTTTATTATAGCCAACAACACTAGAAGCAATCCATATGTCCTGCAACAGAAAAATGGATAAACAAATTGTGGCATATTCATATAATAAAGTAGTATCAGCAATAAAAAGGAACAAACTACAGTTATAGGCAACATCATGGATGAATCTCATAGATTTTGAATTGAAAGAGGACACTACATATTATATGATTTCATTTATATGATGTTCAAAAACAGGCAAATCTACCTATGGTAATAAGGTCAGAAGGGTGATTGCCTTTTGGGAGACGGGGATAAAAAACTGACAGGAAAAGGGCATGCATAAACTTCCTAGGATGATGGAAATAATATATATCTTGATGTGGTGCTAGGCACATTGGGAATATACATATCTTTCAAAATTTGTCAAACTATACTTAAATTCTGTGCATCTTATTATGTACAAGTTACACTTCAATTTTTTACAGAAAGGAAATAAAATAGCCAGGAAATTTTTGTAAAGAAGAGTAATGTGAGGAAACTAACTCCACTGGTGTAACAAATGTGGGGGTGGGGGAGATAGGAGTTGTAATCTGCCACAGTGGGGAGGAGTATTTTAACACTAAATTTGTATCAAATTTAGTTTTGTTCACATATGGAGTTAATAAGCAGGCCAATTTTTAGTCCCTTCTCATATTTTTGAAATATTTTCTACAGGCAGTTCATCCACCTCATACTGTCTATAGCCGGGGTGGTCCACTCCCAACAACAGTCCCTCAGTATGCCACTGACCATGGCTACAAGCTACCAGTAACACATACTAAAAAGACACAGTCATTAAACTATGTGGTACTTGTACTGGCAAAATAATTGAAAAATCAATGGGCAGATTAAGGAGACCAGAAATATACCAGAATGCATATGGGAATTCTATATATGAAAAAAGTGGCTGTGAACATTAGTGGATAAAAAATAGGTTACTCAATAAATAGTATTATGACAAATGAGTAACAATATGAAATAAAGTAGGATCCATATCTTATATTGTACATCAAAATAAATTCTGAATAAATCAAAGTCATAAATGTTTTTTAAAACTTAAAAACTATTCCACAAAAAAGATAAAATATTGGAGAATTTATTTTTGTAATCTTGAAATAAAGAAACTTTTACTATATGTAACAAAATCCAATGCTAAAAAGACTGATAAATTTGACTAAAGGCAATTAAATGGTTTTACATCTAAATGAAGTCAAAAGAAAAAACCTGAAATATTTCCAGCATATGTGATAAAGAATTATATTCTTTAACAAATAAACCATATTTAAAAATACAAATATAGTAATACAAATGAGCAAAGAATAGTACACAATAAGAGAAATGCAGAGAGTGATGTCAGGAAGATGGCAGAGTAGGATTTTTCTACCCTCACCCCCTCTCAGAAACATCAATTTAAACAATGATGCAACCATAAAAATACACTCACAAGAGCTAAGGAATCCAGGTAAGAGATTATAGCACCTGGGTGGAACACAGAAATAAGAACAGACACATCGAAGAGGGTAGGAAGGACAGTTTCACATTATTTACATCACCCCTCCCTCACATCCCTGCAGTACAGTGCCAAGAGAGATCATTTCTGTGGGGGGGCGGGGCGGGGAAGAGAGTGAAGTAAGCACCTGACTTCAGTGGGTACCCCAGTATCAGGCCTTCCCCAGTGACCACTGACACAAAGCCAGCTCCTGTGGATCCCATCTCCAAGCTTCCCCTAGCACCAGGCCATCCCTCCTGGCCCCAGGCTCCAGGCTCCCCGACAGTGAACTCAGGCTGTAGGCCCATACCAGGATAAGACCAGCCCCTACACACCAAGGTTCCTGTCCTTTTCCAGTGCTGGGCCAGCTCTGTGGCCTCAGGCTATGGGCTAGACCCTATAGACCTACACTTCAAGCCTTTCATGTTGGCTCAGGGACCAAGCAAGTCCCATCACCAGGCTAGCGCCCACAGCCTCAGACTCCAGGTTGGACCTGGTAGCTCCAGTCATCAGGCCAGCACCTGTGGACACAGACTCCATGCCAGCACCCACAGTCCCAGGCTCTAGATCCACCCAGTACCAGGCCAGCCCATGATGCCCTAGGCTGCAAGTCATCAGCCCTTATGAATGCAGACTACAGGCCACACACATATGCTGGAAACATGCCAGCCCCTGTGGGCACAAGAGTCAGGCCTACTCATCCACTGACCCAGGTACCAAGCCATCTGACCCACAGACTCCAGCAGCAAGCCTGCCCATGGATCCTGAAGACACTTGGTCTAGAATCTCTGAACAGGCTAACTGGTAAAGGGCTTTCCCTGCTGAAGCCAGTTTGTAAAGAGAACAAGAAGAGCTTACTTCTTCAAATGTGCCCACACCAATACAAGTCCAAAAGATCGTGAATAATCAGAGAAACATGACATCATCAAAAGATCAAAATAAAGCACTGATGGTACAGGAGTTAAGAAATTATTTAGGCAGATAGTGAGGGTAAGGAAGTCCTTGGTAAGGTTTACCTTTTAATGAAAAGCAACCCACAAATCATTTTCTTTTTGTTTGTTTGTTTGGAGACAGGGTCTTGCTCTGTCGCCCAGGCTCGAGTGCAGTGGCACAATCTCGGCTCACTGCAACCTCCACCTCCTGGGTTCATGTGATTCTCCTACCTCAGCCTCCCAAGTAGCTGGGATTACAGGTGTGCCCCACCATGCCCGGCTAATTGTTGCATTTTTTAGTAGAGACAGGGTTTCTCCATGTTGGTCAGGCTGGTCTTGAAAATGAAAATAAATCAGTTCATTCTGCCAGAGATAAGAAATCACAAGCAGTTTCATACAAAAAAGACCTGGTCCATAAGGAGTTCTCTCCCAGCTCTGTCCTAGTCAGACAGATTAAATCAAGGCCCTGGAAAGACCCAGCAAATCTAACAGGAGAAGAATCTATGCAGAACCTATTAGATCAAGGATACCCCCAACAGATCAGGAGTACCAGTCCATGACCTGTTAGGAACTGGGCTTCACAGCAGGAGGCTAGTGGTGGGAGAGTGAGCAAGCAAACTTTATCTATATTTATAGCAGCTCCCCGCCTTGCATTACCATCTGAGCTCTGCCTCCTGTCAGATCAGTGTCGGCATTAGATTCTCACAGGAACACAAATCCTATCGTGAACTGCACATGGGAGGGATCTAGGTTGCGTGCTGCTTATAAGAATCTAACGCCTGATGATCTGTCACTGTCTCCCATCAACCCCAGATGGAACCATCTAGTTGCAGGAAAACAGGCTCAGAGCTCTCACTGATTCTACAATATGATGAACTGTATAACTATTTCATTATATATTACAATGTAATAATAATAGAAATAAAGTACACAGTAACTGTAATGTGTTTGAATAATCCCGAAACCATCTCCTCACCCCTGTGTGGCTGGGACTACAGGCATGTGCCACCATGCTAGGCTAATTTTTTTTTGTATTTTTAGTAGAGATGGGGTTTCACCATGTTGGCCAGGCTAGTCTCAAGCTCCTGGCCTCAAGTGATCTGCCCACCTTGGCCCCCAAAAGTGCTAGGATTATAGCTGTGAGCCACCACACCTGGCCAATAAGTGTTCAATGATATTATTAATAAACATATCTACCCTGGTTTCCTGAAAGCTCTCCAAATTCAATATCTTCATAAAATCATTGCCTTCCCTACCGTCACCCTCTGACCCTCACCACCCCAAAACGGCTCCTCCATCTTCCATATACTGGTTTCAGCACAAATATCCTCATTCAATGCAGAAAGCTAGTTGTCATCCTTGACTCCTCCATCTTTTTATTCTCTTCTCAACTCTCAAATCCACCAACCCTATATAGCTATTGACATTTTCTCCCACTTTAAGAGCTCATAAACTCTCACTGATGGTATTTTTTAGTTATGGGAATCCCATGCAGGATAAGAAAATAGATTTCATTTTCAGTTATAGATTGGATGGAATGGTATTCATGATTGAAATAACTTGCTCAAAGCAGTTATCTAAAAGATAAAAAAGTAGTAAAATGTATAATAAAAATGTATGACCTGTGCCTGCTCACAAGAAGTTAGGTATGCTGCAATTATAAATATGCTTTGTCATCTCTCCAACTTTCTGTGAACTCTATCACAGCCAAACTGAAAGTCATTTTAAATCATTTCTTACTAATATCATCTTCTATAAAACTTCAACATATGCTCTTTATTAATATTTTCAGTTGTCATATACACTTTTTATAATTGCCCTATAGGATATTTTAATTCACAGAATTTTCACAGCATGGATTTTTAATCCCTTTTTATAGGAGACCTGTATTAGCCCATTCTCATATTGCTATAAAGAAATACCTGAGACTGCATAATTTATAAAGAAAATAGGTTTAATTGGCTCGCAGTTTCTCAGGCTGTACAGGAAGCATGATTCTGGCATCTGCTCGGCTTCTGGGAGGCCTCAGAAAACATATAAACATGGCTTCAGGAAACATGCAATCATGGCAGAAAGCGAAGGGGAGCCAGCACATCTTACATGGCCAGAGCAAGAGTTACATACTTTTAAACAACCAGATCTTGTAAGAACTCTATCAGGAGAACAGCACCAAAGGGATGGTGCTAAACCATTCATGAAGGATCCACCCCCATGATCCAATCACCTCTCACCAGGCCCCGCCTCTAACACTGGGGATTACAACTGAACATGAGATTTGAGCAGGGATACAAATCCGAATCATATCAAGACCTAAATCAGATTTTCTAAGTTCATTTGTGCATTTATTCTAAATATGCAATCAGGTAAATGGTTTTTAAAATTACGTTATCTTTTTTCTAAACTTAGAATGTATAATATATTCAAACAAATAGTCAGTAGCCTCTCTCTGCCTTTTAAACTACTCAAAACTCTTCTAGCCTTCTAGAATCATTTTGTCCTATATTCTTATTGAATAGTATGCTGTCTAAATAATACAGTCCAAAATACCTCTATGTTGCTGATAAAAATACTCTGGATGTTTGTCTAATTTCCTAGTTAAACAATGTAAGAATGCTGGTCTTCGTCAGGTTTACAATACAATAGGACTAATGGTAGTAGTAATATATAAACTTGTGATTTTTTTATGAGTTTGCTATGACAGACTGTTATATTCAGTTTCTAGAATGATTTTATTAAGGTGATTTACATCTTACTGTATTAATAAATAGAAGTGCAAATGCAAATAAATTAATCTACCACTGTTAAGTCAGTATTTACTAGAATGAAGTTCCACACAGCCATTGCCCAGATGAAATGGAATAATCAAAAATGATGTAATTTGAAAAATACTTTTAAGTATATGCTAAATTACATATACTTAATTTAGCATAAGTACATGCTAAATTGCAACTCTATATGAGAATAACAATGAGCAGCTAGAAGAATACACAGGTTATGAAGGCCTATGTGCTTAAATTATGAAGGTATAATGCACTTAATCAGAAAGAGATTACATTGAAAACACAGAGCACCTTCCTCTGAACATCATAGCTGCAGCTGCAAACCAAAAGATAACTTGTATACTTCTGAAATGTGAGAATTACTGCAGGTCATATATCACCCTTCCACACCCTTCATTTCAATAATCATGACCATTAGTAACATTATTCTTCTACAATAAAAGTTAACAACTAACAAGTGAACTTTTTATCTAGTGTTGTCTCAAGAGATACCAATATCCTAAGAAAACTAATAACTGTTGTCAAAAGAGAGAAAGGAATAATTTAATACCCACATTAAAGTTGCCTTTCTATAAACACATGATACGCCTCTAGACAGTGAAATGGGCTTAATTTTGTTCCAAAACTTTAATTTCATGTTGTTCTCACTAGACATGCCTAGGTCAGTATTTAGTAACAGATGAACAGTTAGATATATGTTCTGGCCTGTGAGAAAATAATTTACCATACAGTGTAAGTTTACTTATTTGCTCTATGCATCCTAAAAGGTCTGGGAAACATTAAATTATGTTTAAAAAATTTCATTTCTCTTTATTTTGATCCTATGTAAAATAGAAAATTCATAACTGAGGAAAAATTCAATCTCTAAGACCAACATGTTCATAGTAATTTACTACTAACAACCTGAGGTTATTTATATGTAATAAATGAGAAAATGTGTTAAATTATCCTACTTCTTAAAACATGTATAGAGGCAAAAACATACAGATGAGTACTGGGCAATGATCATCATGCACTTCCTTTACTGCACTTCTGCATTTCTGAAGAAAATCAACTCTAGATGTTTGTATGGCTTCCCTGCTGCATACTGCATATCTTACTAGTGTTTCCATTAGGAATGTTTTTGGGTATAAGAAGCAAAAAAACATTGACTACCGGTGACAGAAACAAATTTGGGAAGGGAATATTTTTCTCACATTGGGAAAAGTATCTGATTACATTGAATCAGTGGCTTGACAATGTCATGACTAATGACTCCAGTGCTCTTGGCCTTTCCTTCATCATCACAAATGGCTGGTCAAGTTAAAACATTACTTTTGCACTAAAAGGTTGTGCCAGCTACATTTTTTTTTAACTTATGACCTCCCAGCAGCTCTCAAAGACTTTCTTATAACTCATTTGCTAGAACTGTGTCACACAGCCATTCCCAGTTAGAGGAAAGCTAAGAATATTTTATATTTTTCCAGTCTATCTAGTGGGGATTGCAAGAGGGAAGGAAGTTAAAAATGTCTGTTGGAGGAGGGGCACAGTGGCTCATGCCTGTAATCCCAGCACTTCAGGAGGCCGAGGCATTTGAGATCAGCCGGGCCAACATGGCAAAACTCCATCTCTACTAAAAATACACACAAAAATGTACCCAGGGGTGGTGGCAGGCGCCTGTAATCCCAGCCACTTGGGAGGCTGAGGCAGGAGAATCACTTGAACTCGGGAGGTGGAGATTGCAGTGAGCTGAGATCACACCACAGCACTCCAGCCTGGGCAACAGAGTGAGTGAGACTCCTCCCTCCCCACCCCCACAAAAAAAAAAGGTTGTTGAGCCATTGAGCAGAGTCAAAAACAGTCTCCTTTTTCAGCTACTCAACATTCCATATGTATATTTTACATGTAATACATTCACCTCCTCCATAAAGGAGGTAATCCCAAAGTTTCATCTAGTTATAAAATCTAATTCCAAATCCAGGATCTCTGAGGAAAAACAAATCTTACCATCATGGCCCAGTGTGCATCATTGTGAACCACTCAACTATACACTAGAAGACAAATTACACCTGTTCCCAATACACCCAATACACAATGACTGAGAAAAAACAGGGTAACTGTAATAAAAACTCTCATTCAGAAGTATGAACAATAATAAATATACAGCAACAACTGTCCATAGCACACAGCAACCCATATATGAACAATAGCTTAGTTTCATTGGTTAACCTATCTAGCTGCCCCTGATTGAGCTATCTAGATATTTTCCCTTGATGACTGTCTTTCATGTCCCTTGATTCTACCTTGGCAGGATGTCCCTTGCCTATTATCCTCCTTGGCATTAGATACGATTGGGACTAGCAAGTATACTCTTCTTAGAGTCTGTATGGCATTCACATGCACTGCTAGAATATACATCATATTGCTAGTATGAGTTCAAGAGCTTGTATATTGCCTTAGAAGTTGAAAACTCATAGAATTTGCTGTCTAGACTTAGGATTACTTTAACCATTAGCCACATGTGGTTATTTAAATTAAAATTAATTAAAATTAAAGAAAATTTAAAATTCAGTTTCTCAGTCAACCAGCCACTTTTCAAGTGTTCAATAGCTAGCTATATGTGACTAGAACCTACTGAATTGGATAGTGAAGATGTAAAACATTTTCATCATTGCTGAAAGTCCTATTGAACAGTGATGCATAGTATTATAAAAAGGCCTGCTGAATTTTATTTGCAATGTCCCAAATCCACACAAAATTATACTTTTATCTTGTAGTCAATATTTAGTTTGAAATATAGACTGTTATATTATGAAATCTTATCAATGCATAAAAGTCATTTCTAAAGCTGAGTTTTATCATCAAGTGCCTCATTTCTGGGATGGGTATCAGAATTCATTGTGGAAGCCACAAACAATAATTAGACCATTATGCATCCTGCATTAACTCTGGACACAAAAGTAGCACCAGAGATTCTAAAGGTTATAAATTGCCTGAATTATGCTACTTGTGAGTCAGAAAATCAGGTGGGCTGGAAGATAGCTTATAGGTTCTCTAGGGAACCTGTCCCAGATCAAGGATGACGCACAGTCTGGGACATGTCTACAGAAATTGACCCATATATCTTCAAAACTGCATCTAAAATTTGGGAGGATTCCTACAGGTTTTTTTTTTTTTTAAGGAAAGAAAAAGAAAGAAATTGCAGTAACCTTTTTTCTACTAAGAGATTTTATTCTGAACCCACATTCGATATTTGCCACCATCTACATCATCCCCAACTGAGTAACTAAAGACTTGGAGAGGAAGAAAAAGGCTCCAACTGGTAAAAGAAAAAAAAAAAAAAAAAAAAGAAGGCACTATTTAGAAACTATCAGCTGAATGATATTCTCTTTGAGTTTTATGCCAATTTGAAATGGGAAAACTTGAAAAGTCCTCAACTTTAAGTCTGACTCATCCAAAAGAATCAGATAAAATGATTTTTATCTATATTTGCAGGGAGTCATCAGTCTCCATGGCAGATCCAAATTCAAATTAGACCACTAAGGGCACACACTAGCAGATTATTAAAACCTAGCCGGTAGTCTAGTCGTATCTACCTGAGTATTTTAAAGTATGAATACATCCAACATTTAACATGAAGATAATAAGGTAAACATTTTACCAAATTCTAAAACATATAAGAAAAATAAAATACATGAAATACTTATAATCAACTGCCAAATATATACTTCAGAAAATTCATATTCAGTGTTATTACTTCAATATTATAACAGTTAAATCTTTATACTAAGTCAGAAGGTTAAGATTTTAAAACCTTATCAGTGCAATGATGAGTTTAGCATAATAGAAGATTATAGAAATTTATCACAATGAGGAATACTATGAGGTTTCCTTGAAAAAAATGCTAAATTCTAAAAAGGCAAGCCTTTTTAAAAATCAAATAATCAACTTTTCATCTATAATATATGAAGTGTAAATAATTTAATGTAAGTTTTTCAGTAAAAGCAGATAGCATGCTTAAATAAGCCATAATGTTTAGCAATTACCATGCATCATAACTATAACAAAACACTGAGAAGTATATAAATTAAATATAGCTATAAAATTAAAACTGGCAATAACAACAATAAGGAAAAACTAATATTAGACAGAAAAAAAGACTCTAACCACTTTGTCCTCCTGGAGTGAATATCCACGAAAGCAAGTTAGAAAAGACAGAAAAGACAAAACAAAAAAGAAATAATTAATTCCATTCTTAAAACAAGTAAGAGTTTTAAAAAGTTTTCTTACTGAAATTAAAATTCTGAAAATGTCTAAATTACATTTTGACTGAAATCTAAAATTCTAGATTTTAAAAAATTTTAGGGGAGATTTTTTTCCATACATTTCATTCAATTCAAGCAAAAGCATGCTACATAAGAGAATATATTAAGATATATAAACAAAATAATTTCCATAACAGCAATTAAACATCCAAACATTGGGAAAAAAAGAATACTCTTCCTACAAACAAAATCAGTTAAACACTGAGCTCAAAAAACTGAAAAATGTTTAAGAAAAAAGTTTTATATACAAAGACAATAAAAAACATAGCATCAATGTTTAATTTCATCATATACTATCAAAAGTAGATAAAATGTAATTTTCATGAATTACACATATTGTTTCTGAAGTTTATCTCTGTCCCAATTATTCAGAAGTCTTTTATACTTAATATAACTAAAAAGAAAATCTTTTTGAAGTTGTTATTATTGATTACCACTGGTAATTTGGGGTCACTGTTTCCCAATATGATAAGTGTGGAAAATAAAATGAGAAAATACATATTTTGGTCAAAAGGTGATTTAAATACACTACAAAGTAAACTCCTTTCATTTCTCTTTTCTTTAACATAAAGTAACGATAACAGTGAAAGTGATAATGCAATAATAATGGCTGATACAAGAACTTACAATAATTAAAACCAAAATCATGTGTTTTGAGATATCACTGTTTCTTTGAAATATGGGTGATAGTACAACATTTGTGACTCAGAGGAAAGACAATCGCAAAGTCCTATATTAAAATCCCACATTTTGGGGAGCTGAACAATCAGAACACATGGACACAGGGAGGGGAACAACATACCATACACTGGGGCCTGTTGGTCGGGGGCAGGCAGTAGGGGTTGGGGACGTAAAGCATCAGGAAAAATAGCTAATGCATGCTGGGCTTAATACCTAGGTGATGGGCTGATAGGTGCAGCAAACCACCATGGCACACATTTACCTATGTAACAAACCTGCACATCCTACACATGTATCCTGAAACTTACAATAAAATTAAAAATAAAAACAACATCTTGTCTCACTTCAGATCTTGCACTATAGCCACTCAATAGTGCTGCCTCTATATAATGCCAGTGTCCTTGGTTGATTTTATATCTCTTTTCTCTGTAATTTAATTGATCAGCTAATTATTTTAGGTCATAATTACTAGACCTGGAAACTCCAGTGGTAACTTGAAGTATGCCCAGGAATATTCATTAAAAATTTAATAATATAATTACATGTTAAAATTTCTTTTAAATAGTCAACATCTTACCCTATTTTATTATCTAAAAAAATTTTATACCAACTACTTTTTTCTCATAATCAACCATCCTTATGGCCATCCTTACTATCTTATCACTTCTAATAATCAGTCACCCTTCCTCTCCACAAGATCAATTTACTTTAAGTATTACTCCCAAATCTACCTTCTCATTATCACTTATATATCATTGATTCTATCATTATTTTCCACCTCTGATATTTCCTCTTATCGTGGCATCATTTCAGACTATATATGACAAAATCATCTGTCAATAACTATTCTTTGTGCAACTTTCCATGATTAGTTCCCCAGTCTCCTAGGAAACTAATGTTAATTTCCCCTCAGAATCCTTCTTTAGATAGAGGTATTCCATCTTTCTGATCCCTCCCTCTGTATCAGTGCTCTATATTCTATATAGTTAAACTACCATCACTTGCCTCTCACTTCTTGACTACCTTCTCTAATCAACCCAAAAATACCTCTCTTTCACACCACTACAATATTCTCTCTCAAGGCTGGTCTTCTTTTTTCCAAGAATAACAACAATTAAATTCTGTCTGTATAGTTTATATTTTTAATTCATCCACAAGTTTAGATTGTTATCTTCCATAAAACATTATCACAGTGCTGAGCTACAGCAAAGAGCTGGACTTAAATGCAATGCTTATCCCATAATAACATGCCCATAGTAAGTACACTAGACTTCTTTGTTCCATTAATTCACTGACCCATTATGTGCCAAAACATAGAAGCCTACAGCAGTCAAGGGGAATTAAACAGATCTAATCAATTAATAATAATACACTTTTGAGAGTACTAGATTGGAGGTCTGAAGAATCCAGTGTGGCACAAAAAAGTGAGTGGTTAATTCACAGGAGATACCCAAAGAAAGCATCATAAAGGAGATGATGCTTAAATCCAGAAAAATAAGTAAGTGCTCATCAAGTGGGTAAGAATTGTGGACTGGGAGTGGGATCTAGAGGGGATAAAAGAAGTATTTCAGGAAGAAAGAAAAAAAGGCAGAAATAAGAGAAGTGTAAGTAGTATAATCTGGTTAAGACATCTAGAATGGAGTGAAGCTCATGCCTAGAGTTAGGCAAGGAATAAATCAGAGAGCGGTGACTCTTTATGCCATTAGAAACTTCACTCAGGTGATGAGGAGTCACTGAATCATTTTTAAACAGAAGGTAAAAATAATCAAATCTGCATTTTACAAATCACTATAGCAGTATTTGAAGGATGTGATTAACAGGCCAAAACTGAAGCAGAGAGACCAATTAGAAGATTGGCCTTAGTCTAGGTGACAGAAGATAAGAACCTAAAAAAGACAGCATCCGTAGTTTACATAGAGAGACAGGAAATGATAAAATCAAAAAAATTTGGGGAAAGGAAAGAAATCTGAGATGATTCCTACCTTTCTGGCTTAGATGACAAAGTGGAAAATAGGGCCAATTAAAAAGTTGAAAATTATAGGAGGTGTAGATTTGTGGGTTCTTCCAGCAATAGGAAATACATAGAAAGTCTGCTTGGACTAAGTGAGATTCAGCAGTATTCTAATGTATTTACCGCAAAGGACTTAGAAACACAAGATATTAGGCCGGGCATGGTGGCTCATGCCTGTAAACCCAGAACTTTGGGAGGCCGAGGCAGGCAGATCACCTGAGGTCAGTAGTTCGAGACCAGCCTGGCCAAAGTGGCAAAACCTTGTCTGTACTAAATATACAAAAATTAGCCAAGCATGGTGGTGTGTGCCTGTAATCCCAGCTACTCAGGAGGCTGAGGCAGGAGAATCACTTGAACCCAGGAAGTGGAGGTTGCAATGAGCCAAGATTGCACCACTGCACTATAGCCTGGGCAACAGAGTGATAATCCATCAAAAAGAAAGAAAGGAAAGGAGGAAAAGAAGGAAGGAAGGAAGGAAAAGAAAAATCCAATGTCCTATTTAATGGATTTTTACATAAAATAAGTTAAAAATAAGGATTATTACTACACTTTTATTTTAACTTCAAAAAAATTCTTTTATTTTTCATTTACTTTTTGCTTATGTTTGAAATTAAAGGTTTCTGTTAGGAATCCTTGAAAAGAAATTGGGTAAAGTTAACTGGATATTCCATTTAAAAGGGATAAAGGAATTCATGACCAATGTCTAACCCACCTTACATGTCTTGCCTGCTTTCCATTTCCTTTGTGTTTCTGTATCTACAGTCTGTTTTACCATCCTGCAGTTTTGGTGATGTCATGAATTTTTTATATCTTAAACTGTTGTATAGTCTCCTATTATGATTAGAATTCATTATAGATTCTATTATTAATCTTCCTTATATATGCTAAATGAAATCTATTTAACTTGGTACTCACCTTATCTACTGATAAGGAGCTTAACTACTGATGAGCACATCATGTACAAAGCAGTATCCTTGACACCAAGAGATTAGGAACAAGTGGATACCAAAAGCAGCTTTCATATGTAGATGTACCAACAACCAAGCATACCTTGCCTTTGCCATATGTCCAGTGAGCTAAGAGTATTTTTTCTCTAATCTAAAATAAATCTCTAAAACCATATACTCCTACATATTTTTAAATTAACATTTAAGTTTTAAGCCAGGCATGGTGGCTCACACCTGTAATCCAAGCACTTTGGGAGGCCAAGGCAAGAGGACTGTTCGAGCCCAGGGGTTCGGGACTATTTCCTGGGCAAGGTGGCGAGACCCTGTCTCTATTTAAAAAAAAAAAAAAAAAAAAAGTTTAAAAATTAAGCGGGTGAGGCGGTGTGCACCTGTAGTCTCAGCTACTCAGGAGGCTGAAGCAGGAGGATTCCTTGAACCCATGAGTTCAAGCCTCCAGTGAGCTGTGATTGTGCCTCTGCACTCTAACCTGGTTGACAGAGTGAAACCACATCTCTAAAAAAAAAAATTGAAAACTAAAATAAAGTTTAAATGGTTAGGATGCATTTTCAGATATATTGGGTATTGTAAAAGTACATTTTAAAAGTGTGATATATATATATATATATTTCAGATGGGGTCCGGCTCTGTTGCTTAGGCTGGAGTGCAGTGGCAGATCTTGGCTTACTCCATCCGCCGCCTCCCAGGCTCAAGCGATCCTCCCACTTCAGCCTCCCAAGTAGCTGGGACCACAGGCACTCACCACCACGCCTAGCTAATTTTTTGTATTTTTGGTAGAGATGAGGTTTCACCATGTTGCCCAGCCTGATCTCAAACTCCTGAGCTCAAGAAATCCACCCCACCTTGGCCTCCGAAAGTGCTGTGATTACAGGGTTGAGCCACCGCACCTGCCTGATATATTTTCATCAAATCTTGGAGCTGCATATTTAGCTTATACACGGAATATATATGGCAAATGTCTACTATAGAACCCATTTGGCAAACCACTCCACACTGTTAAACCATCAAATCTGGCTTTCTATCAAAAAGAGTCCAACTTCATTTTTAAATTAAAATTGCTATTATAATGATTCACAAATGGCCATCTCACATCCAAATTCTAATTCTAAAAACAATAGAAGAGGCAATAGAATCTTGCCAAAAATCTGTTGCCTGAATGAAATAAGGCGCTGCCCTCTTCTATATTTCTTACAAACCTTCTCATTGCTTTGCCTCTGAACTCTCCCTGAGGACAACACATTCTGGAATTGTCACTTTGTGTGGTGCCCCAGAGATTTCTACACCCTGAGCCAATGTACTACATAAAAGCTAGATTCAGAATAGGTAAGGCTGAGGAATGTACCTTTCTTTTGAAAAATAGAACAATTGTAAAAGTGAGTTGAAAAAGAAAGATCCACAAAAAAGATAGTGTTCTAAGGTAGATCAACTTTAAGAATATGCTACTAAAATCTTTGCCCTTGAAGTTATTCACACCAGTTACTCCCAAAAAGCGTTCCTTCCACAGTAGGTGATACACTATCTCACTTTCAAGACTACTGTAATATATTTCAGAGTATAAAGAACTTGTGAACTCATCAGAGATTCCTGAAGAGAAACAACCCCCAAATTGGCAATGTATATCAATATATTTCAAAGAACTTGCTTAAGAATCACTTTCTAAAAATAAAATAAAATTTTTAAAAATCACTTTCCTTTATAACCATTATAAAATTATGTCATTATGCTTCAAATCTGATAATTTATAAAGTGAAAAAATTCATGTTACATTTTAAGTTAAATAATACAACTGTGGAAATGTACATTATTTATTTTTTTCTAAATTAGTGATTAAGCAGGTGGTAATATACTTTTCTTACCAAAAAGTAAAAGAAACAAAAAGTTAAAGTTGCCACACTCTGACGCTTAAAATAATCCTTATTGTAAATTACTTTTAATGTCTTTCTAACATCACTATCCAATAATTACAAAATAATTGTTTTCTTATGAAGTCATTATTTTTTCACTTGACTAAAAATATGGCTTTTATTTATTAAGAGGGTATAATCTGAAAAGGAAACAAAGAGAACCGATATTTCGTAAAATTTTGTTGTGTTGGTACTTCCATATGTCCTGCCCTTCATTTATTTTCTATGTCCTAAATGTACCTCAAGAGAATTAACTAAATGTTAAGGATGGCTCCACATGAAAGAGCCTCAAAATTAAAACAAAAGATTATTTTATTATATTCCCTTAAAAGATTACTAAGAGAATTTTTAAATAGCTTTATAATTAAATCATAAGCTATATAATATTTGTGTTCTCATTATTCTATTTCATAAGCTTAGTAAGACCAACTTTCACTGAGATTAATCCTTTTGGGCTATGAAAAATCAAAGAAATGTATTTAGTACCTGTTGGGAACAAAAGCCTTCTACATAAGGCAACTAAGCATGATGATCAAATTTGAAAAAAAAATACATTCCAGAGTCTTTTTATTTAGAATATAGGCAAGTTTTATACATGACAAGTCTCTTGCTTGAATAAAAATGTAGAAAAACTAATGAAAGAAATCCAGGGATGTCTTCCTTGAGCTAAAATCTATCTTTACAAATCCTCAGACTTAAGGAAAATACAAGATAAGTGGGGAGTATTGCCTCTGGCTCCATCCTTCTTCCATAAACCATCCCTATCAGGCTAACCCTCAACATATAAAGAGACAGAGTTGATACACAAAGCTGCACAGAGACAGAACCCAAGAGAACTCCAGGGGTTTCTTCAAGTCTTCAGCTCAGTAATGATCGGTGAACATACATATGAGAAAAATACTCAAGGGAATGGGGTTAAAGAAAAAAAAAGAATATCTAAAAGAATTAGAAAGAAAATAGTTGTTCCTACCAGCAAGACTGGAAAAACTCCTAATTCATGGGATATTGGTTAAAGACTCAGTCTTTCCTCTGTAGAGGAGAATAATTAGTGCTAAACTGAGCATTGCTCCAAATATACCTAACAAACCCTCAAAGAATGTGTAAAAGTATCAAACTGTTTCCATGTAACTTAACTACATCTGAAAGCTCAAGAAGTTACAGAAACACAAAAATAGCCAACATCCAACAAAGTAAAATATACAACACCTGTCATCCAACCTAAGATACCACACATGAAAAAAGTACAAAAAAAAAAAAAAAACCCACATACCGTAATGAGAGTAATCAATCAAAACTAACCCAGACTCAAGGGGGGTTAGAATTAGCAAAAGAGAATATCGAAACAATAATTATAACTGTATTCTACATGTTTTTAAAGTTACACAGAGCATAGAATATATCTTAAGTCCCAAATTAAAGTTCTAGTCATAAAAACTACAATGACTGTGATTATTAAAAAATATACTGAATTTTATAAACAGCAGATTTGACATTGCTACAATGTCTGTGATTATTAAAAAATACACTGAATTTTATAAACAGCAGATTTGACATTGCAGAAGGAAAGACCAGTAAACTTGAATGCACATTAATATAAAGAATACAAAATAAAACACAAGGAAAAAAATAAAACTAAGATTAAAGGAAAGAACATAAGTGAGCTGTAGGACAATTACAAGCTGCCTAATATACTGGGAACAGGAGTTCTTGAAGCTGTCTAGAGAAAGGAAGGAACAGTAAAAATATTTGAAAAATAATGGCCAAAATTCCCCCAGGCCCTCAACAAACCTCAAACCAAAGAGACACAAAGAAAAATACACCAAAAAAACAATTTAATTGCACACAACTAGTGTTAAAAAATACTTAAGCAGCAAGTGAAAAATGCTACATTATGCACAGAAAACCAAAGATGAGAATGATATATTTCTCAATGGAAACAGTGAAAGGGAGGAGGCAGAAAAGCAGTACATTTAAAATATTGAAAGAGAGAATGATTTAGGGAAGGTGGAGCAAGATGGTGAAAGAGAATCTCCTGTGATCATGTCCCTGGCAAGAACATCAACTTTGAACAACTATCTACACAAAAAGGCACCTTCATGAAAATTAAAACATCACATGAGAGATCACATACCTAGTTTTAGCGTAATAACAAGAAAAGATGCATTGAAGAGGATGAAAAGAACAGCACTGTCTACACCACTCCTCACCCAACCCTAGAGAGCACAGCCAGAGGAAAGAATATATGCTTAGAGTGGAACATTAACACCAGGCAGAATTCCACAAGTGCCCATGGAGGGAGTATTTAGAACAAGTCCTGGAGCAGAAGAGAATCTGCCACCCCAGCAGGAAGAACCCAAATCCCGGTCCACTTCACCACAGGCTAACAAAAGTGGCCTTGAGCCGTGAATAAATTTCAGTGGCATCCAGGCCATAGCAACTGCAGTCCTTGGGTGAACCCTGCCACTGCACTACTCTCGAAGGCTGTTTACTCCAAGTGCAACCCAGCATGAAACCTTCTGGTGGTATCCATTAGAGAATGCCTGCATCACTCCTCTCCCGACTTCAGGCAATACAGTGCAGAGATTCCTTTTTCTTAGAGTAAACAGAGGAAACTTTTTCTTACAATTGGGTACCAGCCCAGCTACATTAAAATAAACCACCAGGCAGGATCCCAAAGCTCCCAGTTGGCCATTGGTTCTGGATGGTCCTTCTAGACGCACCCTAGGCCAAAAGGAAATATGTTGCCCTGGCAGTACAAACCCAAGTCCCAGCAGGTTTCACCGCCTGTTGACTACAGTGGCCTTAGCCTTAAGTAAACATCAGTTGCAGTCAGGCAATAGTGGCCAGGGTCCTTGGGCAAGCCCCTGTACTGTGCTGATTTGAGACGCCATGGGATTGGAATATAACCCAGCATGGTGCCACTTGCTATGGTCACAGCAGTGCCGAGTCACCCATCCCCCAACTCCAGGCAACACAGTGCTGAGAGGGACCCCTTTCACTTGGGGAAAAGGGAGAAAAGAAAGCTAAAGACTTTGCCTGGGAACCTTATCTTCCCCAAGTCCACCAGGGCTGGATCGCGAGGATTTGCAGCACACATGGGCTTAGAGTGCCCTCTAGTGCTGAAATGGCTACAGTTACCCACAGGCTTAAGTAAATACTCAGTACCCTTAACAATTATTGGAAGACCCTCTGAAGGACTGGAACAAGGCCTGACTACAAAGACTGGAATAAATACTTAAAGTCTTCAATGCCTAGGCATCAACAAACATACACAAGCATCAAGAACATTCAGGAACATATGACTTCACCAAATTTACTAAATAAGTTCCCAGTAACCAACCCTGGAGTCATAGAGATACATAATCTCTCAAGCAAGGAATTCAAAATACCTATTTTGGGGATACTCAATGAACTTCAAGAAATCACAGAGAAGGAATTCAGATATTTATCAGAAAAAAAGGCAGCATGGAAACTGAACTAATTAAACAAATCCTGGAGCTGGAAACATCAATGATTAAAAGAAATGCATTAGAATGTCTCCGTGTGGAATTGATGAAGGAGAAGAATCAGTAACTCGAAGACAGGCTATTTGAAAATTCGCATAGGATAAAAAAGAAAATAAATGAAAGAAATGAAGTACACTTACATGATCTAGAAAACAGGCTACAAGGGAAAAATATATGAGTTATTGGCCTTGTAGAGGAGGCTGACAAAGAGATTGGGTAAAAAATGTATTTAAAGAAATAATAAGAGAACTTTCCAAACCTAGAGAAAGATGGATATACAGGTACAAGAAGGTCAAAGAATACCAGCAGATTCAACTCAAATAAGACTACTCCAAGACATATAATAATCAAACTTTCAAACATCAAGGACAAAGAAAGGATCTTAAAAACAGCAAGAGAAAAGAAGCAAATAACATATAAAGAAACTCCAATACACCTGGCTGCAGACGTAGCAGCAGATGTAGCAGCCAAGAGGAAGTGAGGTGACATATTCAAAGTGCTGGAGGAAAAATTTGCAACAGAGAACTCTGTACTCAACACAGCAATCCTTCAAACATGAAGGAGAAAAGTTTTCAAACAAACAAAACCTGAGGGAATTCATTACCACTAGACCTATTTTACAAGAAATGCAAAAGGGAGTTAATCAATTTTTTTTTAAAAAAAAGAAACAATCATCCAAAAAAATCCTGTGAAGGTATAAAACTCACTGGTATAAGTAACTACACAGACAAATTCAGACTACACTAAAACTGTAATTGTGGCATGTAGTGTCTTTAGTATGAAGACTAAAAGTTTACCAAAAGTAATAACTACAACAATCTGTTGAAAGAAAGGCATATTTAAAAGATAAAATGTGAGATAACAAAAACTAAATGGGGAAATGAAGCTAAAGTGTAGTTTTCACTTTGCTTGCTTGATTCTTTTCTTTGAAATCCACGGGAAGTTGTCATCAGTTTAAAATAACTTTCTATAACTATAAAATATATTTTGTAAGCTAATAGAAACGACGAAGAAATACCTATAATAGGTCCACTAAAAATAAAAAGCAAGGAATTAAAATATAATACCAGGAAAAAAAAATGACTTATCCACAAAAGAAGACAGTAGGAAAGAAGGAAGAAGGAACTTACAAAGCAACTAGAAAACGAATTTTAAAATGGTAGTAGTAAGTGGTTACTGATCAATAATACTATCGAATGTAAATTGCCTAAATCCCCCACTTGAAAGACAGAGGAGTGAAATGAATTTAAAAAAAAAAAAAGATCCAAATATATGCTGCCTAGAAGAAACTCACTTGCTTAAAGACATACATGCATGGAAAAGATATTCCATGTAAGTAGAAAACAAAACAGATCAGCAGAAGCTATTAGATTTCAAGTAAAAAACTGTAAAAATGGCATTATTTAATGATACAGGGGTCAATTCAAGAGATATAAAAACTGTAAATCTATATGCAACCAATGTCATAGAACCCAAATATATAGGGAAAATATTATTACATCTAAAAGAAGAGAGAGATTGCAATACGATAACATTGGTGAATATCAACACCCCGCTCTTAGTAATGAACACAGCACGCAGGCAGAAAAAGCAACAACAACAAAAAATCAGAATTAAACTAAACTCTAGACCAAATGGACCTAACTGACATTTACAAAATATTTCATCCAACTGTGACAAACTATACATTCTTTTCATTAGCACATATAACATTCTCCAAAACAGATCATATCTTAGGCCAGAAAACAAGTCATAGTGAAATTTTAAAAGTAAAAATCATATCAGGTATCTTTTCTGACCATAAGGAACAAATTCAAAATCAGTAAAAAGAGGAATGTTGAAAACTGTACATATACATGGAAATAAAACAACATGCTTGTGAATAACCAATAAGTCAATGAAGAAATTAAGAAGAAAATTTAAAAATTGTCTTGGAACAAATTTAAATGGAAATACTAAATTACTAAAATCAGTGGGATCCAGTAAAGCAGAGGGAAGTTTACATCAATAAATGGCTAAGTCAAAAAAGTAGGAAGACTTCAAATAAACAACCAAATAATGCATGTTAAAGAACTAGAAAAGCAAGAATAAATCAAGCCCAATATTAATAAAAGAAAAAATATAATAAAAAAGCAGGAATAACTAAAATTGAGTCAAAAAACACAAAAGAAAAATGAAAGGAAAAGTTGGCTTTTTGAAAATGTAAACAAAATTAACAAACCTCTCACTAGGAAACTAAGAAGAGTCCAAAATAAATAAAATCAGAGATAAAAAAGAAGACATTAAAACTGATACCATGAAAATACAAAGGATCATTAGAGACTACTGTGAACAAATATATGCAAAAAAATTGAAAAATACACAAGAAATGGATACATTTCTAGACACATACAACCTACCAAGATTGGATCATGATTAAATGGAAAACCTAAACAGACCAATATAAGTAAAAAGATTGAAGCCATAATAAAAAGTCTGTCATCAAACAAAAGCCCAAGACATGATGGAGTCACTGCTGAATTCTATCAAATATTTAAAAGAAGAATTAATACCAATCCTACTCAAACTCTGCCAACAAGTTTTGAAGAGGAGAGACTACTTCCAAACTCATTCTATGAGGCTAGTATTAACCTGAGAATGAAAACAGGCAAAGACACAGAAACAACAACAATGACGACTAGAGGCCATTATCTCTGATGAACGAACATAGATGCAAAAATCTTCAAAAACATTCTAGCAAACTGAACTGAATAAAACATTATAAAGATCAATCACCACAATCATCCCAGGAATGCAAAGATGGTTCAACATTCACAATTCAATAAATGTGACACACCACAATAATAGAAATAAAGACCAAAACCATACAGCCATGTTAGTACATTCCAATAAAAGCATTTAATAATGATTTTTAAATCTGAACATACTAGATATAAAAGAAACATGCCTGAAAATAAAAAAGGCCATATTTGACAAACCTACAGCTAGCACCATATGGAAGGGAAAGAATTAAAAGTCTTTCCTCTAAGATCTGGAACAAGTCTAGGATACCCACTTTCACCGCTTTTATTCAATATAGTATTGGAAATTCTAGCAAAAGCAATTAGGCAACAGAAATAGACAAAAGGCATTAATATTGGAAAGGAAGAAGTCAAATTAGACTTTTACACAGATAACACAGTCTTATGTTAAAACCGTAAAGATGACACCAAAATCTCTTAGCACTCATAAACAAATTCAGTAAAGTTACAGGATACAAAATCAACATACAAAAATCAGTAGCATTTCTCTACGCCAGCAGCAATCTGAAAACAAAATCAAACAAGCAATCCCATTTATAGTAGCTACAAAAATAAAATAAAATACCTAGGAATAAACTTAACTAAAGAAGAGAAAGATCTCTACCATGAAAACTATAAGACACTGATGAAATAAATTAAATACCAAAAAAAAGGAAAAGTATCCTATTATCATGGATTGAAAGAATTGCTACTGTTAAAATGTTGAAACTACCAAAAGCAATCTATAGATTCAATGCTATACATAAAATACCAATGAAGTCCAGGCGTGGTGGCTCATATCTATAATTCCAGCACTTTGGGAGTCTGAATGGGTGGATCACTTGAGGTCAGGAGTTCGAGACCAGCCTAACCAATATGGCGAAACCCTGTCTCTACTATGAATACAAAAATTAGCTGGGTATGGTGGTGTACGACTGTAATCCCAGCTACTCAGAAGGCTGAGGCAGGAGAATCATGTGAATCTGCGAGGTAGAGGCTGCAGTGAGCCACGATTGTGCCACTGCACTCCAGCCTGGGCAAAAGAGGAAGACTTTGTCTTAAAAACAAAACAAACAAACAAACAAACAAAAACAATGACGGAAGTGTGAGAGTGAAACCAGCCAGGACAACATAGTGAGATCTCATCTCTACAAAAAAAATCAAAAAATTAGCCAGGTATGGTGATGCATATCATAGTCCCAGATACTCAAAAGGCCAAGGCAGGAGGATCATTTGAGCTCAGTGGATCAAGGCTGAAGTGAGCCATGACGGCTCCAATGCACTCCAGCCTGGGTGACAAACTGAGATCTTGTCTCAAAAAAAAAAAAAACAAACTCACAAAAACACCCAACAACATTCCTCACGAAACAGAAAAAAGAAGTCCTAAAATTCTAATGCAACCAAAAAGATGCTAGATAGCCAAAGCAATTCTTAGCCAAAATACAAAAAAAAAAAAAAAAAAACAGCTGGAGGAATTACATCGCCTGACCTCAAAATATGCTATAAAGCTAGAGTAACCAAAACAGCATAGTACTAGCATAAAAACAGACATAGACCCAGGGAAAAGAACAGAGAATTCAGAAATAAATCAATGCATCTACAGCTAAGTCATGTTCAACAAAGGCACCAAGTATATCCACCAGGTAAAGGACTGTCTCTTAAACAAATGGTTCTGAGAAAATTAAATATCCATTAGCAGAATGAAACTAGAACTCTGTCACTGTATATAAAAATCAAATCAAAAGAAAGACTTAAATCTAAGACCTGAAACTGTGGCACTACTACTACAAAAAGAAGTAAACATGGTCTAGGCAAATATTTATTGAATAAGACCTCAAAAACAGACAACAAAAGCAAATATTGACAAATGAAATTACATCAAGCTAAAAGATCATGCTCAGCAAAAGAAACAATCAACAGAGTGAAGAGACAGCCCTCACAATGAAAGAAAATATTTACAAATTATCTATCCAATAAGGGATTAATAACTGGAATATACAAAAAACTCAAACAACTCAATAGCAAAATAAAAAATAATCAGATTTAAAAATGGACAAAAGATATAAATAGACATTTCTCAAAAGAATACAAACAAATATCCAACAGGTATATGAAAAAATGATCACCATTACTAATTATCAGAAAAATGCAAATTAAAGCCACAATGTGATGTCATCTCACCCTCATCAAAATCACAATTATGAAAAAGAAAATAACAAATGTTAACAAGGATGCAGAGAAAGGTGAACACTTGTATACTGTTGGTAGGAATGTAAATTAGTATAGCCACTATGGAGAAGAGTATAGAGGTTCCTCAATAAAAAACCTAAAAATAGAACCACCATATGATCCAACAATTCCACTACCACGTATGTACCCAAAAGAAAGGAAATAAACATACTGAAGAGATACCTGTATTACTCTGTTTATTGAAGCCTATTCACAATAGCCAAAATATGAAATCACCCTAAATGACCATCAACAGATGAAAGGATTCTAAAATGTTGTATATATACACAATGGAATATTATTCGGCCCTAAAAAAGAATAAAATTCTGTCATTTGCAGTGACATGGATGGAATTGGACGTCATTATGTTAAGTAAAATAAGCCAGGCCCGGAAAGACAAATACCACATGTTCTCATTCACATGTGGGAGCAAATAAAAAAAAAATTTGATCTCATGCAGGTAGTAAATAGAATGGTAATTACTGGAGGCTGGGAAGGGTAGGAGGAAGCGGGAATAAAGAGTGGTTGGTTAATGGGTACAAAAATATAGTTAGATAGAAAAAAGAAGTTCAGTGCTCAGTTACAACAAGAAAGAGACTATGGTTATCAGTAATTCACTGTATATTTCAAAATAGCTGGGAGAAAAGATTTGGGATGTTCCCAACACAAAGAAATGGTCAGTGTTTACTGTGACGGATATCCCAATTATCCAGATTTAATCATTACACATTGTACAGTTGTTATCATTATCACATATACCACATTAATATGTACGACTATTAAATATTATGTATCCATAAATTTTTAATTTAAAAATACTGAAATACAAAAAGTGTTAACCAAGAATTCCACAATCAGCAAAAATATCTTTTTAAAAAATGAAGGCAAAATTTTCAGCATGAAAAAATTGAAACTATTCATCAGCAGCAGACTTGCCCTTCAAGAAATACTGAAGGAAATACTTAAGACAGACAAAATGTGATACCAGATATAATTATAGATCTACAAAAAGAAATAAATAATGCCAGAAATAACTACAAGAATAAATATAGATCTTTTCAAAAATTATTTAATATTTGAAACTCATGGAAGATAAACTCTTTATACAAAAAGAATAACAATATATTGTGGGGTTTATAAAATGAATAAAAGTAAAATATGACACCAGTAACATAGAATCCAACATTTCTGTGAGCTTCTTATAATACACATGAAATAGTGTAATATCAGTTGAAGGTTGACAACAATAATTTAAATATGTATTCTACAAATCTTGAATAACTTGATAAAATAACAAAACAGTTACAGCTATTGAGCCAACAAAGGAGAAAATATGAATCATAAAAATACTTCAGTAATCTCAAAAAAGGCTAAAATTGAAAAAACAAAGAACAGATGACATAAGACAAAATCAAAAAAGCAAGGTGATGTAATCAAATGAAACCATATCAATAATCACAGTAAACGTAAATTTTATAAACATCCAATTAAAAGGAAGAGACTGTCAGGTTGAATAATAAAGCAAGATCCAACTATATGCTGGCTATAAGAAAAGTACTTCAAACAAATAAATTTTAAGTAAAATAATAGAAGAACATATACTATGTTAATACCTAACCCAATACATATATGCAATTCCATTTCCAAATATACATCTAGATAGAGAGAGAGACAGAGAGACAGAGAGAAAGAGAGAGTACTTGGTCTATATACATGTATTAGACCAAGTGAATTTTAGAGCAAAGAATATTACCAAAAATAAAGAATATCACTTAATAATGATAAAGAGGCCTGTTAAACTAGAGGATATAACAATCCTAATGTTTATGTCCCTAAAAACAGAGGCTAAAAATACATAAAACTATAACTAATAGAACTCCAAGGAGAAATAGACAAATCCACATATTATTATATATTTCAAAACCCCTCTCTTAACAAATGATAGAATAGGCAGGAAATCAACAGTGAGATAACAGATTTAAATGACTCTATCAACGAAACTGGCCTTGAGTGGGCATTTTAAAATATTCTGGCCAAAAACAGAAGAATATGCATGCTTCTTAAGTGCACATGGTTTACCAAAGTAACCATATTCTGGGCCATAAAATAAGTATCAACAAATTCCAAAGAATTTGAGGCATATAAAGTATATTCTAAAACCACGAGAGAGGTAAATTAGAAATCATTAACAAAAAGATCCCTAGGAACCCCACAATATTTGAAAAATAAATAACATACTTCTAAATTATCTATGTCAAAGAAGAAAAGGAAAATGAGAAAGTATTTTTAACTTAATAAAATGAAGAAACAACACATGAGAATTGTGGTGATGCCAGTAAAGTAGTACTTAGGGAACATTTATAGCATGTGACCCCTAATTTACAAAAGAAGAAAAGTTTCAAGGCAATGATCTCAGCTTCTATTTTAAGAAAGTAAAAAAGATAAAATTAAACCCAAAGTAAGCAGAAAAAGAAAAGACAAGAAAAGAAACGAAAAAAGAAAAAAAGATCAAAGCAGAAATCAACAACAAAGAAAAATCAATAAAACAAAAAATCTGGGCCAGACGTGGTGGCTCACACCTGTAGTCCCAGCACTTTGGGAAGCCAAGGTGGGAGAACTGCTTGAGGCCAGAAGCTCAAGATCAGCCTGGGCAACACAGCAAGACCCCATCTCTACAAAAATAATTTTAAAAATTAGCAGGGCATGGTGGCACACACTCATAGTTCCTGCTACTCGGGAGGCCAAAGTGACAAGATTACCTGAGCCCAGGGGGTCAAGACTGCAGTGAGCTGTGGCTGTGCCACTACAATCCAGCCTGGGCAACAGAGTAAGATCCTTTCTCTAGCCAGGTTGAGCAGGAACAAAAAAGATACAAATTACCAATATCAGGAATGAAAGAGGTAGCATCAATGCAGATTCCATGGATACTAAAAGACTAATAATGGAATACTATGAACAAGTTTAGGCCAATAAATTCAGCTATTTATGAGGAACTAGACAAACTAAGATATAACAATGAAACCTTATTCAAGAAAGATAACCTGAATAACCCTATATCCATTAAGAAAACAAACCTTACTTAAAAACCTTCCCAACAAATAAAATTGCATGCCCACATGGCTTCACTGGTGTAATCTACCAGTTCTACACAATCTCTTCCAAAATGTTGAAGAGGAGGAAATACTTCCCAACACATTTTATCAGGCCAGCATTATCCCAATACCAAAACCAAAGAAAAACATTACAAGGAAGAAAAATACAGACACATGCCTCATGAATATAGAAGCAAAAGTTGTAAACAAAATTTTATTAAATCAGACAGGCACCATGGCATGTGTCTGTCGTCCCAGCTACTTGGGAGGCTGAGGCAGGAGGAACACTTGAGCCCAGGAGTTCAAGTCCAGCCTAGGCAACATAGCAAGACACTCATCCCCCAAAAAAATGATCAAATCAAATCCATTAATATATAAAAGAGATAATCCATCATGACAAAATGAGGTTTATCCCAGTAATACAAAGCTGATTTAACATATAAAAATCAACCAATGTATTTCACCACATTAAAA
Organism: Homo sapiens; assembly: GCF_000001405.40. Lineage (NCBI taxonomy): Eukaryota > Metazoa > Chordata > Mammalia > Primates > Hominidae > Homo > Homo sapiens. The sequence goes on along the minus strand of NC_000008.11, from coordinate 103,698,520 downwards.
AACAAAATAAAAAACATATGATTAATCTCAACAGATAGAGAAAACACATTTGGCAAAATCCAACATCTATTCCTGATCTTAAAAAACCAACCAAACAACAACAACAAACTCAGCAAAGTAGGAATAGATGGCATCTGTGAAAAGCGTACAGCTAACTTTATACCTAATAGTGAAGACTAAAGGCTTTCTCCCTAAGATTAAGAACAATACAATGGAACGTCTGCTTTCATCCACTTTATTCAAAATTATACTGCAGTTTCTAGCCAATGTACCTAGTCAAGAAAAAAAATCATAATCAGGTAATCCAGGGGAAACAATTATAAGTGGTTAGTTCTTAGCAAAACAAAATAATGAAAAATGGGGATTAACAAGAAAATGAAGAAATGAAATCACATAGGGAAACGAATTTCCACCATTATGTCTAAGTAATGTATGTAAAAAAATAGCTTCCTATTTAAAAACTACTGAAATAAATAAGTAGGTGATAAGATTAGTAAGTAGATAAATGCAAAGTCTAAAGAATTTACTGACACAAATTTTTTTCTTTTGAGACAGAGTCTCTGTTGCCCAGGCTGAACTGCAGTTCTCCTGCCTCAGCCTCTTGAGTAGCTGGGACTACAGGCACACACCACCATGCCCAGCTAACTCTTGTATTTTTAGTAGACATGGGGTTTCACCATATTGGCCAGGCTGGTCTCGAACTCCTGACCTTGTGATCCGCCCACCTCAGCCTCCTAAAGTGCTGGGATTACAGGTTTGAGCCACCGCACCCTGCCCAAACTTTTTCTTTTTTGAGACAAGGTTTCACTCTGTCACCCAGGCTGGAGTGCAGTGGCACAATCATGGCTCACCACAGCCTTGACTTCTCCAGCTTAGGTCATCCTCCCACCTCTGCCTCCTGAGTAGCTAGGACTATAGGGGCCCGCCACCATGCCTGGCTAATTTTTGTGGGTTTTTTTTGTTTTTTTTTTTTTCGTAGAGACAGGGTTTCACCATGTTGCCCAAGATAGTCTAGAACTCCTGGGCTAAAGTGATCCGCCCGCCTTGGCCTACCAAAGGGCTAAGATTACAGGCGTGAGCCATCGTGTCTGGCCACAAGCATTTTAAAATGTTTTTGCTAATTTCAACAAAATATTATTTGGGTTGAATTAACATACTCTCTAACGTGAATAGATAAACACAATAAGCTTAACTAGAAGAGAACTGTAATTTTCATTTCTGTACCTTGTTTGAGCGTAATGACACTCGACCTCCACAACGAGCACAGAACTTTGTTTGGCAATATGAACAGTTATGGCCACATCCATCAGCAAACTTTGTTTTGTGGCAGATACCACAGGTTGGCGCATCACCCTTCTGTTCTTGCTGTTGCTGTGATTCTTCTCCCATCTTCTTTACCTGCTCTTTATACATTTCAAACTGCTGATGCAGTTTTCTGCAGAGAAAATAGATAAGAAAAAAAGTTGGTTTCCTGATGATCTCTAAAGGAAAAATTATCACAATTTATAGACACAGTTTTATAACCAAAAAAATACAAGATGAGAATAAAAAGAATGAAAATTTAATTTTCTGATGATAAATTAACACTTTTCATGGCACATTATTTGTAAAAGTATTGCAACTAGTTCTACCTTCTTTTTTTTTTTTTTTTTTTTTTTGAGACGAAGTCTCGCTCTGTTACCCAGGCTAAAGTGCAGTGACGCGATCTTGGCTCGCTGCAACCTCTGCCTCCCAGGGTCTAGCAATTCTCCCACCTCAGCCTCCTGAATAGCTAGGACTACAGGCACACACCACCACGCCAGCTAATTTTTATATTTTTAGTAGAGATGCAGTTTCGCCATGGCCAGGCCGGTCTCGAACTCCTGACCTCAAGGGATTCGCCTGCCTCGGCTTCCTGAAGTGCTATGATTACAGACCTGAGCCACCATACCCAGTCTCTACCTTCTAATATACATATTAAATAACCAATTAATATAATATGTTTATGGAAATATTTATTGAAATTATATTTCTAAATTTCTATCTTCCATTTGGAGTACATTTTCAATCATATGCTCTAAAATATTTACAATATTATTTTTCTACCATTTAACTTCAGAAATACAGAAAGCTAATTTGACTTACACAGTGAAGCCAAGACCTATGAACTTCAAATCACTGAGACACAGTCTCAATCAGAGTGATTAAAAAGAATCCAAAGAGAGAAAAAACACTAGATAGGCACTCCAGTCAAATGGAAGAAAACTTACATGCTATTAAAAATGAAGAATTCCTTCATTTTGGGGGCTCTTGAGTAGATTTGAAAGTGCTGAGGCAAATATAAATAAACTTAAAAATTAGTCAATAAAAATTATCCAAACTAAAAGAAAAAGAAAAATAGGTGGGGAATATAAAACAACAGTGCATCCAAGAGTTAACCCAACCTACCATATGTGTAATTGTTCACAGAAAAAAAATGGAAATGAAGGAAATATTTGAAGGGATTATGACCAAAAATTTTCCAAAACTAATGAGAGACAACAAATTAAACACAAGAACCTCAGAGAATCCCTGGAAGCACAAATGTCAAATCAACTACCAAATATAAACACATGCCCCTAGTCTGCCTTCATAGTCAAACTGCTAAAACCCAAAGATAAAGAAAAACCTTTGAAAGTGGCCAAAGAAAATACACATTGTATAGTGAAACCCAATAAGAATTAGAGAAGATTACTCTTGAGAAACCATGCAAGCTGGAAAGCTTTGGAGTGATGTCTATAAATTGAGAGAAAAACAAACAAACAAACAAAAAAAAACTGTCAACCCAGGATCTCATACACAGTAAAATTAGGCTTTAAAAAATATAAATAAGTAAATAAAAATTATAAAAATAAATAAAATTTAAAAATAAAAACTTTTCCAGATGGACACATATTGAAGAAATTCATTGGCAGTAGACCTTCACTGCATGGAACTTAAAAGAAGTTCTTGAAACAGAAAGAGTATGATACTCCTTGGAAGTATCATATGGAAAAAGAGACCTAGACAAAGAAATAAATGCTCATATTAAAAATAAAATGTGTCTCAAAAACTTAAGAAAATAGAAAATTAAACTCAAAGAAAGCAGAAGAAAAGAAATACAAGAGATTAGAGCAGAAATCAATGAAACCAAATGCTGGTTTTATGAAAAAAATCAATGGAGACTGACATAAGCAAGTTGAGGGAAAAGGACTTTCCAACATTTGTCCCTCAGCAGAAACATCAATTTGAACAACTACTCATATGTGAAAACACCTTCATGAGACCTAAGGAAACCAGGTGGGAGATTATAGCAACTAAGTGTAGCAAAAAAATAAAAGACGCACTGAACAGGGTAAAAAGGACAGTTTAACATTTCCTGTTCATCCCTCCCCAACCACAGACAACACAGCATAAACAGAGATACTCATCGCTAGGGGGAAAAAGAGAGAACAGAACACTCAACTCTGCCTTGAACTCCAATATCAGGCAATTGTTTACTGTTTCACCAATAAAATGAGGTGCTAGGCAGACCCCCACAGTCTCAGACATCAGGGTTGTATGCACAGACTGAGCCTCCAGGCCCACTCCAGTGCCAAAACAAATCCCACATCCCCAGGCTCCATGCCTGACCATCAGACTTGGTCTTTGGGCCTGCCCAATCTCCAGGATGACTCCAGACTTCTACAATGCCCTCAGTGCCAGGCTGGCTTCCCTGACCTCAGGCTTCAGGCACAACCCAGTATCAGGCCAGGCCCTGCAGTTCAATCATCAGGCTAGCACCCTCAGAACCAGCCTCCAGACAAGCCTCTGTGGATATAGGCTCCAGGCACACCTAGCACCAAACCAGCCCCCGTAGCCCAGGATCCAGGCTGGTATCTGCAGACCAAGCCTCCAAGCCCACCCTGGCATCAAGTGAGATCCCACAGCTCTAGGTTCCAGGCCTGCCCAGTAGACAAGGTCTATATGGAACCTCCAGGCATATTACAGAGCCAGGATAGCCCCAGCCATCCTGGGCTACTGAATACTCCCATTATTATACTGGCTCACATAGTCCCAGGTTACAAGGCATGTCCCAGCACAGCACAAGTGCCTAAAGCCCTAGTCATCAAGCCATCACACAAAGACCCAGCCTCCAGGATGGCACCAGAAGATACAAGTTCCAGGCCCACTCAGCAGAAGACCAGCCCCTGTAGCCCTAGCCTCCAGGCTTCCTTCAGGTTTCAGACCAGCTCAGTAAAACAGAGGCCCGTACTACTGCAAGCATCAGCCCAACACAGCAACATGTTAGCATCCTGGTCTAAGGCAAAGATCAGAACCTGCAAAAACAGATTCTAGGCATACCCAATGCCATGCTGGTCCCTGAGGCCCACCCTCCAGGCCAGCCCTTACAAAGCCACACTCCAGCAGACCAACAGATCAATAGTGTGACAGTAGAACCCAGTGCCAAGCCAAACCACATGGAAAAAGTCTCCAAATCCACTCTTGCGGACACAAGAACAAGTTCCACCCTAAAAGACTCGGGCCCCAGGACCAACCAAGCACCAGGTCAGGTCCCATGGACTCTGGGTCCATCCCAGTGCACCTGTGCACTAACACCATACCAACACCTAGCCAGCCCCTCCTGACACAGGCTCAAGGCCAACTTCAATGCCAGGTCAGCCTCTGTGGACCCAAGTTTAAGGTCAGTTCCCAAAGAAAGAGATTTGAGGACAAAGCCTGCAGACCAAATGAATCGGCCCACAACAGAGGCTCCAGGATCAAAGACTAACCCAACAAACCCAGGGGCCAGGGACACACACCTGCTGACCCAGGCACTGGTTCAGTCTCCCCAAGAATTCCAACAACAAGCCCACCTACCAACCATGCAAACAGCTTGCCCAGAATCACCACATGGGCTGACTGGTGAAGACATTTTCCAAACAAAGACAATCTAAACAGACTGGAATAAGTCCCTACTTCCTACATGCACAGACATCAACAGAAGGTAAGCATAATCATGAAAAACCAAGGAGATATAACACTACCAAAAAAGCAATCATTTCCAGCGAGGAAGAATAAGAAGATGGTGGAAGAGAAGCCTCCATTAATTATCCTCCTCACAGGAACACCAAATTGAACAACTATCCTCATAAAAAAGCACGGTCATAAGGACCAAAGATCAAGTGAGCAATTACAGTACCTCGTTTTAACTTTTATATAAAAAAGAGGCACTGAAGAGGGTAGAAAAAACAGTCTTAAATTCTCGATGCTATCCCTCCTTCACCTATCAGCAGCAGCCACAGGGTGCAGGAAGAGAATCTGTGAACTTATGGAAGGGAGAGTTTAGTAATTGTGGGACTTTGCATTGAAACTCAGTGATGACCTGTCACAGGGGAAAGCAACATCAGGCAGAACTCAGCCACCCCTCATAGAGGGAGCATTTAGACCAGCCCTAGCCAGAAGTGAATTGCCCATCACAGCAGTAGGAACCAGAGTTCAACCAAAGGTAAGCCCCATCACCATGAGCTAAAGGGGTCTGGGATCCTAAATAAACCTGAAAGGCAGTCCAGACCACAAGGACCACAATTCCTGGGCAATTCCTGATTCTGTGCTGGGCTCAAAGCCAGTGGATGAGGGGAGCATGCAACCCAGTGAGAAACCAGCTGAGGTGGCAAAGGGAGTGCTTGCATCACCCCTCCCCCAACCCCAGGTAGCAGAGCTCATAGTTCTGAGACTGTATCCCTCACTTGGAAGAGTATAAAGGACTTTGTCTGGCACCTTGGATACCAGCTCAGCCACAGTAGAATATGGTACCAGGCAGAGTTGTGAGGCCCCCATTCCAGGCCTTAGCTCCCAGACAACATTTCTAGAGATACTCTGGGCCAGAAAGGAACCCACTGCCCTGAAGGAAAGAACCCAGTCCTAGCAGGATTCATCAGCTGCTGACTAAAAAGCTTTAAGGCTCTGAATAGTCAGCAGGAATGCCCAGGCAGTACTTGCCATGGGCCTTGGGTGAGACTCACAGATGTGCTGGCTTCAACAAATTCCCAGTTGTGGTAGCCATAGGAAGAGACTTCACTGCTTGTGGAAAAAAGAGAGAAGAGTGGGAAGAACTTTGTCTTGTGGCTTGGGTCCAGCTCAGGCACAGTAGAATAGAACACCAGGTAGATTCCTAAGGTTTCTGACTCCAGGCCCTGGCTCTGAAATACCATTTCTGAGCTTGTCTGGGAAGAGGAAGCAACTCACCATCCTGAAGAAAAGGACAAAAGCCTGGCTGGCTTTAGCACTTGCTGATTGTAAAGCCCTTGAACCTTGAGTGAACACAGGTGGTACTCAGGCAGTGGTTGCTGTGAGCTTTCGGTGAGGCACAAGGCTGGGCTGGCTTTAGGTCTGACCCAGCGCAGTCTCATTGGTAGTGGCCACAGGGGTACTTGTGTCACTCTTCCTCAACCCCAGGCAGTCCCACACAGACAGAAAGAGAGAGACAGAGACTCCATTTGTTTGGGAGAGAATAAGGAAAGAGAACAAGAGTCTCTGCCTAGCAATCCAGAGAATTCTTCCAGATTTTACCCAAGACCTTATCCAAGGCAATACCTCTGTGAGTCTGCAACATTACTGGGATTGGTGTGGCCCCTTGTGAAGATACAGCTACACTGATCTAAGACATACATCACAATACCCAAGTCCCTTCAAATACCTGGAAAGCTTTACCAAGAAGGATGGGTACAAACAACCCCAGACTGTGAAGACTACAATAAATACTTTACTCTTTGATCCCCAGAAACCAAAGAACACCCACAAGCATCAAGACTACCCAGGAAGACATGACCACACCAAACAAACTAAGTAAGGCACTAGGGACCAATCCCAGAGAGACAGAAATATATGTCTTTTAAGACAGAGGAATTCAAAATAGCTGTTTTGAAGGAGCTCAATGAAATTCAAGATACCACGGAGAAGGAATTCAGAATCCTATCAGATAAATTTAACAAAGAGATTGAAATAACGTAAAAGAATCAAGTAGAAATTCTAGAGTTGAAAAATGTAACTGACATACTGAAGAATGCATGAGTCTCTTCAAAGCAGAATTGATCAAGTAGAAGAAAGAATTAGTGACCTTGAAGACAGGCTATTTGAAAATACACAGTCAGAAGAGGAAAAAAAGAACAAGAAACAATAAAGCACACCTACAAGATCTAGAAAATAGCCTCAAAATGGCAAATCTAAGAGTTATTGGCCTTAAATATATAGACAGAGATGGGGTAAAAGTTCGTTCGAAGGGATAATAACAGAGAACTTCCCAAACCTAAAGAAAGATATCAATATTCGAGCACAAGCAAGTTACAGAACATCAAGCAGATTTAACCCAAAGACTACCTCAAGGCATTTAATAATCAAACTCCCAAAGGTAAAGGATAAAGAAAGAATCCCAAAAGCAGCAAGAGAAAAGAAAGAGAAAACACAGAATGAAGCTCCAGTATGTCTGGCAGCAGACTTCTTAGAGGAAATCAAGACAAAGTAGCATGATTATTCAAAGTGTTGAAAGAAAACAACTTTTATCCTAGAATAGTACATCCAGTAAAAATATCCTTCAAACATAAAGGAATCAAGACTTCCCCAGACAAACAAAAGCTGAGGGATTTCATCAACATCAGACCTGCCAACAAGAAATGCTAAAGGGAGTTCTTCAATCTCAAAGAAGAATGTTAATGAGCAATAGGAAATCACCAAAGGTACAAAACTCACTAGTAATAGTAAATGCATAGAAAAACACAAAATATTATAACACTGTGATTGTGGTGTATAAACTACTGATATCTTGAATAGAAAGATTAAAAGATGAATGCATCAAAAATAGTAACTACAAAAACTTTTTAAGACATAGACACTACAGTAAGATATAAACAGAAACAACATAAAGTTAACAAGCAGGTGAGTAAAGGTTAAGTGTAGTATTTTTATTAGTTTTGTTTTTGCTTATTAGTTTATGCAGTCAGTGTTAAGTTGTCATCAGTTTAAAATAATGGATTCTAAGATGTTATTTATTAACTTCATGGTAACCTCAAATCAAAAAACATACAACAGATACACAAAAAGTAAAATACAAGCAATTAAAGCACACCACAGGAGAAACTGACCTTCACTACAAAGAAGACAGGAAGGAAGGAAAGAAGGAAGAGAGGACCATAAAGCAACCATAAAAAACAAAATGGCAGGAGTAAATCCTTATTAACATTGAATGTAAATCAACTAAACTCTCCAATCAAAAGACACATGCGGCCAGGAGCGGTGGCTCATGACTATAATCCCAGAACTTCAGGAAGCTGAGGTGGGGGGACCACTTGAGGTCAGGAGTTTGAGACTAGCCTGGCCAACATTCTGAAACCCTGTCTCTACTAAAAATACAAAAAAAATTAGCTGGGCATCATGGTGCATGCCTGTAACCCCAACTACTTGGAAGGCTGAGGCAGTAGAATCACTTGAACCCAGGAAGCAGACGCTGCAGTGAGCTGAGATTACGCCACTGCACTCCAGTCTGGGCAACAAAGTAAGACTCCATCTCAAAGAAAAAAAAAAAAAAAGACACATGGAGTAGCTGAATGTATTAAAACAAACAAACAAACAATCAAACAAAAAATCCAATATTCTGTTGCCTAAAAGTAACACACTTCACCTATAAAGATAAACATAAACTGAAAATAAAGAAATGGAAAAAGGAATCTTTCTATTCAAGATATCAGTAGTTTATACACCATAATCACAGTGTTATAATATTTTGTGTTTTTCTGTGCATTTACTATTACTAGTGAGTTTTGTACCTTCACGTGATTTCCTATTGCAAAAGGAAACCAAAAAAGGAGCAGGAGTAACTATACTTGTATCAGACAAAATAGATTTCAAGACAAAAATTATAAAAAGAAACAAAGAAGGTCATTATGTAATGATAAAGGAATCAATTCAGCAAAAGTATATAACAATTATAAATCTATATCCACAAAATACTGAAGCACCCAGATATTGAAAGTAAATATTATTAGAGCTAAAGAGAGAGATAGACCTAAATACAATGATAGCTGGAGACTTCAAAACCCCACTTTCAGCATTGGACAGATCATCCAGACAGAAAATAAACAAAGAAACATCAGACTTAATCTGCACTACAGACCAAATGGAATTAATAGGTATTTACAGAACATCTCATCCAATGACTGAAGAATACACATTCTTCCCCTCAGCACATGGATCATTCTCAAGGGCAGACCATAAGTTAGGCCACAAAACAAGTCTTTAAAAATTAAAAAAATAAAATAAAATTATATCAAGTATCTTCTCTGACCACAATGAAATAAAACTAGAAATCAATAATATGAGAAATTTTGGAAACTATGCAAACACATGGAAGTTAAACAATATGCTCCTGAATGACCAGTGGGTCAAAGAAGAAATTAAAATGCAAGTTAAAAAAATACCTTGAGACAAAGAAAAATGGAAACAACACACACCAAAATATATGTGATGCAGCATGGGCAATTCTAAGAGGACAATTATAACAATAAATGGGTAGATCAAAAAAAGAAGAGAGATCCAAAATAAACAGCCTAAAATTACGACCAAAGAAACTACGAAAAGAAGAACAAACTAAGCCCAAAGTTAGTAGAAGGAGGGAAACAATACGTATCAGCAGAAATCAGTGAAATCAGAAATTTAAAAAATAGAAAAGATAAAACTAAGAGTTGTTTTCTTAAAAAGATAAAATCAACAAGCTTTTAGCTCTAAATGAAATCAGGCATTAAAGAGGAGACATTAAAGTTCATACCACAGAGATACAAAGGATCATAAGACACTACTATGAACTAATACCAATCCTTCTCAAACTCTTCCAAAAAACTGAATAGAAGAGAATGCATCCAAACTCATTTTATGAGGCCAGCATTACCCTGATACTAAAGCCAGAAAATAAACTACAAAAATAATAAAATTACAGGCCAATATTCTTGATGAACATAGATGCAAAACCAAATACTAGCAACCAAATACTAGCAAACTGAATTCAACTGCACATATAAAAGGATCATCCACCATGATCAAGTTGGATTCCTTGATAGTTCAGAATGCAAAGATAGTTCAACATATACAATTCTATCAATGTGATACACCACGTTAACAGAACAAAGTACACAAACTGTATGATCATTTTAATAGATGCAGAAAAAGCATTTGATAAAATTCAATATCCTTTCATGATAAATAAACTCTTAAATTAGGTATACAAGAAATATATGTCAACACAATACAGGTGTTACATTACAAACCCACAGCTAACATCATACTCAACGGTGAAAAGTTGGAAACTTTCCTCTAAGATCAAGAAGAAGACAAGGATACCAACTATTGCAACTTATATTCAACATAGTAATGGAAATCCTAGCAAGAGCTATTAAGCATAAGAAAGAAATAAAAGGCATCCAAATTGAAAAGGAAATTTAATTGTCTCTGTTTGTGGACAACATGATCTTATCTACAGTAAACCCTAAAGACTCCAGTATGTTGAAGAGATATCCATATTCCTATGTTCATTGCAGCATTATTTACAATAGTCAATATATAAATCAATGTAAGTATCCATCAGTGAATGAATCAATAAAAAAAAATGCGGTATATATAAACAATGGAACACTATTCAGCTATAAAAAAGAAAGAAGTCCTGTCATTTGTTACAACACAGATGAACTCAGAGGACATTATGTTAAGTGAAGTAAGCCAGGCACAGAAAGACAAATACTGTATGATTTCATTTACATGTGAAATCTTAAAAAGTTCAACTCATAGAGGTAGAGGGTAGAATTATGATCACCAGAGACTGGGGTATGGGAGGTTAGGGAGATGTTGGTCAAAGGATACAAAATTTCAGTTAGATGGGAGATTCAAGTGATCTATTGTACAACATGATGTCTATAGTTAATAACAATATATTGTATTTTGAAAATCATAAGAGGGTAGACTTTGTTCTCACCACAAAAATAAGTATGTGAGATAATGCATATGGTAATTAGCTGGATTGAATCATTCCACAATATATACAGACTTCAAAACATCATGTTGTGTAAGTATACACAATTTTTGTTAATTTGAAATTAAATTTAAAAATTAAAAAAGCATTTAAGAAAAAAAAAATCACTAAAATTGATAAACCTCGAGTTAGAATGATGAAAAAAACAAGACACAAATTACCTACAGCAAGAATGACAGAGATTACAACAGAACTCACTATTAATCTAAATTAATTTAAAAGACTACAAAGGAATACTATAAGCAACCATATGCCCATATGTATGTATGTCTTTCTTTGAAAGACAGAAGCTAGCATACCTCATTCACCAAAAAAAAAAGATAGCTTGACAAGCTTTATATCCATTAAATAACTTTAATTCATAGTTTAAGAACCTTTCAAATCTAAAACTCTGGTTCCCAATGGTTTCATTGGTGAATGCTACCAAACACTGAAGGAAGAAATAATACCAATTCTACATAGTCTCTCCCAGAAAACAGGATGGAACATTTCCCAACTAATCTCTTAATGCCAGTATTACTCTGTCACTAAAACCACACAAAGAAGCTGGGCATGGTGGTATATACCTGTAGTCCCAGCTACCCAAGAGGCTGAGGCAGGAGGATTGCTTGAGTCCAGGAATACAAGGCTGCAGAGACCTATGATTGCACATTGTACTCCAGCCTGGGCAACAAAGCAAGACCCCATCTCTTAAAAAAAAATTACAAAGATACTGGAAGAAATTATAGACCAATAAAGTATTTCTCATAAGCAGATGTAAAAATCCTCAACACTAAAAATATTAACAAATCAAATCCAAAAATGTGTTAAAGAGTAATACCTTACAAATAGGTGATGTTTATCTTAGGAATGTAAGTTTGGAACCACATTTTAAATTCAAGCAATATAATCTGTCATATTAATATGATTACCTAAAAATATGCTGAGAAAGCATGTCACACAACTGCTTAGCAAACTAGGAATTGACAAAAACTTCCTTAGCACAGTAAAGGCATCTGTAAAACAGTCTACCACTAACATCACACTGTATGGTAAAAAACTGAATGCTTCCCCCTAAGATCAGTAATAAAGCAAGGTATCCTCTTTCACTACTTCTAATCAACATCAAACTGAAAATGCTAGCCACCACATTAAGGCAAGAAAAGAAAAGGAAAATAAAAAGCTTACAGATTAGAAAGGAAAATAGAAAACTATTTGCAGTTGCCCTACCTGTCTTTGTATAAAATCTCAAAGAAACTAGAAAGAAAAAACCTCTTGTAACAAATAAATGAATTTAGCAAGGTCACAGGATACAAGATCAATATACAAAAAACAATTACACGTGTATTTAGTAGCAATGAACAATTGAAAATGAATATTTTTATAAACAGTCTGCAACAGCAGCGAAAAATAAAAAAAGAAAAAAGATTCAGGTATAACTCTAATAAGATATGAACAAGCTTCCTATGGCGAAAACTATAAAACACTGATAAAAGTATCAAAGGAGACCTAAATAATAGGAAAAATATACCACATTAACCAATGGCAAGACTAAAATTGTTAAGATCACAATTCTCTTCAAATCAATCTATTCAATCAATGCCATTCCCAATAAAACTCCCAGCATTTTTTTAATAAAAATTGACCAGCTAGCTCTAAAATTTATGTGAAAAACAAAATCCTGGAATAAACAAAAATATTTTTTAAAAAAGAAGAAAGCTGAAAGACTCAAAGTACCTGATTTGAAGACTTACTATAAAAGCTGTAGTGATCAAGTAAACATGGTACTGACAAAGGATAAAGATACATATCAATGGATGCAATGGGAAGTCCAGAAGTAGTACAATACTTAGTGATCATTAACATTTTTTACAAAGGAGCTGAAGTAATTCAATGGAGAAAAAAATTGTCTTTTAAGCAATTAGAAATTTATATGTAAAACTAGTGATATCATTTGGATGTTTTGTACCCTCTAAATCTCATATTGAAATGTGATCTCCAATGTTGGAGGTGGGGCCTGGTGGGAGGTGTCTGGGTCATGGGGGTGGATCCCTCATAAATGGCTTGGTGCTCTCCTCATGCTAATAGAGTGAGTTCTTGCTCTGCTAGTTCACAGGAGAACTAGTTGTTTTAAAAAGTTTGGGACTACTCCCTGCCCTTGCTCCCTCTCTTGCCATGTGACATGTCTGCTTCCTGTTTGCCTTCCACCATGAATGGAGGGTTTCTGAGGCCCCACCAGAAGCCAATGACAGCACTTTGCTTCTTGTACAGCTTGCAGAACCATGAGCCAAATAAAACTCTTTCCTTTAAAAATTACGCAGGTATTTCTTCATAGCAATGCAAAACAGACTAACATAAATAGTAATTGAAAATCCAAAAAAAAAAAAGAAAAAGAAAATCCATGTGTAAAAAACAAAAACCTCAACTTGTATCTTACACCTTATATAAAAATTAACTCAAAATGAATTATAAAACTAAATATAATGGCTAAAACTATAAAACTTCTAGAAGAAAACATTCAAGAAATTCTTTGTGACCTTGGGATAAACAAAGACTTCTTAGATAGGTTAGGAAAAGATTTCTTTAATAGGATATAAAAAGTATGTGCCAGGTGAAGTGGCTCATGCCTGTAATCCCAGCACTTTGGGAGGCCAAGGTGGGCAGATCACCTGAGGTCAGGAGTTTGAGACCAACCTGGCCAACATAGGGAAATCCCATCTCTACTAAAAACACAAAAATTAGCCAGGCATGGTGGTGGGCACCTGTAATCCCAGCTACTCAAGAGGCTGAGGCAGGAGAATTGCTTGAACCTGGGAGGCGGAAGTTGCGGTGAGCTGAGATCACACCACTGCACTCCAACCTGGGGGATAGAGCGAGAGTCTGTCTCAAAAATAAAATAAAATAAAATAAAATAAAATAAAATAAAATAAAATAAAATAAAATAAAATAAAAAAAGTATGAACCAGAAAGTAGTCATGAACAATATATAAATGAATGAGTGTAGCTGTGTTCCAGTAAAGATTTATTTATGGGCACTGAAATTTGAATTTTATGTTGTTTTTACAATTACAAAATATCATAAACTTAAAAAAATTTAATCAACCATTTAAAAGTGTAAAAAACTATTTTTAACTTGCTGGTTATACACAAACAGGCAGTGGGATAGAACTGGCTTGTGTACCATAGACTGCCTACTTCTCTATGATATAGTTTCATTTATATGACATTCTGGGAAAAGCAAAATCAGATTAATGGTTGCCAGGGGCTGGAGTAGAGTGATGGGCACAAGAAACCTCTTGGGGAAAAGGAAATATTTCTATGTCTTGATTATGCTGATAGATTTTATGTTTGTCAAAACTCACTCAACTATATACAAAAAAGAGGTAAATTTTACTGTAAATAAACTATAGTTCATAAAACCTGACATTAAGAAAAGTTAGATTTCGAAGTGCTAACCTAAAGTCAGCCAGTAAATTAACAGATAAAATTCCAGGAGTCCTTATATCTACTTTGTCACAAAAGTATACTTCCTTTCTACACCTAATATCAATGAAAATTGCTTTAAAACCAATTTTATTAACTTTTTCTGTCACTTCAGATAATACCCTGCTTTTCCCTGATAATCTCACACCAGGTTTAAGTGAAGCTCTGCTAACACAAAACAAGCACCACTACAGGAGGTTCAGGCCCATAAATGAATGAGCTCTGCATTAGAACTTCTCCCACCATTTAAAAGAATCATCTTTCCAAGTGTAGAAATTTGACACATATTTGTACCTTTGTGCCATACTGTGCATTTCCACTGCAACACTGTTGATACACTTCCTAACTTTGAGATGCTTCTCAGTAAATGACTAAACCCCATTGGGAGAAAGAACAAGACAGAAAAAATAGAAAGAGCAATATTGTTTCAGTTCTGGAGGCATTGGAGTACTGGACAATTTACGAAGTGCTATGGTTTGAACGTCCCTGCCAAAACTCATGCTGAACTTAATTCCCAGTGTGGCAGTGTTGTGGCCTAGGAGTTGTTTGGGTTATGTGGACAGATATCTCATGAATAGATTAATGCTCTTCCTTGGGGGTGAGTGAATTCTTGGACTAAAATGGATTAGTTCTCACAAGAGTGAGTTGTCAAAAGACTCTGGCTTTATTCATTTTACTCTCTTACTTCCTCTTTAACCATGTTATCTCTTCACACCTGCCCACTCGCGTTCAGTTTTCTGTTAGAGTGGAAGCAGCATAAAGTCCTCACCAGAAGCCAAGCGGATGCCAGTGCCAGGCTTCTTGAACTTCTGAGCCTGCAGAAACATGAGCTAAATAAACTTCTTTTCCCTATAAATTACCAGCCTCAGCTATTCCATTAAAATAACACAAAATGGACTAAGATACCAAGGAACACTGGAACAGAAACTAAAAATCCAGGTGACTGAACTGTGCTATAACTATAATGACTATGCCTCAAGGGAAGTGGAAGCCGCATTTCTCACACACAAGAGTAGGCCAGTTAAATTAGTAGCAGAGCTAGTAACTATTTATCCCAAACTGTCATATTAGATATTTAAAACTCTCTTACATAAGAACTGTAATGATCCCAGATACTGCAGCACTATCAAGGCTGCAAAATGGAATCAAATGGTTCCAGCTGTAGGAAGAACAGAGATACAGAAGCTACAAGCCAGATAAGACAATGTCTTGATAAGACAGTAATTTGAGGTACTAAGAAACAGTATTTACCTTACTTTAGTTTGAGGTACTAAGAAAGATTTTTTTAAAAAATTTTATTTATTCATCCTACCAGGCCTATAAAATGAGACACTGCTAGACAAAGAGGTGGTGGTATATGGGCAGACTCAGGAGTTAATTGACGTTCCTTGCCAAGATCATATCTTCCCTTCCCATTTACACATAAACAAAATTCTCTGCTTCCTCATGCCAGGCACTCTTCTACTCTATCTCATCACTTTCCAGTCTACTTCCTAATGCTCACTAAATTTATCAATGGCTTCCATGTACCTAAAATTAATGGACAAACGTTTCAGTCATCATATTACTTCAGTTCTGAACAATATTTAAAACTATGTGTCACAGTCCTCACTGTCCACTTAGCTTTTGTAAGACTCCTGGTTTTCTTCCTGTATCTAGGTCCTTTCATTTTCTTTCTCCTTCGCAGGTCAAGACTCATGCCCTCTTCTCTTTTTATTATGTAGAGTCTTCTTAGGCATTTTTATCCATACTTAAGGCTTCAACTTCCACCTATATATAAGTGACTTATAAATGTATACCTCTAGTTCAGACTTTTCCTCTGAGCTTCAGTATTCAATCGCCTACTTAACATTTCTATTTAAATTTCTCAATGCCACCTCAAATTCAAGAAAACTCACAGTTTTCCTACGCAAACCAGATTCCCTTCCATTGTTCCCCATATCAGTAAAATGGTGCCACCATTCAATTATACAGGCCTGAAATCTGGAATTACTCTGGAAATGTCTCTCTCCCTCAAATGCATAATTTATCTACCAATATGTCCTTTCAATTTTACATCCTACATGTGCTTTGAATCCTTCCACTTGTCTCCATTATATGCTGCCAATACTATAGGTCTTGCTAACATCAATTCCCACCTAATCTAGAGAATAGTCTCCTAGTTAGGCTACTCACATCCATGCTTCTTCCCTTCAATCTACTCTGTACACTGCAGAAAAAATTATCTCTACTTAAAAAAAAGAGTTATTCTTCTCTCACTGCTAATTGTTCTTAAGAAAAATCTTATGAGGACCTATAAAACCTTGGATATACTATACACATCTTTAACTTAATTTTTTTGCAGTTTCTTTTCCCACTTTCTGCTAAAGCCTTTCTTTCAATCCTTTTTCTTTCATCCCATTATAGACTATATTTTATACATGCTCTTGCCTGTCTAGAATGAATGAATGGATTGCTATGTACACTTTTTTTAATTCTCTTTTTTAAAACCTTAGGTATCCATAATATAATTGATCATACCCTTGGTAGCACTGGTCCACGCTTGGTTCTTGTTCTAATTAACTATTTTCCCTTCCCCAATTTGATTTCCCTTCCCTGAGGAAACCAGTCTTGTACATTTACATATATGGCATGTGTGCCATTTACTTATTTCCATTTATTTTTGTCATTCAATTTTACATTTTTATATTAAAATCTAAATAGCTAATGTGCATGGTACTTACTATGTAACAGGTAAATAGATGCTGTTATCATTATTCATATTATTGTCCCTATTCTACAGACAAGTTATGTGGCTCATAGTCAAACAGCTGGTAAATGGTAAAAGCCAAATCCAAATTTAGTGTTGTTCCAAGAGTTCGTGCTCTTTACCCCTATAGTTGCTGCATCTAGTTCATGCATTTTAATGGCTGTATAATGTTTCTGTTTGGATAATCACATTTTATTCATCCATTTCTTTAAGTTGGCTCTTTATAATTCGTTACTCTTTAATATATCTATGCCATATTTTTTAAACCCATATAAAGTTTTCCCTAGGGCATTTACGCAGAAATATGACGAACATACTAACATTCACTAGATACTTTTTAACTGCTCTTCCAAATGGATTAACCCTGTTAGTACACCTGCAAGCAAAGTATGAATATTCTAGTTTTCTCTCATTCTTGCCAATGTGTGATTATTACTCAACTTTTTAAATTTTTGCTGATTTGATAGGTATTAATTGATGTCCCATTTTTTAGTTCATAGTTTTCTGATTTCAATGAAATCCAGTCAATTTGACTGCCCTTCCGATGAACTGCCTATTCATATCCTTTACTGGATTGGATTTCCTGTATTATTCTTCATGATATGCAGGCGTATACTATATAGCCTATATATACATAGTTGAACATAGGACATTTCTTCTCTCAGTCTGTTAATTTTGCTAAACAGAAATCTTTAATTTTGAGGTAGTCAAATACTTCAATTTCTCCCTTCATCATTTGTAGCTTTGGTGGCTGGCTATATAAAACAAAACAAAACAGAACAATCTTACCTACCCCTAAGTCAGGCACCAAAAATTTCTGTGGTTTCTTCTAGTAGCTTTATAATTTTACCAGTCATATTTAGGCTTTTAATCAATCTGAAGTTTATTTTTATATGTGCTGTGATGCAGGGATTTAATGTCAATCTTCTCCATATAGAGATCCTATATTCCAAGCATCATATACTAGCTAGTTCGTCCTTTCTTCCACTGATTTGTGATATCAATCTATCATATACTAAGTTCCCATATATACATAGGTCTGTTTATGAACTCTGCATTCTATTTCAATGGTGTTTTTGTCTGCCTTTACTCCATAACAAGATAATAACAACCAAACTCCAAATAAAATTAAAGATCCAAAAAATCTTAAATATATAAATTTGAATATATAACTTTCTAGTGATGTAGATCAGAAGTCAACAAACTTTTTCTGTAAAGCACCAGACAGTAGCTAATTTAGGCCTTGTGGTCCATACAGTCTCTGTCACTACTCAACTCTGCCACTGCGATGCAAAGGCAACCACTAATAATATGAAAACATGAGTTTGACTATATTCCAATAAAATGCTATTTACAAAAGCAGATAGCAGGCAGGATTTTGGTCCACAGGCCATATTTTGCAAATTCTTGATGTAGATAAAAGAGGCAAAGATATAATCATAAAACTAGTTTAAAACTTTTATTACAAATAAATATTTAAATAAATATAAATTTAGAAATATTTTTCTACTTTCTTATCTCATAAAGTTATTGTATCTAAATTTTTCAGGTATATCTTCTATATCAAAGTCTCCCTCATCACTAAGGAAACTAAATGAATTCAGTATTTTCTAAAGTAAATATTTTTCACTTCTGAGTTCTGTGAAATAATGAAACTTCTTCAATTCATATTTACTGCTGTTCCTGGCAATTTTTTCCCCAGCCACTTAGTTTTGTTGTTGTTGTTTACCTATTCATATTATAAGTGTGTTTTCATATTCTCCAAAAGTTAACTACCTCTATTACTCCTTTTTAAAGTAATCTTTTAAAAAGTTTGTTTACTAGGATTTCCAACACTTGCCACTGTGAGGTCATACCACTGTGAATTTCTTGATTGATGTTAAATTTCTTGTTTCTCTATAGGATAGGTATACAAAACTAGATTTGTTTGAGGTCCCTTAAGGATAATATGTTCTCTCCAAGCAGTTCTCTGTAGTTCAAAATAAAGAAATTAAGAGCTCCTCATAAGATAAGATTTATGAGGACTCAAATTGAGCAGTTTCCTTTTGCTAGAGGGTTGGTTTCGGGGGAAGGGGAGAATCCATATATTTCAGGATATATAGTGTTCTGGCTTTGTAACTTGCTTTGCTATCTGGTAAAAAGGGTTTGCCTCTGGTCTTCTTCATGGAAACTTACCATTTGTAAAATGACTTCTTCCATATAAATATTATAACCCTTTTATCCAACTTTCTTGAAAATCCTAGAGGGACTTTTATTAAAATTGCATTATATTTATAGATTACTTTTAGGATAATTGACATCTTCACAGTGTTGAGTCTTCCCACCTAAAAACATGTGTCGGCATTTATTGCCAATCCTTAAAAAAAACAGTAACCACCTGTATGGATTACAAGTGATTCTTTTAACTCAAATTTTTCTATCTTAACTTGTGATCCACCCCCAGATAGTCCATGAATAGATTGGTATTTCAATTGAATTGACTTCCTTTTTAATTGCATGTATTATCTTTTATGCATTTAAAAACATTTTGAGAAAGAATCGATAGGCTTCAACAGGCTGTCAAACGTATTCATATACAAAACAGATTAAGGACCTCCAATAAATATTTCCATGTTCTATATGTTGTTTCAGAAAGAAAGAAAAAGCAAGTTCTCTAACAATGTCATGAAGCTAATATAACCATACTTTCTACTCTTCACTTCCATACTCCTACTTATTCTCATGCACTTCAATATCACTTCCTTGGAGAGGTATTCCTTAACATCACTGACTAGGTCAAATCCCTCTGTTAAATATTATCAAAGCACTGTATTATATGACATTTACTACAGTTGCACCTTTTGTTCATGTATGTAATTATCTCATTAATCTCTACCTCTCTAATTAGAAAAGTCATGAGAATTGCTTTGTCTGTTTTTGCTTTCCAGTTTATCCCAGTGACTAGCATAATACATGGCTCATAGTCAAGTTCTCAATACTTACTGAATGTTTACATTAATAATGAATAAACAAATATGTATTGTGTGTATATTATTTGATACATGATAGAGAAAAACATAAAGTTGAATATTACCCTGTTCTTGTCATCAGTAAAATAAGATAGATATGAACATGCATAGATATGAGACAGACATGGAAACAAATATAATTAAGTCTATTAAATTAAGTTTAGCCTACAGCTGGCTCCTTATAAGTTTGTCCTAAAGGTTTCGCCATACATCTGTCTGGAGTACAGTTACATAGTGAACTGTAACCTAAATGGATGTATACACAGACTGTAACCTACTCTTGTAACTATCACTGAGTTTCAGCAAAGCACAGATAAATAAATAAATGCATACACACATACATACAGAATAAATAAATAAGGCAAGCACCTAACTGTAACTAATTCAGCTCCTTCTGTACATCTCTTCTGTATTTTTGTATGTCACTTCTTTTTTTTTGTCCACGAATCTTTTCCAACCACACAGAAGCACTGGAGTCTCTCTGACTCTGTTCTGGTTGGGGGGCTACCTGAGTCACAAATCATTCTTTGCTCAATTAAACTGTTAAATTTAATTTGCCCAAAGTTTTTAATTTTACCACATGGTATCAGAAGTAGGAACCAAAATAGAGCTTCTAGTGAGCCCCAGGAGCATTGGGTAACCAAGCAAAGTACCTGCCTGGCCATTGTGTCCATTGCTGTCCCAGAAACTGGAGACTGTGGGTAAGTTCTCTCTCGGATTCTTAAGATCCATGGATTTCTGTTTTGAGCTATCTAAGTTTGTTTGAGCAAATTTTTTATCTGAACTGGGTTCAGAAGTTATGACAGAAACTAAACTGGGTCCCAGATCACACTCTATCTGATAATTATCTGGCCTGATTCCAGTTAGAGGCCTAAGGTGTCTGACTAGGTCAGGTAGAAACTGGCAGTAAATGACAATATTGCATGGGATGTGAACTCCAGCTTTCAGGAGTTCTCAAAGACTTTTGTGTACCATCCCCTTTGTTTCTTTTTTTTTTACACACTTAAGTAGGAAAAAATCATTGGCTAAGTTGATCAAGCGGATCTGAGAGGCAAAGCCAAGATTCCATGTGAAAATGGAATCCTAATTTCTAAAGAACTGAGTACATCAACTTCCAACTATATCTACATTTACCTGTATAAGTATTAAGCCCCAAAAGCATCAAACACTTGGAGAAATGGCAAAATCTGACTAAAGGTAATTTAAAATTACACTGAAACATTCCAAATGAATGACACTACACTTTAAAAAGTATATTTTATTTATTTTTAAGACAGTCTTACTCTGTCACCCAGGCTGGAGTGGACTGGCACAATCTCAGCTCACTGCAACCTCTGCCTTCTGGGTTCAAGCTATTCTCCTGCCTCAGGCTCCTGAGTAACTGAAATTACAGGCATGCGCCACCATGCCTGGCTAATTTTTTGCATTTTTAGTAGAGACAGTGTTTCACCATGTTGGCCAGGCTACTCTTGAACTCTTGACCTCAAGTGATCCACCCTCCTTGGCCTCCCAAAGTGCTGGGATTACAGGTGTAAGCCACCATGCCCAGCCAAGGAGTATATTTTAAAATGAGGGCTCCTGAATTAAGCTCACCCAGATATTCCTATTGATATGCAGAAGCTTCTAAAAATATTTCAGTATTGTTATTCCCTCTTTATTAAAAAAAAAAAAGACTTTAAAAGGCAAATAAAAAGCTTAAGCAACTAACTGAGAAGAAGAATTGAATCTGCTTAACTTTTGGCTTAATTAATATCCTGTTCTGAAGGAAAAAAGAAAGCTATTCTGGATAAAGTGTTTATAAAAGGTAGGCCCTCAGGTAAAGTAGACTTGCTTCTTTTTAAGAGCTATACATGCTAAATCCAGGCATAAAGGCTTTCTTTGCCCTATTCCTTAAGGGGCTCTACCCTGAGCTCAGTAATTTTAGCTAAGAAACAATAGCTTAGTTTAAAAGACCACCTATTGAACTAAATTGTTTTGAAAATATACCTTTCTGGCATTTAACAGTCTATATAAAAACCCTTTTGCAAAAAAGTTTACATCTATAAGGAAATTTCCATTTGTAAGGGTGTATGAAAGGGAAGACTAGGTCACTAGGAACTCTTACCATTGTTTTAAATTTACATAACAAGTCTTACCTTTGTTTAAGGTAGTTTTCTGGCCATCTTGTCTTAAATGGGTCTTTATGTACCTTTTTTCCTTGGGTTGAATAAATGGTGATAGGATATTTAGGCCTAAAGTCTCAGCTCTGTGCTTTTCAGATATAAATTTTCTACCTTTTTTTCACCTAAGAGTCATCACTTTAAAAGACAAATTGTTGCTTAACTAATAATTGCTTAGGACAAAAAAACAGGTATTTGTAAGACTGATAGAGTAAATAGAGAAAAGAAAAACTATTTAAAAGTCCACAAACCAGAATTCCTTATAAAAGCTAAAAGATCTGCTTTTGTCTGAGTGTCTGTATGTCTGCAAGTCTGTATGTGTTATGTGCATGTGCTGATACTTTGTAAAAAAAAAAGGAGTTTTAAAATTGTTGGTAAAAAAAATAAGAATGGCTTCATAATTGTCAGTTAAATATAATACGGTAATTTCTGCCTGGGTGTACTGGTCAGATAGGCTTATGCTATCTCTGTTACATGTTTCAAGGTCACAAAACTGCTGCTTCCTTAATATTTTTAATACTTGTTTAATTTGACGGTGAACTTATGTTTATGTTTCAAGCCTCTAGGTTCTGGGATCTGGACAGGCATCCAAGGTAAGACCTGAAGATATGTCCTCAGTACTTAGACCACCAGCTGCAGGGCCGAGTCAAGCCCATTCCTCCCTGGTCCAGTTTTGCCTCCTAGCCATTCTGCAAAGGGTTGCATGGAACAGGAATCACTTTCACAGCTGTCTTCTCTTCTGAGTTCTACACCTAATATGTAAATTCAGGACCCAGATGGGCCCTGGCCTTCATAGCCATCCAGGATGCCATGTGGCTACCTGAGACCCAGGACTACTAGGAAAGACTTTAGAGAGGGTAACATTTCAAAATTCTTTTCAGGACCAGTTCTGGTGGCTCATGTCTGTAATCCTAGCACTTTGGGAGGCCAAAGCGGGCAGATCACTTGAGGTCAGGAGTTCGAGACCAGCCAGGCCAACATAGTGAAACCCCATCTCTACTAAAAATACAAAAAATTAGCCGGCCATGGTGGCGAGTGCCTGTAATCCTCGCTACTCAGGAGGCTGAAGCAGGAGAATCATTTAATCTTTTCAGTAGTTTAAAATCTTCAAATCATATTAAATTAAGTAACAAATAATCAAAAAATGATTCATTTGTAAGTAAATTAAAATATTGAAACATTAATTATTAAATATAAATTCAAGGTTATATACTTTGGCATCTTACTTTTATGTTGCATAAAAATGCTAAACATATTTAAATCAATTAAACAAAAATTTGAGAAAACATAATTCTAAAAATCATAAAATCATTTTCATCAGCAAATGCTGATATAAAACAGTTCAAAATTACTTATGCTAGGTTTTCACTAAAAACCAGGGTTACTAAGAGTTAAAATTATAGTTAATGTGTGTAATTATAACTACTAGATATAGGAAAAACAATTCTATATACAGTGTATAAAGAAAAGTAAGATATGTTTTTAGTGAGAAAAGTTGTAAAGGCATAAAAATATGCATTTGTTGAGAAAATCAATTCTGCCCATCTAGAAGTTACTTAAAGGTTGCTTCAAATTAAAAAAATAAAAAAGATATAGATACAAAAAAAACAGTTAAAAATAAAAAGAATTTTAAAATTTTCTAAGAGATCATAAAAGGTTTATGAAAATCTTGTGTGGTCAAAAGCTATCTGAGACTGGATGGATTTGCTTATAAGATTTTAGCAATATTAACTTCTATATTGATAGTATCAAGGAGTAGGGCATTGCTATAAAGATACCTGAAAATGAGGAAGCAACTTGGGAACTGGGTAATGGGCAGATGTTGGAAGAGTTTGGAGGGCTCAGAAGAAGAGAGGAAGATGAAGGAAAGTTTGGAACTTCTTAGGGACTGATTAAACAGTTGTGACCAAAATGCTGATAGTGGTATGGACACTAAAATCAAGGTTGGCAAGGTCTCAGATGGAAATGAGAACCTTACTGGGAGCTGGAACAAATGTCATGCATGTTATGCCTAAGCAAAAAGTTTAGCTGCATTCTGCTCATGTCCTAGGGACCTGTGGAAGTCTGAACTTCAGAGTGATGACCTAGGGTATCTGAAGGAAGAAATTTCTAAGCAGCAAAAAGTTCAAGATGTGGCCTCCCTGCTTCTAACAACCTATACTCACATGTGGGACCAAAGAATAATCTAAAGTCAACAATTACATTTCAAAGGAAATAGAGCCTAAAAGTTTGGAAAATCTGCAGTCTGGCCATGTGGCAAAGAAAAAGCTTTTATGGGAGAGGAATTCAAGCTGGCTGTGAAGCAACAACTTACTAGAGATATTTATATTACTAAATGGGAGCCAACTGCTAATATTCAAGACAATGGAGAAAAGACCTTGATGGAGTTCAGAAACCTTCATGGCGGGCCCACCTATCACAGGCACTGAGGCCTGGGAGAACAGAAACCACTACCCTGTGCCACCTCAAGACATGGCACCTGGCATGCTGGCTGCTCTAGCTACAGCTACAGCTGGGGCTCAAAGAGGCCCAGATACAGCTTGAGCTGACACTTTGAAGAATGCAAGCCATGAGTCTTGGCAGCTTCCACATAGTATTAAGATTGCAGGCACACAGAGTGCAATCTCGGCAGCCTCCTCCTAGATTTGAGAGGATGTATGAAAAAGCACAGTGTCCACGCGGAAGCCTCCTAAGAGTGGAGCCCTCACAGAGAATCTCTACTAGGAGAGTGCAGAGGAGAAATGTGGGGTTGGAGCTTCCACACAGAGTCCCCCCTGGGGCACTGCCTAGTAGAGTTGTGAGAAAGGGACCACCATCCTCCAAAATCCAGAATGGTAGATCCAGTGGGAGCTTGAATCCTGCATGTGGAAAAGCTGCAGGCACTCAATAACTTATGAGAGCAGCTACAGGGGCAGTACCCTGCAAAGCCACAGGGGTGGAGCTGCCCAAGGCCATAGGAGCCCACCTCATGCACCAGTGTGTCCTGCACGCAGGACATGGAGTCAAAGGAGATTTCTTGGAGCTTTAAGAGTTAATGACTGCCCTGCTGAGTTTCAAACTTACATGAGACCTGTAGCCCCTTTCTTTTTGCCAATTTCTACCTTTTGGGATAAAAATGTTTACCCAATTCCTATACCCCACTTGTACTGTGGGAGTAGATAACTTGTTTGATTTTACAGGCTCACAGGTAAAAGAGACTGGCCTTGTCTCAGATGAAACTTCGGACTTTGGACTTTAAACAATAGAACAAGTTACAATGTTGGGGGACTGTTGTGAAGGCATGATTGTATTTAGTTATGTGAGAAGGAAATGAGATTTGGGAGGGACAAGGGATGGAATGATATAGTTTGGAGATTTTTCCTTACCCAAATCTCATGTAGAATTGTAATCCCCAGTGCTGGAGGTGAGGCCTAGTATAAAGTGTTTGGGTCATGGGGCTAGATCCCTCATGGCTTGGTGCTATCTTCACTATAGTGAGTGAGTTCTCACTAACTCTGGTTATCTTTAAAAGTGTGTGGCACCTCTCCCCACCATCCTCTCTTCTTCCTGTTCTAGCCATGCTCCTACAATGGCCTGTTCCCCCTTCACCTTCCACTGTGACTGTAAGCTTCCTGGGGCCTCCCTAAAAGCCCAAGCAGATGCCGGCACCATGTTTACTTTAAAGCCTGCAGAACTGTGAGCCAATTAAAACTATTTTGTTTATAAATTACCTAATCAATGGCATTTATTTATAGCAATGCAAGAATGGCTTAATATAATTCATAATGTATTAATACATAAATAACATTTGGTATTTTACTTTGAACAAGATTTGCATATAATATTAATAAGAGATAGTAGATAAATTTCTGTTCAACATTTGAGTAAACTGTGAAGAAAAAAAAAACAATAGAAGACAGAAGCAGACACAGATACTGTCCCATATTGTTTTCATTAGGTCTCCAGATTGTTTGGAAAACTGAAAACAGATTTTTGCTTTTTAAAACCTTTTATTTATCCCTTTGGCTAAATAAATATTATTTACAGTGACTAGTGATCCTGTTTTAATTGTTTTAAACCTTTGACATATTTGATATGTTTCCCAAAATCAAACTTCAAATTAAAAGTTGTCTTTTTGTGACCTCAAACTACTTTGGAATGCTACAGAGGGACCCTGAAACATTCAAAAGAGAGATGAACAGGCTTATTTGGTATGTTAAAGCATATGGGAAGCATTGTCAAATAAGAAATGTTTTACCCTCTTTGAGTTATATTTTCATGAATACGTTATTAATATATGTTCCAAAATTGTATGTGATTCCTAAAATTCTGTTATATCTTGGTAGGAAATCAGTCATAACTATAGTTATTATGTTAAGTTATTATAGGCCACAGAAACAACCAAATTTTCTTCTCACTTGTGTCTTTGATCATGATCATATTAATTCTTGTCCACAGTTAACTGCTTAATTCTGATGCATTTTAAAACAGCTCTTTACAAGCAAATAAAATCCTAAAGTGTTGTGTCTTCATGGAAGTTCATGGAAAGGGTAGAAAGGACCATAAGAAGCACCTTTGAATACAGGTTTCTGATGACTTTAGGATCATATCATTTGGACTAAGTAAGGATTCCTAGTACTCCAATGAAAAGACTAACTGATTTATAAAACTGCTAATCCAAGGAGGACAATAATTAATTGAATACCAAGAAAATACTTTGCCAGGTTTTCATAATAAATCAGCCAGCACTGAAATTATTAAGATGTGCTATTCGAATGAACTCCATGATGCAAGTCAAATTACCAATGTGATATGGTTTGGCTGTGTCCACACCCAAATCTTATCTTGAAATGTAGCTCCCATAATTCCCACGTTTTGGGAGGCACTCGGTGGGAGATAACTGAATCATGAGGGCGGTTTCCCCCATATTGTTCCCATGGTAGTGAATAAGTCTCACAAGATCTGATGGTTTTATAAGGGGAAACACTTTTGCATGGCTCTCATTTTCTCTTTGCCTGCCACCATGTAAGACGTGCCTTTCGCCTCCCACCATGATTGTGAGGCATCCCCAGGCACGTGGAACCATGAGTCCATTAAACCTCTTTCCTTCATAAATTACCCAGTCTCAAGTATGTCATTATCAACAGCATGAAAATGGACTAATACAGTAAGCAGGTACCATTAGAGTGGGGTGCTACTGTAAAGGTACCTGAAAATGTGGAAGCAACTTTGGAACTGGGTAACAGTCCAGAGATTTGGACAGTCTGGACGGCTCAGAAGAAGACAGCAAAATGTGGGAAAGTTTGGAACTTCCTAGAGACTTGTTGAATGGCTTTGACCAAAATGCTGATAATGATATAGACAATGAAATCCAGGCTGAGGTAGTCTCAGATGGAGATAAGTAACTTGTTGGGAAGTGGAGCAAAGCTGACTCTTGTTATTTTTTAGCAAAGAGACTGGCAACATTTTGTCCCTGCCCTAGAGATTTGTGGAACTTTGAACCTGAGAGTGATGATTTAGGGTACCTGGCAGAAGAAATTTCTAAGCAGCAAAGTATTCAAGAGGTGACTTGGGTGCTGTTAAAAGCATTCAGTTTTAAAAGGGAAACAGCATAAAAGTTCAGAAAATTTGCAGCCTGACAATGCGACTGAAAAGAAAAACCCATTTTCTATGAAGAAATTCAAGCCAGATGCAGAAATTTGCTTAAGTAACGAGGAGCCAAATGTTAATTGCCAAGACAATGGGGAAAATATCTCCAGAGCATGTCAGAGACTTTTGCAGCAGCCCCTTCCATCACAGGTCTAGAGGTCTAGGAGGAAAAAAATGGTTTTGTGGGCTCAGCCCAGGGTCCCCCTGCTGCGTGCAGCCTAGGGTCTTCGTGCCCTGCATCCCAGCTGCTCTAGCCATGTTTAAAAAGGGCCAAGGTACAGCTTGGGCTATGGCTGCAGAGGGTGCAAGCCCAAAGCCTTGGCAGCTTCCACCTGGTGTTGAGCCTGAGGGTGTACAGAAGTCAAGAATTGAGGTTTGGGAACCTTTGTCTAGATTTCAGAGGATGTATGGAGACGCCTAGATGTCCAGGCAGAAGTTTGCTGCAGGGGCAGGGCCCTCATAAGAACCTCTACTATGGCAGTGCAGAAGGGAAATGTGGGGTTGGAGCTCCCACACAGAGTCCACACTGGGGCACTGCCTAGTGGAGCTGTGAGAAGAGGGCCACCATCCTCCAGACCCCAGAATGGTAGATCCACTGACAGCTTGCACTGTGCACCTGGAAAAGCCACAGGCACTCAGTGCCAGCCCATGAAAGCAGCCGGAAGGGGCTCTGTACCCTGCAAAGCCACAGGGCAGAGTTGTCCAAGACTATGAGAACCTACCTCTTGCATCAGTGTGACCTGGATGTGAGCCACATGGAGTCAACAGAAATCATTTTGGAGCTTTAAGATTTGACTGTCCCACTGGATTTCAGACTTGCATGGGGCCTGTAGCCCCTTTGTTTTGGCCAATTTCTCCCATTGGGAATGGCTGTATTTATCCAATGCCTATACTCCCACTGTATCTAGGAAGCAACTAACTTACTTTTGATTTTACAGGCTCATAGGTGGAAGGGACTTGCCTTGTCTCAAATGAGATTTTGGACTGTGGACTTCTGAGTTAATGGTGAAATGAGTTAAGACTTTGAGGGACTGTTGGGAAGGCATAATTGGTTTTGACATATGAGGACATGAGATTTGAAAGTGGCCAGGGATGAAGTGATATGGTACAGCTATGTCCCCACCCAAATCTCATCTTGAATTGTAGCTTCCATAATTCCCACGTTTTGGGAAGAACCCAGGGGGAGACAACTGAATCATGGGGGCAGTTTTCCCTATACAGTTCTCTTGGTAATGAATAAGTCTCACGAGATCTGATGGTTTCATAAGGGGAAACACTTTCGCATGGCTCTCATTCTCTCTTTGCCTGCCACCATGTAAGATGTGCCTTTTGCCTCCCACCATGATTGTGAGGCCTCCCCAGCCACATCAAACTATGAGTCCATTAAACCTCTTTCCTTTATAAATTACCCAGTCTTGGGTATATCTTCATCGGCAGCGTGAAAACAGACTAACAAACTATGATAATCCATCTAGAAAACAATGCTACACACTTAATTTGGAGAAACAAAATTGGTATTTAAGAGAATATAAATCCAATGTTAAATGTAGACTCACAGAGAGAGGCTGGACAGTCACCTGTAATTCCTAAATCCTTAAACCTCCATTATTAAAAGCTCTAGCTGGGCATTGTGGCTTCTACCCATAATCCCAGCTTCTCAGGAGGCTTAGGTGGGAGAATTGCTTGAGCCCGGGAGTTCAAGGCTACACTGAGCTACAACTGTGCCACCACACTCCAGCCTAGGTGACAGAGCAAGACTCCATCTCTAAATAAATAAATACATAAATAAATAAATAAATAAATAAATAAATCGTCTATACTCCATGACTCACCATGGAGGAGATAAAATGATCCAAATAGAATACACACATGCATGCACACACTCACACACACACACACTTACAAACTGGTGTGGTGACT
The DNA here is from genome assembly GCF_000001405.40 of Homo sapiens. Classification (NCBI taxonomy): domain Eukaryota; kingdom Metazoa; phylum Chordata; class Mammalia; order Primates; family Hominidae; genus Homo; species Homo sapiens. The sequence continues at coordinate 103,668,544 of NC_000008.11, read as the reverse complement.
CTTCTAAATTACCAAAATGACTTGTGACAAATATACTTCAGGTATATTTCTGCTACCTGATTGGCCATTTGAACATAGAAAGATTTCATTCCATTGTTGTTTTCAATGCATATATTCTGGTTATACAGAAGCTTTCTCATACAAGAAGGTTAATCCTATAACAGTAGCTAAAAGGTTATCAGAAAATGTATTTCCCTCATGGGACATTCCTGGAAAAGTCTCTAGTGATAAAGGTACTTGTTTCACTGGACAAGTAAAATAAATAAGGTATTACAAATACAGTAACATTAAGCAAAACTAATTGAATCAACTAGGTTGCCTTGGTCAAAGATATTGCAGATTGATAACAATCAGATCTAGTTCCAGAGGAAAATATAAGTTGATCCCTTATGAAATAGTCACTGGAAGGCCTATGCTCCTAATAATAGAACCTCATGTATCTTCCATTCCTAAACTCTAATATGACTAAATTCTACCAGGCTTTAATGTATTATGCCAAAGTGTATTTTCACCAGGTTAAAGAAAGTTTGTCATGGTCCCCCAACAGAGGACAATCAAACCCAGGTGATCTAAAACTCAGAGATTTGGTCTTCTGGAAACATCAAGGAAAGACTGCCCCTGCCACCCACACTGCAACAAAACTGTGGGACTGTGAACCTTAAGCTTGTAATCTCACAACTCAGAAGATCCCCTACAGACTCTTGGAACTATACACCCATTGGAGACCTTAAGGTAAAGCTAACCACAGAAGTTTCTCCCTAGAAGCAGATGACATCCCAGATTCAGACAGCTTTCCAAAGATCACAGATCAAGACTTCTCTGCTATCATGAAACTCTTACTTCTCAATTTTTTCCTTGCTTATACCTCTATGAGCAATACCACTGGAAAAGGGGTTTGTGTGCACTCATGAAGTATACTTTTATTTGTGGGGGATTTTGCAGCCAACCTTATTTATGGACAACCTATGCTTTGATACATGAAAGATGAAAAACAACGTGTTCAAGAAATTTTAATATCTTTGTTGCTTCATAATGTCAGAGACAGAACAGTGGTCCACTCCTCTTAACCTACGTCATCAGTTCAAGAGAAAACTGCCAGAAGGCCTTCATTATTCCAGATGGGCGGTCTCTTTTTACACAGTTTGGAGTAAATGAGGCAATGATTAAAAATTTATTCCTTATAACAGGTTCTACAGCAGATTCTACTGCAAAGACTATGGGTGCACAAAAAGCTTCTTTAAATTCTCTTGCTGAAGTTATGCTACATCCAATAAAATTATAACTTACTGCTGAACAGAGAAGTATCTGTGAAGTTACTGACACTTCTTGTTGCACATGACACATACATTATGTATTATAGAGATTCTGTTGTAGGGGATTAACAAATAGGTTGCTTGGTTGAAACAAACAGATGCTTTATCTAGCTTATTCTTTGGTCTTTGATTTTAGCTGGTTTGGTTCATGAGGATCCCAGCTAAGGCATACTCCAAACTCTTGGTATTATCCTCCTGACAGTCATAATAGTCATCTCCCTGGTGCACTGTATTCTCTCAAAAGTTTTAAATGTTTGCATACAGTCATCTATAGAATGTCAAATGGTTTCTCTTCAACTGGAACAACAAAAACTCAAAGAAATGCATGATTATGAGAACACCATAACCTATGAACGACACACTGTGACTGGAAACCCTAAATGATGGTAACTAAGAGTAGTGCTAATGCCCTAAGCTTTGCTCACACTCTCACCTACGTAAAAACCTGACCAAAAGGATGAGTTAAACAAAATTATGGGAGGTCATTGTTTTGGACTGAGCTCATACACTAGGCCTTAACAGACCAGACCAGATCAAATCAAGATGGAGTCACTCATGCTAAATGCAACATAATCAAATTGAAACTTTAAAGAAGCAGATAGCCCCCCAAAAAAGACCAGAAATGTTTTTCTCTCTTGAAAACAGGACATTCCAGCATAATAAGGAAGTCTCCTCTAGGCTACCTTTTACAAAAAAGTAAGTTAAAGTCCTGTTTACAAGGACTTACAAAACCCACTGTTCTGCTATTTTCTAGTGAGATTTGAGACCAAGTAAATACATTTATCATGGCAAAAGAATGATGTCAACGCATAAAGTTTTGGTCAACCTCTCCGGTTGACCAAATGAAGGGAATTGTTAAATTAGGCTTAGCCTAAAACTGCCCTCATTATAAGTTTGGCCTAAAGGTTTCTCTGTACATAGTGAACTGTAATCTAACTAGATGTATAAACAGACTGCAACTTACTCTTGTACCAATCACTGAGTTTCAGGCAATAACAGGTGACCAACTGTTCAACTGTAGCAAATGCTGAACTGCAACACATCCAGCTATTCCTGTACCTCATTTTCATTTTCTGTACATCATTTTCCTTTTTCTGTCCATAAATCCTCTCTGACCATGTGGCAGTGCCAAAGTCTCTCTGAATCTATTCTGGTTCAGGGGATTCCTGATTCAGGAATCATTCTTTCCTCAATTAAACTCTGTTAAATTTAATTTGTCTGAAGTTTTTCTTCTAACAAGTCAACTGAAATATGTACTAAATAAGTATTAATATATAAGAAAACTGTTACTGGAGCATAAGGAAAAGAGGCATTAGTTGTGAATGGTGTTGATAAAACTTCATAGAAGAAAAACATTTTTTAGTTTTATAAGCATTTGGGCCATGAAAGACATGCAAAATTGTGATAGGCATAAAATGAAGAATAAATTTCAGGCTTACATTTTTTCACATGCAAAGTATGAAAGCAAATGGAAAATTCAGGAAGTTGAAAGTATTCTCATTTGGAATAAGGTATGCATGGGGGGAAAACAGGGAGGAAAATACAATAGAAGAAGCTGGAAAGTCAGCGTGAGGTAGAATACTAAGAATTATTTCCCATATTATCTAATATCCAATTAAGATTGTAACATCACAAGTTATAGAAATCAGTAAGACAATGTTGAGAAAGATTACAAACCTATCTTGAATAGGTCAGATATTTGATTAATTCTTTTTAGACTCATAGCATATCTCAAAACCATTTCTGAACTACTGGGTAAAAAAGACTTGATGCCAGAAGTCACATGAAGTTCTTTATCAATATTAATCCTTTATCTTTCACACATTTCTTTTTTTAACATCAGATGTGTAATGTGCAAACATAATACCAAGGTTTGAGGGAGGAACATCTCAAATGAGCGTTAAACACCCAATCACACTTATGAACTATGAAAGAATCTCTAATACACATTTTTTCATTATACTTTAAGTTCTAGGGTACATATGCACAACGTGCAGGTTTGTTACACAGATATACATGTGCCATGTTGGTTTGCTGCACCCATCAACTTGTCATTTACTTTAGGTATTTCTCCTAATTCTATCCCTCCCCCAGGCTCCCATGCCCAGACAGGCCCTGGTATGTGATGTTCCCCACCCTGTGTCCATGTGTTCTCATTGTTCAACTCCCACCTATGAGTGAAAACATGCGATGTTTGGTTTTCTGTCCCTGTGATAGTTTGCTTAGAATGATGGTTTCCAGCTGCATCCATGTCCCTGCAAAGGACATGAACTCATCCTTTTTTATGGCTGCATAGTATTCCATGGTGTATATGTGCCACATTTTCTTAATCCAGTCTATCAGTGATGGACATTTGGGTTGGTTCCAAGTCTTTGCTATTGTGAATAGTGCCACAATAAACATACATGTGCATGTGTCTTTATAATAGCATGATTTATAATCCTTTGGGCTTATACCCAGTAATAGGATTTCTGGGTCAAATGGCATTTCTAGTTCTAGATGCTTGAGAAATTGTCACACTGTCTTCCACAATGGTTGAACAAATTTACACTCCCACCAACAGTGTAAAAGTGTTCCTATTTCTCCACATCCTCTCCAGCATCTGTTGTTTCCTGACTTTTTAATGATTGCCATTCTAACTGGCATGAGATGGTATTTCACTGTGGTTTTGATTTGCTTTTCCCTAATGACCAGTGATGATGAGCTTTTTTTCATGTTTGTTGGCCAGATAAATGTCTTCTTTTGAGAAGTGTCTGTTCATATCCTTCATCCACTTTTTGATGTGGTTGTTGTTTTTTTTCTTGTAAATCTGTTTAAGTTCTCTGTAGATTCTGGATATTAGCCCTTTGTCAGATGGGTAGATTGCAAAGGTTTTCTCCCATTCTGTACTGCCTGTTCACTCTGATGATAGTTTCTTTTGCTGTGCAGAAGCTCTTTAGTATAATTAGATCCCATTTGTCTATTTTGGCTTTTGTTGCCATTGCTTTCGGTGTTTTAGTCATGAAGTCTTTGACCATGCCTATGTCCTGAATGGTATTGCCTAGGTTTTCTTCTAGGGTTTTTATGGTATTAGGTCTTACATTGAAGTCTTTAATCCATCTTGAATTAATTTTTTATACTGTGTAAGGAAAGGATCCAGTTTCAGCTTTCTACATATGGCTAGCCAGTTTTCCCAGCACCATTGATTAAATAGGGAATCCTTTCCCCATTGTTTTTGTCAGCTTTGTCAAAGATCAGATGGTTGTAGATGTATGGTGTTATTTCTGAGGCCTCTCTTTGGTTCCATTGGTCTACATAACTGTTTTGGTACCAGTACCATGCTGTTTTGGTTACTGTAGCCTTGTAGTATACTTTGAAGTCAGGTAGTGTGATGCCTCCAGCTTTGCTCTCTTTGCTTAGGACTGTCTTGGCTATGCGGGCTCTTTTTTGGTTCCATATGAACTTTAAAGTAGTTTTTTTCCAATTCTGTGAAGAAAGTCAGTGGTAGCTTGATGGGGATACCATTGAATCTATAAATTACCTTGGGCAGTATGGCCATTTTCACAATATTGACTCTTCCTATCCATGAGCATGGAATATTCTTCCATTTGTTTGTGTCCTCTTTTATTTCGTTGAGCAGTGGTTTGTAGTTCTCCTTGAAGAGGTCCCTCACATCACTTGTAGGTTAGATTCCTAGGTATTTTATTCTATTTGTAGTAATTGTTAATGGGAGATCACTCATGATTTGGCTGTTTGTCTATTATTGGTGTATAGGAATGCTTGTGATTTTTGCACATTGATTTTGTATCCTGAGACTTTGCTAAATTTGCTTATCAGCTTAAGGAGATTTGGGGCTGACACGATGGGGTTTTCTAAATATATAATCATGTCATCCGCAAACAGAGACAATTTGACTTCCTCTTTTCCTAACTGAATACCCTTTATTTCTATTGTAACACACCTCCTTAATACAAATGGCTTTGTTTCTCTGTTTTATAATGCCACCATAACTAAAACTGTATTGAAAAGGCAATTAAATTAAGAGAGTCTTTTCCTCCAGAAAAAAAATTTTTTTTTTTTTTGAGACAGAATCTCACACTCTGTCACCCAGGCTAGGGTGCAGTGGTGTAATCTCAGCTCACTGCAATCTCTGCCTCCCAGATTCAAGCAATTCTCCTGCCTCAGCCCCCTGAGTAGCTGGATTACAGTTACGTGCCATTATGCCCAGCTAATTTTTTGTATTTTTAGTAGACACGGGGTTTCACCATGTTAGCCAGGCTAGTCTCGAACTCCTGACCTGATGATTCGCCTGCCTGGGCCTCCCAAAGTGCTAGGATTACAGGCGTGAGCAACTGTGCCTGGCCTGCTCCAGAAAAATTTATGTAGTCGCTAGATACAGAATCTTCAGAGCTGACATTATTATTCTGTTCACAAAATAAAATATTGATATTAGAGACTGACATTAAAAATATGTAAAAATTACACTTGTAGCTTGTTATTGACACTAGAGAATGACTATATTTATAAGACTATAGATAGATAGATAGATAGATAGATAGATAGATAGATAGATAGATAGACTCTTCTGACTCCAAAGGGAAAAGGTGTTTCATTTCTTCTCTGAAATTTGCTTCTTGAAGAAAAGTATCAACTCAATTCTGAAATAAAAATATGGTGATAAATAGAAGAATAATTTGAGTTCATTGTAAATATTCCACCTGTAACTGCTTTCTGCTTGAACAAAAAAAGTACTTCTTTGAAAAAGACATTGGAGAGTAAAAACACTTTTATCCACTGTTGCCTGGGTATAAGAATATGTGTTTTTCACACAAAACATAAAAAGAAAAAACTCTGATAACAATATTTACATTTTTTACAATTTGTGTAAATTTAATTGCACTTAATCTCAACTGATGTCGTTAACTGTAAACTTCCTACTACTATATGATGCACAGTGATATGATCTGATTTGTATTTTAGAAGAGATCACCACCATAAGAGGCACATAGCTTACACAAAAACATCTTCTGTCTATATGAAGCTTGTCTAACCTGGGACCCATGGGCCACATGAGGCCCAGGACAGCCTTGAATACAGCCCAAGAAAAATCTGTAAACTTTCTTAAAGTATTATAAGATTTTTGGAAACTTTTTTTAGCTCATCAGCTATCATTAGTGTTACTGTATTTTATGTGTGGCCGAAGACAATTAATTCTTCTTCCAATGTAGCCCAGGGAAGCCAAAAGATTGGACACCCCAGGTCTATATCATTCTCAATATCATTCTCTGTATCTTTCTCAATCTTCAGAAAAAGTAGAAATAACAAGTGAAATTTCAAAATTGTATTTTAGAACAAATCATATCATATCACTCCTTTTCTCCCTTTCTAGGCCAGATGCAAAGGCACCAAAACATCAAATGGTAAGGCATGCTCAAAAAACAGCATCTAGGCTAGATGCAGTGGCTCACGCCTGTAATCCTAGCACGTTGGGAGACCAAGCGGGCAGATTGCCCGAGCTCAGAAGTTTGAAACCAGCCTGGGAAACACGGTGAAACCCCATCTCTACTAAAAATACAAAAAAATCAGCCAGGGGTGGCGGCGTGTGCCTGTAATCCCAGCTACTCGGGAGGCTGAGGCAGGATAATTGATTGAACCCGGGAGGCAGAAGTTGCAGTGAGCCAAGATCACGCCACTGCACTCCAGCCTGGGTGACAGAGCGAGACTCTGTCTTAAAAAAAAAACAAAAAACAGCATTTATAGTATTACCAAATAACTAAATGGGAAATTAGGGAAATTAGAGAGCAACTAGCTTTAATATTTTAAAGTATTTTGAAGTAGCTGAAGTACTTTACTTTCACAAATAACTCCAAAATTCTCCTCCAAAGTCATAGGAAAAAAAATAATGACATCAGAATGTATACAGCAGCACTATTCATAATAGGCAAAAATTAGAAACAAACTCAAACGCACATCAATAGTAAAACTGATCAATAAAATGTGGTATATTCAGATACTGAAGTACAGACAGCACTGAGAATGAATGAAATACAATTGCATGCAATTATATAGCTGAATCTCACAGACATTATATTGAGCAAAACAATACAGAACCAATAGAATACATTGTATGATTCTTTCTGTAAACTCTAAATAAAAATAGGCCAAAATAATGGTGCTGGACAGAAAATAGTGGTGCTAGGCAAAAGGATAAAAGTTACCCTTGGAGATGGGAAATAGTTCTCCCTGAAAGGGAGCATGAGGAAATCCTGCATGGCTGTTAATGTTCTGCTTCTTGATCTCAGTGCTACTTTCTATACCTTCAATCTGTGCACTTTTCATTTTTTATATTACTTATAAGTTTTACTTAAGTTTTATATTACTTAGCAATAAGTACTTTGCTGCTTTTATCAATTTTTCTAAGTATCCTTTTCTGAGCAACCTATCATTTGTCATTTTAAAAGTTTATTTACTTATCCCTGCCTTGAGCCACACAGCATTTAATATGATTCTAAGGTATGAGAAAGATTCTGGCAATTTTACATTATTCAGATTAAAGATTATCTATGTTAGACCTGGAAACACATCTATGTCCAGGAACTGCCTTTACCATTTCACAACTCCGTATCAGATTTGTTTTTTTGTTTTTGTTTTTGTTTTTGTTTTTATCCACGAAGCAGCATGTTTATTCCGGGCCCTAGTATACAGCCCCCTGATTTCATTCCCACTCATCATCACCAATAAAATGAGGACAGATTCCGGGCTGGCTGAGGCCCTGAGGTCCTTGGCTCCTTGCCCTGTGCCTTCTCAGCCTCGAGGCAGACAGTCTGTGTCAGAGGTAGAGATGGCACCTACAGAAGGTACCAGAGCTGAGCAGATACGTGAGCACAGAGGCAGGAATAGCAGGAAGCAAAGGGTGCACATCCATGAGTCCAGCTAGCGCTTCACTTGCTGCCCGCCATGATCTTGTGGTACTGCAGGGCACGGCAAGCAGCCTCACCACGGGCTGCCTCCCTGGTGGTTGCAGAGCCATGATATGCAGTGGCCAGCTGGAAGGACAGTTCCACCAGACACTGGCAGAGTCTACTCAGGCTCAGCTCCTCAACATCCAGGTAATTGACGTGGAAGACCTGCTCTTCAGAGAGCTCACTGAGGACACGGCAGCAGGCAGGGCCCAGGGCACCTATGGAGCCCAGGGAGCAATTGCAGAAGGACAGGATCTTCTCTCCAATGAATTTGGTAGAAAATCTCAGGTGCGGCCTGGGCCCCGGTTCTGAAGACCATCCAGGCGGGAGCCCACATCAATGGAGAAGTAGTCATCATCAGGCTCTGCCTCATTGCCATCCCAGGCATCCACAGACACCGTGTGCACTCGAAGCAGCATTTTGGTCACTGCATTACAACTTGTTGATTTTTTGGAAGTGCCACTGCCAATCTCAGTGAAACGCTCCACTCGTCAGGTCAATTCTTCGTGTTGATCTGGCCTGGACTCCTAGGTCACTGTGTGCTCTGGCAACCACCAGCCTTTCTGCACCACCAGTTTCTGAAGAGCACCAACAGGGATGCACTCCGACTGCTGAAGGGAGGAGCGGGGGCTGCTTTTCCATGGGGGTGCTCCTGGTTAGGAAAACAGATGAAACTGGGGTAGCAGCTGCTGCAGCAGTAAAAACTGGAAAGTCCTCAGGCAGTGAAGAGTCTAGGGGAGAAAAAGAACTGCTGTCCTCCGGGGCCGGCTCCAACATGCTCTCCACTTTGAGGTGTCTGAGGGCCACCTCAGCTGCCTTGTGCTTGACTACCTTCTTCCTGGGGCCCTGAGCAGTGCAGCTGGTGTTGCCAACAGACCCAGAAGGTGAAATTAGGCTGGTGGGCCCTCGGCTTTGAGAAGGTAGTACACAGGTGTTCTTCCCTATTCTGGTACCATACTTCTGCAGAAGGCTGATTGGGGTCTTGCCCGGGTTGGTGGCCAGCATTTTCTCTACACTAGGCAGCCCGCAGCCCGTGGTAGTGCCAGAGTCTTGCTCCTCTTCACCCATTCCCTCCTCTGTCCCCACAGGCACCACTGTGACTGCCTCCATATCAACTTCTTTGACCAGTCAAGCACCATAAGAAGCACACAGCTTACAAAAACAATCTTTTGTCTATATCATTCTTAATCTTCAGAAAAAGTAGAACAAGTGAACTTTAAAAATTAAAATTAAATATCCTCAAGGACTCTTCGATTTCTATCAGCATTAGCCTTCAAAACAAAAAGATAAACATTTCTGGGGACCCATCTGCTCTCTCCTTGTGAATGAATAATGGACTGCCCCACATATTTTTAAATTTCACCTTTGATCCTATATTCTGCTATTGCAAGCTAACATGAGTAGACACAGCAAAGAAATCATGTGATACACTCAGTCTTGTCATCAACAGGTAAAAGCAGTCTTTCCAAAACATCCTTCTAAGCAACTCTCTATGACCTGAGATCTGCACATTTAGTACTCTGGAGGAGACAAGGGAGAAAAACTGTCCTGGACACTTCATGAAAAGAGTGTGGTAAGTCATGCTAATAATTAGCACTTCCATTAAAAGCTCCAAAACGTTGACCCTTGAATTCATGTTTCACAACTAAAAAGATACACACCATTTTCCCTGGGCTTGAAAATCTTCTCCACTGGGAGTCCTTAAACAGGAGTCTTAAGAAGCTTCCAGAAGCAGATGATCTTTGGAAAAAAACAGCTAATGACTCCTGGATCAAGCAAATGACAAACCAAAGTATACAGCTTCCACCCAAGAACAGAAGATTGTAATTCTTCTGGTATCTCTGCTCCTCCTTTCTAAAACAATTTTGTTTACTTGTAATCTTATTTATTATTGTGCTTTGGCATCCCTAGTGATCAACTAAAGGCTTCTCAGAATATGTGTATACATTCACATACGGCCAGTGTTATCACGTTCTTTATCTCCATTAGTCTTTCATTACCACCTAAGAGAAGGCAAAAATCTCCCTGTTATCTCACTGACAAAACTTAATATTAGGTTGGTGCAAGGTAATTGCAGTTTTGGCATTGAAAGTAATTTACTTTTGCACCAACCTAATAGCTGTTACTTAAAACACTACAAATAGCAAATTTCCTTCCAGAGGACACTTGTATATTTGAATTTTCTTCACGTTATAACCTAACCTTCAGTCTTGTAAAAATTAGACCTTGATCCTAGTCATTATAGCAGTTACAGTAGAAGCAACTACGGTATCGGAGTTGTGAACAAATGTGAACCTGAAAGAGTTAATCCTTCAAGGTGGAACTCAAGTGGCTAACTGGGTCTAGATTTTAAATACAGCCAAGCTGCCATTTGCTAACTAGAGGTCATCACATACTCTGAGTTTCCAGAAAACCCACACCTCTATTGAACTTTGTGCTCACCTAAACCAAGTAATCAGGGCTCAGCTATACCAACCAATCAGAACCCAGCTGTATCAACCAGTCAGAACTGAGCTGTGTTAACCAATGAGAATGAAGCAAGTTTGAATCCTTCATTTTCATAAAGAAACTGGATTAAAAACATGGGCAGGAACGTTTGCTATAAAATCAGATCCTCCCTTTGCTTTCTGGAATGCACCTTCCTCTATCATTGAAAACTATGTCTACCCCATTTGCAAACAAAGTCTCTTTCCTCAAAATTCCTTTCCAGAAAAATTTTGTTGACAGGGCAATCCTTGCTACAGTAACTATTCTTTTGGGAAATCTTTATCTTTTGGCATCCTAAAATTTCTGTCTCATTGCAGTAAATAAGAATCAAATGTAAACTAACTGTAGGTGTTACTAGAACTCATTATATAGAGGATAGTGCCTTGTGAGAAGTTTTAGGCAATAATCTGTGAGCAAAAGTGACCTATGACACTTCTGTCTTACATAATTAAGAATAAGTGTGAGTTCTCCATTATCTCTCTTCCACTGGTGTAGCAACCCTGGAAGCTATGTGTTCCAGATGGCTTACAAGAGAGCAGCAGCCTAAATCTCTGAATTGCCACTTGGAAGAGAAACCTACTCCTATGAATAGGTTTTGGTCTTTAGTGAACCTGTGCTCTTGGGCTGTGACTCTGAAAGTGATTCTCAGCTTCTTGTCCCCCTTAGGTGAGGCGGAAAATCTAAAGACTGGAGTTATTTTCCTTTTCTCATATTGATTCAGCTCTGGTAAAGTTGTTTCTCTTGAGGGAAGGTGGGGAACAGAAAGTTCTGGGAGTATGTCAAAATGGTTACTCCTTCCCTGGGCTATTTCAGAATGGTTACTTTCCCCTCCCCCAGCTGGAGGCATGAGGGGACTTTTCTCTGATCTTCACTTTCAGAGCTTGATGGTACTCCCAGAAGTAAAACCTTAAAATTGTGGGGGCTTCCCTAAGGCTAGGACCGCAAGAAGTTTTAACTTTTAAGTTAGTCCACATTCAGCTTCCAGCAGTTCATCAATTATAGTTTAAGTTTTCCTAACAGAATCTGTGGTTTCTTCACCCAGTAAACTTACTCTTTGTATTTGCCTCTCTCTCCACTACTCATGGCTTGATTTGCCCTGTGACCTCAATTTTCTGATGGATTTAAGAAAAGTTGTTGGTTTTCAGTTCAGCATTTTTCTTGTTATGAGAATAGCAGTGACAACTTTCATGCTCTTTCACATATCAAAAATCAAACCAGAAGTCCCCACAGAACTGTTTTTAATTACTTATCAGCTTGTCTGTTTTTCCCACTTAACCATGAACTATTTGAGAGTAGGAACCACAGTCTTTTTATCTCAGGACCCAGGATAGGTATAAGGATTTTTCAGAGCTTAACCAATCTTTGTGTCTGCTCTTTATCACACACTCTCTCTCTAGGTTATTTTATGCATTTTTCTAGCTTTATGTGCCATACTAACCACTCTCAAAAATATATCTCTGGCCAGTCCATCTCTCTCCTTTAATGCTGGATAATTATAAGCATCTTAAATTTTAAAAGTTCAAAATGTAAGTTTTAGTTTATACCTCCAACCTGTTAATCTTCTCCTCTTCTTGATCATATTTAATAACATCACGACCCAATTAGTTCTTTCAACTAGAAACCCAGGAGTCATCTTTGGTTCTTTTCCCTTCTTCAACAACTTCTAAATCTTCTCCTCTGACAAATCATATCATTTCAATCTTCAAATATATTCTCAATTTACTTCTCTCCATCTTCACTGTATTCACTGTAATCAGTGTGGTCCAGGTTATCACTATCACTAGCAAAGTCCTCAAAAAAGGCCTCTTCCATTGCTCTCTCCATTTCTATTCTCACTCATGCTACTTATAGAGCAGTCAATATGTTCTTTATACATAAAGTAAATCATGTCACTCCCATGTTTAAATCTCTTCAATATCTTCCCTGTATACTGAGACTCAGATTCAAACTCCTTATCATTCTCTGTAAAACCACTGCCCTATCTGAGTCCTACCTCTGGAACCTCATCTCCTGCCACACTCCCTCTCATCTACTATACTACACCCATCTTGGTCTTCTTTGTGTCCCTTGCTACTTAAAGACTCTCACATATCATGTTCCCTATGCTTAAAACACTCTTCCCTTTAACATTTTGTTTCTATTAAAAGACCTCACAGCCAAAGAGGATTACTATATTAGGTGGTTATCTAATTCCAATAATTCAAATTTTAGATTTCTCTAGTATTTCAAAAGTACATTTATTAATCATAGCAAAACATAAATAAAACTAAAATATAAAATTCAAAGTAAAGTAATCCAATTGATTAGTTTAATGTATTTGCATTGGAAACTTTTTTTAATTACCTTTACCATTTTGCTATGTATTGCAGATACAAAGTTAAAATGACAGTTGCATTATAAGGCATTTATCATTTTTCCTAGTATTTCCATCTTTAATTATCCAGAGGCTTGTTTTATACCTTACATAAAACCTATGTTATGTGATATTCTCTTTGCAGAAAACTTTCCCTCATTTTAATGCTGATGCAAAAAATAGCAAAAGAAAAGAGAAAGTAATATTAAAATTATTTAATTTATATATTAAGCAGTTTCTACAAAGGGTGAATTAACTGGCAACTAAAACAAATGGCTCATTCAATTTTCTATGCCTCAAATCTCAGGAAAAGTCAAAGTTGAATATACAGTAGTCTACTTATATCTATAATTTCACATCAATTGCCAAAATCAAAATTAGTAAATCTTCCTATTATGCTAAAGAATATGAAATGAACAAACCTCAAAAATACAGACCTCAAGAAGCCTACATCATCATTAGATTTTTCAACAACCGCAAAATGGAATTTATATAAATGGATTAAAATGAACTAGTGTTTAGGAAACATAATAGATTTTTAATACTAGCTATCTGGTAGAATATTTCGTTATTCTACTATGAAAGTATTTGCACAAAATATGAAAAACTTACTTTTTAACATTTAAAACTTAAAATGAATACCTGGAATTCAGCTTCCAAAAATAATTTTATGGATGAATAATAGAAAGTAAGCAGATAGGAAGTTATCCCACTCACATAGTATTCATATTGAGAAAGAAATAAGATAAGCCAGAAAGAAGAAGCCTTATAAATCCGAATAGAGAGTAAGTGAATTAAAGGGCATTCAGAAGTAACCCTGGTCTGTGGTTCAGAAAGATAAAAGGAAGGCTTCTAGAAAATTACATACCAAAAATCTTCAATGTAACAAGAATGTAAGATGAAGAATGTAGCTATTAAGAGAATCTATTGATTCTGAATTTTTAAAACTACATAAATCACAGAGCAAGAATGAATTAGTTGTCAAAGAAATCTTAACTGAAATAATACCAATTAATCAAGAATTAATTTTTAAATCATCTAAAAGTGCTAATTTTTTCTACCATCTTCCTATACAAAAATCAAAGCAGATTGGATTATATTTATTATTAAAGTGATTTCTTTTGTGTTTATGCCAATCAAATGTCACTTTGTTACAATAATCTAAATATCATTTTTTAAAAGTTACTCACAAAATATGTCATTTTATTTAATGGCCATGGTAATTAATACATAATATGGCACAGTCTTGATTATTTTCAAAACCTCACACACAAGATACATTAACTGAAGTCATTTAAAACCAAGACAAAATTACATCTAATTATATTTTGTTATTGGTTTCTCCATTTTATTTTAAGCTTCAGTGCCATAGTGAAAAAGCAAAACAATGACATTGTGTGGCATTTTAATATAATGCTTGCTAGTTAGAAAAGCAATTGTTAAATTTAATTTTACTCCTTATGTCATAAAATTCCTGTATCATAAAAGGATAAAATATGAAAAATCAATTGTGAAGAAATATTTATTGAGTTCCTACTATGTATTAGGCATTCTGCTAAATGCCAAGAATAAAACAGTAGGCAAGACAAATACTGGCCCTACTTCAACGACCTTAAGTACAGGAGAAGTTCCAATTTGAGAACTACATATTAACTATTAGGAAGAGTACATATCATACTTTTACTTCAGTTGAAATGAAAACCCTGACAAAATATAACATAAAATGTATGCAAAGTAGCATAAAATGCATGAGATTATCCTCATCAATAGCAACAAGACATAAAAGATGTTTATCTTTTACTCTGCATTAAAGGCAAAATATGAATGTTTTTCTGAGTGTTTCATCATACTCGTCATTCTCATTCTCTCCTGGAGTCCATGTCACTTGTCAACTTGTCCATTCCTACAACCAAACCAGCTTCTCCAAAGTCATAATTCAAAAGGAAGCACAGAGGCTAAGTGGTTGGAGCACATCTGAATATTATGACAACTGTCAGGAGAATACTGGAATTTAAATATATGCAGTCTCTCTCACATCTTCAGCTACCTCAACTTCACAACATAAATAATATTGCTTGCACAAAATTAAAATGCTACAGAAGTGAACAACTTTTTAAACAGTGTTTTTAAATCTAATAACAAAAAAATGAAATCAATACTTCTTTAATGCTTCAGGTCAGTGTGAGAATATATTGCCACATTTCCCAAATTATGTTTCATAACCTAATGAAATGTTTAGTAAAAACAGGATTCAGTGGTCAAACAAATGTATTAAACAGTGTATGTTCTAATACCCTTGGAGCATATTTGGGTTCTCAGAATAATTATAATAAAGAAACTTGCTTAACCTTTTTTAAAACAACCTTTCCAAAACTATTTGACTAAAGATTGAATTTGGGGGTTAATATCTTTTAATGTCCTCTAGAACAATTTTTGAAAGAAACACACTCTAGTTATATATTGCATTGTTGGAAAAGGATGTTTTACTGAATAAGTATGGCTTACATTATTTATACTAAAATATAGCAGGGTGGGGGGAATTACCTCTTCTTTTTTACTACCCTATTAATTATCCTTGCCTTCTTTATAGATTTTCATTAAGGGTAACAGTATCAAACCCTAACCGAACAATTTTCCTTTCTGAGGGCATACTATTTCAAGGACAGTATTTTAACACATACTTTTCAGTATGTTATACTATCAGAGATAATATTTAGTCTATATAGATCAGCTTACTTACGTCTGGGGCTCCTTTTCATTTTGTTGTTTTTGCTGGGGCTGAAGAACGTTATTTACCAGTTCAGTGATTCCACTAAAGGGAAACCACCTGTTTAAATAAGCAAATAATGTGACTGAATAACCAAATGAATAACAATGTAGGTTAACGTTTTCTTATCCATAATAAAAATACACAGGCACAAAAGCTACAGCCAATGGTAATGTGAGCTCCAATTATCATCCAGGCAGTCAAAATGTAGGGAAATTAAATTTGAACACTTAACTAGTCCACAAGCAGGCAGCAAAAAACTACATCCAGTCACTATGTGGGTGATGTAAGAAGCTGCAAGCAGCTCTCTTACAAGCCAGAGAGTCAGAAAGCAGAAGACACACTAGCTGCAGCCTATCCAGTATTAGTGTAAGCTAATACCAGAAAGCAGTATGTGGCAAAAGTACAGAAGTCAAGCCTACTACACTCTTAATACATTTACTTACTGTGTCAGTTGTGGTTTGTGTTCTTCTTTGACCCTAAAAAGATAAGTTTGCACAACTGAGTGCACTGTACTATGAAGAGATTTCTATTTACAAATTTGTGTTCATATAAAATGGACACCAAAAATAAGAATTTTATATAGAAAGACTTAGTGCTTTGCCATATATTGAAATTATACATTTCAATCAATTTTACACAAAAAAGAGAAAATGAATCATTTGTCCTTAACAGAAAACTAATATTAAAATTCTACCTCTGTTTTAAAGCAATGATTTGGTCCTGAAGTTTTCTGAATATTTTTATTGATATTGAAGATTTTTAAGTAATTATTTTAACATACTATATTAAACACAATTACATTTAGTTAAGTGCAAATAGATTTCCTTTTTTTAATTTTTCCTTAATATTGAAGTAAAGGCATAAATATTTTAAATTAAACATAGAGTTTTACGAATGTATTTTTAAAAGTCTTACAAATGAATTTCTTTATGCCTAAAGGAGCAGAGAAAGGAATGGGAGGTGGGGGAGGGCAGGTATCCAAACTCTCTTAAAATAGCTATTAAAATAACTAGGTATATTAAATTAGAAATATTCATAAGTTAATTATGCAAACAACTATTCCAGACTGAAAATGAATTTAAATAAATAGTATAGAAATAACTATAATAATCAAGTCAGTGCTTTACTTCTAGTTCTGCTGAGTTCAATAAAGTCTTATCTAAAATAGCATATAGAAAAAACTACTTTCTAATTCTCTGAGATGAGAAGATATTTTTATATTACAAAAATCTAAAATTCACAGTCAGAAACTGATTTAGAAGTAGACAGTTGTGGAAAGCTAAGACAGCCAATTGAAAGCAGCTGCATTCCACAGCACTCAAGGAGAGGAATGAAAGGAGCAAGTCAGTTCAGCACCTTCAACTGAAATATCTGAGTTCTCACGTTGAAACTGACTAAGCAAACAACTTGACCCTCAGAGAACAAAGAGAAGCAGGGTAGGGCGATAGCCCACCTGGGAGCAGCACGGAGCAAAGGGAAGCTGTCAGTGATTGTGTGACCTGCCCAGGAAACCACGTTTCTCCCACAGATCCTTGCAACCCATGGATCAGGAGATATCCTCGTGAACCCACATCACCAGGGTCCTGGGTCCAATACACTGAGCTATGTGAGGTTTCGGCAGAGCGGCTGCTTAGACACACACAGAGACCCAGGAGTTTTGCATACTTTGGCCCCGGAATCTGCATCAAGGCAGGAGATCCATCTGTGAATACCCCTAGGAAGGGGACTGAGTCCAGGGAGCAAAGTGGCATCATTCTGTGGGCCCCACTTACATGGTGCCTCACAAGTTGGGACCCACTGGCTTGGAATTCCAGCCAGCTGGTAGTAGCAGGCTGGAGTCTGCCTGAGTCAGGACTGAGTTCCCAGGGGGATGGGTGACCACCATCTCTGTGGTTCAGTAGACTCAGTCATTTCAGCCTGCCAACTTTGAAGAATACAGGCAGTTTGGATGAGGAGGGGTCCCCCACAGAGCAGCATAGCTGCCTTGACAGATCATGGCCAGACTGCTTCTTTAAGTGGAACCCAATTCATTCCTCCTCACTTGGCAAGACCTCCCTGTGAGGGCTTCACCCACTCCAGCAAGGATTCTCCGGACAGAGCTTTGATCTTTCTCAGGGATGAAGCTCCCAGGGGTTCTCTATCTCTGCAGTTCAGTAGACTCAGCCATTCCAGCTTTGGAGAATACGAACAGTCCAGACAAAGAAGAGACCCCTGAATGCAGCACACCTGCTCTACCAAAGGGCCACCTGATTGCTTCTTTAGGCAGATCCCTGATCCTGTTCCTCCTGACTGGGTGAGACCTCCCAGCAGGAGTCTCCAGTCACCTCCTACAGGCATATTTGGGCCAGCAACAGGTCAGTGCCCCACTGAAAAAAAGCTTCCAGAAAAAGGGGAAGGCTGCCATCTTCGCTGGTTCACAGCTTTCACTGGTGATAACTCTGGGAAGGAGAAAAACGAAGGCAACTAGGGTCTGAAGGGGACCCTTGCAAACCACAGCAGCCCCACAAAACAGTGCCATCACTATTAAAAGAAAAACAAACAGAAAACAACAACAACGTCAATAAAAAAGACCCCATAAAAACCCAAATCAAAGGTCACCAACCCCAAAGACCAAAGGTAGGTAAGCCCATAAAGCTAAGAAAGAATCAACACAAAAACGCTAAAAACTCAAAAAGCCAGAACAGCTCTTCTCCTTCAAATGACCACAACACCTGTCCAGTAAGGGCACAAACTGGGCTGAGGCTGAGATGGCTGAAGTGACAAAAGTAGGCTTCAGAAGGTGGGTAATAACAAACTTTGCTGAGATAAAGGAGCATGTGGTAACCCAATGGCAAAGAAGCTAAGACTCATGATAAAACAATACAGGAGCTGATAGCCAGAATAGCCAGTTTAGAGAGGAATATAACCAACCTGATGGAGCTGAAAAACACAACATGAGAACTATAGACCAAGCAGAGAAAAGAATCTCAGAGCTTGAAGACTGTCTTTCTGACGTAAGACAGGCATACAAGAACAGAAAGAAAAAAAAAAAAGAATGAAAAGGCATGAACAAAACCTCCAAAAAATATGAAATTATTTAAAAAGACAGAACCTAAGACTCATTAGGGTACCTGAAAGAGATGGGGAGAATGGAACCAAGTTGCAAAACATACTTAAGTATATCATCCAGGAGAACTTCCCCAACAGAGAAAGACAGGCCAACATTCAAATCCAGGAAATATAGAGAACCCCAGTAAGATACTCCATTAGAAGATCAACCCCAAGACACATAATAATCAGATTCTGAAATATACAAATGAAAGAAAAAAATGTTAAAGGCAGTCAGATAGAAAGGCCAGGTCACCTACAAAATGCAGCCCATCAGACTAACAGGGGACCTCTCAGCAAAAACCCTAAAAGCCAGAAGAGATTAGGGGCCAATATTCAATGTTCTTAAAGAAAAGAAATTCCAACCCAGAACTGCATATTCGCCCAAACTAAACATCATAAGTGAAGGAGAAAAAGGATCCTTTTCAGACAATCAAATGCTTAGGGAATTTCCACCACCATGCCTGCCTTGCAAGAGCTCCTGAACAAAGCACTAAATATGGAAAAGAAAAACAATTACTACCCACTACAAAAACACACTGAAGTACACAGATCAGTGACATTATGAAGCAACCACATAAACAAGTATGCGAAATAACCAGCTAGCATCATGATGACAGAATCAAATTCACAAATAACAATACTAACCTTAAATATAAATGGGCTAAATGCCCCAATTAAAAGACACAAAATTGCAAGCTGGATAAAAAGCCAAGACCCACTGGTATGCTGTCTTCAAGAGACCCATCTCACATGCAAAGACACACATAGGCCCAAAATAAAAGGATGGAGGAAAATTTACCAAACAAATTTAAAACAGAAAACACAGGGGTTGCAATTCCAGTATTTCTGACAAAACAGACTTTAAACCAACAAAGATCAAAAAAGACAATGAAAGTTATTATGGAATGATAAAGGGTTCAATTCAACAAGAAGAGCTAATTCTCCTAAATATATATGCACCTAATACAGGAGCACTCAGATTCATAAAGCAAGTTCTTAGAGACAAAACGACTTAAAATTCCCAAACAATAATAGTGGGAGACTTTAACACCCCACTGTCAATATGAGACAGATCATCGAGACAGAAAACTACCAAGGATATTCAGGACCTGAACTCAGCTCTGAATCAAATGGACCTGATAGATACCTACAGAACTCCACCAAGGAAAGAACAGAATATACATTCTTCTCATCACCACATGGCACTTAATTTTATCTAACTAAAATTTTATTGACTAAAATTTATCACATAATCTGAAGTAAAACACTCCTCAGCAAATATAAAAGAACTGAAATAATAACAAACATTCTCTCAGACTACAGCACAATCAAATTAGAACTCAAGATTAAGAAAATCACTGAAGAACACACAACTACATTGAAATTGAACAACCTGCTCCTGAATGACTCCTGTGTAAATAATGAAATTAAGGGAAAAATAAGAAAGTTCTTTGAAACTAATGAGAACAAAGAGACAATGTACCCAAAGCTCTGGGACGCAGCTAAAGCAGTGTTAGGGGGGAAATTTATAGCATTAAATGCCCACATCAAAAAGCTAGAAAGATCTCAAAAACCTAACATCACACCTAAAACAACTGGCAAACCAAGAGCAAGCCCCACAGCTAACAGAAGACAAGAAGTAACCAAGATCAAAACTGAACTGAAGGTGATACAAAAATTAAAAAAAAAAAAAATCAAAAAAAAATCAATGAACCCAGCAGCTGGTTTTTGGAAAAAAAATTAATATAATATACCACTAGGTAAGACTAATAAAAAAGAAAAGAAAGAAGAATCAAATAAACACAATCAGAAATAAGAAGAATATCACCACTGACCCCACAGAAATATAAACGACCATCAGAGAATACTATAAACACCTCTATGCACATAAACTAGAAAATATATAAGAAACAAATAATATCTGGACACATACACCTACCCAAGGCTGAACCAGGAAGAAACTGAATCTGTTAATAGGCCAATAATAAGTTCTGAAATTCAGGCAGTAATAGATAGCCTACCAACCCAAAAAAGCCCAGGACGAGATGGATTCACAACTGAATTCTACCAGAGGTACAAATAAAAGCTGGTACCATTCTACTGAAACTATTCCAAAAAATTAAAAAGGAGGGTCTCCCCTCTAACTCATTCTATGAGGTCAACATCATACTGATACCAAAACCTGGCACAGATACAACAACACAAAAAACCTCAGGCCAATGTCCTTGATGAACATCAATGCAAAAATATCACATTGATACCAAAACCTGGCACAGATACAACAACAACAAAAAACTTCAGGCAATGTCCTTGATGAACACTGATGCAAAAACTGTCAAACATAAATGCAATATACTGGCAAACCGAATCCAGCAGCACATAAAAAAGCATATCCACCATGATAAAGTAGGTTTCATTCCCACAATAAAAGGTTGGTTCAATGTACAAAAATAAATAAATGTAACTCTTCACATAAACAGGACTGAAGACAAAAAATGCATAATTTGTCTCATTAGATGCAGAACAGGCCTTCAATAAAATTCAAAATCCCTTCATGTTAAAAATTCTCAACTAGGCATGGAAAAAACATACCTCAAAATAATAAGAGCCATACATGAAAAAGCCATAGCCAGTATCATACTGAATGGGCAAAAGCTGGAAACATTCTTCTTGAAAATGAGCACAAGACAAGGATGCTTTCTCCTACCACTCCTACTCAACATAGTATTGGAAGTTCTGGCCAGGGCAGTCAGGCAAGAGAAAAAAATAAATGCTATTCAAATAGGAAGAGAGGAAGTCAAATTATCTCTGTTTGCAGATGACATGATCCTATATCTAGAAAACCCCATTGTCTCAGCCCAAGATCATGTCCTTTGCAGGGACATGGATAAAGCTGAAAGGCATTATCCTCAGCAAACTAACACAGGAAGAGAAAACTAAATACCATATGTTCTCACTTATAAGTTGGAGCTGAATGATGAGAACACATGGACACATGGACACATGGGGGAAACAACAAACACTGAGGCCTGTCGGAACTGGGTGCGGAGAGAGGTAGAACATCAGGAGGAACAGCTAACAGATGCTGGGCTTAATACATAGGTTGTGGGATGATGTGTGCAGCAAAACACCATGGCACACATTTGCCTATGTAAGAAACCTGAACATCTGGCACATGTACCCCTGAACTTAAAATAAAAGTTGAAGAAAAAAAAGGAGACAGTTAATTCATGATGCATATGATACGAAAAATTAGGTACACCTAACTAAAAAAAAACTTCTACCTCACGTGGCACACATTTAGTGAGTCATTCTTGGGATTAATTCTCAGGCCTCTGAGCCCAAGTTAAGCCATCATATCCCCTGTGGCCTGCTCCTACACATCCAGATGGCCAGTTCCTGCCTTAACTGATGACATTCCACCACAAAAGAAGTGAAAATGTCCTGTTCCTGCCTTAACTGATGACATTATCTTGTGAAATTCCTTCTCCTGGCTCATCCTGGCTCAAAAGCTCCCCTGCTGAGCACTTTGTGAACCCCACAACTGCCCACCAGAGAACAACCCCCCTTTGACTGTAATTTTCCTTTACCTACCCAAATCTTATAAAACAGCCCCACCCGTATCTCCCTTCACTGACTCTCTTTTCAGACTCAGCCCACCTGCACCCAGGTGAAATAAACAGCTTTATTGCTCACAGAAAGCCTGTTTGGTGGTCTCTTCACATGGACGTGTATGAAATTAATATTATTCATTTTTTTAATATTCCTTTATTAAAATTAAATTATTCCTTCTACAGACCTATTAGTGTGTACTGGTTTCACAATATTCGGGAAATTAAGGGAGACTGGCCCAATATAGATCACTGAGTATCAAAATGAAATAAGACTGGATATTTATAAGGCAGAGAAAAATCATGCACAAGGATAATAAAGGCCTCTGAAATTTGGTTTCTCACAATTTCCTAGAACTTATCCTAAGAGGTAAACTTATGACTATGTGATCAGTTTATTAGTTTTTACCCTCTCAGAGGGAAACTAAGAATTAGTCATGAAAACTGGTCAGCAAAATCCTAGACTTTCATTACAAGGCTATACCTAACACTGTAAATTAAATTCTCTTTAGATCAAATTGATTCACTTTTACACTGTGTTCATTTTTTAATGATATAGTAATAAATGAAAGCCATATTCTTAGACATATTTGTGTCACAATAACAAATATAATTGGTATCTATTTCTATATTAACAATAAAATTATATCCTGTATTCTCTTTATAAAATTCAGAGTGTAATATCTTATTTGCAAGAATGAAAGTCACATCATTTAGTATTTAAATACAGTCACAAAATGGATTTAATATTTAAAAGATTATTTTAACACCAAATGTCATATAAACATTCAAACACAAGCAAACTATAGTGACACTGAATTCTATTTAGAAAACTTGTATTTCTTTGAGAAAAAGATAAAAATCTCTTTTTAGAACAAAACATTCACAAATAGATAAAAAGATAATGGCAAAGAAAGATTACCATATGAGCTCATTAAAATGAAGAACAATTAAAATGACCCTTCACCAAATAATAGTATGCTAAAAACAAGAAATACTGAAATAAATATGTAAATGGGCTCATTTACTTGTTAAAGAACTCCTGGGTGAGAATCTGCAAGAAATCATGTTGCTCTTAATCAGTGACAAGTTTTTATCATAAACATGTTGATATTAATCTAAAAATCAGTTTCCAATTTCAAAATCTTTACTAGAAAACATAGGCATAAAAATCTAAATTATTAAAACTGGGTTTTGTAAAAACATCTATATATGAAATGTATAACATTTGCATCATCCTCCCAAACAAAATATGTATAAATATTTAAAATATTTACATTTTATATTTATGTTTTAAATAAATATTTAAAATGTCTTTAAATACAATTAAAAGTATAAAATTATTCTTCTCCTTTTGCCAATATTTTAGATAAAATCACATTACAAAGTATCTCACCAAAATTAAAATGTTGAGATAATGAATTAAAAATTGGTAATATGAGAAACTAATTACATCACCTATTTCTCTGACAATATGCTAACATTATTAACAGTGAACTCCTACATTCGTCCATTCCAAGAAGCTGATGAGATTCTAGTTTCCAATCTGACATATAAAGATCTTGGAAATTATCACTCCCATCCTCAAAATGAGAAAAAAAGCTGAACTGAAAATCAACAACTCTTGTTAGCGTCATCAAGAAATTAATGTGACCTCACAAACTGCTGCCACAAAAACTAAACAAACAGACAAATACAAAGTTGCACAGCTTACCAGAACCAAATGTCCAGGAGCAGAGGTCTGCAGGTGGAACCAGTATATCCACAAACACTTTATAATTAATTGCCAGAGGCTCAGGGTAGACTACTTCTAAGTTTCAAATTCCAAATCTTAGTTTCTCAGTCTTACGGGTGCCAACACACTTGCATAAGTATTATCTCTAGAAGCTCCACCGGGTTCTCTCGGTGAAAATCAGAGAAAAATCCTCTCCTGTATCTAATAGGGGGAGAAGGAAAGTAACCATTTTGAAATGCACTTGAAGCTCTGTATTTTAACAAGGTCTTCTCTCAAGGGAAACTATTTTATAAAGATGGTGTTTTGCCAAAGCTTAACGGGCCTGAGGAAGGTAAATACCCAATTTCATCCTCCTCTAGCCTTCAATGTAGAAAATGGAAAATACCAAATTCCAGTCCTCTCTAGCCTTCAATGTAGGGAAAGGAAACTCAACTCAAGCTCATTGACAGACTGAGGCCTAATGACAGAACTATCAGATGCCTCTCCTCCCTCTACACTTACCACCAAATCAGTAGAGTTCTTATATAATAACAGGTGAAACAACTAAAACAACTGCAATCCTCAGAAACTATTTAGTAAGGAGTCAGTACAGAAAAACAAAACAGCAAAAAATAAAAAAAGATAAACACAAGGACAATAGAAAAATTTTAGCCTCTGACACCACAGCTACAATAAACAGTAAACACAGTCTAACTCTTCTCCAGATAAACATAAAATGTCATACTTAAGACCTAACTACCTAAGCTCCTTTTACTGAATAACCCTTCTCCAGCTTTCAATAACAAATTACAAGGCATTCTAAGTGGCAAGAAAAAAGTCTGAAGAGACAAAGAAAGCATAAATCAAATATGGCAGAAAATTTGGAATTGCTAGACTGAGAAAAATAGCTGTGGTTAATATACTAAGAGTTCCAATGTAAAACGTAGACAACATGCAAGAATACACCGGTACTATGAGCAAAGAGAGGGAAACTCTACGAGTGAATCAAAAAGGAAATGCTAAAAATAAAAAATAATATAAAAGAAATAAAGAATGCCTTTGACAGACTCATCAACAGAGCAGTAGACTTGGCCAAAAAAACAATCAATGAGCTTGAAAATATGTCAATAAAAACTTCTAAAACTGAAAAACAAAAACACAAAAGAGTGAAAAAGATGGAACAGCATATTCAAAAACTGAGGGACAATTATAAAAACTATAAAGTATGTGTAATGGGAATAGCAGATGGAGAAGAAAGGAACAAAGGAAATATTTTAAGTAATAACAACTGAAAATTTTCTAAAATTAATGACAAACACCAAACCATGAATCCAGGAAGCTCAGAGAACACCAAACAGGATGAATATCAAAAAATGTTTCAAATAAGAATATACTATTCAAACTGCAGAAAATGAAAGACAAAGATGACATTTTGAAAGAAAAAAAGCAAACACCTTATCTACAGAGAAACAGTATAAGAATTACATCAGACTTCTGTTCATAAAAAAAAGAAAAAGGTAGAATGAAATATCTAAAGTGTTGAATAAAGAAACCAACCAACCTATAGGTCTACACTCAGTCAAATTATCCTTCAAAAGTGAAAGAGAAAGAAATATTTTCTCAAACAAACAAAAATTATAAAAATTTGTCAACAGATCTGCCTTGCAAGGAATATTAAAAAGAAGTTTTTCATTTCCTTCAGAGACAAGAAAATTACATAGGTCAGAAATTCTGATGTACATTTAATAAAAGGAATAGCATTAGGGAAGGAAAAAATAAGGATAAAATAAAACCTTTTATTTTTCTTATTCTTAATCTATCAGTTTCTCAAATGTGGAACTGTAGCAATACTGTATTCTGTGATATTTTATGGATAAGTGAAATAAATTACAGTGATGTTATAAGGTACAGAAGAAAGGAATTGTGAATAATCTGTTACCAGGTTTACATCATTTGTGAAGTTGTACAGTGAGATTTTGAAATGGACTTGGATTCATTGTAAATAAACACTTCAATCTCTTAAGCAACCACCAAAATAAAATTTTAAAAGGAAGTACAATTGATATGCTAAGAGAGAAAATAGAATTGTATAAAATGCTAAAATAAAGCAAAAGAAGAGAGAGAAAAATTAGAAGATAAAATAAGAAATAAAACAAGTACAATAAATGCAACACAGTTACAAACACAGTAACCATGAATTCAACTAAAAATAGTCACCTTAAACGTGAATGGTCTAAATATGCCAATTAAAAAGCAGAGAATATCAGAATGGATGAAAACAAAAAGACACAATGTCTTAGTCCATTTGTGTTGCTATAAAGGAATACATTAGGCTGGGTAATTTATAAAGAACAAACGTTTATTTGGCTTATAGTTCTGCAGACTTTCTAAAAAGCATGGCAACAGCATCTGCATCAGATGAGGGCCTCAAGTTGCTTCCACTCATGGTGGAAGATGAAGGGGTGCCATGCAGAGATCACATGGAAAGAGAGGACACAAGAAAAAGGGGAGGAGATGCCAGGCTCTTTTTAACAACCAACACTCATGAGAACGAACAAGATGAGAATTCACTTACCCTCCACCCCCAAGAATGGCATTAATCTACTTATGAGGGATACACCTCCATGACCTAAACACCTCACATTAGGCTCTACTTCCCAACACTACCATACTAGGGACCAAGTTTTCACATGCAATTTGGTAGGGACAAACAAACAATACCCAAGCTATAGCATCACGAGATTGGGGAATTAAGAGAGGTTGGTTGATAGGTACATACATACAGTTAGACAAGAAATATGACCTAGTGTTTGATAGATCAGTACAGTAATAATAGTTTACAATAATCTATTGTATATTTCAAAATAGAAAAGAATAACTCAAATGTTTCTCACATAAAGAAAAGACAAATATTTAAGGTGATGAGCATCCCAATGACACTGATTTAATCTTACAAAATATATTAATGTATTAAATCATTACATACACCTCTAAAATTTGTATATCTATTATGTATCAATAAGAAATTGAATAAATAAATAACACCAAGCAATGTATTGTCTCTACAAGAAACCTGTTTTAAATATAAACAAAAGCTAGAGTATCCACATTAATTTCAAACAAAGCCAACTTTAGAGCAAGGAAAATTATCAGAGAAAAATCAAAGTATTTCATAATAATAAAAGGATGAATTCCTCCAAGAAAACATAACAATCCTTAATGTGTGTGTGCATAACAACAAAGTGTCAAAATACAGGAGGCAAAAATTGATACATCTGCAACCATTAAGAGATTAATCCACTGTTACAGATGCTCTTTACACAGCTATCAATAATTGACATATACAGTTGGCAGAAAATCAGTGAAGATGTAGTTGAAATGAACAGCATAAATAAAATTGATCTAATGAACATTTTATAATGCTTCATCCAACAACAGCATAATACACATTCTTCTCAAGCACCCAGGGAACATACACCAAGACAGACCACATTCTAGGCCATGAAACACCCTTTAATAAATTTAAAAGAATACAAATCATTCAAAATATGCTCTGAGTTCACAGAGGAACTAAATTATAAATTAACAGCACAACTATAGTGAAAAATCTCAAAATATCTGGAAATTAAACCATATGCTTCTAAAAATATGTGAGTCAAGTCTCAAAATAGATTAAAAATATGCTTAACTAAATGAAAGTGAAAATACAACCTATCAAAACTTGTGAGATGCAGCTAAACCAGTGCTTAGATGAAAATTTCTAGCATTTTAATGCATATATTGTAAGACATATCTACAATTAATAAAGCTTCTACCTTAGTAAACTAGAAAAAGAAAATAAAATCTAAGCAGAGAAAAATAAATAATAAAAGTTAAAAATCAATGAACTTGAAAACCGGGCATCAATAGACAAAATCAACAATACCAAAAGCCACCTCTTTGAAAAGACCAATAAATTGATAAATTCCTAGCTAGGCTAATCAAGGAAAAAAGAAAAGACACAAATTACTAATATAAAAAATGAAAGACAGTCCATCACTTCTGATCACATGACATTAAAAAGATTTAAAAAATAGTAAGAACAACTATCCCAAATTTGATAATTTTGATGAAATGGACCATTTCCTTGAAAGAAACAATGTACCAATGCTTACAAAAGGAGAGGTCTATGTCTATTTTAAAAATTGAATCATACATAAACCAAACAAATACATACCAAATCTATAAAAGGAAAACTACAAAACTCTGACGAAATAAATATAAGAAAATTTAAATAAATACGGAAGTATGTCATGTTCATGAATAGAAAGACTCAACATTTTTTAAGATGTCAGTTCTTATGATTTGATCTATAGAAACATGGCAATCCCAACCAAAATCTCATCAAGTTATTTTGTGCATATCAACAATGACTCAAAGTTTATATTAAAAGGCAAAAGACCTAGCAATCCCACTTTCTAGGTATGTAGTCAAATAGAATGAAAACTTATGTTCACACAAAAACCTATACATCAATGTTTCTAGCAGTTTTATTCATAATCTCAGAAAACTGAAAATAACCAAGATGTTAAGAGGTGAATGAATAAACAAACTATGGTTAAATCCATACAAGAGAATACTACTCAGCAATAAAAAGAAATAAACTACTGATATGAACAGCATGACTAAATATCAAATGTATTTTGCTAAGAGGAAGAATTGAGAACTAAAAAGCTACATAAGGTTTGATTCAATTTATATGACATTCTGGGAAAGGCAAAACTATAGATAAAGAAAACAGAGTAGTGGCTAACTGGTCAATGAAAGAGGGAAGTATTAACTACAAAAGTCACACAAGGAAATTTTTAGAGTGTTGAAACTATTCTATAGTGTTGCTGGATAATTACATGTTTGTCAAAACCCATGGAATTATGCATCACAAACATTAAATGTTAATGTTTGCAAACTTTTTTTTTAAATCCCTGGAAGGAATACAAAGTGTGACAAATTGATCAAATTGTATTTAAAAGGTACAATATAACCTAGTTAGTTACAAGAGAGTCAGGAATAAAGGAGGTGTCCTAAAGAACATTAGGAAAGGATATTTTAACTAGATAACTGTAATACCAAAGACAAAAAATAACAATACATAAGCATTGTACTCTGGTAAGTTTGTTTCCATACTATACAAGTTAGCATTTGTGAAACTATTCTACATTTATACTGGGGTTGAACATGAGCAAGTAACTGCCACAGAATACAAATAAACAAAGAGAGGAGGCTAGAATGAACCCTGCCAGCAGTGCTAAATTTAGAGACAGACATATCAGTACAAAATCACGCAAATTTACATATTTTAAAGATAGATGATAGATGAATAAATAAATAGAGGTCGAGAAATAAATATAGATATGTGTGTCTACACAAGTTTATATATACAAGTATTTCCTCATTTTGTTTGCTGAGAGAGCCTAGAAACAGTGACATCCCAATTGCAGTGAGCCCATCTGGTACAAAGATCTTTGTTTCTAAATACCATCCTCCAATCAAAGATATTTTGAGAAATGGCTAATTTTCCAGGTAGACAGAAAAAAATACAAAGTTAACCTAGATTATCTTGTAATGCCAGAAAATGAGAAATTGTTCAAAAACATAAAAACATGGAGTATGTCAAAAGACACAAAATCAACCTGAAAGAGTTCCCAATGGCCAAAGCTGGAACTATTTGAGGACGAACAAAAACCCCATATGGATTATAATGCTCCCTCAAGAAATAAATATCCATTAATCCATACTGATATAGATAAATAAATAAATAATTAGAGAAGACGGCGCATATTTCCCTTACAGAAGAGTGCCAAATAAGAAACATGAAAGGTATGAAGAAAATAGAAAGTCATCATTAGAGCATCACAGTAGTAACTGTTGCAGGTAAGATCCACTGATATATGCTAACATTAGAAATCAAAGCTTAAAGGAGAAGCAATATTTGCATAGCCTCAAGTATCTCCTGTGAAATATTTATTAATTACTGTGGTTTTGATGTCTAAAAATTATTTTATACCCTTTCTTCAAGTGGTGGAGCTTAATTCCTCTCCCCTCAAATAGGGACTGAAATTAGTGACCCACTTGCAACCAATAGAAAATAAAAAAGAAACAATTATAACTTTACAGTGGAGAAAGCTGAGAGACACAACTCTAACTATACGATCAAAATTAACCCCCTGATATGATGTGATACCACTGTGGTATTCTTCCAATAACTTCAAAACCCCAGTTGAATCAGGGGAAAAATCAAAACAAACCCAAACTGAGGAACGTCTACAAAAATTGAAATTAGGGAACACTCTTTTTCTGTTTTCACAACTTTCACCAGTATTCTTCACAAGTATCAAAATCATGAAAACAAGGAAAGAGTGAGAAACTGTCACAAATTGGAAGAGACTAAGGAGACATGAAATTAAATGCACTTATCCTAGATTGAATCCTGGAAAAGAAAGTCAGTAAAATATATGGTAAGATTTGAATAAATCCTACAGTTATTTAATAGTATTGTACCAATCCTGTTTTCTTTGTTTTGATAAATACACTGTAATTGTGTAAATTGTTGACTGCAGAAACCTAGGTGAACAAGATACAGGAACTCTCTGAACCATCTTTGCAACTCTCCTAAAAATTTAAAATTATTTCAAAATGAAAAGTTAAAACAAAACAAAAAACCTTCCCACAAAAAACTCCAGGCCCACATGGCTTCAATGGTGAATTCTATAAAACATTTTTAAAAATAAGTAATACTTATCTTTCACAAGTACTTATCTTTCATAAAAATCACATTCATTTTCAAAAAATAGAACACATTCCAAATCAGTTTGTGAAGCCAGCATTATTACTCTGATAACAAAACTAGAAAAAGTAAATTCAAGAAAAGAAAGTTACTCATATCCTTAATGAACACAGATGCAAAAATTCTTAACACATTAGTGTGAAATTAAACTGTAAATGAGACTCCAAGCACTCCAGACTAGATGGACTCACCATGACTAATAGAAGAAATACCAAAATTGAGACTACAGAACAAAGTGGCCATGGTGGAGTGAAAGAAGAGTGTTTACTTGCCTTTTGTTCATAGAAAGGCAAATCTGGATAAACATCCTACTTTATGCCCGTAAGCCAGAACAGTTCCTGTGACAAAAGCCAAGAAAAACTGGCAAGAAATGACCCACCACTAGCCCTTTAGAAGAAACATCTCAGAGAGCCTTCTAGTTTGGGTCTTAGGAAGCCACCCAATCAAGGGCTCAACTATCTTGGCCAATCAGAACTAAACAAGCTTGAATCCTTCGTTTGCATAAATAGATCTGATTGAGAACTTGGGTGAGAACTTTCCTTATGTGAGCCAAACATTCCTTTTGTTCTTTAAAGAGCACACTTTCATTTTTCTTGAAGGCTGTGCCTCCCCAAAACGCAGATTGGTATGTGTGTGTGTGTGGGGGGGGGGGGGTGCGGGGGTGGGTTATAGAAAAAAAGCAAGGGAGTGGCCAAGATTGCCAACTAGAAGCAGCTAGTACGCATGGCTCTCAAGGAAAGGAAAGGAAGGGCCAAATAAATAGCAACACCTTCGACGATAACATCCAGGTACTTGCACTGAAATTAATCAGGAAAACAACCTGACCCAAAGAGAATGAAGAAAAGCAAGACAGGACAACGGCCCACCTGGGAGCAACACAGACCCAGGGGATTCTCCCCTGCACAAAGAAGCAGTGAGTGAATGAGTGACCCTTCCCAGGGGAGAAACCATGTTTCTCCCACAGATCTATACAACCTTCAGTTAGGAGATCTCCTTGTGAACCCACTCAACCAGGGCCTTCAGTCTGACAAAAAGAGCTACATGGAGTCTCGGCAGAGCAGCTGCTCTGGCATGCATAGACACCCCAGAGTGATAGATACTTACAATTTCTGACAAAAGTAGCTGCAGTTCCAGCAAACTGGGAGGTTAGACTTCTGTGCACACCCCTAGGAAAGAGACTGACTCCAGGGCACTGAGCAGCAACAGCCCGCAGGCCCCACTTCCACAGCACCTCACAAGATAAAACCCACTGGCTTGAAATTCCAGCCAGCTACCAGTAGCAGCATTGCACCTACCTAAGAAGGAGCTCCCAGGCAGTGGGGCATACCACCATCTTTGCTGTTAAGGCATCTTAGCCGTTCCAGCCTTTACACTTTGGAGAGTGTGAGCTGACCTGGAGTAGAAGGGATCCACCAGCACAGCACAGCTGCCCTACCAAAATGAGGCCAGACTGCTGCTTTAAGGGAGTACCTGATCCTGTTTCTCCTCACTGGGCAAGACCTCCCAACTAAGGCCTCCAACTACCCCCTGCCCAAGCTCTCCAGCCAAAAGAGATCTAAATTCCCCCTAGTACAGTGCTCCTAGAGGAAGGGGTAGGCTGCCATCTTTGCTGTTTGGACAACTTAGCCATTCCAGCCTTTAGGCTTCAGAGTGCGTGACATGACTGGGGGCTGAGGTGGAACCCCAGCACAGCTCAGCTGCTCCGCCAAAATGTGGCCAAACTTCTTTCTTAAGCAGGTACTGATCCTGCTCCTCCTCACTGGGCAGGACCTCCTAACTGGGGTCTCCAGCCACTTCCTGCAGGTGTCTTTGGGACAATAAGGGGTCAGTACCTCCCTGTGACAAAGCTCCCAGAGGGAGGAACAGGCTGTTACCTTCGCTGTTTCACAGCCTTCACTGGTGACACCTCCAGGTTCTGGAAGATCCGAGGTGACTAGGGACTAGAAAGGGCACCAAGCATACTGAAGCAGCCCTATGGAAAAGTGGCCAGAGTGTTATGTCGGTGCCCATTCCCATATCTCCTCACTGGGTGGGTCATCCAGGCCTGGGCCTCCAACCACACCCCACCAGAGCTATGGATCCAGTCAGTACCAACTCAGCAACTCCCTGGACAGAGCCTCCAGGGACAACTGAAAGCCTCTCTGTCTTTTCAGATAAGAAAATGTTAAGAAACTTCCTTACCACCAAACCTGCCTCACAAGACATCTTGAAAGAAGCACTAATATAGAAAAGAAAGACCACTACCACCTAATACAAAAACAAACATAAACACAAAGACCACTGTTACTGTAAAACAAGCCACACAAACAAGCAACATAATAACACACAAACAAGCCAACATAATAACCATACAAACAGGCCAACATAATAATCAACCAACAGCACAATGACAGGATCAAATCCACATATAGCAATACTAACCTTGAATGTAAATGGGCTAAATGCCCCACTTAAACAGCATAGAGTAGCAAGCTGGATAAAAAAGACCCAATGGTATGGTGTCTTCAAGAGGCCCATCTCACACATAATGACACTCATAGGCTCAGAATAAAGGGATGAAGAAAAATCTACCAAGCAAATGAAAAACAGAAAAAAAAAGCAGGGTTGACAATCCTCATTTCAGACAGAACAGATTTCAAGACAACAAAAATCAAAAAAGACAAGGAAGGGAATTACATAACGGTAAAGAGTTCAATTCAACAAGAAGACCTAACTATTGTAAATACGTATGCACCCAACACAGGAGCAACCAGATTCATAAAGCAAGTTCCTAGAGAATTACAGAGACATAGACTATCAAACAATAACAGTGGGAGATTTCAACACTCCACTGACAGAATTAGACAGATCACTGACAAGAAAACTAACAAAGATATTCAGAACCCGAACTCAGCATTGTACCAAATGGATCTGATAAACCTTTACAGAAGTTTTCACTCAAAAACAACAGAATATACATTCTTTTCCTCACTACATGGAACATACTCTAAAATCAACCACATAATTAAACATAAAATAATCCTCAACAAATGTAAAAGAACTGAAATCACACCAAACACACTGTCAGGTCATAGAACAATAAAAATACAAGTCAACACAATGAAAGTCGCTCGAAACAATACAATTACATGGAAATTAAACAAAATGCTCCTGAATGACTTTTGAGTAAATAACGAAATTAAGGCAGAAATCAAGAAGTTCTTTGAAAATAATGAAAACAAAGATACAACTTACCAGAGTCTTTGGGACAAAACTAAGGCAGTGTTAAGAGGGAAATTCACAGCACTAAAAACCTACATCAAAAGTAAGAAAGATCTCAAATTAACAACCTAGCTTCACAACTGAATCAAAATTAGAGAAGCAAGAACAAATCAACCCCAAAGCTAGCAGAAGATGAGAAATAACAAAAATCGGAGCTGAATTGAGGGAAATCAAGACACGAAAAATTATTCAAAAGATCAACAAATCCAGCAGTTGATTTTTTGAAAAAATTAATAGGCCACTAACTAGACTAATAAAGAAAAGAGAACATCCAAATAAAAACAATTAGAAATGATGAAGGGAATGTTACTACTGATGCCACAGAAATAGGAACAACCATCAGAAACTACTACAAAAACCTCTACGCACACAAACAAAATAACTCAGAAGAGATGGATAAATTCCTGGACACATACACCCTTCCAAGACAGAGCCAGGAAGAAACTGATTCCCCGAATGGACCAATAATGAGCTCCAAAATTGAGTCAGTAATAAATAGCCTGAAAATCAAAAAATGCCCAAGACCTGATGGATTCACAGTGAAATTCTACTAGATGTCCAAAGACATAGTACCATTCCTACAGAAACTATATGAAATAACTGAGGGGGGAAGACACCTCCCAATTCATTTTGTGAGGCCAGCATCATCTTGATACCAAAACCTGGAAGAGACAAGAGAAAAAGAAAACTTCAGGCCAAAATTGTTGATGAACATGATATAAAAATCAGCAAAATACTTGCAAACTGAATCCAGCAGCACAACAAAAAGCTAATCCACCATGATCAAGTAGGCTTCATCCCCAGGATGCAAGTTTGGTTCAACACATAAAAATCAGGATGGGCATGGTGGCTCACACCTGTAATCCCAGCACTTTGGGAAATCGAGGCAGGTGGATCATCTGAGGTCAGGAGTTTGAGACCAGCCTGGCCAACATGGTGAAAACCCATCTATACTAAAAATACAAAAAAATACAAAAAAAAAAAAAAAATAGCCGGGCGTGGTGGCACATGCCTGTAGTCCCGGCTACTCAGGAGGCTGAGGCAGGAGAATTGCCTGAACTCAGGAGATGGAGGTTGCAGTGAGCCGAGATTGCACCACTGCACTCCAGCCTGGGTGACACAGCAAGACTCCATCTCAAAAAAAAAAAAGGCCTGGCGCGGAGGCTCACACCTGTAATCCTAGCACTTTGGGAGGCCAAGGTGGGCGGATCACAGGGTCAGGAGATAGAGATCATCCTGGTTAACATAGTGAAACCCCATCTCTACTAAAAATACAAAAAATTAGCCCGGCATGGTGGCGGGTGCCTGTAGTCCCAGCTACTCGGAAGGCTGAGGCAGGAGAATGGCGTGAACCCAGGAGGCGGAGCTTGCAGTGAGCCGAGATTGCGCCACTCCAGCCTGGGCTACAGAGCGATACTCCATCTCAAAAAAAAAAAAAAAAAAAAAAAAATCAATAAATATGGCCGGGCGCAGTGGCTCATGCCTACAATCCCAGCACTCTGGGAGGCCAAGGTGGGCAGGTCACCTGAGGTCAGGAGTTCCAGACCAGCCTGGCCAACATAGTAAAAACCTGTCTCTACCAAAAATACAAAAATTAGCTGGGCATGGTGGCAGGTGCCTGTAAGCCCAGCTACTCAGGAGGCTGAGGCAGGAGAATCGCTTGAACCCGGGTGGCAGAGGCTGCAGTGAGCCGAGATCACACCACCTCACTCCATCCTGGGCGAAAGAGCAAGACTCCGCCTCAAAAAAGCAATCAATAAATATGATTCATCACATAAGCTGAACTGAAGACAAAAAAACACATGATTATCTCAATAGAGGTAGAAAAGGCTTTTGATAAAATTCAACATTCTTTCATGTTAAAAACTCTACTAGGAAATGAAGGAGCACACCTTAAAATAATAAGAGTCATCTATGACAAACCCACAGCCAACATTATACTGAATGAGCAAAAGCTGGAAGCATTCCCCTTGAAAACTGACACAAGACAAGGATGCCCTCTCTCACTACTCCTATTGAACACAGTACTGCAAGTCCTAGCTACAGAAATCAGGCAAGAGAAAGAAATAAAATGCATATAAATAGAAGAAGATGAGGTCAAACTATCTCCATTTGCCAACTATATTATTCCACACCTAGAAAACCCCATAGTCTCTACACAAAAGCTCAGATCTAGCAAACAACTTCAGCAAAGTTTTAGGACACCAAATCAACATACAAAAGTCAACAGTATTTTTATACACCAACAATGTCCAAGCTGAGAGCCAAGTCAAGAACAGTTTAATTCAGAGCAGCCACAAACAGAATAAAATACCTAAGAATACAGCTAACCAGGAAGGTAAAAGGTCTCTACAAGGAGAATTACAAAACACTGCTCAACGAAATCAGAGAAGACAAAAACAAGTGTAAAATCATCCCATGTTCATGGATAGGAAGAATCAGTATCATTAAAATGCCCATACTACCCAAAGCAATCTAGATTCAGTGCTATTTTTATCAAACTACTAATGACATTCTTCACAGAACTAGAACAATCTATTTTAAAATTCACATGGAACCAAAAAAGAGGCCAAATAGCCAAGGCAATCCTAGGTGAAGAGAAAAAAGCCAGTGGCATCACATTACCTGACTTTGAACTATACTACAAGGCTACAGTGACCAAACAGCTCGGTACTGGTACAAAAACTAGCACATAGACCAATGAAACAGAATAGTGAGCCCAGAAATAAGGCTGCACATCTACAGCCATCTGATCTTCAACAAAACGTACAAAAATAAGCAATGTGGAAAAGAATCTCTACGCAATAAATGATACTGGGTTAACTGGCTAGCCATAAGCAGAAGATTGAAGCAGGACCCCTTCCTTACCCCTTCCTTACACTGTATACAACAATCAACTCAAGATGGATTAAAGACTTAAATATAAAACCCAAAATTATAAAAACCCTGGAAGAAAACCGAGGCAATACCATCCTGGACATAGGAACAGGCAAAGATTTCATGGCAAAGACACCAAAGGAATTGCAACAAAAGCAAAAATTGACAAATGGGATCTAATTAAACTTAACAGTTTCTGCACAGCAAAAGAAACTATCAACAGAGTAAACAGACAACCTACAGAATGGGAGAAAATATTTGTGAACTATGCATCTGACAAAGATCTAATATCCAACATCTACAAGTAACTTAACCAAATTTACAAGAGAAAAACAGGCAAGCCCATTAAAAAGTGGGCAGAGAACATGAACAGACACTTCTCAAAAGAAGACATATGTGCAGCCAACAAGCATATTAAAATAAAAAAAATAGCTCAATTCACTGCTCATTAGAATGATATTTTGGGCTGTGTTCCACCTGTTCTCACTGTTTTTCTTTTTTTGGTTCCTTTTTTCCTGTTCTTTTGTGGGTTACTGCAGCATATTTTAATATTCTAGTATTTCATTTTATTTTATCTATACTGTTTTTGGCACATCTCTTTTCATAGTTTTCTAGGAATATGTGTGTGTGTTTGTGTGTGTGTGACTTATCATAGTCTTTCAACATCTTACTACTGTAAGTAGCATGTAGACATCTTTGTTTCTTTTTTTTTTTTTTTTTTTTTGAGATGGAGTTTTGCTCTTGTTGCCCAGGCTAGAGTGCAATGGGACGATCTCGGCTCATTGCAACCTTTGCCTCCCTGGTTCTAGTGATTCTCCTATTATTTCCTATCTATCTGTTTCTAAAACTGCCTTTATTCATTCTTTTAGAGTAAGCCTGTGGTGACAAATGTTCTTAGATTTCCTTCATCTGAGAATGCTTTGCATTTCACCTTAACTCTTGAAGGATATTTTTGCTAGATTTAAGATTTTGAATTTATAGTACTTTTGTTACAGCATTTCAAAAAATGTAACCATTTACTTCCAGTCTTTATGGGTTTTGATGAGAAATCTGCTATCATTCAAAAAAATCTGCTATTGTTCTTCTAGTCAAACTATTATTACTCCTATGTTAGGCATCATTTCTTTCTAGCTGCTTTCAAGATTTTTTTTTTTTTTTTGTCTTCAGTTTTCAGAAATTTGATTATGATGTGTCTCAGCCTGAATTTCTTTTGGTTTGGCCTGATATTGGTTCACTCAGTTTCTTGAATCTGTATGTTTATGACTTTCCCCCAATTTGTGAAGCTTTTGCTCATATTTCTTAAAATTTTTTTTTTAGTTTTGTACTGTTCTTTTTTTCTGGGACTCTGAGGACACATATGTTAGGTATTTTACTCCCCCTCTCCCTGCCTTCCTTTGTACTGCCAGAGTATCCAAGATGGTTCATTTGTTAATTTGTTTTTTCTGTTCATCAGATTTTAAAATTGGTATTACTCAGGTTTCAAGTTTATAGTTTATTTCCTATTTCATCTTGTCCTGCTATTGAGCTCATCTAGTGTGGTTTTTGTTTTGGTTATTGCATTTTTTACTTCTAAAGTGATAGCCTTTTAATGATAACTGCTTTAAAATATTTGGAATTAATCATCATCTATATCATCTTAGTGTTGGCATATGTTAATTGTATTTTTTCATTGGAATTGAAATTTTCCTAGTTCTCAATATGACAAGTAGTTTTAAATGGTATCCTGTACCTTTTACATATTATTTTATGACACCCTTCTTCCTATTTTTTTACTTCCTGTTAGGTTGCATATACATTTCTTAGCTTATTTTTGTGGGCTGCAGTTCAAATGTCAGTTTAGTTCTCAAAGCCTTTCCAACATGCTTCTGGTCTGCCCCACTTATGTGTTATCCCGAAGTCAATCTAAAATCCGGGAGTTATTCTATACCACTGCTGAGTTCTTAAAGCGTTTGCTGTTTTGATTTTGGTCAGCTTCATGCATTGTCTGTTCAGGGATCTGTCCAGGACTTCATATGCAGATTATAAAAATTCTTCCCTCTAACCCTCTCAGTAATCCTCCTTCAGCTCTCTAATTGAGAGGATATGGTATTCTGGCTCATTATTGCATCATGGGGATGGAGGAGAGGGTCTATCCACAATCTGTTGGCTGCAGCACCCAGTTGAGTCAGGTGCAGGGTAGGGGCAAAGGGGTACTATCTCATTACTGAAGGGCAAGGATGCAATATAGTTTCTGCTGAGAGCCTGCATCTGGGAACAGGGGCCTCTCTCACTATTGCAGGGCAAGGATAAAAGGGCTCTTACCACAATTCCCACAGGTATGGAGAGGTTGCTGCTTTGTTTTTCAGGCTGTGGTTGGTGGACAGACCTCTGCTCACAATCTGGGTAGCTGCAGTGCTCCATGGGGAGGGGAAGGAGTCTATCTCTTTTCATGCTATTTTCCTGGAGCAGGCAAGTATAATCAAAATGTTTTTGTTCTGTTGGCTGTCCTTTTTCTGGTCCTTTAGCTAGAGACAGCAGGCTTTCCTTGGGACCTTTTTTTTTTTTTTTTTTAATATGGGTCTGTTGATGTTTCTCGGTTGTGGGTTTCTTTAGTGCCCATGTTGGGGTATAGAGAGGGCAAAACAAAAAACCCCAAGGGCCAGCCACAGTGGCTCACACCTGTAATCACAGTACTTTGGGAGTCCAAGCCATGGGACGCCAAGGTGGGCAGATCACCTGAGGTCAGGAGTTCGAGACCAGCCTGACCAACATGGAGAAACCCCGTCTCTTCTAAAAATACAAAATTAGCCAGCCATGGTGGCACATGCCTGTAATCCCAGCTACTCAGGAGGCTAAGGCAGGAAAATTGCCTGAAACCGGGAGGCGGAGGTTGTGGTGAGCTGAGATCGTGCCATTGTACTCCAGGCCTGGGCAACAGGAGTGAAATTCTGATTCAAAAAAAAAAAAAAAACAGGGATCTCACTCCCACTCACTCCCAGGGGTTTTCTCTTGAAGTTCCTATCCAGTCCACTTTATTTTCTTTCTCTTGTAAGGTCTTCTATTAGTTGCTTTTTGAATTTTGTCTAGAGTTTTAAAATTGTAATTAGTAGAGAAAATAAAGTGGAGTGTGCATACCCAACTTGTCTGGAACCAGCCATAGTTTCTTTTTTGTTCTCTTAATGTTTTGTTTCCTCACCTGTTTATTTTCCCCAATGCCTTATATAAAGTACCTAATTTGCTAATATTATAATGATTATACAAAATTAATTATAGGTAACTCTTGATTGTGAAATTGTCTGAGGTCTAGATAGCATGCATGCAGTTGTTCAGTAACTCTGGAGAGCCTGAATCCATGAAGAGAGTTGTAAATTCACCACCCAGTTACATAAAGGAGCAGGCGCATTTAGGTTTTGAAAGGCACTAGATTAACATAAATTAAAAGCACCCAAAGTATGCTTCATCTAAATTTAAAGCATGAAGAAAGGTATAAATGATTATTTTTTCTACACCAAATAAAATGATCTTAACTGATTACTACTTTGGGTTGACAATCATTATGTTATAACATGTTAAGTCAGTAGTTCTCCATTGTAAAACTGATCCCTCTTTTTACTTTCTTGATGAACTCTTAAAGGACATCTGTTGTGGGAAGTCAGGGACCCTGAATGGAGGGACCGGCTGGAGCCGAGGCAGAAGAACATAAATTGTGAAGATTTCATGGACATTTATCAGTTCCCCAAATTAATACTTTTATAATTTCTTATGCCTGTCTTTACTGCAGTCTCTGAACATAAATTGTGAAGATTTCATGGACATTTATCACTTCCCCAATCAATACTCTTATAATTTCTTATGCCTGTCTTTAATCTCTTAATCACGTTATGTTCATAAACTGAAAACGTACATCACCTCAGGACCACTATTGTACAAATGGATTGTAAAACATGTGTGTTTGAACAATATGAAATCAGTGCACCCTGAAAAAGAACAGAATAACAGTGATTTTCAGGGAACAAGGGAAGATAACCAGAAAGTCTGACTGCCTGCGGGGTCGGGCAGAATAAAGCCATATTTTTCTTCTTGCAGGGAGCCTATAAACGGATGTGCAAGTAGGAGACATATTGCTGAATTCTTTTCCCAGCAAGGAATATTAATAATTGAAACCCTGGGGAAGGAATGCATTCCTGGGGTAGGTCTATAGATGGCCGCTCTGGGAGTGTCTGTCTTATGCAGTTGAGATAAGGACTGAAATACACCCTGGTCTCCTGCAGTACCCTCAGGCTTAGTAGGATTGGGAAATTCCAGCCTGGTAAATTCTAGTCAGACTGTTTGTCTGCTCTAAAACCCTGTTTCCTGTTAAGATGTTTATCAAGACAATGCATGCACAGCGGGACATAGACCCTCATCAGTAATTCTAATTTTGCCTTGCCTTGGGATCTTTATTGCCCTTTGAAGCATGTGATCCTTGTGACCTACTTCCTGTTTGTACACCCCCCCTCCCCTTTTAAAATCCCTAATAAAAAACTTGCTGGTTTTGCGGCTCAAGGTCGCCATCATGGTCCTACCAATATGTGATGACACCCCCGGAGGCCCAGCTGTAAAATTTCTCTCTTTGTACTCTTTCTCTTTATTTCTCAGACCAGCTGACATTTAGGGAAAATAGAAAGAACCTACGTGGAAATATTGGGGGCTGGTTCCCCCGATAGACATCAATATTTTTTATGGTATTAGATCAATATATGCATTACTGGAAAACATTCAGTTGTGTCACTTTTATGTGCAACAGCTGTTTGGAATAATTTTAACTTGTTTGTAGTTTTTTATGTTGTGTGCTACATTACATTATTGTAATAATTGTTTGCTGTTCATATTTTTGCAGTTAGTCTGGAATATTTTGTTATTATTATTATTACATTTTTCTTTCTTGACTGCTGCTAGTATATTGCTTCTTCAATGACTGCCCTATTCATTTTTTATACACATCAAACAAAAACTGGCAGTAGAGAGTGATTGTAATTAGTTGGTAACAGAAGAGGTTGACAGCTTTGTAACCATGCTTTATTAAGAATTGAATATCTTCAATCTATGAATCAAAACTCAGGTTTTCAACATTCAACAATTCTGTTAATACAAATATCTGAATGAAACATTCTCATGACAGTTAACATATATATTTAAATTAAACTGTATCCCTATGTTTCAGATAATGTACCATCTAAAGTGGTAAAATATAAAGAAATTTATAATTCACTTATGCACTTACAACATTTATCACATACTTATTATGTGACAGGTATTGTGTTAGGTCTTGAAGTCATAAAGATGAATGAAACATGTTTCCTATTCTCAAGGAGTTCATACCCTATTGAGAAAAGATAAATATATGAACAATTTACTAGTGTGTGTATATATATAATATATACACACATACACATAATAAATGTATGTCTACATTTTATATATATTATATAATGTATTCATGTATGTATACAACTATCTATCATAAAAGCAGAATAATGTTACAAAGCCAGCAGGAATACAAACTATTTAGTTCATTGATGTAAATTATAAGTATGTCAGACCTGCCTGCATTCAATAAATTTCTGTTAAATGTTTGCTGAATTAACATAATTTTCACTCACTTTGCTTTTTTTCATCATTGTACCCTTTATCACTGTGATCTCGAGATGTCATTCAAACTATTCAAGCTTTGGTTCATACTATGTTAAACGGTCTTTATCATTAGAAATAATTCTCCCTTTATATGTTGTTGTGAGGACTAAACAAATTAATACATGGGAAAGCATTTTGTAAACTTTAAGTTACTGCGTTAGGTAATGTAAAGAATCCTATCCTTGATTTTATGCTATTGTATGAATAAAAAGACAAAAGCTAAATGTTCTATTATTAAATCCATTTTTTATTTCTGCCTTCTTAGTGCTCTGTTCTAGAATGTAGCTCTTCAACCAGAATGTGAACTCATTGTGGGCAGGATACTTTAAGTCTTAGTATCTACCTTATTCAGTACTCCTTAAGTGCCTCAACTTTGTGCCTGATATAGTAGGTGCTTAAAAAATGTTATTGATGGACAATTTTGTTTGTGCACATGTACCCTAGAACTTAAAGTATAATAAAAAAAAAAAGGTTGCATTATACTGCAAAATAAACAAACACCCCTGCCCCAGCCCTTTACATATCCAACCTCCTTCCCCCTAAAAACACTGTATGAGTTAGTAGCAGGATGAACAAGAAAGACAGCCAGTTGAAGTAAGAAACAAAACTTAATTAGATTAAAGAATCTGACAGGATATAAACTGATTCTATTTAAAAAGTAAAAATGCTGTTTTTACATATTTCCTTTATTTCCTTTACCCTTCCATATTCTTCTGCCAAAAAGGGGCTTAGTATTTTCTGTGCACCATTTTATTTATTTTTGTGTGTATGTATGTATGTATCTGTAAATATTCATTGGTTAAAATCAGAAAATACAGATATGTATAAAGATGAAAACCACTCGTAAGACTTATCTTTTAAATTGAGGATAATAAGAATCCCTACCATATAGAGGTAAGAGGATTAAATGAATTAATATTTGTAAATACTTAGAATAGTGCCTGATATACAGTAAGTCATCATATAAAAATGTTTGTGTATTAAATAGAATAAAATCCCACAAGCAAATGATATCCACTATTAATATTACCTATATACACATGTATAGCAAAGTTAGATTATTCCCTCAAGAATTTCACGGTGACAGTAAGCAAAAGAAATTCTTATAATAAACCTTGTCATATATATAAAGGGAGAGTTATTAGGAGGAATTGGCTCACATGATTATGGAGGCTAAGAAGTCCCACAGTCTGCCATTTGCGAGCTAGGAAATCAGTGGTGTAACTCAGTCAGAGTCTGAAGGTGTGAGAACTAGTGGAGCTGATGGTACAGATCTCAGTCCGAGGGTCTGAGAAGATGAGATGTCCTAGCTTAAGCAAGCAGGCAGGCAGCCAGCAAATGGGGAGAATTCCTCCTTCCTCTGCCTTTTATTTTCTTCAAGCCCTCAACTGATTGCATAATGCAACACACATTGGCAGGGCAATTCACTTTACTGAGTTCAGCCTTTCAAATGCTAATCTCAACTGGAAACACATTCACAGACACACCTCAAGATAATGTTTAATCTGGGCCCCCCTTGGCCAGTCAAGTTGACACATCAAATTAACTATCATAATGGGTTTTGTTTGTGGGTTTTGCTTACTATGGGTTTGTAGCTTTTAGCCTTTTAAACTAGAGAGGTCCTTAGAAGTGAGTCTCTTTTTACAATTAACATTAACTTAGTCTATTCTGGATTTAATTGACCATTTTTTCCCTCTTAAATTTCTTTTCTCTTAAGACACTGAGAAAAATCTCTCTTGTACCCTTGTGCTGAAGGTCATCAGAGGATATTTAGTTAATGTGATAGATCTCCCTAGAGGCAGAGGTCTGAACTTGATACTTGATGACCTCTAGTTCCTTCCTTTTTAAAAAAAAAAAATGAAGAGACCGGGCGCGGTGGCTCACGCCTGTAATCCCAGCACTTTGGGAGGCCGAAGCGGGCGG
Source organism: Homo sapiens (assembly GCF_000001405.40). Lineage (NCBI taxonomy): Eukaryota > Metazoa > Chordata > Mammalia > Primates > Hominidae > Homo > Homo sapiens. Next base: position 103,623,729 of record NC_000008.11, on the reverse strand, counting down.
ATCACGAGGTCAGGAGATCGAGACCATCCTGGCTAACACGGTGAAACCCCGTCTCTACTAAAAATACAAAAAAAAAAATTAGCCGGGCGTGGTGGCGGGCGCCTGTAGTCCCAGCTACTCGGGAGGCTGAGGCAGGAGAATGGCGTGAACCCGGGAGGCGGAGCTTGCAGTGAGCCGAGATCGCGCCACTGCACTCCAGCCTGGGCGACAGAGCGAGACTCCGTCTCAAAAAAAAAAAAAAAAAAAAAAAACTGAAGAAACCCTAGTTTAATTTTTATGTCTGTACCAAGGAAATGATTCAACATTTATTGAGAGCCAATTATTTGCCACACATACTACATATTTTTATCATTAGAAAATATTTCAAACATATAAAAAATTTTATATAGAAATAAAATGTGTTCTGTACTTTAATTTATTGTTTTACTTAATCTGAACTACCAGTCTATGAGGTAGCTATTGTACTCCCCATTTTTACAAATGTGTAATAAAATGGTTAAATAACTTACTAGGTATGAATGTTAGGGCTAGCATAAAACCTCAGTCTGCTTGACTCAGAAGCCCATACTCTTTCATATAAAAACTAGCAAAATCACATTGGGAGATCATGTTGCTTTTTTATTAACCTTCAATATGTCAGATCAAATTTGCCATCACCTGCATTTTCTTTGAGACTGTCTTATGGAACAAACAGAGACAGTTAGTGTCTTTCTTTACTCTTTTCAAGTTGTTTCAGAAATTCTCATTATTTTAAGTGCTCTCATATGTTGTGACAGCAGGTTCCTTTGACAGCCATCCTGTTCAGAATAAATAATCTGTGCTATGCCAGCATGATTTATTGCTGCTACTTCCTTTCTTTATGTTTTGAGTAATTTTATCACAAAAGGACATAAAGAGTTTTAGACATGTGCAAATGCCCGAGTGACTAGATCAGTTTCCCTGGCTGTTTAGCCAACTGCCTGTGGCTGGTGCTCCATTTGATAGCAGGGGGGAGAAGATAGGAGAGCATATAAGGTTATCAAATAAGGCAGATATACTGAATCACAGCACCCTTGTTGAACAGGTGGTGCTAATTGCAAATCCCTTTTCTTGAGGACTTTGAAAACGGAATGTGCATCTGTATGTATGAGATTGCTGAATCTATGACCTGGCTATAATCATAGGGTATATTGGGTGGTTACTTCTTTTTTAAACCAGATGGCATCTTAAAAATGTTACATATATTTAATTATATAAAAAATTGAAAAATAGAGACAGGAAAGATAAAATTCCCCACAATCTTGACACTCTCATTGAAATACTAGTAACATTTTTATGTGTTTTGTGTTTGTCTTTTTAAAATGTTATGCATTAAAAAAACACTTAGAGGTAATCTTCCAGATAATATCTTCACATTTCTTCTGGACTCAAGGTTTATATGACTTATAGTGATGATGCTGAAAAATTTCAGAATATAATGTATGTGTCATTGTTTGTATTCACTTAATCAGACATAGATACCCTTCTATGTGTTGCTCTACTTAAAATTATAAATTCTTATAATCCACTATAGCAAAAGTATTTTTTCTTTCTTCATAATTTACTTTTGTCTTCTCTTCTGTAAAGGGTAATAACCTTATTCTTTGTGAATAATTTTTATATTGTTAGAAATGTATTTTTCTCTACAAATCTCTAGAAATTAATGATAATTTTAAAAAATGATACTATGGCAAATCACAATATTTTTGGATTATTTTTATACACACAAGCATTAAATATATCATTTTGGAACCAATTATTTTTGGTTACCCTCATAGCCCAGTAAATTAAGTTGCTGTACTCATATTCTATCACTTAGGTACTTAGAAACAATAGAGAATTAATTTCAGTTTTATTTTTGCTACCATACATATATGATCAAAATGTGCATCAATGTCTCAAAAATACAACCATTTCTCCTACATCCATTCCTTCTGATGTTTGTGAATATTTACTGTGTGCCAAGCATTGTTCAAAAATTGTGGGTCCCAGAGATAAATGTAAAAAGTAAAGCAGAGGTTCCTCTTCAAAGACTTTCCTCTCCATCTAATTAGGAATAAACAGTAACTTCTCTTAGAAGCAAAATTTATTCAAAGACCTGTGCTAACATTCTTAAATATCTGCTAGACGTAATAAAGAAATCAATGAACTTTATGTTCTTAGCTCCCACAGTTTAGCCTAAATATTTGCCCTGGCATGCTTATACTGGTCCAAGCAAGCATTAGGTCATAGCCTATTCCTCTTCCTTATTTGAAGGTGTTTTTACCTTTCTCAGCATTCCACAAGTTACTTCCTCCTTCCTTTGTTCTCCTCTGCCTTTGCCTCTTTTAAAAAGTTCTAAGTTGCTAACCAATCGGGACAAATACAGAATGTGAGGTCCCGTTCCAGCCAATGGAAACCAGACACAGCAGTAGGGTGGGCACGTCAGGTTATCAATGACCCTGTCTCCTTTGTTCAGTGTACTCTTGTGGCAAAACTGCTGGTGGGTGTACCCTTTCTGCAGAAAGTAACAATGGCCTTGCTGAGGAAATTAAATTTATGTTCAAGTGCTATTTCTTTATGGCAATAAGGAACAAGCATTTCTAACATAAATAAGACATAATCCCTACTTTCAGGGAACTCACATAAAATTATTAGGACATCATGTGTAATATTTATTTGGCTATGTTTTTCAATTTACTGTTTTATTATTTTTATTTAAATTTCATTTATTTAGTTTCAAATATATAATATAGTCACATAGTTCAAAAGTTACAAAAAGTATGCAGTGAAATTTTCCTTCCCACATCTTTGTTCTATCCACCTATTCTTCTCCCTTAGGATAATATGTTCACAGTAAATACTTAAAAGGACAATTTTTTAAATTTTGAAAAGAAAATTTAGTTTTGAAAAGGGTGTTCTTATTTACTGAGTAACCACTATATGCCAGGCACTTTCTACATAAATTATTTAATCCACTTAATATCCTTTATCTGGTATTATCACAATTTTATTAATTATAAACAGAAACTCAATGAAATAAAGTTCCTGATGATCACATGAATACCAAACAATGTAACTAAGAATCGGGACTAGGTCTGTCTAAATTCTCCTTTGCCCATTCTCTTTGCACTCAGCTATCTTACACAAAATTAATGTTTTGGAATTCCAGCTGTTTACATTAATCGGTTGCTTTCATTTTTCCCTCAGATGATGGATAAAAAACAGGTTTTCACCCCAAACTAATAATGATAAGCTTGAGTAAGTAGTCATAGAAATTTAGGCATTTTTTTTTAAATTATAGCTTTTAAATGATGCGGTCAACATTTAGTTGTTCATATTGAAAAAAAACAAGAATTAAAAGTAATTTGGTGTTGAGTTTTCATTATGAGTTTATTGTCATATATATGTTTAACTTAGAAAAAAAATTTAAGCTTGTATTCCCTGAGCAAATATCATCTAGCAGTGAAGGAACATCTTTGGTGTCAGAGGAAAAACAATTTCACATTGAAAAGTTGCCATGTATACAACCTGGATAGATTATTGTAACATTTATTGACTACTTTTAATATGGAAATTATTTCAGCATTCATTGACAACCACTTTATTAGCCAACAGTTTGACAAATGTTACCTTATTATTCATAAGTATAGTGGCTCATTGTCATAGGCAAGGGTGGTGACAGCTAGAGCTTAGGAGCAATAGTTTCTAAAACACTAGTCTGTTTGTTATAGGTAAAATGCAAAAATAAGTCCATTTATAGATGTATATAGATGTTAAAATATTTGGCATCATACAGAAAATTATGTGTTTGTTTCATAGACATGTTCATATTTTCCCTTTGAGTATTTCCAGCTATGTACATACATCTTGTAGCAGAAAAATACATAGCCTTTTCTAGGAACTGTTATAAAAGTAGAGTAGCCAAAATGCGGATTAAAGGGAGAATCCTGTGTGCAAGCAGTAGTAGTGGTAGCTTTGAGTACTGATGGTAGAGGTGAAGGAAGCGAGAAAATGGTTGGTCTTTGTTCTGTGTTATTTCATTTAGGTTTACATTTACACAGAGAGTAGAAGTCTTTCTCTATGTGATCTGTTTTCTTCTCCTGCCTCCTTTTTGTAGTTCTGATTTATTTTACTGCTCTTTCTTTTCTTCCCCACTGTTTACCAACCTTGAATGCAGAAGATTTTTTTCTGCTGCTTAAAAGTTTGATTTTGATTTTGTTCTCAGAATATTTTTCCTTAATTCAGATGCAAATATTGGGAATTTCCCCAATATTCCAAATATTTATTTATATATCTTTACTTCTTAAATATGTTAATATCTACATAATTTCTCTAATAAGACAAATATTTAAGTATATTTTCATGATTCTTTGATGTACAACTACTCTCCCTCAACCACAATGTTGATATCATCTAGAATTTTAGCTTAGTTTTTAAAAAATACAACTTTGTTTTTTTTCTGAAATAGTTTTTACAGAACAGACACTAATAAATTTTACTAAGATACTTTTCTAAGATACTCTTACTTCATATATTTCTTGCCATATCTCTTGGTTTTGGTTCTCTTGTTACTTGAGAGCTTTTTCTCTTTTCAAGTACTCACTGTTTTCCATATTGGTTTTTTTTTTTTTTTTTTCAGCAAAAAGTGAAGTTATTGACTCATGTAATAGGGGAGCATATCCAGGAGTGGATTGGCTTCAGGCATATCTGGATCTAGAAGTTCAAACATTGTCATTCAAGCAACTTTTATTTCTCTACCTTTTTGCCTCTCTTTATCTGTTCTACAGACAAGTTCCTTCTATGTGGTAGTCAAGATGGGTGTCAATATCCCTGAATTGAATTCTCAAGCTTAGCAACCACGAGTGAAAATAGGTTTGTCTTCCAATATCCTTGCATTACCCTCAGAGAAAACTCTCATTTGCTCCACTTGAGTCATGTGTTCATTCTTAAAGTAGTCCCCCAGCTGGGAAGACAGTACATGTGAACTGAATGATCTGGGTGAAGTACTCATCTGTGTGAAGATGACAGGATACTACCATTGAGAGGCCCCTAAGGAAACATGTAGTCAGGGAATACTTTCTCTAGAGGAATCAGAAGAAGAGGGGTGGGAAATGGGATGGATAGACAAAAGTCATAGTTATTACAGCCTTGAAAATGGTCTCACACAATAATTCCCTTCCTCTCATTCTACCAGATTCTCCCTTTTTTGCAACTGTCTGGGTCTCTCCAGCTTCAGGAAACTTCTTTGAATCCTGTCCCTACTCTAGTGTCTTTTCCAGCATACACTGGCTGTACTGCCAATTTACAAATTAATGATATGCTGTACTGTGTTCTTCCTCAACCCATTTCCTGAGGGTTTCTGTAATAGCTATCTTTTCTGCTCCTTTCCCTCCTCCCACCCTCCCCATTCAAGTAGATCCTAGTGTTTGTTGTTTCCTTCTTTGTGTTCATTAAGTTATAATTTAGCTTTCTCTTATAAGTGAGAATATGTGGTATTTGGCTTTCTGTTCCTGTGTTACTTAGCCTCCAGCTCCATCCATGCTCCTGCAAAAGATATGATCTTCATTTTTCATGGCTACATAATATTCCATGGAGTATGTGTACCACATTTTCTTTATCTAGTCTGTCACTGATGGGCATTCAGGTTGATTCCATGGTCTTTGCCATTGAGAACAATGCTACAATGAACATTTGCATACCTGTGTCTTTACAGTGAAATGATTTATATTCCTATGGGATTGCTGGGTCAAATGGTATTTCTGCTATTAAATCTTTGAGGAATTGCCATATTGCTTTCCACAATGGTTGAACCAATTTACACTCCCACCAACACTTTATAAGTTTTCCATTTTCCCTGCAACCCTGCCAGCATCTGCTATTTTTTGACTTTTCAGTAACAGCCATTCTGACTGGTGTGAGGTGGTATGTCATTGTGGTTTTGATTTACATTTCTCTAATGATCACTAATACTGAATTTTTTTCATATGCCTGTTGACCGCATATACATCTTCTTTTGAGAAGTGTCTGATCATGTTCTTTGCCCACTTTTTAATGGGCTTGTTTTTCTCTTATAAATTTGTTAAAGTTCCTTGTAGATGATGAATATTAGACTTCGTCAGATGCACACTCTGCAAATATTTTCTCCCATTCTATAGGCTGTCTGTTTACTCTGTTGATAGTTTCTTTGGCTGTGCAGAAGCTCTTCAGTTTAATTAGATCACATGTCAATTTCTGCTTTTGTTGAGATTGCTTTTGGTATCTTTGTCATGGAATCTTTCCCCATTCCTGTGTCCAGAATGGTATTGCCTAGGTTTTCTTCCAGGGTTTTTATAGTTTTGGGTTTCACATTTAAGTCTTTAATCCATCTTCAGTTGAATTTTGGGTATGGCATAAGGAAGGAGTCCAGCTTCAATCTTCTGCATATGGCTAGCCAGTTAACCCAGCACCATTTATTGAATAGGGATTCTTTTCCCCATTTTTGTCAGTTTTGTTGAAGATCAGATGGTTATAAATGTGGGGCCCTATTTCTAGGCTCTCTATTCTGTTTCATTGGTCTATGTGCCTCTTTTCACATCCATACCATGCTGGTTGGTTACTGTAGCCTTGTAGTATGGTTTGAAGTTGGGTAACGTGATGCTGCCAGCTTTGTTCTTTTTACTCAGGATTGCCTTCGCTATCTGGGCTTTTTGGTTCCACATGAATTTTAAAATAGATTTTTCTAGTTTGTGAAGAATATCATTGGTGGCTTGGTAAGAATAGCACCAAATTAATAAATTGCTTTGGGGAGTATAGCTATTTTAATGATACCGATTCTTCCTATCCATGAACATGGGATGTTTTTCCATTTGTTTTTGTCTTCTCTGATTTCTTTGAGCAGAGTTTTGTAATTCTCATTGTAGAGATCTTTTACCTCCCTAGTTATCTGTATTCCTAGGTATTTTATTTTTTGTGTGGCAATTGTGAATGGTATTGCCTTTCCGATTTGGCTCTCAGATTGGTTATTGTTGGTGCATGGAAATACTAGTGATTTTTTTTTACAATGACTTTGTATCCTGCAACTTTGTTAAAGTTGTTTATCAGCTGAAGGAGCTTTTGGGCCTAGACTATGGGGTTTTCTAGATATAGAATCATGTTGTCTGCAAATAGAGATAGTTTGACTTCCTGTCTTCCCATCTGGATGCCCATTATTTCTTTCTCTTGCCTGACTGCTCTGGCTAGGACTTCCAAAACTATGTTGAATAGAAGTGGTGAGAGAGGGCATTCTTGCCTTGTGTCAGTCTTCAAGGGGAATGCTTCCAGCTTTTGTCCATTCAATATAATGTTGGCTGTGGGTTTGTCACAGGTGGCTATTATTATTTTGAACTATGTTCTTTCATTTCCTAGTTTATTCAGAGTTTGTAACATGAAAAAATGTTGAATTTTATCAAAAGCCTTTTCTGCATCTATTGAGACAATCATGTGTTTTTTTGTCTTCAGTTTAGCTTATGTGATGAATCATATTTATTGATTTTTACATATTGAACCAAACTGGCATCCTGGGGATGAAGCCTACCTGATTATGATGGATTAGCCTTCTGTTGTTCTGCTGGATTCAGTTTGCAAGTATTTTGTTGATTTTTACATCAATGTTCATCAACAATTTTGGCCTGAAGCTTTCTTTTTTTTATCATGTCTCTTCCAGGTTTTGGTATCAAGATGATGCTGGCCTCATAGAATGAGTTGGGAGATGTCCCTTCTCCTCGATTTTTTCAAATAGTTTCTGTAGGAATGGTACCACATCTTTTTTGGACATCTGGTAGAATTTGGCTGTGAATCCATCAGGTGTTGGGCGTTTTTGGTTTTCAGGCTACTTACTACTGATTCAATTTTGGAGCTCATTATTGGTCTGTTTGGGGAATCAATTACTTCCTGGCTCAGTCTTCGGAGGGTGTATGTGTCCAGGAATTTATCCATCTCTTCTAAGCGTTCTAGTTCGTGTGCATAGAGGTGTTTGTAGTAGTTTCTGATGGTTGTTTTTATTTCTGTGGTGTCAGTAGTAACATTCCTTTCATCATTTCTAATTGTGTTTATTTGGATGTTCTCTCTTTTCTTATTAGTCTAGCTAGTGGCCTATTTTATTAACTTTTTAAAAATCAACTCCTGAATTTGTTGATCTTTTGAATGATTTTTTGTCTCTTGCTTTTCTTCCTCAATTCATCTCTAATTTTTGTTATTTCTCATCTTCTGCTAGCTTTGGTGTTGATTTGTTCTTGCTTCTCTAATTCTTTCAGTTGTGAAATTAGGTTGTTAATGTGAGATCTTTCTAACTTTTTGATGTCGGCATTTAGTGCTATGAATTTCCCTTTTAACACTGTCTTAGCTGTGTCTCAGAGACTCTGGTAAGTTGTATCTTTGTTCTCATTATTTTCAAAGAACTTCCTGATTTCTGCCTTAATTTCATTATTTACCCAGAAGTCATGAAGGAGCATGTTGTTTAATTTCCATGTAGGTTTTGAGCGATTTTCATAGTCTTGACTTCTATTTTTATTGCGCTATGGTCTGACAGTGTGCTTGGTATTATTTCAGTTCTTTTACATTTGCTGAGGATTGTTTTATGTCCAATTATGTGGTCAATTTTAGAGCAGTAAAGGGTACATTTTAAAAAGATCTTTATTATGCTAATTATAGCCAGTAAGAGCAAATAATATAATATAAACATAATTAAAAGATAAAAGCTAATTAGCATTGGATGTGAAACAGAGAAATGTAATGAGATAGAAATTTCTCCAATAAATGCCAATTCAACTGTAAAGTCAAAAGTTTAATATGTGTTAGAAATGTGTCACAAAAATCTTCATATAAAGGGCAGTGAACATCATATTAGGTAATGTCCTCAACAGCACTGTCCCGAAACATGTATTAATAGAAATATGACATAGCTGTTAATTTCATGCGACTTCTGCAACTGTTACAAGCATAATATTCAATCTTTTTATGGAGGTAGAAAGATATACTAAGATATACTCCTTTGTGATGATCACTTTCATTATAAAGATTAATTTTGGAAACTTGAGTAGAAAGGAGGGTTGCTGTACTCACCACGATTTGAGAATACAAGCTCTGGAGGAAGGCGGAGCAAGATGGCAGAACAGAAGACTATGCCATTTGTTGCCCTGCATGAATACCAAATTCCAACAATGATCGGCACACACAAAAGCACTATCTCAATAACCAAAAATCTAGTGAGCAATCACAGTAACTGGCTTTAACTTTGAATCATTAAAAGGGGCATGAGAAGGATCAAAGAGACAGTCTTAAATAGCCAGTGCCACACCTCTCCAATGCACTAGCAAAGGCCATGCAGCACAGAGTCTGTGCACTTAGGGAAGGGAGAGCATAGTGACTGGGGGACATTACACAGATCTCAGTATTGCCCCATCATAGTGGAGAGCAAAGCTGTGCTGGGCTCCGCCAGTGCCCATGCATGGAGAGAGCAAACGGACCAGACCTGGCCAGGGGGAAATTGCCCAACCCAGTGGTCAGAACTCAAGTTTCTTGGCAAGACTTACCACAGGCAGAAGTACTCTAGGATCCTAAATAAGCTGAAAAGACAGTCTAGGACACAAGGACTGCAATTCCTAGGCAACTTCTAGTGCTGGGATGGGCTCAGAGCCAGAGGACTAAGGAGGCATGTGACCTATGGAGACACCAGCCGGGGTGGTTAAAGTAGTGCTTGCACCATCCCTTCCTGAACACCCAACACGGTAATAAAAGTGTTTCCTTCCTGATGCTTAACAGGCAGAGAGAGAAAAGTAAAAAGAAATTTGTCTTGAACCTTGAATACATACCTACTCAGCCACAGCAGGACAGGGCACTGAAAAGAGTCATGAGGCCCCCATTCCTGACCCTAGCTCCCAGGCAACATTTCTAGACACACCCAGGACCATGAGTGTGTCTTGAAGGAAGAATCCAGTACTAGCTTTGGCAGGATTAATCACGTGCTGACTCTTAAGGAGCCCTTGGTCCCGGAATAACCAGCAGTGATACCCAGGTAGTATGCCATGGGCCTTGGGGTCTGAGACGCACTGACTATAGGACATTCCCAGCTGCGGTGGCTATAGTGAAATACTTCTGTTTGATAAAATTAGAGGGAGACCTAAAGGAAACTATGTCTTGCATCTTAGGTACCAGTCCAGGCACAGTGGGGTAGAGCAATAAGTAGGTTCATGAGGTCCCTGAGCCCAGGCTTAGGCTCTTGGAGAGAATTTCTGGACCTGCCCTAGGCCAGAGGGGAGCCCACTGCCCTGAAGGGTGAGTCTCACACATGGAAGCATTCACCACAATTTTATGGAAGAGCCCTTGGGCGTTAAGTGAACATCAGTGATGGCCTGGCAGAATCTTCCCTACCACCTCAGTGGGCTAGGGTTAGTGTGCCCACAGGGATAGACTCCTCTGCCCATTGAAGGGAGATGGGAGAGTGAAAAGGACTTTATATTGTGGTTTAAGTGTCACCTTAGCCACAGTAGAATACAACATCAGACAAATTCCTAAGGTTTTTGACTCCAAATCCTAGCTCCAAGAAAGCATCTCTGGACTCAACCAGGGCCTGGGAAAATGCACCACCCTGAAGGAAAGGACCCAAACCTGTCTGCCTTTACCATCTGCTAATTGTAGAGCCCTAGGGGTTTGAGTACACATAGGTGGTAACCAGGGACTTAAGTAAGACCCAATGCTCTGTTGGCTTCAGGTCTGACCCAAAGCAGTATCAGTGGTCGTAGCCACAAGAGTGCTTGCATCAACACACAACCCAGTTCCAGGTGGCTCAGCACAGAGAGAGACTCCATTTGTCTGGAAGAAAGTAAGGTAAAAGAACAAGAGTCTTGGCCAGGTGCAGTGGCTCACGCCTGTAATCCCAGCACTTTGGAGGCTGAGGCAGGCGGATCATGAGGTCAGGAGTTCGAGACCAGCCTGGCCAACATTGTGAAACCCTGTCTCTACTAAAAAATCAGCCAGGCATGGTGGCACGCACCTGTAATCCCAGCCACTTGAGAGGCTGAGGCAGGAAAATTGCTTGAACCCAGTAGGCGGAGGTTGCAGGGAGCCAAGATGGCACCATTGCACTCCAGCCTGGGTGACAGCACAAGATTCCGTCTAGAGGGGGGAAAAAAAGAAAAGGAACAAGAGTCTCTGTCTAGTAATCCAGAGAATTCTTCCAGATGTTATACAAGGCCACCAAAGTGGTACCTGTATGAGTCTGCAAGAACCACGGTGGTATTGGGCCTAAGACCCATGTCCATTCAAATACCTGAAACACCTTCTCAAGAAAGACAGGTAGAAACAAGCCCAGACTGTGAAGACTACAATAAATACCTAACTCTTCAATGCCCAGAGACCAACAAACATCTACAAGCATCAAAACCATCCAGAAAAACATAACCTCACCAAACAAGCTAAATAAGGCACCAGGGCCCAATCCTGAAAATAGAGAGACATGTGACCTGTCAGACAGAGAATTCAATATAGCTATTTTAAGAAAACTCAAAGAAATTCAAGATAACACAGGGAAGGAATTCAAAATTCTATCAGATAAATTCAACAAAGAGATTAAAATAATTTTAAAAAATCAAGCAGAAATTCTAGAGTTACAAAAATGCAACTGACATGCTGAAGAATGCATTAGAGTCTCTCAGTAGCAGAACTGATCAGGCAGAAAAGAGAATGACTGACCTTGAAGACAGCTATTTGAAAATACATGCTCAGAGAAGACAAAAGAGAAAAAAAATAAAAAACAATGAAGTATGCCTACAAGATCTAGAAAATAGACTGAAAAGGGCAAATCTAAGAATCATTGGCCTTAAAGAAGAGGTAGAGAAAGAGATATAGATAGAAAGTTTATTGAAAAGGATAATATCAGAGAACTACCCAAACTTAGAGAAAGATATGAGCATTCAAGTACAAGAAGGCTATAGAACACCAAGCAGATTTAACCCAAAGAAGACGATGTCAAGGCATTTAAATAAGCAAACTCCCACAGCTAAAGGATAAAGAAAGGATCCTAAAAGCAGGAAAAAAAAAAGTAACAAATAACATACAATGTAGCTCCAATATGTCTGGTGGCTGACTTTTCACAGGCCAGGAGAGAGTGGCATGACATATTTAAATAGCTAAAGGAAAAAACGTTTACCCTAAAATACTACATCTGACAAAAAAAAAAAAATTCCTCCCAACACAAACAAAGGCTGAGGGATGCATCAACACTAGACCTATCCTATAAGAAATGCTAAAGGGTTTTCTTGAATCTGAAAAACACAAATGTTAATGGGCAAGAAGAAATCATCTGAAAACACAAAACTCACTAAGCATGCAGAAAAAAACAAAATATTAAAACACTGCAACTGCTGTATCTCAACTCCTCTTAAGAAGAAAGACTAAGTGATGAACCATGAAAATAATAATCATAACAATAATCTATCAAGACATAGTATAATAAGACATAAAGAGAAACAACAAAAAGTTTTAAAACAGGGGAATGAAATAAACACAATTAGAAATGACAAAGGGTAAATGACCACTAACCCCATAGAAATACAAAACAAAACAAAACAAAAAACCCTCAGGGACTACTACTACAAACACCTCTATGCACACAAACTAGAAAATCTAGAAGAAATGAATAAATTCCTAAAAACATACAACCTCCCAAGACTGAACCAGGAAGAAATTGAATCCCTGAACAGGCCGATAATGAGTTCGATAATTGAATCAGTAATAAAAATCCTACCAGCTCAAAGAAGCCCAGGCCCAGAAGGATTCACGCCTGAATTCTACCAGATGTATAGAAAAGAGTTGATACCATTCCTATTGAAACTATTCCCGAAAATTGTGAATGAACTCCTCTCGAACTCATTCTATGAGGCCAGCATTATCCTGATACCAAAACATGGCAGACACATGACAAAAGAAAATTTCCAGCCAATATCTTTGATGTACATAGATGTAAAACTCTTCAACAAAATATTAGCAAATCAAATCCAGCAGCACATCCAAAAGCTACTCCACCACAATCAAATTGGTTTTAGCCGTGGGATGCAAGACTGGCTATACAAATGCAAATCAATCAATATGATTCATCACATAAACAGGACTATAAACAAAGCACATCATTATCGCAATAGAGGCAGGAAAGGTTTTTGATAAAATTCAACATCCCTTCATGTTAAAAACCTGCAATAAAGTAGGCACTGAAGGAACATACGTCAAAATAATAAGAACCATCTATGACAAAACCACAGCCAACGTCATACTGAATGAGCAAAAGCTGGAGGCATTCCCCTTGAAAATCAGAATAAGACAGGGATGCCCTCTATCACCACTCCTATTCAACAAAGTATTGGAAGTCCTGACCAGAGCAATGAGACATGAAAAAGAAATAAAAGGCATCCAAATAGGAAGACAGAAAGTCAAACTATCCCCTTTGCATATGACATAGTTCTATATCTATAAAACCTCCCACTCTATCCCCAAAAGCACCTTGGTCTGATAAACAACTTCAGCAAGGTTTCAGAATACAAAATCAATGTACAAAAACCAGTGGCATTCCTATACACCAACAATGTCCAAGCAGAGAGCCAAATTAAGAATGCAGTTCCATTCGCAACTGCCACAAAATGAAGAAAATGCCTAGGAATACAGCTAATGAAGGAAGTGAAAGATCTCTACAATGAGAATTACAAAACACCACTCAAAGAAATCAGAGATGACATAACCAAATAGAAAGGCATTCCGTACTCATGGATGGGAATAATCAATATCATTAAAATGGCTATACTGTCCAAAGCAATTTACAGATTCACTGCTATTCTTATCAAACTACCAATGACATACTTCACAGAATTAGAAAAAAACTATTTAAAAATTCATACAGAAGCAAAAAAGAGCAGAAATAGCCACGGCAATCCTAAGCAGAAAGAACAAAACTGAAAGCAACACATTACCCAACTTCAAACTATACAAGGCTACCATAATCAAACAGCATGGAACGGTTACAAAGACACATAGGCCAATGGAACAGAGATAATGCCACACACCTACAACCATCTGATCTTGGACAAAGCTGACAAAAACAAGCAATAAAGGACTTCCTAATTAATAAAGAGTGCTGGGATAACTGACTATAGTGTTTGCAGAAAATTGAAGCTGGACCCCTTCTTTATACCATATCCAAACAGGAACTCAAGATGGATTAAAGAGTCAAATGTAAAGCCTGAAACTATAAAACTCTGGAAGATAGTCTAGGAAAGACCATTCTTAATATAGGACCTAGCAAGACTTCATGACAAAGATGCCAACAGCAATTGCAACAAAAACAAACATTGGCAAATAGAACTTAATTAAACTAAAGAGGTTCTGTACAGCAAAAGAAATTATCAACAAAGTGAACAGACAACCTACAGAATGGGAGAAAATATTTCCAAACTATACATCCAACGAAGCTCTAATATTCAGCACCTATAAAAAACTTAGACAAATCTACAAGCAAAAAACAAACAATTCCATTAAAAAGTGGGTAAAAGACATGAACCGGCACTTTTCAAAACAAGACATACATGTGGCCAACAAGCATATGAAAAAATGCTCAACATCACTAATCATTAGAAAAACGCAAATCAAAACCAAAATGAGATACCATCTCACACCAGTCAGATAGATATTATTAAAAAGTCAAAAAATGGGAGGGAGGAGCCAAGATGGCCGAATAGGAACAGCTCCGGTCTACAGCTCCCAGCGTGAGCAACGCAGAAGAAGGGTGATTTCTGCATTTCCATCTGAGGTACCAGGTTCATCTCACTAGGGAGTGCCAGACAGTGGGCGCAGGTCAGTGGGTGCGTGCACCGTGCGCGAGCCAAAGCAGGGCGAGGCATTGCCTCACTTGGGAAGTGCAACGGATCAGGGAGTTCCCTTTCCCAGTCAAAGAAAGGGGTGACGGACGGCACCTGGAAAATCGGGTCACTCCCACCCGAATACTGCGCTTTTCTGAAGGGCTTAAAAAACGGCGCACCATGAGATTATATCCTGCACATGGCTCAGAGGGTCCTACGCCCACGGAGTCTCGCTGATTGCTAGCACAGCAGTCTGAGATCAAACTGCAAGGCGGCAGCGAGGCTGGGGGAGGGGCGCCCACCATTGCCCAGGCTTGCTTAGGTAAACAAAGCAGCGGGAAGCTCGAACTGGGTGGAGCCCACCACAGCTCAAGGAGGCCTGCCTGCCTCTGTAGGCTCCACCTCTGGGGGCAGGGCACAGACAAACAAAAAGACAGCAGTAACCTCTGCAGACTTAAATGTCCCTGTCTGACAGCTTTGAAGAGAGCAGTGGTTCTCCCAGTACGCAGCTGGAGATCTGAGAACGGGCAGACTGCCTCCTCAAGTGGGTCCCTGACCCCCGAGCAGCCTAACTGGGAGGCACCCCCCAGCAGGGGCAGATTGACACCTCACAGGGCCCAGTACTCCAACAGACCTGCAGCTGAGGGTCCTGTCTGTTAGAAGGAAAACTAACAAACAGAAAGGACATCCACACCAAAAACCCATCTGTACATCACCATCATCAAAGACCAAAAGTAGATAAAACCACAAAGATGGGGAAAAAACAGAACAGAAAAACTGGAAATTAAAAAGCAGAGCGCCTCTCCTCCTCCAAAGGAATGCAGTTCCTCACCAGCAACGGAACAAAGCTGGATGGAGAATGACTTTGACGAGCTGAGAGAAGAAGGCTTCAGACGATCAAATTACTCTGAGCTATGGGAGGACATTCAGACCAAAGGCAAAGAAGTTGAAAACTTTGAAAAAAATTTAGAAGAATGTATAACTAGAATAACCAATACAGAGAAGTGCTTAAAGGAGCTGATGGAGCTGAAAACCAAGGCTCGAGAACTACGTGAAGAATGCAGAAGCCTCAGGAGCCGATGCGATCAACTGGAAGAAAGGGTATCAGCAATGGAAGATGAAATGAATGAAATGAAGTGAGAAGGGAAGTTTAGAGAAAAAAGAATAAAAAGAAATGAGCAAAGCCTCCAAGAAATATGGGACTATGTGAAAAGACCAAATCTACGTCTGATTGGTGTACCTGAAAGTGATGGGGAGAATGGAACCAAGTTGGAAAACACTCTGCAGGATATTATCCAGGAGAATTTCCCCGATCTAGCAAGGCAGGCCAACGTTCAGATTCAGGAAAAACAGAGAACGACACAAAGATACTCCTCAAGAAGAGCAACTCCAAGAACACAATTGTCAGATTCACCAAAGTAGAAATGAAGGAAAAAATGTTAAGGGCAGCCAGAGAGAAAGGTCGGGTTACCCTCAAAGGGAAGCCCATCAGACTAACAGCGGATCTCTCAGCAGAAACCCTACAAGCCAGAAGAGAGTGGGGGCCAATATTCAACATTCTTAAAGAAAAGAATTTTCATCCCAGAATTTCATATCCAGCCAAACTAAGCTTCATAAGTGAAGGAGAAATAAAATACTTCACAGACAAGCAAACGCTGAGAGATTTTGTCACCACGAGGCCTGCCCTAAAAGAGCTCCTGAAGGAAGCACTACACATGGAAAGGAACAACCGGCACCAGCCACTGCAAAATCATGCCAAAATGTAAAGACCATCGAGACTAGGAAGAAACTGCATCAACTAACGAGCAAAATAACCAGCTAACATCATAACGACAAGATCAGATTCACACATAACAATATTAACTTTAAATGTAAATGGACTAAATGCTCCAATTAAAAGACACAGACTGGCAAATTGGATAAAGAGTCAAGACTCATCAGTGTGCTGTATTCAGGAAACCCATCTCACGTGCAGAGACACACATAGGCTCAAAATAAAAGGATGGAGGAAGATCTACCAAGCAAATGGAAAACAAAAAAAGGCAGGGGTTGCAATCCTAGTCTCTGATAAAACAGACTTTAAACCAACAAAGATCAAAAGAGACAAAGAAGGCCATTATATAATGGTAAAGGGATCAATTCAACAAGAAGAGCTAACTATCCTAAATATATATGCACCCAATATAGGAGCACCCAGATTCATAGAGCAAGTCCTGAGTGACCTACAAAGAGACTTAGACTCCCACACATTAATAATGGGAGACTTTAACACCCCACTGTCAATATTAGACAGATCAATGAGACAGAAAGTCAACAGGGATACCCAGGAATTGAACCCAGCTCTGCACCAAGCAGACCTAATAGACATCTACAGAACTCTCCACCACAAATCAACAGAATATACATTTTTTTCAGCACCACACCACACTTATTCCAAAATTGACCACATACTTGGAAGTAAAGCTCTCCTCAGCAAATGTAAAAGAACAGAGATTATAACAAACTATCTCTCAGACCACAGTGCAATCAAACTAGAACTCAGGATTAAGAATCTCACTCAAAACTGCTCAACTACATGGAAACTGAACAACCTGCTCCTGAATGACTACTGGGTACATAACGAAATGAAGGCAGAAATAAAGATGTTCTTTGAAACCAACGAGAACAAAGACACAACATACCAGAATCTCTGGGACGCATTCAAAGCAGTGTGTAGAGGGAAATTTATAGCACTAAATGCCCACAAGAGAAAGCAGGAAAGATCCAAAATTGACACCCTAACATCACAAGTAAAAGAACTAGAAAAGCAAGAGCAAACACATTCAAAAGCTAGCAGAAGGCAAGAAATAACTAAAATCAGAGCAGAACTGAAGGAAATAGAGACACAAAAAACCCTTCAAAAAATTAATTAATCCAGGAGCTGGTTTTTTGAAAGGATCAACAAAATTGATAGACTGCTAGCAAGACTAATAAAGAAAAAAAGAGAGAAGAATCAAATAGACGCAATAAAAAATGATAAAGGGGATATCACCACCAATCCGACAGAAATACAAACTACCATCAGAGAATACTACAAACACCTCTATGCAAATAAACTAGAAAATCTAGCAGAAATGGATAAATTCCTCGACACATACACTCTCCCAAGACTAAACCAGGAAGAAGTTGAATCTCTGAACAGATCAATAACAGGATCAGAAATTGTGGCAATACTCAATAGTTTACCAACCAAAAAGAGTCCAGGACCAGATGGATTCACAGCTGAATTCTACCAGAGGTACAAGGAGGAACTGGTACCATTCCTTCTGAAACTATTCCAATCAATAGAAAAAGAGGGAATCCTCCCTAACTCTTTTTATGAGGCCAGCATCATCCTGATACCAAAGCCGGGCAGAGACACAAGCAAAAAAGAGAATTTTAGACCAATACCCTTGATGAATATTGATGCAAAAATCCTCAATAAAATACTGGCAAAACGAATCCAGCAGCACATCAAAAAGCTTATCCACCATGATCAAGTGGGCTTCATCCCTGGGATGCAAGGCTGGTTCAATATACGCAAATCAATAAATGTAATCCAGCATACAAACAGAGCCAAAGACAAAAACCACATGATTATCTCAATAGATGCAGAAAAAGCCTTTGACAAAATTCAACAACTCTTCATGCTAAAAACTCTTAATAAATTAGGTATTGATGGGATGTATCTCAAAATAAGAAGAGCTATCTATGACAAACCCACAGCCAATATCATACTGAATGGGCAAAAACTGGAAGCATTCCCTTTGAAAACTGGCACAAGACAGGGATGCCCTCTCTCACCACTCCTATTCAACATAGTGTTGGAAGTTCTGGCCAGGGCAATTAGGCAGGAGAAGGAAATAAAGGGTATTCAATTAGGAAAAGAGGAAGTCAAATTGTCCCTGTTTGCAGATGACATGATTGTATATCTAGAAAACCCCATTGTCTCAGCCCAAAATCTCCTTAAGCTGATAAGCAACTTCAGCAAAGTCTCAGGATACAAAATCAATGTACAAAAATCACAAGCATTCTTATACACCAACAACAGACAAACAGAGAGCCAAATCATGAGTGAACTCCCATTCACACTTGCTTCAAAGAGAATAAAATACCTAGGAATCCAACTTACAAGGGATGTGAAGGACCTCTTCAAGGAGAACTACAAACCACTGCTCAACGAAATAAAAGAGGATACAAACAAATGGAAGAACATTCCATGCTCATGGGTAGGAAGAATCAATATCGTGAAAATGGCCATACTGCCCAAGGTAATTTACAGATTGAATGCCATCCCCATCAAGCTACCAATGCCTTTCTTCACAGAATTGGAAAAAACTACTTTAAAGTTCATATGGAACCAAAAAAGAGCCCGCGTTGCCAAGTCAATCCTAAGCCAAAAGAACAAAGCTGGAGGCATCACACTACCTGACTTCAAACTATACTACAAGGCTATAGTAACCAAAACAGCATGGTACTGGTACCAAAACAGAGATATAGATCAATGGAACAGAACAGAGCCCTCAGAAATAACGCCGCATATCAACAACTATCTGATCTTTGACAAACCTGACAAAAACAAGCAATGGGGAAAGGATTCTCTATTTAATAAATGGTGCTGGGAAAACGGGCTAGCCATATGTAGAAAGCTGAAACTGGATCCCTTCCTTACACCTTATACAAAAATTAATTCAAGATGGATTAAAGACTTAAACGTTAGACCTAAAACCAGAAAAACCCTAGAAGAAAACCTAGGCATTACCATTCAGGACATAGGCATGGGCAAGGACTTCATGTCTAAAACACCAAAAGCAATGGCAACAAAAGACAAAATAGACAAATGGGATCTAATTAAACTAAAGAGCTTCTGCACAGCAAAAGAAACTACCATCAGAGTGAACAGGCAACCTACAAAATGGGAGAAAATTTTCGCAACCTACTCATCTGACAAAGGGCTAATATCCAGAATCTACAATGAACTCAAACAGATTTACAAGAAAAAAACAAACAACCCCATCAAAAAGTGGGCGAAGGACATGAACAGACACTTCTCAAAAGAAGACATTTATGCAGCCAAAAAACACATGAAAAAATGCTCATCATCACTGGCCATCAGAGAAATGCAAATCAAAACCACAATGAGATACCATCTCACACCAGTTAGAATGGCAATCATTAAAAAGTCAGGAAACAACAGGTGCTGGAGAGGATGTGGAGAAATAGGAACACTTTTACACTGTTGGTGGGACTGTAAACTAGTTCAACCATTGTGGAAGTCAATGTGGCGATTCATCAGGGATCCAGAACTAGAAATACCACTTGACCCAGCCATCCCATTACTGGGTATATACCCAAAGAACTCTAAATCATGCTGCTATAAAGACACATGCACACGTATGTTTATTGTGGCATTATTCACAATAGCAAAGACTTGGAACCAACCCAAATGCCCAACAATGATAGACTGGATTAAGAAAATGTGGCACATATACACCATGGAATACTATGCAGCCATAAAACATGATGAGTTCATGTCCTTTGTAGGGACATGGATGAAATTGGAAAGCATCATTCTCAGTAAACTATCGCAAGAACAAAAAACCAAACACCGCATATGCTCACTCATAGGTGGGAATTGAACAATGAGATCACATGGACACAGGAAGGGGAATATCACACTCTGGGGACTGTGTTGGGGTGGGGGGAGGGGGGAGGGATAGCACTGGGAGATATACCTAATGCTAGATGACGAGTTAGTGGGTGCAGTGCACCAGCATGGCACATGTATACATATGTAACTAACCTGCACAATGTGCACATGTACCCTAAAACTTAAAGTATAATAAAAAAATAAAAAATAAAAATAAAAAAGTCAAAAAATAACAGATGCTAGCAAGGCTGCTAAGAAAAGGAAACACTTATACATTGTTGGTGGGACTGTAAATTATTTCAGCCATTGTGGAAAGCAGTGTGACAATTACACAAATAACATAAAACAGAATTACCATTTGACCCAGCAATCCCATTAATGAGTATATGCCCAAAAGAATTAATATAAATTCCTCTACCATAGAGAGACATACTTGTGTATGGTCATTGCAGCACTATTCACAGTAGCAAAGACATGGATTCAACCCAAATGTGCATCAATGATACACTGTATGAAGAAAGTGTAGAACATATACACCATGAAATACAATCCAGCCATAAAAAAGGAGTTCACATCCTTTGCAGCAATATGGATGGAGCTGAAAGCCACTTTCCTAAGCAAACTAATGCAAGAACAGAAAGCCAAATACTGCATGTTCTCACTTGTAAGTGGGAGCTAAACAATGAGAATACATGGATACTAGGAGGGGAACAAAAGACGCTGGAGCCTCTTTGAGGGTGAAGAGTGGGAGGAGGGATGGGATCAGGAAAAAAAATACCTATTAAGTACTATGCTTATTACCTAGGTGATGAAATAATCTGTACAACAAACCCCCATGACATGCAGTTTACCTATATAAAAACCTGCACACGTAACCCCAAACCTAAAAATAAAAGTCATAACTTTAAAAAAGCATGGATCAGGCGTGGTGGCTCATGCCTGTAATCCCAGTACTTTGGGAGGCCGAGGCGGGCGGATCATGAGGTCAGGAGATTGAGACCATCCTGGCTAACATGGTGAAACCCCGTCTCTACTAAATATACCAAAAAAATTAGCCAGGCATGGTGGCATGCACCTGTAGTCCCAGCTACTCAGGAGGCTGAGGCAGGAGAATTGCTTGAACCTGGGAGGCAGAGGTGGCAGTGAGCCAGAATCATGCCACTGCACTCCAGCCCTCCAGCCTGGGCAATAAGAGTGAGACACCATCTCAAAAAAATAAATAAATAATAAAAATAAAAAAGCATGAAGATGAAGTTAAAGGCTAGAATTTTTATTAGATTTTGTCAAGTTTGTTTGTTTATGCTATCAGTGTTAAGCTGTCATGAGTTTAAAATAATAGGTTATAAGAAAGTCTTTGCAAGCCTCACAGTAACCTCAAATTGAAAAAAACAGAACAGATACATAAAAAATAAAAAGCAAAAAGTAAATCATAAAACCAGAGGAAATCACTTTCACTAAAAAAGACAGGAAAGAGAAGACCCCCTAAACAACCAGAAAATAAATAACAAAATTTCAGGAGTAAGTCCTCATCAATAATAACAATATAAATGGACTAAACTTTCCAATCAAAAGACACAGAGTGGCTGAATAGATGAAAAAAAAACTCCATGATCTGTTGCCTACAAGAAACACACTTCACCTATATATATGCATATAGACTGAAAATAAAGGGATGAAAAAAGATATTCCATGCCAATGGAAACCAAAAAAGAGGAGAAGTCACTATATTTATATCAGACAAAATAGATTTCAAGATAAAAACTGTAAGAAGACACAAAGAAGGTCATTATATGATAAAGTGTTCAATCCAGCAACAGGATATAATTATTGTAAATATATACGCAACCAACACTGGAACACCCAGATATACAAAGGTAACATTATTGGAGCTAAAGAGAGAGAGAGGCCCAAATAAAATAATAGCTGGAGACTTCAACAATGCACCATAAGCATGGGCAACCAAAGCAAAAATGGACAAATGGGATCACATCATGTTAAAAAGCTTCTGTATAGCAAAGGATACAATAAACAAATTGAATCAACAACCCACAGAATGGGAGAAAATATTTTGCAAACTATGCATCTGACAAGTGGTTAATACCCAGAATATATAAGGAGCTCAAACAACGCTATAGGAAAAGAATCTAATAATCCATTAAAAAATAGGCAGCAGATATGAATAGACATTTCTCAAAAGAAGACATACAAATGACAAACAGGCTTATAAAAAGGTGCTCAACATCACTGATTCATTGATTAATTCATCAGAGAAATACAAATCAAAACTACAATGGGATCTCTCACCACAGTTAAAATGGCTTATATCCAAAAGGCAGGCAATAACAAATGTTGGAGAGGATGTGAAAAAAAAGGGAACCCTCATACACTGTGGGTGAGAATGTAAATTAGTACAACCACTATGGAGAACAGTTTCCAGGTTCCTCAAAAAAACTAAAATGTTGAGCTACCATATGATTCAGCACTCCCACTGATGGTTACACAGCCAAAACAAGGAAATCAGCATATTGAAGAGAGATCTGCACTCCTATGTTTGTTGTAGCACTGTTCACAACAAACAAGATTTACAAGCAACCTAAGCATCCATCAACAGATGAATGGATAAAGAAAATGTGAGCCAGGCATGGTGGCTCACGCCTGTAATCCCAGCACTTTGGGAGGCCAAGGCATGCGGATCACTTGAGGTCAGGAGTTCAAGACCAGCCTCGCCAATATGGCAAAACCCCATGTCTACTAAAAATACAAAAAATTAGCGAGGCATGGTGGCACATGCCTGTAATCCCAGCTACTCAGGATGCTGAGGCATGATAATTGCTCGAACCCAGGAGGCAGAGGTTACAGTGAGCCAAGATTGCACCACTGCACTCCAGCCTGGGTGACAGACTGAGACTCTGTCTCAGAAAAAAGAAAGAAAGAAAGAAAGAAAATGTAGCATTTATACACAATGGAGTACTACTCAGCCACTAAAAGAATGAGATTCTGTCATCTGCAACAACATGGATGCAACTGGGGGTAAGACAGGCACGGAAAGACAAACATTGTATGTTCTCACTCATTTGTGGGATGTAAAAATTTGTGGGAAGTAAAAATTTGTGGGAGATAGAGAGTAGAAGGAGGGTTATCAAAGGCTGATAAGGGTAGTGAGGGGTTAGCGGAGATGAGGATGATTAATGGACACAAAAAATAGTTTGAAAGAATGAGTAAGACCATATTTGATAGCACAACAGGGTGACTATAGTCAAAATAATTTGATTGTAAATTTTTAAATAACTACAAGAGTATAATTGGATGGTTTGTAACACAAAGGATAAAGGCTTGAAGGAACAGATACCTATTTTCCATGATGTGATTACTATTCATTGCATGCTTTATCAAAATATCTCATGTACCCTATATATATTTACTATGTATGCACAAAAATTAAAATTAAAAAAATGACCAGGTACAGTGGCTCATGCCTGTAATCCCAGCACTTCAGAGGCCAAGGCAAGAGGATCACTTGAGCCTAGAAGTTCAAGACCAGCCTGGGTAGTATAGTGAGGTCTCGTCTCTACAAAACAAAACAAAAAAAATTAATTAATTAGCCAGGCATGGTGGTGTGCAGCTATAGTCCCTGCTACTCTGGAGGCTGAGGTGGGAGGATCACCTGAGCCCAGGAGGTGAGGGTTGCATTGAGCAGAGATCACACCCCTGCATGACAATCAGGGCAACAGAGTGAGATCTTGTCTCAAAGAAAAAAAATATATATATACACATATATATTTATTTATATATTAAAATATACATTATATATAATAAAAACAATACAAACTCTGGAGTCAAACATACTAGATTCGTATGCTGATTTCATCACTAACTACTTGTGATACCTTGGACAGTTCCCTTCCCTCTCAGAGCCTGAATTTCCCCACTTGTAAAAACGGAGAATAAAAACAGTATCTATTTCACAAATACAAATATTCATTTGTATTTGAATAAAATCCAAATACAGATGAAAGGTCCTGGTTCATATATTAAGTGCTGTACAACTGTAAGTAGTAGCAGTAGTGTTATTGTTGTTCTTAAGAAGAAAAAAAGAGGAAGGAGAAGAGTTTTAATATGGCTTTCAGACAACTTTTGCCTAATAGCTGTCTCTCCCTAGCTCTTGGCAAAAATTGAGGAGAAAATATTCAAAGTTGAGGGCAGTAGGAGTAGATCTTCTGGGTTAATAGAAAGATCAATATGTTTTAGCTAACAGATACATCAATGGTAACAACAATAACTTACTGTAAAAAAAAAAATAAAGATCCTATCTATCTTGGTCATCCCCCTTATAGACAGAAGCAGATCATAGAACTACCTGTCAGCAAAGCCAGGACTTTTCTTTAAAAGAAGCTCTATCTCCTATTTACTTTTGGAACAAGTATTTGTTGAAACCTCAGAATTCTGTACTTTAAACTATGGAAGAGATGCTCTTGGTTTGGAAGACTTTGAGATCAAGACTTGCCACTGAAAACCATTATATCATCATGTCAAAGAACACTCCCCAATTGGGCAAGTAACAAATAATAATGTCCTTCGCCAGGACAGAGTATAGAGGTAAGGTTTTGCTTCTAACACTACTTGTTATTAATTCATTAACCACTTGCTGCCACTTGAATCTGCCCAATTTATAATCCTGCCACAGTATAAAATCTCCTAGTGCATATTTTCCTGACAAATAAAATTATTACCTCAATGAATTCCATTTTTGTAAGATTACGAATAGGAAGATGAATAAGGATTTATTTCAGTATCTTGACATCTTTCAATGCATTCATCTTAGTCTCTCAGCCTATTCATTTCTAAATGTAGCACAAGACCAAAAGAGCTGCAACAGAGCTTCAAATGTCCGTATGATCAGGAATTGCTTTGGAATCCCAGTTTTTATAGTAGTTTTACTAAATTAAGTTGACCTAAGCACCTCAGAGACAGTAATGTTATTCTGGGGCTCATACAAAAGTTGTGATGGAATTTAAAGGTTTCTACGGGAAATCTGATTTAGTTCAGATCCATTCTTCCAAGGCTTTCTATGAATGTTTCTAAACTTGATCACAAACATATAAAGTGGTTGATCCAAATAAGTAAACTATGAAAGCAGCTAAGGCTAAAAAGTATATCTTACATACAATTACATTCAAACTTTTTTTGAACTTGACCCACAGCAAGAAAGACATTTACATATAATATATACTTATAGAAATGCATATAATTAAAAATAAAATTCCGTAAAATAATACTTTTAAGTGCAATATCGGATATAGCCTATTCTTTTCAATTTACATCTTTGTTCTTAATTAATAGTTTTATTCACACCAAATTGATTTCATGACCCACGGTTTAAAAAACACTATTATATACAGATGATTATAGCTTATAACCTCTGGACAACTTTCAGAATATTCATAAGGTTCAGATAGCAGGTGAATAAAAAAAAAAATAATAACATGAGGTGCCTTTATAGTTACCTATCATAGATGCAGAAAGGCAGGTTGTTTAGTCACCCTATAGGTTTCAAATCACTGTAGTTCTATATATAAAAGAGTTCAAAGGAGAGGGATAATTATTAGGGACAGAAGGAAAGTATAACATTGAACAGAGAAAAGGAAATGAACATTAAGTAAGCAGAGAGGCAGGAGGTGTGGGACCTACTGTGCTGACAAAGGAAGCAGAGACTGGAAAATAAACACAGCCAGAGCCAGGAAAACAAGTAGAACCTGAAGCAGGAGGCTAAATGGAGCCAGAGCCAGAAGGGTATGCATAAACAGGGACACAAGAGGAAACAAGGCCAACAGAAAATAATGTGCATGCCAGAAAGTAAAAAAGCCTGATGGCATTTGGCTGTCTTATGCATGAGAGCAGAAAGGCCTGAAACTGTGCTACTATGTGTATTCTCTCAGGCTATCAGAGAACTAGAACTTTATATGCAGCTAAAACTCACTATAGTTAAAGAAAATATGGTCATTATCTATTATGCTCTATTAATTAGCACTTCTTTTCTACCAATAAATTTGATCTTCTTTTATTAGAATGCTCAACTGAGAAAATAAGCATATGTTCTTAATCTGTTTGTTAATTTTCCACTGCCAGAATTTAGAATCAAATTTAATTTCTACCACATTGTTATCCAAATCATTTCCTGGTTTCTTTAATACTTCATGTACACAACAATGCTATGGAAATAACAGCGCTGTTTTGATGGAAAAAATATTAAGATTCATATTGTGGGGAAACTATCTTCTTTTATGTTTTACTAATAAATTATTTCCAATAGAGCTCAGCAAATTAGTGATGCAATTATTACAAAATAACAACTACTTGGCAAAGTGCTTAAGCTGTGTCTTTAAAAAATGACTGGATAGGTTTTTATTCTTTTTTCTTATTATTATTTTATTTTTACAAGAATCAGTACTATGTAACAAAAAAGTTAAATTTCAGGTCAAATTGTAATTTTTTAGAATCAGTCAGATATTTTTATTTTTTATTGACAAGTAATAATTGCACATGTACAAGGAGTACATGGTAGTGTTTCAATACATATAATGTATGACGATCAGATAAAAGTAATTAGCATATCCACTATAGTTAACAATAACATATAGTTTCAAATAGCTAGAAGGAGGATATTGAATGTTTCCAACACAAAGATATTATTAATATTTGAGATATTTACATTTATGAGGAGAGCTAATTCACCACATGGTAATTCAGCAAAGCCTATTCAATCCAGTTCACTATTAAGCAAAGGTGCACCACCTCTACCAAAAAACAACAAAAACAAAACAAAAACCCAAGGTTTATAAAGTATTTGAGTATTTGCTGTCATCTTAATTGGTGATCACTTAAATTAATTGGCGATCACCTAAATTAATTGGCAAAGTATTATTTATGGTTAAATAATTTCAATAAGCAAGTGAATAACATGTAAACACATACCAACTTAAATAAATATTTCAAAAAATAAAACATATAGCACTGATAATATCTTGAACAATTATGAAATTTAGAAATTGTCCCTATTCAATTAATTGGCTTATTATTTAAGAAGTACATAAAAGTTGTTTGTAAAAGAAAAAGATATGAAAATAAGTTCAAATTAAGACAAATTTCAGAAGATTAGGTTAGAAAGATCTAAGAGTGTAAAAGGTATAAATGCCCTACAATCCATGAATTAGCCATTGTGTTCACAGCAACATGATTTGTAAGAGAGAGAAATATTGAAAGTAACTTCTTGGTATGTTAATTAGTTACCAAAAACAAGAACAAAAACCTCCCGCTGTTTATTCATAGGAAAAAAAAGATGGAAGAGGTTTTCTGTGGGATGGGATCGAAGAGGAAGTCCTCATTTCTTCTTAAAATTATACTACGACTAAATACCATACTATTTGGAGGGTTGAGGTAAATCACTAAGGTTAGCAACAACTACATCTCTTCCATTGAGATGCTCCACTGCTCCCCAAGAAGAATGAACTGACTGACCCAACTGCTAAGTACAGAAAATTATATCTTCTTATACTGCAGTTCCTAAATTTGAAGTTTGCCATGTCTAAGCACAAATCCAAATGACTGCTTAGGTCTCTCTCTTGGAATTTTCCACAGCCCCAACACTTCTCTTCTTACTTCATAGATTTGAGAGTAAGTCTATCCTTTTCTAAATCTTAACTCTTCTTACTTCCCTCTGCCAAGTTCAGATATCAGGGCCCCACAGCCAATTATTGTTATTACACTTTCTCCCATCTCATGAATCTGAATGAAAAACTTGAGGGTGAGGGACAAGACACTGTATTTCTGGAAATTGTGTTGTAACTATGGCAAATAAGATGAGAAATTGTACCTTTTACTGTATTTGTAAGAAAATATACATAAACTAGAATATGTGTTTATATGATGAGGATTAATTGCATAATCACAAATCTGCTAACATGGACACTTCAAATAGATATTAATATTAAAAGACAAACAAAGGGAGAAGAGAAACTCTGCAAAACTTTTGACAGTCTATAAAGAATAAAAATTATTGTAGTAATTTTCCACAATAAGAATTACATATATCAGACTTTTATAATTTTACCAATTATAACACTAAATTCTATAGAAGCATATACCATCCATTTTATATTTATGTGACATGGTCATCTACTCACAGAACATAATCTTAGCACAACTAGAAAAAGAAATGAAAAAAATGCAGATGAACATTGGCAAAAATTTACCTCAGAATGAATAATCATGAGCTATCTGGCTTTCAAATCTCACTGAACTGTTCCCAGGTTTCATGGACTTTCTCCCATGTCTTATAGGGATAGCAGCCAGGTGAAACATACTTATATATTGTAAATGAAGGTTAGGCAACTTAGAAACACATCTAAAGATTTGAAGCCAAGTAATCACCAACCTACTTTGTCTATATTTTCTTTCTTTGTCTTGAGGTTAGAAACATTTACAATTTACTAATATCCTGTATTTCCATAAGTATCTATGGATATGCCATCCAGCAGCAATCTGCATTCCCTTTTATCAGAGAACACAAATACAGTTGATTCTTATTATTTGCAGACCATTTACGTGTTGTATAAAATTGCTATAAACCATGAATTAGCAAATACTGAACTACTGCTCCCAGGGAGGAATATATAGGGTTAGCTTCCTAACAGCCTCTGATCACATTTTCATCAACCAATCAACTCATAGGCTTTTTGTGTGTGTGTTTCTGTTTAAACATGCCTTATTTAATACATACTGTTGATTGATTAACAAGGAACTCATAGCCATTAGCACTATGATTCATGCCTGAATGAAACTTAACTAACACATGTATTTTCTCCATAAGGAACATCTTGTCTTGAGAATGCTAGATTACACTTAGGGGCTATTTTAAATAGCAAAATTACCAACAAAGAGCATAAAAATGAAAAAAAATGTGGCACTAAATAGGCCACAAAAAGGACATTTGTTAAGTTATCACAGTTGAAACAAAAAGGCAGTGCCTCTTTGTTGAACCTCAGCTGGGAGCATCCACATGGAGTTACTCAAATTTTTCACTGTTCTGCACATGTACACGCCCAAAAATAATCGTGAAAGTGCTGTAAGTATTAATTTTGAGGTTGCAAATATATTTTAGTAGGTAAGTCAATTCACAAATACAGAATCTGAAAAAAATGAGAAACAACTGTACATCTAAAATACTATGTCTTTCCTCTATTTCATCAGTTCTCCAACTTTTTTGTCTCAGAACCCCTTCATATTAGTAAAAATTATTGAGGATCTCAATGTGCTTTTGTTTAATAAGTTATATATATATTTCTATCTACTTTTTAGAAATTAAATTTTCTATTTATTTTTAAATTGATTTTTAATTATTAATAATAAATCCATTGCATGCTAACATAAGTTATCTGTTATGTATTGTTTATATTAACATTAATTAATTAAAAGTAATCACATTTCTCAAAAGATTTACTGAGAAAATAATATTATTTTATATTTTTGCACAACTCTTAAGGTCTAGCTTAGTAGAAGGTGGCTGGATTTTCATATCTGCTTCTGTGTTCTACATGTCCTAATATATTGCTTTGGTTGAAGTAAATGAAGAAAATTTGGGTTCACACAGATATTTGATTGGAAAAGGAAAGAATATTTAATAATTTGTTCAGGTCATTATAGATATCTTTTGGTATATGCTATACCAAAAATCAGCAGGTAGTCGTTTCAGAAAGGTTAACTGTATGCAAAAACCAAAACCATATCAATGAACTTTCTGTACTCTGTTACATTAAAATCTTTTGGTCCCTCTTGTACTTTGAATAGGTCTTTTACCCATGTGCAATTTTGCAGCAGCACACATTGGTCAGCTGGAAGACGTTCTTCAAATATTCTAAATGTTAACATATTACATCATACAATATCCAAAAATCATATCATTAACATCACCACTGATCTCATCAGAAAAGTCTTCAAAACTTCAGATACTGTCACATTCATGGTAGTGAACAAGTTTTCCAAAATTCTAATTTTTACTTGAAAGCTCAAATGTTATCATTGGCAACAAATACTGTCAGTTGTCTTCCTTTAAGTGACAGGCTCAACTTGGTTCAATTTCAAGAAAATGTCTTCAAACATCCAAATGTAAATAACAATAGTTTGGCACTTCTTTCAAATAAAAATTGAGTCCCATGAAAAAAAGCAACTACTTTGGCTCAAAATTCAAATAACTGTACAAGTTCTGTGGGACAATCATTCTCCAATATGTAGAAGTGTTCTATTAGTACTTCCCATTTCATCACACGGGATATTAAAACAATGTGTACTCAAAGGTCAAGACTTAATAAAATTAATAATTTTTACTGCTTCATTAAAGACCTTAAGTCAACTTGACTTTTATTTTCTGCATGTGTCTTGTGAAAAATGTGTACTAAAAAAAGTTTAATGCTAATACCTTATTCTTGTGTTTTACCTGCATTGCTTCTGCACCAGATGTAAATATAAAAAACCATAAAAAGCAAATAAAACCTTAGTATGATTATGAAAATAGTTTTGACTTCACATATATCCTGAAATGGTCTTGGAGACTGCCAGTGGTCCACATATCACACTTTGAGAACCACTGTTCTATGTCATATATTGGATTTGTATAGTTTTGAATCTTTGTTTTATCTAATATTGTTGAAAATTAAGGGAAAACATATTTAGATCTAGGTGATTACTCAATGCCAAGATGCCATGGACACTAAATGATTTTAGGTGAATTGGGATGAGTGCTCTACTTTGCAAGACACCAAGAGCTTACAAGATGAAAATGAACTTAGTAAATCAAACTATCAATAATAAACACTCTGAAATGGAAGAATATGTTTTATTTGTAGAATCATTACTCTTGGTGTTATGTTATTCCCTGTCATAGGATAATGGTTGTTATAATAAATTAAGGATAGAGGCATTTGGAGGGGAAAAAGTAAATAACAGAAAGAAAATTGTGAAAATGTTATAGTGAGAAATTAGGATTTCTAACCTAAAACAATTTCTCAAAATATTCTCCTTTAAGTTTTATTGATTACACCACCTGCTCCCATGACATCAAAGGGCAACATGTCCTAAGATTCTGCAAGAACATCTAAATAAATCAAGAGGTATATAGTATTCATGAATTGGAAGTTCTAATATTGTTAAATGTCAATTCTTTCCAAATAGATCTAAAGATTCAATGCAATCCCAATCATAACTTCACTAAGCTTTTTTGTAATAATTGACTAGCTGATTCTTTCTTAACTTTATATGGAAGTACAAAAGAACACAGAATATTAATCCAACTCTGAGAAAGAAAAAAAGGTAAGAGGTTTAAACATCCCATCTTCAATACTTATTCTAAATCCATAGTAATTAAGGCAGTGTGGCACTGACATAAGGATTAATAAATAGATCAGTGGAACAGAATACAGAGCCAAAAATGAAATAACTTGATTTTCTACAAAAACACTGAAGCACTCCATTGAGGAAAAAAATTTTGTTTAACAACTAATACTGCAAAACTGGATATCCATATGGAAAAAATTTTTAAAAGGAATGTCAACCCTCACTTCATACCACATACAATAATTAATTCAACACGGATTATAGACCTAAACATAAAAGTTAAACCTATAAAGATTTTAGAAGGAAACAGAATATCTGTAATATTTAGAGGTAAACAAAGGTATTCTAGAAAAAACACAGAGACAATAATCATAGAATTTTAAAAGTGATAAATCCAATTTCATCAAAATTTTAAACTAACTTTCATCAAAAGATATTATGAAGAAAATGAGAAGACAAGCATACACTGGGAGAAAATATTTGCAAAACACAGATGAGATAGTAAATTCATATCCAGCATGAATAAACAGAACTTAAAAACTTATTGATTAAAAAAATCCAACAACCCAATACTAAAAATGAGCAAAACATTTGAACAGACAGTCCATGAAGGAATATGTATGAATGATCAATAAGCACATGGAAAAGCTTAACATCTTTAGTCACCAAGGATATGCAAATTAAAACCACAGAGAGCTACCTCTACATATTATAAAATGAACACAAAATGTTAGTGAACATAGAGAGGGCCAGAACTCTTATACCTTTTTTGGTGGGAGTATAAAATACTCCCAAAAGGTATAAAATACCTTTTTTGGTGGGAGTATAAAATAAAAGCACTCTGGAAAAAGGCCTGGCAATTTCTCATAAAAATAAACATAAACCTGCCCTACGATCCAGCAATTTCACTTACAGGTATTTATCCAAAAGTAATGAAAACATATGTCTACAAAAACACTTCAACAAGAACCACAAATTAGGAAATATCCTAAAAATTTATCTGATACATTCAACAACATAAATGAATCTC
This sequence comes from Homo sapiens, assembly GCF_000001405.40. NCBI lineage: Eukaryota > Metazoa > Chordata > Mammalia > Primates > Hominidae > Homo > Homo sapiens. Next base: position 103,590,788 of record NC_000008.11, on the reverse strand, counting down.
AAAAACATTATCCTCAGTGAAATATGCCTTACACAGAAGAATATAGTCTACATAGCATTAATATGAAGTTTATCTACAAGCAAAACTAATTCATGGTGGGAAAAAAAGTCTTCCTAAGGGCAGGGAGGTGGATAAAATATACGATAGATTCATGAATGTATAAAGGAATAGATGGGATAAAATGTTAATTGTAACATCTAGATGGTGGGTATATGGGTGTTCACTATAAAATTCTTTCAACTTTTCTGTATGCTTGAAATTTTTCATGGTAAGTTGTTGGAAAAAAATTAAAAATTCTGACATGTAAGGATGTGCAATAGTAGAGTTTCACAGGAAGAAAGCATGCAAAGAACAATGTTAAGGCATTAAAACATGAGATTTTCTCAAAGATCTGCAGACACCTGGGGCTTCGTGGATATGGCCCCAGATATGCTGTATTTAATGATACTGATTTCTGTATAATGATTTTTGTATCCTGAAGCTTTACTGAATTTGTTTAAAAGTTCTAACAGTTTTTTGGTGACACGTTGAGGTTTTTCTCTTTTTTGTTTTTGTTTTTAATTTTTGTGGATACATAGTAGGTGTATATATTTATGGGATACATGATATGTTTTGATACAGAAATGCAACATGAAATAAGCACATCCTGAAGAATGTGGTATCCACCATCTCAAGCATTTATTCTTTGAGTTACAAACAATCCAATTACCCTCTAAGTTATTTCAAACTGTACAATTAAGTAATTATTAACTATAGTCACCACGTTGTGCATAAAATAGTAGATCTTATTCATTATTTCTATTTTTTGGACCCATTAACCATTCCCACCTCCCCCTAGAGCCCCCACTACCATTTCCAACATCTGGTAATCATCCTTCTACTCTCTATGTCCATGAGTTCCATTGCTTTGATTTTTAGATCCCACAAATAAGTGAGAATACATGATGTTTCTCTTTCTGTGACTTGTTTATTTTACTTAACATAATGATCTCCAGTTCCGTCCATGTTATTGCAAATGAGTAAATCTCATTCTTTTTTATGACTCAATAGTATTCCATTTTGCATATATATCACAATTTCTTTATCTATTCCTCTGTGTGTAAACACTTAGGTTGCTTCCAAATCTTAGCTATTGTAAAAACAGAGCTGCAACAAACATAGGAGTTCAGATACTTCTTCAATATACTGATTTCCTTTCTTTGGCTATATACCCAGCAGTGGGTGTACTGTATCATATGGTGGCTCAGTTTTTAGTTTTCTGAGGAAACTCCAAACTGTTCTCCATAATGGTTGTACTAATTTAAATTCCCACCAACAGTGTACAAGGGTTCCCTTTTCTTCATATCCTCGTCAGCATTTCTTATTGCTGGTCTTTTGGATATAAACCATTTTAACTGGAGTGAGATGATATCTCACTATAGTTTTCATTTGCATTTCTCTGATTATCATGATATAGAGCACTTTTTCATATGCCTCTTTGCCATTTGCATGTCTTAATTCAAGAAGTGCCTATTCAAACTGTTTCCCCATTTTTAAATGGATTATTAGATTTTTTCCTACAGTTATTTGAGCTCCTTATATATTCTGGTTATTATCCCCTTATCAGTTCTAATAGTTTTCTTGTGGAGTCTTTAGGTTTTTCCAAATATAAGATTATGTGATATGCAAACAAGGATAATTTGCCATCTTCTTTCCAACTTAGATGCCCTTTATTTCTTTCTCTTGTCTGAATGCTCTAGGTAGGACCTCCAGTACTATGTTGAATCACAGTGGTGAAAACGGGTAGTTTGCAAATATTTTCTCCCATTCCATGGGTTGTCTCTTTATTTTGTTGATTGTATCCTTTGCTTTACAGTAGCTTTTTAACTTGATGTGATCCCATTAGTTCATTTCTGCTTTGGTTGCCTGTGTTTGTGGGATATCACTCAAGAAACTTTTGCCCAGACCAATATCCTAAATATCTTCCCCAATGTTTTCTTGTGGTAGTTTCATAGTTTGAAGTCCTAAATTTCAGTCTTTAATCCATTTTGATTTGATTTTTGTATATGGTGAGACACAGGGGTCTAGTTTTATTCTTCTGCATATGGATATCCAGTTTTTCCAGCACCATTTATTGAAGAGACTGCCCTTTCCCAAGTTTATATTCTTGGCACTTTTGTCAAAAATGAATTCACTGTAGATGTATGGATTTCTTTCTGGGTTCTCTATTGTGTTCCATTGGTCTACATGTCTGTTTTTATGCCAGTACCATGCTGTTTTTGTTACTATATCTGTATACTATAATTTGAAGTCAGGTAATGTGATTCCTCCAGTTTTGGTCTTTTTGTTCAGGACAGCTTTGGCTACTCTGGGTCTTTTATGGTTCCATATAAATTTTAGGATAATATTCTATTTCTGTGAAGAATGCCATTGGTATTTTGAAAGGGATTGCCTTGAATCTGTAGACTGCTTTGGGTTGTATTGTTTTGGGTAGACCTTTTAACAATATTGATTCTTTCAATCCATGAACATGGAATATCTTTCCATTTTTTGGTGTCCTCTTTAATTTTTTTCTTCAGTGTTTTATAGTTTTCATTGTAGAGATCTTTCATTTCTTTGATTAAGCTAATTTCTAGGTATTTAATTTTACTTGTCACTTTTGTAAATAGAATTGTTTTTTTCTTTTTCACACTCTTCACTGTTGGCATATAGCAATGCTACTGATTTTGTATGTTGCTTTTGTATCCTGTAACTTTACTGAATTTGTTTATTAGTTCTAATAGTCGTCTTGTGGAGTCTTTAGGTTTTTCCAAATATAAGGTTATGTCATCTGTAAACAAGGATAATTTGACATCTGCTTTCCAATTTAGATATCCTTTATTTCCTTCTCCTGTCTGAATGCTATAGCTAGGACTTCCAGTACCATGTTGAATCACAGTGGTGAAACTGGGCATCACTGTCACGTTCCAGGTCTTAGAGAAAAGGCTTTCAGTTGTTCCTCATTCAGTATATTAGCTGTGGGTCTGTCATATGTGGCTTTTATTATGTTGAAGTATGCTCCTTCCATCCCCAGTTTTTTGAGGATTTTTCATTATGAAATGCTGAATTTTATCAAATGCTTTTTCAGCATCAATTAAAATGATCATATGGTTTTTATCCTTTATTCTCTTGATATGAGGTATCACACTGATTTGTGTACGTTGAGCCATCCTTGCATTCCAGGGATAAATTCCATTTTGTCATGAGGAATGATCCTTCTAAAGTATTGCTGAATTCAGTTTGCTAGAATTTTGTTGAGGATTTTTGTACCAATATTCATCAGAAATATTGGTGCATAGTTTCTTTCTTTCTTTCTTTCTTTCTTTCTTTCTTTCTTTCTTTCTTTCTTTCTTTCTTTCTTCTTTTTTCTTCCTGATGTGTCTTTGGTTTTGGTATCAGGGTAATACTGGACTTGTAAAATGAGTTTGGAAGTATTCTTTCCTCCTCTATTTTTCAAAATAATTTGAGTAGAACTGGTATCCACTCTTCTTTAAATGTTTGGTAGAATTCGGCAGTGAAGCCATCAGGTTCACAGACCTTTCTTTACTGAAAGAATTTTTATTATGTCTTTGATCTCATACTTGTTATTGGTCTGTTCAGGTTTTGGATTTCTTCCTGGTTCAATCTTGGTAGGTTGTATATGTCTAGAAATTTGTCCATTTCTTCTAGATTTTCCAATTTATTGGAATATAGTTAGTTGCTCAGATAAATGGATCTTGTTTTTTCATTCATTCAGCCAGTCAATACTTTTGATTGGAAAATTTAGTCCATTTACATTCAATGTTATTATTGATAATATATTGATAGCATACAGTAGCTCATAGTAACCACTAATGATTCTTTAAATATCTGCAATATCAGTTGTAATGTCTCCTTTTTCAATCTGATTGTATTTATTTGGATCTTCTGGGTTTTTTTTCTCTTACTCTGGCTAAAGATTTGTCGATTTTTTTAACAATTCAAAAAGCCAATTTTTGTTTCACTGATCTTTTGTGTTGTTTCATTTCAATTCCATTGATTTCTACTCTGATCTTTATTCTTTCTTTTCTTCTACAAATTTTGGGTTCAGTGTGCTCTTGCTTTTCTAGTTCTTTAAGATGCATTATTATATTTTTCATTTGAAGTTCTTCCTATTTTTTGATCTAGGCACTTATAAATTTCCCTCTTAGCACTGCTGTTGCTGCATTCCAAAGGTTTTGGTACATTGTGTTTCCATTATCATTTATTTCAACAAATTTTTCAGTTTCCTTCTTAATTTCTTCATTGACTCACTGGTCATTTCAAAGCACATTGTTTAATTTCCATGTGTTTGTTTAGTTTCCCAAATTCCTCCTGTTATAAATTTCTAGTTTTATTCCACTGTAGTCAGAGAAGATGGTTGATATGATTTCAATGTTTTGAATGTTTTCAGACTTGTTTTGTAACCCAACATATAGTCTATCTTTGAGAATGATCCATATGCTGATGAAAAGAATGTGTATTCTGCAGCTATTGGATAAAATGCTCTGTAAATAAATATTAGATCCATTTGATCTATAGTGAATATTAAGTCTGATGTTTCTTTGCTAATTTTCTGTCTGGAAGATTTGTCCAATGCTGAAAGTGGAGTGCTGAAGTCTTCAGCTATTATTGTATTGGGGCCTACCTCTCTCTTTAGCTCTAATAATATTTCCTTTATATATCTGGTTGCTCCAGTTTTTGATGCATATAGATTTACAATTGTTATATCCACTTTCTGAATTAACCCCTTTTATCATTTTATAGCAACCTTCTTTGTCTTGTTTTATCATTTTAGTCTTGAGATCGATTTTGCTTGATATATGAATAGGGACTCCTGCTCTTTTTTTTTTTTAATGATTGATGCAATTTTTTAAAATTTTTCTTTAAGTTCTGGGATACATGTGCAGAAAGTGCAGGTTTGTTACACAGGTATACATGTGTCATGGTGGTATGCTGCACCTGTCAGCCTGTCATCCAGTTTTTAAGCCCCGCATGCATTAGGTATTTATCTTAATGCACTCCCTCCCCTTGCCCCCAACCCCCCAACAGGCCCTAGTGTGTGACGTTCCCCTCACTGTGTTCATGCATTTTCATTGTTCAACTCCCACTTATGAGAACATGTGGTGTTTGGTTTTCTGTTCTTGTGTTAATTTGCTGAGAATGGTGGTTTCCAGCTTCATCCATGTCCCTGCAAAGGACATGAAGTCATTCTTTTTTATGGCTGAATAGTATTCTATGGTATATATGTGCCACATTTTCTTTATCCAGTGTATCATTGATGGGCATTTGTGTTGGTTTCAAGTCTTTGCTATTGTAAATAGTGCCGCAATAAACATATGTGTGCATGTGTCTTTATAGCAGAATGATTTCTAATCCTTTGGGTATATACCCAGTAATGGGATTGCTGGGTCAAACAGTATTTCTGGTTCTAGAAGAATCACCACCCTGTCTTCCACAATGCTTGAACTAATTTACACTCCCACCAACAGTGTAAAAGCATTCCTATTTCTCCACAGCCTCACCAGCATTTGTTGTTTCCTGACTTTTTAATAATCGCCATTCTGACTGGCATGAGATGATATCTCATTGTGGTTTTAATTTGCACTTCTCTAATGACCAGTGATGACCTGTTTTTCATATGTTTGTTGGCCGCATAAATGTCTTCTTTTGAGAAATGTCTGTTCATATCAACAGACTCCTGCTCTTTTATAGTTTCCATTGACATGGAATATCTTTTTCCATCCCTTTATTTTCAGTCTGTGTGTCTTTATAAGTAAAGTGTGTTTCTTTTAGGCAACAGATAAATGGATCTTATTTTTCATCCATTCAGCCAGTTTATATCTTTGATTGGAAAGTTTAGTCCATTTACATTCAATGTTATTACTGATAAGTAAGGGCTTACTCCTGCCATTTTTAAATTTGTTGTCTGGTTGTCTGTGATCTTCTCTTCCTTCTTTCTTTAATTCCTGTCTTCCTCCAGTGAAGTTGATTTTCTCTGGTGATATGATTTAGTTTCTTGCTTTTTATTTTTTGTGTATGCATTGTATGTGTTTTGAATTGAAGTCACCATGAGGCTTGCAAATATTATAACCCATTATCTTAACCTGAGAAAAACTTAGCACTATTTGCATAAACAAACAAGCAAAGAGCAAACTATTAAAACTCTATGCCTTAACTTCATCCTCCCCCATTTTAAATTTTTCTTTTTTCATAAATAATTTGTACTGACTATATCTTAAAATGTTGTAGTTATTTTGATTGTGTCATTATTTACTCTTTCCACTTAGGATAAGAGAAGTTTACACACCACAGTTATAGTGTTAAAAAAAATCTGTGTTTTTCTGTGTACTTACTATTACTAGTAAGTTTGGTACCTTCAGGTGATTATTTATTGCTCATTAATGTCCTCTTCTTTCTGATTGAAGTACTCCCTTTAGCATTTCTTGATGACAGGTCTAGTATTGATCAAATCTCTCAGTTTTTGTTCATCTGGGAGTCTTTAATTCTCTTTTATGTTTGAAGGATATTTTAGCCAGATATACTATTCTACAATAAAAGTGTTTTTCCTTTACCACATTAAATATGTCATGCAACTCGCTCCTGGCCTGTAAAATTTCCACTGAAAAGTCTGCTGCCAGATATACTGGAGCTCTATTTATGTTATTTGTTTATTTTCTCTTGCTGCTTTTCGGATCCTTTCTTTATCCTTGACCTTTGGGAGTTTATTAAATGCCTTGAGGTAGTCTTCTTTAGTTTAAATCTGTTTAAATATGCCAAAGGGAGTACTGCTTTAGTTCTATAACCTTCTTGTACTTGGATATAATATCTTTCTATAGGTTTGGGAAGTTGTTATTATCCCATTGTGTGTGTTTTTCCCCCACTCACGTGATATATGTTGACTTTGTTACCCTTTGAATTAACTTTCTACACCTATCTACCTACCTCCTCTTTAAGGACAATAACACTTACACTTGCCCTTTTGAGGCTAGTTCTAGTTCTAGGTCCTATAAGTATGCTTGATTGTTTGTTTGTTTTTCTTTTCTATTTTGTCCCCTCTGACTGTGTATTTTCAAATAGCCTGTCTTGAAGGTCACTAATTCTTTCTTCTGCTGGATCAATTCTGCTATAAAAGGACTCTGTTACATTCTTCAGAGTCTTGATTCTTTTTAATTATTGCAATCTCTGTTAAATTTATCTGATAGAATTCTGAATTTCTTCTCTGTGTTATCTTTGATTTCAAAATAGCTGTGTTTCCTCAACACAACTATTTTAAATTTTGTGTCTGAAATGTCACATATATTTCTCCAGGATTGATCCCTGATGCCTTATTTAGTTCACTTGGTGAGGTCATGTTTTCCCAGATGGTGTTGATGCTAGCAGATCTTCTTCAGTGTCTAGGCACTGAAGATGATATAACAATTTATGGTAGTATACACTATCTAGGCTTATTTGTAGACGTCCTTCTTTGGAAGGCTTTCCAGATATTTGAAGGGACTATGATGTTGTGATCTAAGCTTTATCTGTTTTAGAGAGCACCCCAAGCCCAGTAACACTGTGGTTCTTACAAACTCATAGAGGTACCACCTTGAGAATCTAAAACAAGAACCAGGAGAATTCTCTGGATTATCAAGCAGAGACTCTGTTCTCTTGTCTTTCTCCCAAACATAAAGTGTCTCTCTCTGTGTTCTGAGCCACCTAAAGCTGAGGGTGGAGTGACACAATCACCCCTGTGGCCACCACCACTATGACTGCGCTGGGTCAGACCTGAAGCCAGCACAGCACTGGGGCTTGCCCAAGGCCTGCTGCAACCACTCCATGGTTACTTCCTATTTTGCTCAAGGTCCTGGGGCTCTACAATAAGCAGGTGGCAAAGCAAGCCAGAACTGTATCCTCCTCTTCAGGGCAGGGAGGTCCCCCAGGCCCCAGGTGGGTCCAGAGGTGCCATCTGGGGGCCAGGGACTAGAGTCAAAAACCTTAGAAGTCTACCTGGTGTTCTATTTTATTATGGCTGAGCTGGTACTCAAACCATAAGACACAATCCTTTCCACTCTTCCCTCCTCTTTCCAAAGGCAGAGGAGCCTCATTCTGTAGCCATTATTACCCCCAGCCACAAGGAGTATTGCCAGACTAACACAGATGTTCCTTTAAGGTCCAAGGTTTCTTAAGTCAGCTTATTGTGAATGCTGCCTGGCCTGGGACTCACCCTTCCAGGTATGGACTCCCCTCTGGCCCAGGACACATCCAGAAATACCATCTAAGAGTCAAGTCCTAGAATTGGGGACCCCAAGAGCCCTCTTGGTGCTCTATCCCCCTGTGGCTATGTTGGCACCTAAGGTGCAAGACAAAGTTCCCTTTACTTTTCCCTCTGCTTTTCTCAAGCAGAAGGAGTTTTTCCCCATAGCCACCACAGCTGGTAATGTGCTGAGTCTCATCTGATGCCAGCAAGTCTCAGAGGCTCGCCCAAGGTCCTCGATGTAGCACCTAAGTATTGCTGCTGGTTATTCAGTGCTCAAGGCCTCTTCAATTAGCAGGTGATGAATGCTTCCAGGACTGAGTCCTTTCCTTCAAGGCAGTGGGTTCCATCCTGGCCCAGGATGTGTCTAGAAATGTCATCCTGGAGCTAGGGCCTGGAACAGGGACCTCGCAACTCTGACTAGTGCCCTATCCTGCTGTGGCTGAGCTGGTATTCTAAATGCAAGACAAAGTCCTCCCCACTCTTCCCTCTCCTCTCCTCAATTGGAAGAAAGAGTTCTCTTTTGGAGCCACAAGCTGTGTAGCCTGGGTTTAGGGAAGGAGTGATGCTTACATTCCCCTGGCTGCACCAGTGGTGTCTCAGTATGTTGCATGCCACCTCCCCCAATTCACTGTCTCTCGGCCTAGTTCGGTACTAGGACTTGCCTTAGAGTTGCAGTCCTTATGGCCTACACTGCCTTTCAAGTTTACCTGGAGACAGGGCACATGCAGCCTTTGGTGGTGAGGTATCCTTATGGGGGAGATGATTGGTGGAGGCTTCTATCCACCATCTTGCTCCTCCTCTGACCTCACGTTTTTCTAAGTATAAGATCATGTCATCTGCAAACAAACCTAATGTGACTTCTTCCTTTCTAATTTGAATGTCCTTAATTTCCTTCTCTTGCTTAATTGCTCTGGCCAGGACTTTCACTTTTATATTGATTAAAAGTGGTGAAAGCAGGCATCCTTGTCTTGTTCCGCATCTTAAATAAACCGCTTTCAATTTTTCTCCATTCAGTATGATGTTAGCTGGGGGATTTTCACATATGGCCTTTATTATTTTGAGTTATGTTCCTTCTACATTCAGTGTGTTGAGGGTCTTTGGCATAAAAGGATGTCAAATTTCATTGAATACTTTTTCAGCATCTATTGAAATGATCATATAGTTTTTGTTCCTGGTTCTTTTAATGTGATGTATTATTCATTTACATATGTTGGCCCATGCTTGATTCCCTGGGACGAATCCCACTTGATCATGGTGAATGATCTTTTTAATGTGTTGTTGAATTTGGTTTGCTAGTATTTTGTTGAGCATTTTACATTTATGCTCTACAGTCTTCTTATTTTGTTGTGTCCTTGTCTAGTTCTGGCATCAGGGTAATGCTTGCCTAGTAGAATGAGTTTGAAAGTATTCCCTTCTCGGCCAGGTGTGGTGGCTCATTCCTGTAATCCCAGAACTTTGGGAGGCCGAGGCGGGCAGATCACGAGGTCAGGAGATCGAGACCACAGCAAAACCCCATCTCTACTAAAAATACAAAAAAATTAGCTGGACGTGGTGGCGGGCGCCTGTAGTCCCAGCTACCCGGGAGGCTGAGGCAGGAGAATGGCGTGAACCCAGGAGGCGGAGCTTGCAGTGAGCCAAGATAGTGCCACTGCACTCCAGCCTGGGTGACAGAGCGAGACTCTGTCTCAAAAAAAAAAAAAAAAAAAAAAGTATTCCCTTTCTCTTCAGTTTCTTTGAGGAGTTTGAGTAGACATGGTATTAGTTCATCTTTAAATGTATGGTAGAATTCAGCTGTGAAGCAATCAGGCTGTCAGCTTTTCTTTTGATGGTAAACGTTTTACCACAGTGTTGCTCTCATTACTCATTACTGGTTTGAGGTTTTCTATTTCTTCATGGTTAAATCTTCTTAGATTGCATGTGTCCCCTGCTATTACTGCATTGCAGTCTATCTCTCCCATTAGATTTATTAATGTTTGCTTTATGTACTAGGGAGCTCCAGTGTTATGTACACAGAAATTCATAATTGTTATGTCATCTTGTTGAATTGATCCCCTTTATCATTTTACACACACACACACACACACACACATGCACACATATAGTCTTTGTTTTTACAGTCTTTGATTTGTAGTCTATTTTATCTAAGTATAGCTACTTCTGCTTGATTTTGGTTTCTAATTGCAATGAAATATCTTTTTCCACCCCTTCAAGCTTAGTCTATGTGTATCTTTACAGGTGAGGTGGGTTTTTGGTAAGAAACATAGAGTTGGTTGTTGTTTCTTTAGCTATTCAGTCACTCTCTGCCTTTTAGTTGGAGAATTAAGTCCATTTACATTCAAGGTTATAATTGGTAAGGACTTACTACTGCCAATTGTTGCTTGTTTTCTGGTTGTTCTGTAATTCCTCTCTTCCTTTCTTACTGTGTCCTTTAGTGGTTGATACGGTTTTGCTCTGTGTCCCCACCCAAATCTCATGTCGAATTGTAATTCTCAGTGTTGGAGGAGAGACCTGATGGGAGGTGATTGGATCACGGGGGCGGATTTCCCCCTTGCTGTTCTCATGATAGTGAGTGAGTTCTCACCAGATCTGGTTGTTTAAAAATGTGCAGCATCTCCGTCTTCACTCTCTCTGTCTCCTGCCACCATTTGAAGACATACTTGCTTCCCCTTTGCCATCCCACCATGATTATAAGTTTCCTGAGGCTTCCCAACCATGCTTCCTGTACAGCCTGCAGAACTGTGAGTCATTATTCATAAATTACCCAGTCTCAGGTAGTTCTTTATAGCAGTGTGAGAACAGACTAATACAGTGGTTAAGCAACGCTTCTGGTATTATATTTTAATTGGCATTGTGGTTACCATGAAGCTTATAAAAAACATCTTATAGGTTAAGAAGTTATTTTAAATAAGTGAAAACTTACCTTACATCATAAAGAACACAGAAAGAAAAAAAAACTCTACACTTTAAATCCATTCCCTCCCATTTTTACTTTATGTTGTCTCAAAATACATAGACTTTCTCTTAAAAGGTAGCTATAACTATGATTATTGTTAGATCTGTCTTTTGAGCTTCATACTAAAGTTATGAATGGACTGCACACTGTAATTACACTATTATTCTGGGTTTGTCCTTGTACTTAATTTTATCAGTAGGTTTTATACCTTCAGATGTTTTCTTTTTGCATGTATTTTTTCCTTTCAGATTGAATAACTCCCTTTGGCATTTCGTGTGTGTGTGTGTGTGTCTGTGTGTGTGTGTGTCTGTGTGTGTGTGAGACAGAGACAGAGAGAGAGGGAGAGAGAGAGAGAGAGTATTGCTATGCTGCCCTCGTCCTGAACTCCCAGGCTCAAGCAATTCTCCCACTTCTTTCTCTCAAGTAGCTGGGATTACAGGCACATACCATTGTGCCTGGCACCTTTAAGTATTTCTTCCCATATTCATGGTGGTGAATTCTCCCAGTTTTTGTGTATCTGGGAAAGACTTTCTCTCTCCTTCATGTCTGTTGGATAGTTTTGCTAAATACAATATTCTATTTTTTTTTTTTTGAGACAGAGTCTTGCTCTGTTGTCCAGGCTGCAGTGCAATGGTGCATTCTCAGCTCAGTGCAACCTCCACCTTCCAGTTGGGTGATTCTCCTGCCTCAGCTTCCTGAGTAGCTGGGATTACAGGTGTGTGCCACCATGCCCGGCTAATTTTTTTGTATTTTTAGTAGAAACAGTTGGCCAGGCTGGTCTCAAACTCCTGACCTCAGGTGATAAGCCTGCCTTGGCCTCCCAAAGTGCTGGGATTACAGGATTACAGGTGTGAGCCACTGTGCTCAGCCATGGTATTCTTAAAACAGCAGATTTTTTCCTTCAGCACTTTGAAAATGTTGCCCCACTCCCCTCCTGGAATGTATGATTTCCACTGAAAAGTCTGTTGCCAGACAAAATGGAGCTCCTTTATATGTTGTTGGGTTTTTTGTTGTTGTTGTTGTTGTTTTGTTTTGTTTTTTGTTTTTTGTTTTGACAGGAGCTCACTCTGTCACCCAGGCTGGAGTGCAGTGTTACTATCTTGGCTCACTGCAACCTTCAACTCCCAGGCTCAAATGATTCTCCCGTCTCAGTCTCCCGAGTAGCTGGGATTACAGGTGCACATCATTTCCTCTCAGCTAATTTTTGTATTTTTAGCAGAGATGGGGTTTCACCATGTTGGGCTGTCTGATCTTGAACTCCTGACTTCAAATGATCCACCTGCCTCGGCCTCCCAAAGTGCTGGACTTACAGGCATGAACCACAATGCCTGGCCGATATGTTAGTTGCTTCTTTTCTCCTGCTGCATTTAGAATCCTCTCTTTGTCCTTGACCTTTGAGAATTTGATTATGTGCCTTGGGGTACTCTTATTTGGGTCTAATCTGTTTGGTGTTCTCTGACCTTCCTGCACCTGGATATTTATTTCTTTTCCAAGGTTAGGTAAGTTTTGTTATTATTTCTTTAAATAATCTTTCCACTCCTTGTTCTTGCTCAATTCCCTCTGGAACATCAATAAATCTTAGATTTGCTCTTTTAAGGTAATTTTCTATATCTTGTAGATGATCTTCATTCCTTTTAAATTTTTTCTTATTCCTCTTCTATTTTCAGTATTTCATATTTCAGTATTTTCAAAAAACTTGTCTTTGAACTCACTAATTCTTACCTCTGCTTCATCCATTTTGCTATTGAGAGCCTCTAATGAGTTTGTCAGATCAGGAAATATATTTCTCAGGTCCAAGGTTTCTGTCTGGCTTTTAAAAATTATTTTAATTTCTTTGTCAAATTTCTCTGATGATTTCTGAATTGTTTTTTCATTTTTGTAAATATTTATTTTCATTCATATTGTGTAAATACCAAGAAATGAAATAGCTAGATCACACAGTAACTGTATTAATACTTTAAATTTTTTAAAATTATACTTTAAGTTCTGGGATACATGTACAGAATGTACAGGTTTGTTACCTAGGTATACACATGCCATGGTGGTTTGCTGCACCTGTCAACCCGTCACCTACATTGCATATTTCTCCTAATGCTATCCCTCCCCTAGCTGCCCCTGACAGGCCCCGGCGTGTGATGTTCCCCTCCCTGTGTCCATGTGTTCTCACTGTTCAACTCCCACTTATCAGTGTTTGGTTGAAATAGTGTCTCACTGTGGTTTTGATTTGCATTTCTCTGATGACCAGTGATGATGAGCATTTTTTTCATGTGTCTGTTGGCTGCATAGATGTCTCCTTTTGAGAAGTGTCTGTTCATATCCTTTGCCCACTTTTTGATGGGGTTGTTTGTTTTTTCTTGCAAATTTGTTTAGTTCCTTGTAGATTCTAGATATTAGCCCTTTGTCAGATGGATATATTGCAAAAATTTTCTCCCATTCTGTAGGTTGCCTGTTCACTCTGATGATAGTTCCTTCTGCTGTGAAGAAGCTCTTTAGTTTAATTAGATCCCATTTGTCAATTTTGGCTTTTGTTGCCATTGCTTTTGGTGTTTTAGTCATAAAGTCTTTGCCCATGCCTATGTCCTGAATGTTATTGTCTAGGTTTTCTTCTAGGGTTTTTATGGTTTTAGGTCTAACATTTAAGTCTTTAATCCATCTTGAGTTAATTTTTGTATAAGGTGTAAGGAAGGGGTCCAGTTTCAGTTTTCTGAATATGGCTAGTCGGTTTTCCCAACACCATTGATTAAATAGGGAATCCTTTCCCCATTGCTTGTTTTTGTTAGGGATATCAAAGATCAGATGGTTGTAGAAGTGTGATGTTATTTCTGAGGCCTCTGTTCTGTTCCATTGGTCTATATATCTGTTTTGGTACCAATACCACGCTACTTTGGTTACTGTAGCCTTGTAGTATAGTTTGAAGTCAGGTAGCATGATGCCTCTAGCTTTGTTCTTTTTACTTAGGATTGTCTTGGTTATATGGGCTCTTTTTTTGTTTTTATATGTTATCTTGGAGATCATTTAGATTCCTTAAAACTGGTATTTTGAATTCTTAAGAGAGTTCACATATGGCTGTCTCGTTAGGGTCAGCCACTGGTTTCATTCGTTCTCCATTTGAGGAGACCATGGTTCCCTCTTTGCTCTTGTTTTTTTGAATGTACATTTACATCTTTGCATTCAAGGATTAGTTATTTATTCCAGTCTTACCTATCTGGCTTATTGTGGTTTTTATTGGATATGTTTGCTTACAGATGCTTTGTGATTTACATGTTGATTTTCTTTCTTATGGTTGTTTGTTTTTTCTGCCATGTTGCTGCCACCGTTTTGGCACTAGTTGGTGCATTAAACCCAAGTTTGCCTTGGTTGTAGTAAATATTCAGAGTGCCACCCATTCCAAATGAGTCCCAAAGGGGATAGCCTTATAGTGTGGGAAGGCTGGCTAGGGATTCATGCCCAGGGGACCTGTGGAACAAACCTTCTACAGCATGGCATCTCCTTTGGCTGACTTACATAGCAGGGTTTCCATGCTGAGGATAGTGGTCCTGCCCTCCCACTTTGTGTTTGGTTGTCCTCAAGGATAATTTTTCCTTCAGGTACTCCTGATGTTTCCCCTGGGTTGAGGCAGGGACAGTCTCCTGCTAGGGAACTGAAGTTAGAAGCAAAACTAGTTATCCACCTTGATCTCACTTTTTCCAGTGTAGAAACTGTAGTTTTGGGGAAACTTTAGGCATATCTGGTGCCAGGCAGATTGTGGGGAGGAGCATCATGGAAATCCAATTCTCTTAATCCGTTCAGAGTTTTTTCAATTCTCTGTAGTCTCAGGAACTGTCTCTTCCTCATATTTGAATTCTGGGATATTACTGGTGATAATCTCAGTGCTGTATGTGTATATATATATATATGTGTGTGTGTGTGTATGTGTGTGTTTATATATATAAATTATATATAAAACATAAATATATATTATATAAATACATATTTCCTGTGGTGGGGGAGTGCAGCCAGCTTCACTTCACCACCTTTGAAACCAGTATTTGTGGTAATTTGTTATAGCAGCAATGGGAAACTAATATAGGAATATTATAAACATTGTTGCAGTGAACATTCTTTACTTTTCTTTTGGTGAGTACATGCATTCATTTCTGCTGAGTATATACCTAGGAATGGAATTTCTGGGTCATATGGTATCATATGTTCAGCTTTGGTAGATACTGCCCATTTTCCAAAACAGTTGACTTTAGTTTAAACTGCTAAAAACAGTGTATCAGAGTAGCAATTGTTCCATAACCTTAAAACACCTACTATTGTCTCTTTTTTAAGCCACTCTAGTGGGCACACAGTAGTGTTTCACTGTGGTTTTATTCTGTATTCCCACTGCGACTAATGAAGTTGAGCACTTTCCACGTGTTCAATGGACATTTATATAAGTTCTTTTATCTAGTAATCTCATAAGTGTCTTTCCTATTTTTTAATTGAGTGATATGTTCTTTTACTGATTTGTGTGAGTTTTATATATTCTGGATATGAGTCCACTGTCAGATAAATTAGGACCTTATGATAGTAAAAAGGGACACATTCTTGTGGCTCTGCCAAGAATCCTTCCATGTAAAAATTTTTAATAGCTACAATGCTGATATTGTGATTGCTATCACAGGCATTCATTGTAATATGGTTAAAAGTCTAGATTTAAAGTTACTTCACAACAAGGGCTAGAAATATCTTCTATCTCCTTTGTATCTTTGGCAGATCCTAATCATTAAGTACACATTTGGTGTACGCTAAGTAAACATTTAAATCAAAGAATGCTCTAAGGTAAACAATGTATTTCTCTTCCCAAGGGCTTTCTTTTAACCCACCAGTTACAATTACTAAAGTTCATGAAAATGTCTACCAGCCAAGTACCACTCGTAACACTGAAACAACGCAGGGAGTCCCAAGAACCAGGGAAGACCAAGAAGCATATTTATAAAGGGGAACCAAAGACAGTTTAGAAAGAGAGAATGGAATTGCAGTGAATCCAAACATTATAGACAGAGAATGACATTCTTGGAATAGCTCCATATCAGAGGAATAAAGTGAAGAAATAAACAGACGAAGTAATCTCTAAAAATAAGAGCAAGTCAACCATAATAAACTAGAGCAGGAGTTCAGGACAAGGCTGTGAACAATATCGGTCTGTGAGATGCTTGCTTTTATATAACAAAGCTTAGTGGAAACTACACAAAGACTGGTGTTGGAGAGTATTGTCTGAAGATTCATTGCTATAAAGAAGAATGGCAAAAGCACTCCATACCAGAATTATTATGGTTTGTCCAAATATCTTTTTATTTACTAAAGTGGGGGAACCTAGGGCAAATATGATATCCAGTTTTTATTTGAATAGCATCCAGTAAGTGATATCTCTTAGGTCGTTCTAAGCAGATTATAATATAAGTAAGCAGTTCAACTTGCAAAAGAATGAAGCATACATACACTGGCCAGATGAAACACTTTTAGATAGGAAAAAAAAAAAAAGTATTGCTTACTGAAGTCAATGGCCAATCGGGAACATGTAAGATGCAAAAACCTGAAACAAATAAATACAATACTGACATGCCAGTGAAAATAATAGTTATCTAAAAACCTTTGTTTTTGCCCATACCTAAGAATACATCAAACCAAATAGGTGAAAGATCTCTATAAGGAGAACTAAAAAACACTGATGAAAGAAATCACAGAGGACACAAACAAATGGAAAAACATTCCATGCTCATGAATTGGAAGAATCAATAACATTAAATATCCAGAATGCCCAAAGCAATATACAGATCAAATGCAATTCCTATCAAATTACTAGCATCATTTTTCACAGAATTAAAAAAATTCTAAAATTCATATGGATCCAAAAAAGAGCCTAAATAGCCAAAGCAATCATAAGTGAAAAGAACAAAGTGGGAGGTATCACATTACCCAACTTCAAACTGTACTACAGGGCTATAATAACCAAAACGATATGGTACAAAAATAGACACAGGGACCAACATAGCAGAATAGAGAACCCAAAAACAAAGCTGCACACCTACAACAAAATGATCTTAGACAGTCAACAAAAATAAACAATGGAGAAAGTATACCCTATTCAATAAATAGTAATAAACAAACTGGCTAGCAATATGCAGAATAATGAAACTGGACCCCTAACTGTGACCATATTCAAAAATTAATTCAAGATGGATTAAAGACAAGGCCACCTGTGGTAGCTCATGCCTGTAACCCCAACACTTTTGGAGGCTGATACAGGTGGATCACTTGAGGTCAGGAGTTCAAGACCAGCCTGGCCAACATAGTGAAACCTCATCTCTACTGAAAAAAAAAAAATACAAAAATTAGCTGGGCGTGGTGGCATGCACCTGTAGTCCCAGCTACTTGGGTGGCTGAGGCATGAGAACCACTTGAAACTGAGAGGCAGAGGACCTGAGCCAGGATCACACCACCACATCCAGCCTGGACAACAGAGCGAGACTCTATCTAGAAAAAAAAAATTGGATTGAAGACTTAAATGTAGGGGTAAGGCCTCAAACCATACAAATCCTAGAAGAAAACCTAGGAAATACTCATCTGGACATTAGCCTAGGGGAAGAATTTATGACTACGACCTCTAAAGCAAATGAAACATAGACAAAAATTGACAACTGGGACCTAATTAAATTCAAGAGCTTCTCTACAGCAAAAGAAGCTATCAACAGAGTAAACAGACAAACTACAGTATGGGAGAAAATATTTGCAAACTATGTATCCAAGTACTAATATCCAAAATCTATAAGGAACTTAAATAAATTGACAAATAAAAAATAAATGACCCCATTAAAAAGTTGGCAAAGAGCATAAACAGATATTTCTCAAAAGAAGACATACAAGTGGACAACAAACATATGAAAAAAATGTTCATCATCACTAATCATTGGAGAAACGCAAATAAAACCACAATGAGATACATCTCACACCAGTCACAATGGCCATTATTAAAAAGTGAAAAAAAAAACAAACAGATTTTGGCAATGCTGCAGAGAAAAAGGAATGCTTACATACTGTTGGTGTGAATGTCCATTAGTTCAGCCCCTGTAGAAAGCAGCTTGAGTTTGTAAACTCACCAATCAGCACTCTGTAAAAATGGACCAATCAGCACTCTGTAAAATGGACCAATCAGTGCTCTGTAAAATGGACCAATCAGTGCTCTGTAAAATGGACCAATCGGCAAGGCGTGCGCAGGGCCAAATAAGGGAATAAAAACTGGCCACCCGAGCCAGCAGCAGCAACCCGCTCAGGTCCCCTTCCATGCTGTGGAAGCTTTGTTCTTTCGCTCTTCACAATAAATCTTACTGCTGCTCACTCTGGGTCCGCGGCACCTTTAAGAGCTGTAACACTTGCTAAGAAGGTCTGCAGCTTCACTCCTGAAGTCAAGCGAGACCATGAACCCACTGGAAGGAAGAAACTCCAGACACTTCTGAACATCGGAAGGAACAAACTCCTGACACACCATCTTTAAGATCTGTAACACTCACTGCGAGGGTCCGTGGCTTCATTTTTGAAGTCAAGAGAGACCAAGAACCCACCGGAAGGAACCAATGCTGGACACACTATTACTATTATTGACGCTGTTGCTTCTGTCATTTGCATTAGAAATATGTGAGGGAACTATTAATTTTGGACAATGCAGCCTAAATATGGAAGCTGTGTGTCTTTCCCAGTTGCAGAACAGACAGAAGAAAATTTTTGAAGCAAACAAAAGGAAACAGAACCAAGAGACCAATGGAGAGAGTCCTAAAGATATTCTCTGAGGCTCTGAATCCAGTTACCTATTGGACTTTCCAGTTATATGAACGAATACATTTCTTTTTTCTTTCCTTAAGCTAGTGTAAGGTGAGTTCTTTTTTACTCACAACAAAAAGTATTAATATAACACCTTTTGCCTATAAATCACAAAAATAGAAATGCATATATACACATATAGTAGGTACATATATACATATACACACAAATATACATATGACAAATATATATGCCATATATAAGAAATCTGTGTGTCAAACAATTAGGTTTTCATTATTTGCTGTCACAGTATCCACACCAAAAGTAAAAAAAGGAAAGCAGCTTTATTCTATACTCCTAGTTGATAAGTTAATATTCCATCTCCATTAACATCCTATTACAGTATTTTCAAGAAACTTCAAGGAGGCTTGTGTGTGTTAAGGTGGGAAAAAGGGAACAATGCAAATGTGGCTGGAAAGGTAAATTGATCAGACTATTATGAATGTTGTATATTAGGGGATTTGAAATTTTATTTTGTTGAACATAGGTATGATGTTTTTGAGATCATAAGTGACATTCTTTATTCATTCAATAAACACTTAATGAATACATAGTATGTACCAAACACAATACTAGAGCATAGACACATCACAGCTGCTGTTGTCAAATTTATAATCTAGTTAACAGGTCTGTGTTCTCTAACATTGATGGCAGATCATAACAGACAAGAAAAATGAGTGAGAATTTATACAGACAAGAAAAAGGAAAAATTATAAGTAGACCAATTGATCATTAGGACAGTACAAGAACAGTCAAAGAAGGCTCCAAAATATTTATTTTGTGTCATTGGTATAGGAAAAACAGTAAAAACAATAGCTTTTGTCAATAAATACTTAGGTTGGTGCAAAAGTAATTGCAGCTTTTGCAATTACTTTTAATTGCAAACTTTATCTGGAAATATTGAGTTCTCCCTACTTATTAAAAGCTAAGCTCCTTGAAAGCTCTAATCACTATACAAAACAGAGACTAGACTAGTGACTGGTACTTAGTAGGTGCTCAATAAATGTGTTATTTTTGAACAAGCTATCTTTAAGATTTGCAGGTAGAAACATTAATTCAATAATTAATTTATTGATACCTATCATGTTATCAGGGATCATGCTAACAACCGGGGACTATGCTACCAAGAAATAAAACACAATTCCATGCTCCTAAGGTACTCTCAGTGTGCTGGAGCATTATCGACCTTTTCCACCCCTAAACACATTTACAATCTCCTGCAAAAATTTTTTCCTGGAAAAGTTTAGAGAAGCAAAGCATCAGAGGATTTATGAAATGGGAGAGACTTATTTATAAGAACATTCAATATGCATGTGAGTTTAGCTAACTCATTTAAAGAACTCAAAAAATTGCCTTTTGATAATGAATAAATAAGTAATAAAGCATGTGATAACTCATAATTTTTTCAATTCTAACTCTATTTTTTAATTGGTGTTATTTTTCCAAAACTCTATTCTTTGTGGAGAATGTGCTGGCAACATCAGTACTGAAAATCAATCTAAGAGTTTAGATGAGAGGTCTAGAAACAAACCTACAACAACAAAACAGCATAGAAGTACATTGTATAATGAGGGTACGGGGAGGGATTTAGGGCAACACAAAGAAGGGTTACCTAATGCAGTTCTAAAGGATGTGTAAAAACTTCCTGGAACACGTGATATTTGACAAAAGTCTTAAGAACTGAGTAGATTAAAACTAATTGCAGGATACAAGACCAATATTCAAAGATCAATTGTATTTCCAGACACTAGCAAAGAACATTTCCAAAATGAAATTATGAAAACAATTGCATGTTTAAAATAGCATGAGCCAGGCATGGTGACTCACACCTATAATCCCAGCAACTCGGGAAGCTGAGGCAGTAGGACTGCTTGAGGCCAGGAGTTCAAGACCAGCCTGCGAAAGACCAGACATAGCAAGACCCTGTCTCTGCCAAAAAAAAAAAAAAAATTAAAATTAGCCAGGGGCAGTAGCACATGCTTGTAGTCCTAGCTACTCAGGAGGCAGATGTAGGAAGATTGTTTGAGCCCAGGATTTCAAGGCTACAGTGAGCTGAAATCAACACCACTATATTCTAGCTTGAGCAAAAGAGCAAGACCCTGTATCTTTAAACAAAAAAAAAATCAAAAAGAAAAAAATACTGAGGTACAAATTTAATAAAAGCAGTGTAAGATTTGTATACTGAAAACTACAAATCATTATTGGGAAAAAATTAAAGAAGATTTAAATACATGGAAAGACACCCCATGTCCATAAGTCACAAAACTTAATATTGTTAAGACAGCAATATTCCCTAAATTGACCTACAGATTCAATACAATTAGTATTGAAATCCAAGTTAGCTTTTTTTCAGATCAGTTCTATTAATCTGAAGTCCAGAAATAAGCCCTTGTATCAATGACAAATTGATTTTTGACAAAGGTGCAAAGGCTATTCAGTAGAGAAAGAATAGTATTTACAACAAATAGTGCTGAGAAAACTGTTTATCCATATACAAGAGAATGAAGTTAGACTCCTATTTCACATCATATAAAATTAACTCCAAGGGGATTAAAGACCTAAATGTCAAAGCCAAAACTGTAAAACTCTTAGAAGAAAACATAAAAGTAATTTTCATGACCTTGGGTTAGGTAATGGTTTCCTTCGATATAACACTGAAGCACAAAGCAACAAAAACAAAAAAAAAGATAAATTGGACATCAAAATTAACTTTGTGCAAAGGCCTCCATCAAGAAAGTGAAAAGAGCGATAGGAACACGGTGATCAGCTCATGCAGCTGTAAGACACCATGAACTCGCTTTCAGATCAGTTTTGCAATGCCACTGATGTGTTGCAGCAATGTGGTCTTCCTGCCTCTTTTAATAATATTCAGACAGCAATTAACAAAGACCAGCCAGCTAACCCTACAGAAGAATATGCTCAGCTTCTTATAGCACTGATTGCACAAACAGCAAAAGACATTCATGTTTTGATAGATTCCTTACCCAGTGAAGAATCTACAGCTGCTTTATAGGCTACTCCCTTATGTAAGCTAGAAGAACAAAACCATGAAGCTGCTACATATTGTTTATCTAGGGAAATGCTTCTAGAAAAGATACAAAGTGCACTTGCTGATATTGCACAGTCACAACTGATCACAGTTACAGCTGAAGACAAGAAGTAGTACCCATGGCCAGTCTCTTCCAGACTTATAGCACCAGTGAATACTATGTGGCTGAGAAAAGGATTGTTCCAACAACATTAAGAATTCTGTCTCAGATTTAGATGGTAAGCCTTACCAACAGTTACAGAAACATTAAACACTGACATGTGTTACCTTTTTAGCTACTTTTAATAATCTCCAATTTTCACTCTTGATAAACAAGGTTATAAAACTGTGATTAAACCATCTCTGAACCATAATTTTAATTTATTTTACTTTATTTTATTCTTATTTTATTTTGAAACAGGGTCTTGCTCTGTCACCCAGGCTGGAGTGCAGCAGCAGGATCACAGATCAGTGCCACCTCGACCTCACAGGCTCAAGGAATCCTCCCACCTCAGCCTCCTGAGTAGCTGGGACTACAGAGGCACACCACCAAGCCCAGCTAAATTTTTGTTTTTATTTCATTTACTTTTATTTATTTATTTGTTTTGTAGAGATAGGGTGTCACTATGTTGCCCAAGCTGGTCTTGAACTCCTGGGCTCAAGCAATCCTCCCACCTCAACCTCTCAATGTGCTGGGATTACAGCCATAAGCCACCATGCCAGGCCAAGGATTTGAATATATATTTCTTCAAATAAAATATAAAAACAGCCAATGAGCACATGAAAAGATGCTCACCATCATCTGTCATTAGAGAAATGCAAGGCAAACCCACAGTGGGATACTACTTCATACCCACCAGGATGGAAACAACCAAAAAGAGAAAATAACAAGTGTTGAGAAGGATGTGGAGAAAGTAAAACCCTCACACATTGCTGGTGGGAATGTAAAATAGTGCAACCCTTTGGAAAAGTCTGGCAGTTTTTTAAAAACTTAAACCTAGAGTTACCATATGACCCAGCAATTCCACTCCTAGGTATATATCCAAGCACAATGAAAATACACACCTACACAAAAACTTGTACATAAATGTTCACAGCATTATTCATAATGGTCAAAAAAGTGGAAACAAATCACCTGATGGACATTTGTCAACATATATGTGGCATATTCATACAACAGATTATTATTTGGCCACAAAAGAAAACAAAAAGTACTATACATGTTACGACATGAATAAACCTTGAAAACAGTATTCTAAGTAAAAGAAGCCAGACACACACAAAAATTACATACTGTATGATTCCATTTATATAAAGTAATGAGAACAGACAAATCTAGAGAGACAGAAAAGAGATTAGTGGTTGCCAGATTGGTGGCTGGGATGAGGGAATAATGGGGCGTGAGTGTTTGATGAATACAGGGTTTCCTTTTGGGGTGATGAAAATATTCCAAAACTGGATAGTGGTGATGTTTGCACAACACTGCAAATGTACCAAATGCCATACGGTAAAATTTTATATGTGCATTTTACCACAATAAAAAAAGAAGTAAAGTACTGACACATGTTATGACATGAATGACCCTTGAGAACATTATGCTAAGTGAAAGTAGTCATAAAAGACAACATACTGTATGGTTCTGTTTATATGAAATCTCCAGAACAGGCAAATCCATAGAAAGATTAGTGGTTGCCTAGGATGAGGGAAGGGAAAAGGGAGGAGTTGAGTGCTAACGGGTACAGGGTTTCTTTCAGGAGGAACAAAAGAACAAAATGTTCTAAAATTAGACTATGGTTATAGTTGCACCGCTCTGAGAATATACTAGAAAGCATTGAACTCAACATTTTGAAAGGCTGAATTGTACAGTATGTGAATTATCTCAATGAAGGGATTCAAGGAGACAGAAAGGGAGATAACTGAGTAAGAACTGGCCAGGAAAATGAAGGGTTAGTAAAGGACAGGAATAATCAGTACAAGGATATAGGAAAGGATATAGAACAAGACCACCTTTGCTCTTGAAGATTCCATACATCTTGTTCCAAAGGAATTACCACCTAAAATAGATGGCTAGGAAATTTAGCATACAATTAGATAGAAGGAACAGGTTTCTATCCTGGGAGAAGTAATCAATAAATGTTCACTACAAAATATGAATATATGTAAATATATCCAAGCAAGTATTAAGTGGAAAGTAGAAAAACTGAGAGTACACATGTTATACACTCCATTTTCCCAACAAAGTAGGAAGTCTTTGGGTATCAGCTGAGAGTTAAGGGTATCAGAGCAGTGTTGAAAATCTATAGAAAATGACAACTTTGAACATCTCCCTGAAACAACTGAGAAAGAGAGCCCTTTTCTTGCTTCCTTATGAGACAGGAATATGGGGTGGTCACAGAAGAAATAGGAAATACCAGGCAACAGTTTCACATGACTAACATAGAAGGAACACAGAAACCAGCTACAGGAATGGGGAAGGGGGAGGAGCCAATAAGACCCTGACAAACAGGATGTAAGAAATACCAGTTAAGACAAGCTAGATCTAACATGGCACTGGATTTGACTCAAATTGTACCCCAGGTTCAATTATAAACTCATTATTATACTAAACCACATCTCAGCAGAACCATGACAGTTCCAGGTATACCTATGTTTGTTATAAAACTCAGTGGCACCTCAATTTCAAGAAATCTTATTCTCTTCCCAGAAATCCTTATGATCATTCTGCCTCTTAATTTGAAAAACATTTTTTGGTTTTGACAAACCCCAAACATATTGGGCATAACATACTCTCCTGAGTAGGCCTATACTCCCACCCTTGAGTGTGTACTTTCACTTGACAAAAAATACTTTCTACTTTTGCTTTGACTCGTCCTTGAACTCTCTCGCAAAGGTGTCAAGAACCGGGACAGTGGCTGGGGTCAAGGTCTCACCAGTGTTCAGAGGCCTCCCTAAGCCCACTGGCATCACTGATACTCCATAAGACTACAGCACCAATATTAACAGTATAGTAGACCTATTCTTGGCCTTCACCTTCAGTAAAATTCTACATCTCATTCTTCTCAACTTGCTCCTTTTTATACAATTATATAAAATTCCACAGAGTCAAAACACTTGCTAGGCCAAGTGCGGTGTAATGCCAGCACTTTGGAAGGCCAAGGTGGGCAGATTGCTTGAACTCGGATATTCGAGACCAGCCTGGGCAAAATGGCAAAAACGACGTGTCTACAAAAAAATACAAAAATTAGCAGGTGTGGTGGTGCATGCCTGTAGTCCTGGCTACTTGGAAGGCTGAGGTAGAAGGATCACCTGATCCCAGGCAGTCGAGCTTGCAGTGAGCTGAGATGGCACCGCTGCACTCCAGCCTAAACAACAGAGTGAGACCTCGTCTCCAAAAAAAAAAACATTAAACAGCACAAAATCAGATTTCCTTCTCCCTCCCTCCTTAACTTTAGTACATTTACATCTAACAAAGGCCACTGGAGCTAAAGAGAGTTGCTGTACGGCAGCTTTTATAAACTGCACCTAGACTATTCATTCTGTCACTAACCAGGGCACAGGTGCTATGTAGTTCCTAGGCTAGTGTAAATCTTAATGAGAAACAATGAACTTCCGTACACATACATGTCTTTAGCCCATATGTCTGTCAAGTCTCAGATGACAACATAAATAGAACCCAGTAAAAGTCCCAAGTATGAGGCTTCTCTACATGTGTGGTTAAAAAGCTGAAGATAGAGCTGTGTCATATAACGTTTAGTCTCTCTCTCCTCACTCTCACTCTTTAAAAAGATAACCACACCTACCACACCTAATTCCTAAAAAATGGTAAGACCAGCGTGATGGTTGAGTGTCAACTTGATTGGATTGAAGGATGCAAAGTATTGTTCCTGGGTATCTGTGAGGGTGTTGCTAAAGGATTAACATTTGAGTCAGTGGACTGGGAGAGGGAGACCCACCCTCAATCTGGGTGGGCACCATCTAATCACAGCTGCCAGCACAGCTAGGATAAAAGCAGGCAGAAGAACGTGGAAGGACTAGACTGGCCAACGCTTCTGGACTTCATCTTTCTCCCATGCTGGATGTTTCCTGCCCTCAAACACTGGACTCCAAGTTCTTCAGCTTTTGGACTCTTGGACTTACACCAGTGGTTTGCCAGAGGCTCTTGGACCTTCAACCACAGACTGAAGGCTGCACTGTCAGCCTCCCTACTTTTGAGGTTTTGGGACTCAGACTGGCTTCCTTGCTCCTCAGCTTGCAGATGGCCTACTGTGGGACTTCATCTTGTGATTATGTGAGTCAATACTCCTTAATAAACTCCCCTTTATATATACATCTATCCTATTAGTTCTGTTCCTCTAGAGAACCCTAATACAAACAATGACAGATGGCTGGAATAAAACCATAGTCTCCCAAAGTGACTACTTTGAAGAAGACAATACTCATTTAAAGGTACAGAATCTGATGGAGTTGTTTTAAATCAGTTAAATTTTGCACGTAATCATATTTCAAATAAACACACTTTGGATGAGTTGAACAAAGAGATTAACTTTAGTGCATGTCTTAACAAAAGTTATGTTCTTCTCCTGTGCAGGAGAATTAAGACCAAGAGTATGCAACAGACTTAGACACTGCAGTGCAACAATGTGGACTGTGATTTAAGGCCATGATATGGTTTGATTGCATCCCCACCCAAATCTCATCTTGAATTCCCATGTGTTGTGGGAGGGACCAGTGAAAGGTAATTGAATCATGAGGGCAGGTCTTTGCCGTGCTTTTCTCATGACAGTGAATAAGTCTCATGAGATTTGCTGGTTTTATAAGAGAGTTTCCCCTGTACATGCTCTCTCTTTGCCTGCCACCATCCACGTAAGATGTGACTTTTTCCTCCTTGCCTTCTGCCATGATTGTGAGACCTTCCCAGCCACGTGGAACTGTAAGTCCATTAAACCTCTTTCTTTTGTATATTGCCTAGTCTTGGGTATGTCTTTAATACCAGCGTGAAAATGGACTAATACAGTAAATTGGTACCAGGAGTGGGGTGCTACTGAAAAGATACACAAAAAAGTGGAAGTGACTTTGGAACTGGGTAACAGGCAGAGGTTGGAACAGTTTGGAGGGCTCAGGAGAAGAAAGAAAAATATGGGAAAGTTTGGAACTCCCTAGTGACTTGTTGAATGGCTTTGACCAAAATGCTGATAATGATATGGACAATGAAATCCAGGCTGAAGTGGTCTCAGATGGATATAAGGAATTTGTTGGGAATTGGAGCAAAGGTGACTATTGTTATGTTTTAGCAAAGAGACGCAGCATTTTACCCCTGCCCTAGAGATCTGTGGAACTTTGAACTTGAGAGAGATGATTTAGGGTATCTGTGTGAAGAAATTTCTAAGCAGCAAAACATTCAAGATGTGACTTGGGTGCTGTTAAAGGCATTCAGTTTTAAAAGGGAAACAGCATAAAAGTGTGGAAAATTTGCAGCCTGATAATGTGATAGAAAAGAAAATCCCATTTTCTGGGGAGAAATTCAAGCCAGCTGCAGAAATTTGCAAAAGTAACAGGGAGCTGAATGTTAATCACCAAGACAATGGAGAAAATGTCTCCAGGGCTTGTCAGAGACCTTTGCTGCAGCCCCTCCCATCACAGGCCTGGAGATTTAGGAGGAAAAACTGGTTTTGTGGGCCAGGCCCTTGGTCCCCCTTCAGTGTGCAGTCAAGGGACTTGGTGCCCTGTGTCCCAGCTGCTCCAGCCTTGACTAAAAGGGGCCAAGGTACGGCTCAGGCTGTTGCTTCAGAGGGTGGAAGCCCCAAGCCTTGGCAGCTTCCACATGGTGTTGAGCCTGCGGGTGCACAGAAATCAAGAGCTGAGGTTTGGGAACCTCCACCTAGATTTCAGAAGATGTATGGAAATGCCTGAGTACCCAGGCAGAAGTTTGCTGCAGGGACGGGGCCCTCATAGAAAACCTCTGTTAGGGCAGTGGAGAAAGGAAATGTGGGGTCGGAGTCTCCACACAGTGTCCCTATTGAGGCACCGCCTAGTGGAGCTATGAGAAGAGGGCCACCGTCCTCCAGACCCCAGAATAGTAGACCCACTGACAGCTTGCACCATGCACCTGGAAAAGCCGCAGACACTCAATGCCAGCCCATGAAGGCAGCGGGAGGGAGGCTGTATCCTTCAAAGCCACAGGGGTGGAGCTGCCCAAGACCATGGGAACCCACCTCTTGCATCAGCATGACCTAGATGTGAGACATGGTGTCAAAGGAGAGGAGACTGTTTTGGAACTTTAAGGTTTAATGACTGCCCTGTTGGATTTCAGACTTGCATGGGGCCTGTAGCCCCTTGTTTTGGCCAATTTCTCCCATTTGGAACAGCTGTATTTATTCAATGTCTGTACTCCCACTGTATCTAGGAAGTAACTAATTTGCTTCTGATTTTACAGGCTCGTAGGCAGAAGGGACTGCCTTGTCTCAGATGAGACTTTGGATTGTGGACTTTTGAGTTAATGCTGAAATGAGTTAAGACTTTGGGAGACTGTTAGGAAGGCAGGACTGGTTTTGAAATGTGAAGACATAAGATTTGGAAATGACCAGGGGTGAAATGATATGGTTTGGTTGTTTCCTCACCCAAATCTCATCTTGAATTCCCACATGTTGTGGGAGGGATTCAGTGGGAGGTAACTGAATAATGGGGGCAGGTCTTTCCCATGCTGTTCTCATGATAGTGAATAAGTCTCACAAGATCTAATGATTTTATAAGAGCAAGTTTCCCTGCACAAGCTCTCTCTTTTCCTATCACTATCCTTGTAACATGTAACTTGCTCCTCCTTGCCTTCCGCCATGATTGTGAGGCCTCACCAGCCATGTGGAACTGTAAGTCCATTAAACCTCTCTTTTGTAAATTGCCCAGTCTCAGGTATGTCTTTATCACCCGAATGAAAATGGACTAATACAGGCCATAAAAACAAAGGCAGGGGAAAAAATACCTGCCCATATAAAGATCTTGAGTAACCCATTCAGGTAGGCATTAACTCACTTTTATGGCTGTCAAGAAGCTAACATTTATTAACTCAAGATATAATAGGAACACACTTTTTTGTTTTGTTGCTCTAGTTTTGATGTTGCTGATATAAGAAAAGAAGTGGTGCTGTGGTTTGGGGGTTTTTTTTAAACAAGAAATGTCTTTCGATGGGTAAGAACTGGTAATGTTTATGTATCTCTTGACTTCTACCACTGTCATAACAGAGAAATAATTTTAATCATTACAGAAGCAATAAATCAAATATCAAGACATAGTGATTGGGCTATATAACAAGTGTTAAAGTAGCTATTTCTAACTGAAAGGAGTACTTCTTTCATATGCCTGGATTTTCTAAATTGATTCAATGGGTATGTTTCTTATTTTTCAAATATATAGTCATTTGGAATTCCTATTATTTTTATCTAGCCAGATCAAAATT
The DNA here is from genome assembly GCF_000001405.40 of Homo sapiens. Classification (NCBI taxonomy): domain Eukaryota; kingdom Metazoa; phylum Chordata; class Mammalia; order Primates; family Hominidae; genus Homo; species Homo sapiens. Next base: position 103,561,261 of record NC_000008.11, on the reverse strand, counting down.
ATCTAAAATAAAAAGTATATAAAAATTGCTCTTTGTTAAGCCCATACTAAGTTGTTATTCTTAAATATAAATGACTAAGATAATCTCTTAAGATATATATATATTTCAGATTCTTGGTCACAGAGAGGAAAAAGCCGCAGGAAGCTGCACTCTGTTAGATTAAGCCAGCTAGTATAAAAAGCTCATGACCAATTATTTGGAACAGCTGCAACTGAGTCACTGAGCTAAATTTTAAAACCAACCTAAGTTTATCAAACAAACTCTAAAAAATGCTTACAAATTTAAAGGTACAGATAGTAATTTTTGGTTGTTGGTTTGTTTTCACTGATGTCTGGTTTTTAGGATTTGTTGTTGTTGTCTGTTTACAAGCACTACTAGTTAAGTTGCTAAGGATTCCTACTTAACATAAAAAGAACACCTATATTTATTAACACAACCTCAAAATAACATAAATATGGTATCTGGGGTTTCATTTTTGATTAAGAGATTTGATAAAGTGAAAGAAATGTCTGAAATAAACTTATTCTTGAAATTTAAAAACATATCTTAAATTTCAAATGATTGTGTTTACCTTGTGTTCTTTAACAATCTCTGAATCCCCAGACATTGACACACAGCCCAATTACTTTATATGTAAAACACTTGAATTATTATATGAGCTACCTTTCCATCCTTTCCTTGAGTCAATGAGTAAGCATAGTTAAATGTTTGATCTGTGTATTCAGCAACATTCAAGAATTTACTTAAATGTTGCTTTCAGAGTGCGCTCCCTTCTGAAGATTGTTTATATAAAGGGCACATGTTTATCAGTTTCTAATATTTTAGTTGGTAGAGATAGATAAGATCAAGTCTAAACTTAGCTATTTTTCTTTTTTTTCTTTTTTTAGACAGAGTTTCGCTCTTGTCACCCAGGCTGGAGTGCAATGGCGCAATCTTGGCTCACTGCAACCTCCACCTCCCAGGTTCAGTGATTCTCCTACCTCAGCCTCCCGAGTAGCTGGGACTACAGGCACATGCCACCATGCCCAGCTATTTTATCCTTTAATATAACAATAATTCTAATACTCTGTTGGAAGGCAATTCATCGATGTCCCTTGTTTCTTCATGTCCTGTGAGAAGATGCACTGACTTATTGTTCTGAACTATTTTGTTTACACCGTAAACACTTGGAAGATAAGCTCTGCTTCAGCAACAGATTTGGGGGCAGCTTTGGAAATAATAATGTCTCCTTCTAGGTCAAAGGGCAGTAAAGCATACTTACTACATGCTATAAAAGATTTGACGCCCTAGCCTCAGAGCTCCTCTCCTATAATTCAGCTCACTGCATGTGTAGGTATAATCTGGCCTTCTTTATTTCATCCTGTGGGAATAGGAGCTTACAGAATTGAAACAAATAATACACTGGCTACTATTATTGCTGTGAGTAACCAACAGCCCTTCATCTCTGACCCAGAGTTTCATTTCTTCTGCCAGCATCCTGAAACCACGGCAGGCTAACTTGTTAGTTTGTCAATAGAATAAAATCTCAGACATTTCATGGTTTTTGATAATCTAACACATATTGATATAATTTCATTAAGTATCTATTGAATGTCCTCAGTGTGCTAGCACTAGTTTTAACTTATAATGAGACTTGAATTCTGGATCCACCATGAGTTGACAGTGTCATTAGGAAAAGATCACATTCTAAAGAAAAGATACTTTAGCCTCACTGGCTGCTCTTAAAAGCCATCTCTGCATTGTTCTCAGTCCTGCTCCCTTCTCACAGCAGCCACCTCCACAGCAGGAAACTCTGCAGCTTGATCACCAGAGTCCCTGAACTCTCTCTTTCTTTTTAATCCCCTGCATCGGATCACTGGCATGCTCCACCGTGAAGCAGCCGTGGACACCAGCTCCGAGATCACCACCAAGGGCATAAAGGAGAAGGAAGTTATGGGGAGGCAGAAAATGGAAGAGATGTCCCTGCTAATGGGAAGGCTAATTAGGAAAATCAGGATCAGAAGGCTGGCAATGAGAGAGATGAAAAAGAAGAAGAAGGAAGTGGGGAGGAAGAGGAAGAGAAATAAGAAGATAATGGTGAGGAACAGGATGGAGATGAAGATGAGGGAGCTGAGGCTGCTGGGGGCAAATGGGCAGCTGATGAGGATGACAATGTTGATACCAAAATAGACCAAATAAGGATGATCAGAGAGCAAAAAAAAAAAAGTTAAAAAATATCTGAAAGGCCACCATGACATATTTACTCTCCATTTCCATCTCAGAATCTAAACACATGGTCACCTTTGAGGAGAGAGGCCCAGCAGTGCTACCTGTAAATGATGCATGCTCTCCACCACCCAAACAAAACCACAAGAATTTGTAACAGAGAAGGAAAAAGAACTAAAGGCCCTGCTTGTTTTTTAAAAGTACTTGAAAAAGGAAATTTGTTTGTATTTTTAATTTACATTTTATATTTTTGCACATATTGTTTGGGTCAGCCATTTTTAATGATCTCCAATGACCAAACCACCCTTCAGATTGTTCTCTGTCCTACTTCTGACTTTACTTGTGGTGTGACCATGTTCATATTTACAATCTCAAAGGAGGAAAAATCCTGTTTAAAAAAAGCAAAACCAACGACAAAAAAAAAACTATCTTATCCCAAGAATTCCAGTAAATTTTTTCATGTATGTACTTAGCTGTACTATAAGTCATTGGTTTGTATGAAATGGTTAAAAAGGCCAAAGATAAAAGATTTGGGGCAGGCACGGTGGCTCATGCCTATAATCCCAATACTTTGGGAGGCCGAGGTGGGCAGATCACCTGAGGCCTGGAGTTTGAGACCACCCTGGCCAACATGGCAAAACCCCATCTCTACAAAAAATACAAACATTAGCCAGGCGTGGTGGTGTATGCCTGTAATCCCAGCTACCGGGAGGCTGAGGCTCAAGAATCATTTGAACAACACAGGAGACAGAGGTTGCAGTGAGCCGAGAGTCACGCCACTGCACTCCAGCCTGGGTGGCAGAGCAAGACTCTGTCTCAAAAATAAAATAAAATAAAAATAAATACAAGGTTTCTTTTTTTTCCTCTTTTGTCTATCAAATTTTGAATTGCTGGGTTTTTTTCTTTGTTTTTTGAGTTAATGCCTACCTGTAAAACAATGCAGTCCAAAAATAAACTGGAATTTTAGTTTGCTGACTTGTTAAAAAAATAAAATAAAAAATAAAGGTACTTTATGCACCTTTTTGAAAACTTTAAGATCACAGAAATTTTTACAACTGAAGGAACTTTGGAGATAACCCAATCTTAAATTTTAATTTTACCCATAGTTGGGAGAATTTATGTAACTTGCTCAAGGTTGCACATTCATTTACAGGAGAGCTGGAACTGGAGCACAGACTACTCATTTTCAGTACTCTTTCTATAATACTAGAGATTATTTTGTTATGCTTGATTTATGTACATTTTCAAAATTGTACATGGTTAGGCCTAAATTATAACTGAAAAGGTTACAATTTAGTTATAAATCAAGGAGTTATAATTCAGTTAGTTATAAGTGAAAAGTGTTGAATAAAAACAAAAATGTATTTCAGCCATAAGATTGTTACAGTCATTACTTATGGAAATAGCAATGATAGAGAATGTAAACTCCTGTATGGTAGAAATTATCAAGGGTTTATCTGATAGTTTCATTCATTGTAGTGTCCCAAATTTCTAGAACAGTGCCTGGAACACAGCAGGTGATAAATATTTTCTAAATGATATATAAAACATGTTTTTAAATATCACAAAGTCTAAAACCAATATAAAACTATGTTTACTCTGTGTTTTTCCCTAAAAGTGGGAAAGAAAATAAGAAAATCAGAATGAACACATGGACATTTTTCCTGACCAAGAAGGCCCAGAAAGACAGGTAAGGGGAATGGAACATTTGATGCTGGCAGTTCAGAAGAGCCTTGAAAGGGCTTTTGAAAACACACTGCTTAGCAGTCCAGTGTTAAGATAAGGTAGTTCTATCCTAGCCAGGAGACAGAATGGAGATTATATTGCAGTGTTGGTAATCACTAAGGATCAGTAATATGAGTAAAAAGAAGAGAGACAATGAGCTATCGGTTTTTGAGAATCTACTAGCATTTATTGAGGTAAACACTGTGTTAAGTACTTTACATACATTTTTTCATTTAATTCTCCCGAATCAGAAGATTTATATTTTGATTTGTATTTCCTAAACCACTGATCCTAACTCTATTTATCGAGATTTAATTTTCAAGTTGATTATATTCTAAAATTATCTTTCCTAAATCAGTTGTTTTAACCTATAATGCATATTCCCATAGAAGTAGCTTTAGGTCCCCGCCATGATCCATAGAAGCTAATATAGATAAAATGCTATAATGTTGCAACAAATGACAAACCCTGCTTTGTCATTAAACCTACCTATTTGTTAGGTAGGTTTTTGGGTTAACCCTGGGAACCTAACCCTTATCAGTATTTTTTTTCCTATAGAAATATGTGGTATACCAAGAAAACACAAACTTACTGAGAACACGTTCAACTCTCTGGCAGTGGCTTCTCAATATTATAAAGAAAATATAATAGCTTACAAAATACTCTCTGAGTTCTATGAGTAAATTGATCTCGACACAGCATTATGCCAGCCTTAACTAATACATATAATTTCCTATGGAGAAGAGGTAGGTATAAATTCAAAAGACTTAGATGAAGTCCTGGCTACCCCAGTATAACTCTGAATGTCACCTAACTTATTTAAATTTCAGTTACTGCATCTGTAAAAATAATATTATTTCCTCTACATTATGGGATCACTGAAAGTATAAGATGAGATAACTTGTAAAAGGGCTTTTAAGCTGAAAATAACTTGAGAAAGTATGTCATTTTACATTTGAATAGCTATTTTGGATCAAGCTTTACAGGAATTTTTTATCTTCATTTTTTAATTGACAAGTAGTATAAATTGTATATATTCATGGTGCACAAGTTTTGATATATGTATACATTGTAGAATGACTAAATCAATATATAAAACAAATGCATTACCTCATATATCATTTTTTGTGTGGTGACATTTAAAATCTACTCTTAGAAATTTTCAACTGTACAATATGCTGTTATTAACTATAGTCACCATGTTATACAATATATGTCTTGAACATATTCATTCTATCTAACTGAAATTTTGTGTCTTTTCACCATCTCACAAATCCCCTTATTTCAACCCCACCACAGAGTCCCTGGTAAACACAATTCTACTCTCTCTTTCTATGAATTCAACTTCTTTAGATTCCACATATAAGTGAAATCGTCCAGTATTCGTCTTTCTATCCATAGTTTATTTCACTTAACATAATATCCTCTGAGATCATTCACGTTGTTGCATATGATAGGATTTCCTTCTTTTTAAAAGTTAAATAGTATTCCACTGTGCATTTATAGCACTTTTTTTCTTTTTTTTTTTTTTGAGAGAGAGAGAGGGTCTCGCTCTGACACCCAGGCTGCAGGACAGGGGCACAATCACACCTTAATGCTCTCAAATTCCTGGGCTCAAGTGATCCTCCCACCTTGGCCTCCCAAAGTGTTGGGATTACCAGCATTAACCACCATGCCTGGCCAGATTTTTTCTTTATTCATCTGTTGATGAACCCTTAGGTTGATTCCATATCTCGGGAATTGCGAATAATGCCACAATGAACATGGGAGTACAGATATCTCTTTGACACACTGAAATCATATAGTTTGGATATATACTTGGTTAAACGACTGCTATATCATATGTTAGTTCTCTTTCTAGTTTGTTGAGGAACCTCCATACTGTTTTTGATAATGGCTGTACTAACTTACATTCCTACCAACCATGTGTAAGGGTTACCTTCTCTCAACATAATTTCCAAAACATATATTTTACCTTTTTTATAGTAGTCATTCTAATAGTTGTGAGGTAATATATCTTTGTGGGTTTAATTTGCATTTCCCTGATAATTAGTGAAGGTGAGCATTTTTTCATATACCTATTGGCCATTGATATGTATTCTTTCAAGAAATTTCTATTCAGGTCCTTTGCCCATTTTTTTAACTTTTATTTTAGCTTCAGGGGTACATGTGCAGGTTTTTTATACTGGTAAGTTGTGTTTCTTGGGGCTTTTGTGTACAGATAATTTCATCACCCAAGTAATAAGCACAGTACATGATAGGTAGTTTTTAAAATTCTCTCCCTCTCCTTCCCTCCATGCTCAAGTAGGCCCTGATGTCTGATATTCCCTTCATTGTGTCCATGTGTACTCAACGTTTAGCCCATACTTACACATGAGAACATGTGGTATTTGTTTTTATGTTCCCACATTAGTTCACTTGGGATTATGGCCTCCAGCTCTATCCATGTTGCTGCAAAGGACATGATCTTCTTTTTATGGCTGCATACTATTTCATGTTATGTCTGTATCACATTTCCTTTATTCAGTCTACTGTTGATAGATATCTGGACTGATTCCATGACTTTACTATTGAGAGTAGTGCTGCAATGGACATACATCTCCGTGTGTCTTTATGGTACAGTGATTTATATTCCTTTGGGTAGGTACCCAATAATAGGATTGCTGGGTCGAATTATACTTCTGTTTTAAGTTATTTGAGAAATCACCAAACTGCCATCCATAATGGCGGAACTAATTTACATGACCAGCAACAGTGCATAAGTGTTCCCTTTTCTACACAACCTAACCAGCATCTGTTACTCTTTGACCTTTTAATAATAGCTATTCTGACTGGTGAGATGGTATCTCATCATGGTTTTGATTTGCATTTCTCTAATGGTAAGATGAGCATTTTTTCATATGCTTGTTGGCCGCGTATATGTCATCTTTTGAAAAGCATCTGTTCATGTCCTTTGCCCACTTTTTAATGGTGCTGTTTGTTTTTTGCTTGTAAATTTGTCTAAATTCCTTACAGATGCTGGATAGTAGACCTTTGCTGGATGCATAGTATGCAAATATTTTCTCCCATTCTGTAGGTTGTCTATTTACTCTGTTGACAGTTTCTTTTGCTATGCAGAAGTACTTTAGATTCCATTTGTCAAGGTGCATTTTTTTTGCAATTCCTTTTGACGTCTTCCTCATTAAATCTTCACCAGGGCCTATGTCCAGAATGGTATTTCCTAGGTTATCTTCAGGATATTTAGAGTTTCAGGTTTTACATTTAAGTCTTTAATCCATCTTGAGTTGCTATTTGTATAAGGTATAAGGAAGGGGTCCAGCTTCAATCTTTCACAAACACTACCCAGTTATTCCAGCACTATTTATTGAACGGGGGTCCTTTTCCCACTGCTAGACTTTGTTGAGTTTGTCGAAGATTAGATGATTATAGGTGTGTAGCATTATTTCTTGGCTCTCTATTCTGTTCCATTGGTCTATCTGTCTGTTTTTGTACCAGTACCATGCTGTTTTAGTTACAGTAGCCTTGTAGTATAGTTTGAAGTCAGGTAGCATGATGCCTTCAGCTTTGTTTTTTTACTTAGGATTGCCTTGGCTATTTGGGCTCTTTTTTGGTTCCATATGAATTTCAAAATAGTCTTTTTCAAACTCTGTGAAGGATGCTGTTAGTAGTATGATAGGAATAGCACTGAATCTGTAAATTGCTTTGGGCAGTATGGCCATTTTATTATTATTTTTTATTATACTTTAAGTTCTAAGGTACATGAGCACAACATGCAGCTTTGTTACATATGTATATATGTGCCATGTTGGTGTGCTGCACCCATTAACTCGTCATTTACATTAGGTATATCTCCTAATGCTATCCCTCCCCTCCTTCCCCCACCCCATGACAGGTCCCAGTGTTTGATATTCCCCACCCTGTGTCCAAGTGTTGTCATTGTTAAATTCCCACCTATGAGTGAGAACATGCAGTGTTTGGTTTTCTGTCCTTGTGATAGTTTGCTCGGAATGATGGTTTCCAGCTTCATCCATGTCCCTACAAAGGACAAAAATTCATCCTTTTTAATGGCTGCACAGTATTCCATGATGTATATGAGCCACATTTTCTTAATCCAGGCTATCAGTGATGGATATTTGGGTTGGTTCCAAGTCTTTGCTATTGTAAATAGTGCCACAATAAACACACATGTGCATGTGTCTTTATAGCAGCATGATTTATAATCCTTTGGGTATATACCCAGTAATAGGATGGCTGGGTCAAACGGTATCTCTAGTTCTAGATCCTTGAGGAATCACCACGCTGTCTTCCACAATGGTTGAACTAGTTTACAGTCCCACCAACAGTGTAAAAGTGTTCCTATTTCTCCACATCCTCTCCAGCACCTGTTGTTTCCTGACTTTTTAATGATCGCCATTCTAACTGGTGTGAGATGGTATCTCATTGTGGTTTTGATTTGCATTTCTCTGATGGCCAGTAATGATGAGCATTTTTTCATGTGTGTTTTGGCTGCATAAATGTCTTCTTTTGAGAAGTGTCTGTTCATATCCTTTGCCCACTTTTTGATGGGGTTGTTTGATTCTTTCTTGTAAACTTGTTTAAGTTCTTTGTAGATTCTGGATATTAGCCCTTTGTCATATGGGTAGATTGTAAAGATTTTCTCCCATTCTGTAGGTTGCCTGTTCACTCTGTAGTGTCTTTTGCTGTGCAGAAGCTCTTTAGTTTAATTAGATCCCATTTGTCTATTTTGGCTTTTGTTGCCATTGCTTTTGGTGTTTTAGTCATGAAGTCCTTGCCCATGCTTATGTCCTGAATGCTATTGCCTAGGTTTTCTTCTAGCGTTTTTATGGTTTTAGGTCTAACATTTAAGTCTTTAATCCATCTTGAATTAATTTTTGTATAAGGTATAAAGAAGGGATCCAATTTCAGCTTTCTACATATGGCTAGCCAGTTTTCCCAGCACCATTTATTAAACAGGGCATCCTTTCCCCATTTCTTGTTTTTGTCAGGTTTGTCAAAGATCAGATGGTTGTAGATGTGTATTATTTCTGAGGGCTCTGTTCTGTTCCATTGGTCTATATATCTGTTTTGGTACCAGTGCCATGCTGTTTTCGTTACTGTAGCCTTATAGTATAGTTTGAAGTCAGGTAGCATGATGCCTCCAGCTTTGTTTTTTTGGCTTAGGATATTCTTGCCAATATGGAATCTTTTTTGGTTCTATATGAACTTTAAAGTAGTTTTTTCCAATTCTGTGAAAAAAGTCATTGGTAGCTTGATGGGGATACCACTGAATGTATAAATTACCTTGGGCAGTATGGCCATTTTCACGATATTGATTCTTCCTATCCATGAGCATGGAATGTTCTTCCATTTGTTTATGTCCTCTTTTATTTCGTTGAGCAGTGGTTTGTAGTTCTCTTTGAAGAGGTCCTTCACATCCCTTGTAAGTTGGATTCCTAGGTATTTTATTCTCTTTGAAGCAATTGTGGATGGGAGTTCACTCATGATTTGGCTCTCTGTTTGTCTGTTATTGGTTTATAGGAATGCTTGTGATTTTTGCACATTGATTTTTGTATCCTGAGACTTTGCTGAAGTTGCTTATCAGCTTAAGGAGATTTGGGGCTGACACGATGGGGTTTTCTAAATATACAATCATATCATCTGCAAACAAGGACAATTTGACTTCTTCTTTTCCTAATTGAATACCCTTTATTTCTTTCTCCTGTCTGATTGCCCTGGCCAGAACTTCCAACACTATGCTGAATAGGAGTGGTGAGAGAGGGTATCCCTGTCTTGTGCCAGTTTTCAAAGGGAATGCTTCCAGTTTTTGTACATTCAGTATGATATTGGCTGTGAGTTTGCCAAAAATAGCTCTTATTATTTTGAGATACATCCCATCAATACCTAGTTTATTGAGAGTTTTTAGAATGAAGTGCTGTTGAATTTTGTCAAAGGCCTTTTCTGCATCTATTGAAATAATCATGTGGTTTTTGTCTTTGATTCTGTTTATGTGATGGATTATGTTTATTGACATTCGTATGTTGAACCAGCCTTGCATCACAGGGATGAAGCCCACTTGATCGTGGTGGATAAGCTTTTTGATGTGCTGCTGGATTCAGTTTGCCAGTATTGTATTGAGGATTTTTGCATCGATGTTCATGAGGGATATTGGTCTAAAATTCTCTTTTTTTTGTTGTGTCTCTGCCAGGCTTTGGTATCAGGATGATGCTGGCCTCATAAAATGAGTTCGGGAGGAGTCCCTCTTCTTCTATTGATTGGAATAGTTTCAGAAGAAATGGTACCAGCTCATCTTTGTACCTCTGGTAGAATTCGGCTGTGAATCCATCTGGTCCTGGACTTTTTTGGTCAGTAGGCCATTAATTATTGCCTAAATTTCAGAGCCTGTTGTTGGTCTATTCAGGGATTCAACTTCTTCCTGGTTTAGTCTTGTATGTGTCGAGGAATTTATCCATTTCTTCTAGATTTTCTACTTTATTTGCGCAGAGGTGTTTATAGTATTCTCCGATGGTAGTTTGTATTTCTGTGGGATCAGTGGTAATAACCCCTTTATCATTTTTTATTGTATCTATTTGATACTTCTCTCTTTTCTTCTTTATTAGTCTTGCTAGTGGTCTATCAATTTTGTTGATCTTTTCAAAAAACCAGCTCCTAGATACATTGATTTTTTTGAAGGGTTTTTTGTGTCTCTATCTCCTTCAGTTCTGCTCTGATCTTAGTTATTTCTTGCCTTCTGCTAGCTTTTGAATGTGTTTGGTCTTGCTTCTCTAGTTCTTTTACTTGTGATGTTAGGGTGTCAATTTTAGATCTTTCCTGCTTTCTCTTGTGGGCATTTAGTGCTATAAATTTCCCTCTATAGATTGCTTTAAATGTGTCCCAGAGTCTGGTTATGTTGTGTCTTTGTTCTCACTGGTTTCAAGAAACATCTTTATTTCTGCCTTCATTTCATTATGGTACCCAGGGGCCATTCAGGACAGGTTGTTCAATTTCCATGTAGTTGAGCAGTTTTGAGTGAGTTTCTTAATCCTGAGTTCTAGTTTGATTGCACTGTGGTCTGAGAGACACTTTGTTCTAATTTCTGTTCTTTTACATTTGCTGAGGAGTGCTTTACTCCCAACTATGTGGTCAATTTTGGAGTAAGTGCGATATGGTGCTGAGAAGAATGTATATTCTGTTGATTTGGGGTGGAGAGTGCTGTAGATGTCTATTAGGTCTGCTTGGTGCAGAGCTGAGTTCAATTCCTGGATATCCTTGTTAACTTTCTCTCTCGTTGATCTGTCTAATGTTGACAGTGAGGTGTTAAAGTCTCCCATTATTATTGTGTGGGAGTCTAAGTCTCTTTGTAGGTCTCTAAGAACTTGCTTTATGAATCTGGGTGCTCCTGCATTTAGGATAGTTAGCTCTTCTTGTTGAATTGATCCCTTTACCATTATGTAATGGCCTTCTTTGTCTCTTTTGATCTTTGTGGGTTTAAAGTCTGTTTTATCAGAGACTAGGATTGCAACCCCTGCCTTTTTTTGTTTTCCATTTGCTTGGTAGATCTTCCTCCATCCCTTTATTTTGAGCCTCTGTGTGTCTATGCATGTGAGATGGGTCTCCTGAATACAGCACACTGATGGGTCTTGACTCTTCATCCAATTTGCCAGTCTGTGTCTTTTAATTGGAGCATTTAGCCCATTTACATTTAAGGTTAATATTGTTATGTGTGAATTTGATCCTGTCATTATGATGTTAGCTGATTATTTTGCTCATTAGTTGATGCAGTTTCTTCCTAGCATTGATGGGCTTTACAATTTGGCATGTTTTTGCAGTGGCTGGTACTGGTTGTTCCTTTCCATGCTTAGTGCTTCCTTCAGGAGCTCTTGTAAGGTAGGCCTGGTGTTGACAAAATCTCTCAACATTTGCTTGTCTATAAAGGATTTTGTTTCTCCTGCACTTATGAAGCTTAGTTTGGCTCGATATGAAATTCTGGGTTGAAAATTCTTTTCTTTAAGATTGTTGAATATTGGCCCCCACTCTCTTCTGGCTTGTAGAATTTCTGCCAAGAGATCTGCTGTTAGTCTGATAGCCTTCCCTTTGTGGGTAACCCGACCATTCTCTCTGGCTGCCCTTAATATTTTTTCCTTCAGTTCAACTTTGGTGAATCTGACAATTATGTGTCTTGGAGTTGCTCTTCTCGAGGAGTATCTTGGTGGCGTTCTCTGTATTTCCTGAATTCGAATGTTGAGTATGGCCATTTTAATGATATTGATTCTCCTATCCATCAGCACAGAATGTTTTTCCATTTGTCTGTGGTATCTCTGATTTCTTTGAGCAATGTTTTGTAATTCTCATTGTAAAGATCTTTCACCTCCCTAGTTAGCTGTATTCCTAGGTATTTTATTCTTTTTGTGGTTACTCTGAATGGGACTGCATTCTTGACTTGGCTTTCAGCTTGGTCATCATTGATGTATAAAAATGCTTTTGGTTTTTGTACACTGATTTGGTACCCTAAAACTTTGCTGAAGTTGTTTTTCAGATCTAGGAGCTTTTAGATAGAGATTATGGTGTTTTCTAGGTATAGAATCATATTGTTGGCAAAGAGAAATGGTTTGTCTTCATCTCTTCCTATTTAAATGCATTTTATTTCTTTCTCTTGCCTTATTGCTCTAGCTAGGACTTCCATACTATGTTGAATAGCAATGGTTAAGAGTGGGCATCCTTGTCTTCTTCCTGTTCTCAAGATAAATGTTTCCAGCTTTTGCCCATTCAATATAATGTTGGTTGTATGTTTTACATAGATGGCTCTTATTATTTTGATATATGTTCCTTCAATGCCTAGTTTGTTGCAAGTTTTTAACATGAAAGGATGTTGAATTTATTGAAAGACTTTTCTCCATCTATTGAGATGATCATGTGGTTTCTGTTTATGTGGTGAATTCTGTTTATGTGGTGAATCACATTTATTGATTGGCATATGTTGAACAAAACTTGTATCCCAGAGATAAAGCCTAGTTGATCGTGGCACATCAGCTTTTTGATGTGCTGTCAGATTCAGTCTGCTAGTATTTTGTTGAATATTTTTGCATCTATGTTCATCAAGAATATTAGCCTGAAGTTTTTTTGCTGTTGTTGTGTCTCTGCCAGGTTTTGGTATCAGGATGACACTGGCCTCATAGAATGAGTTAAGGAGGAGTCCCTTCTCCTCAGTTGTTTTGGAATAGTTTCAGCAGAAATTGTACCAGATCTTCTTTATAAATCTGATAGAATCCAACTGTGGATTCATCTGCTCCTGGGCTTTTTTTAATTGATAGGGTTTTTATTACTAATTAAATTTCAGAATTCCTTATTGGTCTGTTCCAGGATACAGTTTCTTCCTGGTTCAATCTTGGCAGGTGGTATGTTTCCAGAAATCTAGCCATTTCTTCTAAGTTTTCTAGTTTGTGTGCATAGAGGTGTTCATCATAGTTTCTGAAGGTTTTTTAGTATTTCTGTGGGATCAGTGGTAATATGTGCTTTGTTATTTCATATTGTGTTTATTTGGATGTTCTCTCTTTTTCCCTTTATTAACTTAGCTAGCAAGCTATCATTCTTATTTATTGTTCCAAAAAACAAACTCTTGGATTCAATGACCTTTTGTATTTTTGTGTGTATCTCAATTTCCTTCACTTCAGCACTGATTTTGGTTATTTTTTGTCTTCTACTGGCTTTGGGGTTGGTTTGCTCTTGTTTCTCTAGTTCCTCTCGCTATGATGTTAGGCTGTTAATTTAAAATCTTTCCAATGTTTTTATGTGAACATTTAGCACTACAAACTTCCCTCTTAACACTGCTTAAGTTGTGTCCCAGAGATTCTGGTATGTTGTATCATTGTTCTTATTAGTTTCAAAGAATTTCTTATTTCTGCCTTAATTTCATTGTTTAGCCAAAAGTCATTCAGGAGAAGATTGTTTAATTTCCATGTAACTGCATGGTTTTCAGCGATTTTTTTTCAATATCTTCATTCACTCATTTATTCAACATTTGTTGAAAGCCAGCAATGCGTGACAAGATACAGAGCTCTAGAGAAGGAATCTCTCTTCTACTTTGGGAAGGATAACATGAGACCAAGAAAAAGTCCCTATTGTTCTTCTCACTTTTTCTTTCTTAATTTACTTTCCTAAAGGAACAGGGAAACCTCTTTCCATTCAAGCCTAACAAATACCAGTGGCCTAGGATTTCATGAAAAGTACATCTTTTACCTCTGTAAACTAAGAATTCTGCCGACTTGGTCAATTTGTTTTTCTGTGTCTGTGAACACTTTCCATGGGAGTTTACTTCAAGCCTAAGGGGAAGACACCCTAATTTTAGCTAGGATGTCTCAGTGAGGCACCGCATAACTCAAGATAATTGTAATCATATAAAGGATACAATCTTAAGATGTACCTTGTTTGCCAAAGCCTGAGAAAACATTTCCTAAAGGCACAGATGAAAAGCAAAGCTGGTCAGAAAGCAGCAGGGATTGGAGGATGGTAGGATGGGGACTGCTTCGTGGGGCTGGGAGTCAGGGACTCAGGGAGAACAGCCAGCACCCCTGCAGAGAGCACATCCCATGGCTGAATGGTTTTGAGTGGTTTTCCTAGCATTGATTTCTATTTTCATTGAGCTGTGGTCCAAGACTGCTGAGTATGATTTAGGTGTTTTTGAATCTGCTGAGGAAATTTTTTATGACTGATTGTGTGGTCAATTTTAGAGTATGTGGCACGTGCAGATGAGAAGAATGTATATTCTGTTGGTTTTGGGTGAAGAGTTCTGTAGCTGTCTGTTAGGCCCATTTAGTCAAATGTTGAGTTCAGGTCACAAATATCTTTGTTAGCTTTCTGCCTCTATGATGTCTCTAATACTGTCCATGGGGTTTTGAAGTCTCCCACCATTATTACGTCATTATCTAAGGCTCCTCATAGGTCTCTAAGAATGTGCTTTATGAGTCTGGGTGCTCCTGTTTTGGGTGCATATATATTTAGGATAGTTAACTCTTGTTGCTGAATTGAACCCTTTACCATTATGTAATGCCCTTCTTTGTCTCTTAAATCATTGTTGGGTTAAAGTCTGTTTTGTCTGAAATTAGAATAGCAACTCCTGTTTTTTTCTGTTTTCCATTTGCTTGGTAGATTTTTCTCCATCCCCTTACTTTGAGCCTATGGGTATCAATGCTTGTAGGATGGGTCTCTTGTAGACAACATACAATTGGGTCTTGTTTCTTTATCCAGCTTGCCCCCCTGTGCCTTTTAACTGAGGCATTTTGCTTGTTTACATTCCAGGTTAGTACTGATATGTGCAGGTTCAATCCTGTCAATGTGTAGTGAGCTGGTTATTACGGCAGACTTGATTGTGTGGTTGCATTATAGTGTCAGTGATCTATGTACTTGTGTTTTGTGGTGACCAGTAACAGTCTTTCCATATTTAGCCCTCTCTTAAGGATCAGAGAGGTAGGTAGGTAAGGCAGGTCCAGCGATAATGAATTCCCTAAGGACCTTACTTGTTAAAAAAGGATCGATCTTATTTCTCCTTCATTTATGAAGCTTAGTTTGGCTGGATATGAAATTTTTTATTGGAATTTCTTTTCTTTAAGAATGCTGAAGATAAGCCCCCAATCTCTTCTAGCTTGTAGAGTTTCTGCTGAAAAATTCACTGTTAGCCTGATGGAGTTCCCTTTGTAGGGGGTGTGCCCCTTCTCTCTAGCTGTCTTTAACATTTTTTCTTTCATTTCGACCTTGGAGAATCTGACGTCTATGTATATTAGTGATGGTCATCTTGTATAGTATCTCACAGGGATTCTCTACATTTCCTGGATGTCAATGTTCACCTCTCTAGGAAAGTTGGGAAAATTTTGTGAATGATAGCCTCAAATATGTTTTCCAAGTTGCTTGCTTTCTCTTCCTCTCTTTCAGGGATGGCAATGAGTTGTAGATTTGGTCTCTATACATAATCCCATATTTCTCAGAGGTTTTGTTCACTCTGTTTTGTTTTTTTTTGTTTTTAATTTCTTTCTAAGTTATTTCAGAGAGCTGGTCTTTCACCTCTGAGATTCTTTCCTCTGTTTGGTTGATTCTGCTGTGAATACTTGTAATTCCATTATACAGCCAATCTATCAATTCAGTTTGGTTCTTTCTTGAAATGGCCATTTTGTCTTTATCTCTTGTATTGTTTTATTGTATTTCCTAGATTCTTTGGATTGAGTTTCATCTTTCTCCTGAATGTTGATGATCTTCATTCCTATTCACATTCTGAATTCTATTTCTGACATTGCAGTCATTTAAGCCTGGTTAAGAACCATTGCTGGGGAACCAGTGTGGTCACTTGGAAGGAAGAAGACACTGGCTTTTTGAGTAGCTAGAGTTCTTGCACTGGTTTTTTCACATGTGTGGGCTGATGTTCCTTCAGTCTCTGAAGTTGTTGTTCTTTGGATGTGTTTTTTTTTCTTATATCTTCTTTGATGCCCTTGATGGTTTGATTGTGGTATAAGCTGGGTTCACTCAACTCGCTTTGATTCTAGTCTGTTCGTGGGTCTTGTAGGAGCCCCCTCCGATTACTGTCTCCATGCCTGTATTTCTTTTCTTGGGTGTTCTGGTGCACAGGGCTCCCTCAGGCAGGGGCCACAGTTGGCAGACAAGCCATATCTTTGCCACCTTAACCCTAATCTGCTGTCTGAGTGCTTCCCACAGGAACATGGCATTGTGGCTGCACACAGAGTTCAGGCAGAAGTGGGACCACTGGGCTGGAAGCTCTAGCAGGTGTGGCTGTAAGAGGTGGGGGAGGGTAGAGTTGCCTGCCCTGCCATCTAGGTGTCTCTAGCGCAATAGGAGGTTGCTCCCCTCAGCAAATGCAGGCAGAAATATGCTCACAAAGCTGGAAGCTCTAGCAGGCACTGACTGCCTGCCTGGCTACCAGCAGTGGAGGTGGGTGGGGCCACTTGCCCTGCCCTGCTACACAGTTATTTCCCAGGACAAGCGTAAGCTGCACCCACCAGCTGAGTTCAGGCAGAAGAGGTATGGTGGGGCCAGAAGCTGTAGCAGGCGTTGCCCACCTGGCTACCAGCAGCAGGGGTAGGCAGAGTCACCTGCCCTGTCACTCAGGTGTTTCCCCGGACAACAGGAGTCTGCAACTAACTGCTGAACAGAAAAGCGGGACTGCTGGGCCAGAAGCTCTAGTAGAGATTGCCTGCCTGGCTCTTTGTTTTCTTGCTATTGAGTTGTTTGACTTCCTAATATATTCTGGATATTAACCCCTTATCAGATGTATGGTCTGCAAATATCTTCTCTGTAGGTTGCCTCTTCACTCTGTTGTTTCCTTTGCTGTACAGAAGCTTTTTAGTTTCATGTAATTCCATTTGTCTACTTTTGCTGTTGGGATCATATCTAAAAAAATCATTGCACAGACCAATGTCATGCAGCTTTTCTGCTATGTTGTCCTCTAAGAGTTTCAGATCTTAGATTTAAGTATTTAACCCATTTTGAGTTAATTTTTGCACATGGTGTGACATCAGGGTCTAATTTTATTCTTCTACATGTGAGTAACTGTTTCCCCAACACCATTTATTGAAGAGATTGCCCTTTGCCCATTGTGTATTCTTGGCATCTCTGTCAAGGATCAATTGACTAGAAATGCCTGAATTTATTTCTGGACTCTCTATTCTGTTCCACTGGTCTATATATCTGTTTATAGTACCATGCTGTTTTGGTACTATAGCTTTGGAGATTTTAGAATCAGGTATTGTTATGCCCCAGCTTTGTTCTTTTTGCTCAAATCTGCTTTTGCTCTTCAGGGTCTTTTGCAGTTCCATAAATATCTTTAGGATTGTTTTTCTGCTTCTGTGAAAAATATCATGGAATTTTCATAGGGATTGCATTAAATCTATAGTTTTGAGTAGTATGAACATTTAAACAATATTAATTCTTCTAATTCATTAACGATATATCTATCCATTTATTTGTGTCATCTTCAATTTCTTTCATCAATGTTTTATACTTTTCCGTGTACTTATCTTTCACCTCCTTGGTTACATTTATTCCTAGATATTTTTTGTAGCTATTGTAAACAGGATATTTTCTTGATTTCTTTCTCCAGTACGTCATTCTTACTGCACAAAAATGCTACTGATTTGTGTAGGTTGATTTTGTATCCTGCAACCTTAGTGAATTCATTTCTTAGTTTTAGCAGTTCTTTGGCTGAGTCTATAGGGTTTTCTGTATATAAGATCATATTATTTGCAAATACAGACAATTTAACTTCCTCCTTTCCAATTTGGGTGCCTTTATTTCATTCTTTTGCCTAATTGCTCTGGCAAGAACTTCCAGTACTATATTGAATAGAAGTGGTAGGAGCAGGCATCCTTGTCTTATTCCTGATCTTACAGGAAAGTTTTCAACTTTCACCATTGGGAATGATGTTAGTTGTGAGTTTGTGATGTAACGCCTGTATTGTGTTGAGGTACATTCTTTCTCTACCTAACTTTTTAGAAGTTTATTTATCATGAATGGATGCTCAGTTTTTTCAAATGCTTTTCTGCATCTATTGAGATGACCATATGATTTTTGTCCTTCATTCTGTTAATGTGGTATATCACATTTACAGAATTGTGTATGTTGAACTATCCTTGCATCCTAGGATGAACCCCACTTGATCATGGTGGATGGTCCATTTAATATGGTGTTGAATTCAGTTTGCTAGTATTTCATTGAGGATTTCTGCATCTATGCTCATCAAGAATATTGGCCTGTGAATTTATTTTCTTTGTAATTAAAAATTTTAAGAAATTCTTACTTTCTTAGTGTCCTTGTCTGGCTTTGATATTGGCATAATGCCAGCTTTATAAAATAAGTCTGGAAGTATTCACTCCTCTTCATTTATTTTTGAGAAGTTTGAGAAAGATTGGTATCAGTTCTTCTTTACATGTTTAGTAAAATTCAGCAGTGAAACCATCAGGTTCTGGGCTTTGCTTTGATGGGAAACATTATTACTGATTCTAGCCTCTTATTCATTATTGATCTGTTTAGCTTTTCTATTTCTTCATGATTCAGTCCTGGTAGATTACATGTGTTAAAGAATTAATCGTATTTTTCTAGTTTATCCAGTTTTTTGGTGTATAGTTATTCATAGTAGACTTTTATGATCTTTTGTGTTTCTGTGGTCTGAGTTGGAATATCTTTTCTTTAATTCCTGATTTCATTTAATGGAGTCTTCTCTTCTTTTCATAGTCTAGCTAAAGTTTTGTCAGTTTACTATTTCCTTCCCTCTAACCTTGCTCTTGGTTGTTTTGTGGATCTTTTGTTCCTTTTTCCTTCTCCAGCCGTCTTACTTTGTGATTAGATTATTTTCTGTAGTGGTGTGCTTTGATTCCTTACTTGTTAGCCTTATATATCTACTATAGGTTTTCATTTTGTGGTTACCATGAGGCTTATCTAAAATATGTTATAGTTGTAACAGACTATTTTAACATAATAACAACTAAACTTTGATTGCATTTTTAAAGCTATAGTTTTACTACACCCCTCCCCAACATTTTATGTTTTTGTTGTCACAATTTATATCTTTTTGCATTGTATATCCCTTAACAAATTATTGTAGCTATTACTATTTTTAATAGTTAACCTTCATAACTAAAGCTATAAGCGATTTACACACCACCATTACAGTACTAGAGTATTCTGAATCTGACTGTGTACTTACTTTTACCAGTGAGTTTTATACTTTAATATGTGTTCATGTTACTAGTTAGCACCCTTCTCATTTCACTTGGAAAGCATTTCTTTTCTTATTTCAGTTTGAATAACTCTCCTTAGCATTTCTTTTTTTTCTTTCAGCTGGAAGAACTCTCCTCAGCATTTCTTGTAAGACAGGTCTGGTGGTGATTATCTCTGTCAGCTTTTGTTTGTATGGGAAAGTATTTACCTCTCCTTCATTTCTGAAGAACAGCTTTGTGGGTAAAGTATTGGTTAACAGATACTTCCTTCAGCACTTTGAATACATCATCCCATTCTTTCCTGGCTTGTAAGGTTTCTGCTGAGAAGCAGGCTGTTGGCCTTACTGTAACTACGTTATGTGTGGTTTGTTTCTCTTCTCTTGCTTTCAGGATCCTCTCTGCGTCTTTGATGGTTTGATCATGCCTTGATGTGGTCGTTTATGGACTGAATCTGATTGGAACTCCCTGACCTTCCTGTAATTGGATATTTACATTTTCCCCAATTTGGAAACTGTTCTGCTATTATTTCTTTAAGTAAACTTTCTGCCCCTTTCTCTCTTCTCCTCAAATCCCTATAATTCAAAACTGCCTTTTTGATGTCCCATAAATCCCATAAGCTTTCTTTGTTCTTTTTTGTTTCTTTTTTATTCCTCTCACTGTATATTTTCAAGTAACTTGTCTTTGAATTCACCAATTCTTTCTTCTGCTTGATCAACTCTGCTGCTGACATTCCCTATTGCATTTTTCATTCCAGTCATTGTTTTTTCTCCTCCAGATTTTCTTTTTTGTTTGTTTGCTTGTTTATTTACAATTCCAACTCAAAAGTTTTTTGTTCATTTGCTGTTTTCTTGATCTTGTTGAATGGTTTCTCTGTATTTCTTGACATTTGCTGAGATTCCTTAAAACAATTACTTTGGATTCTTTCTCAGGCAGGCTTATATAGCTCCATTTATTTGGCATTAGTTAGTGGAAAATTAGTATGTTCTTTTGGTGGTGTTATACCTCACTTTCTCATGTTTCTTGTCATTTTATGTTGATGGCTGCACATCTGGTGCAGTAGCCAACTCTTCAAGACTTTATGAGCTAGTTTTACTGTGGAAATACTTTCCCCTATGGTGGGGGTACAAGGGTGCTTACATGAGTGGAGTACAGATGTTCTGGCACCAGTGAGGGTGCCGCTATGTTGTCTCTGTGCAGCTCTGGCAGCTGAGGTCGGTGTTGATGAAGACTGCAAGGATCCTCAGCGGCCAACATTGTGGATGGCCACAATGGTGGCAAGGACTGGAGTCTTCAGTGGTGATGACTGCTAAGGTCCACCCAATTTCTTTTTCTCCCACCGAGGAAGTTGTGACTAAAGGGGTCCCTCTTCATGTTGGGTCTCGCTTATGAGCCCACTCATGTTGGTGGTGGCAACAGTGTCAGATGAGTGGCACCTGTAAAGTACCCATGGAGCTGAGGCCTGAGGCACAAACGTGTGGAGTACCTATGGCTCTGAGATCCAGGGCAGAAATGGTACTGTTGTCTGTGGCACAGGCAACCCCACTGCCATATTGGAAATAGTACATGATGCTTGTGAAGCAGCCAAGAGCCAAGAACGGGAACACAGATGTGCACAGAGTTACTGTGGCTCCAGGGTTTGGTCAGGTTCTTGCTCTGTTAGGTGGCTGAGCTGGTGCGTGGAGCATTGGCATGCACAGCAAGAGCTTGGCTCCAAGGCCCAGTATGCAAATTAACTCACTATGGCAATGGCTCCAATGTCTGGAATGTGAGCAAGCACAGTGCAGCCACAGAGCCTGAGTCTGAAGTGTGAGCACTCTCAGGGTGACTGCAGCTCAGGGGTTAGGGCACAGGCAGGGTTGGAAGAGAGGACATTTCCTTTTCTGAAGCAACTTAACAGTGGCTGCTTCTTGGGCAGGAGAAGAATATACAGCTGTGTAGCCCTCTCTGGGATCCCTCAGAGGGAATGACTGTTGGTTGCCTTGGTGGCAAAAAATGCCTGTATGCTCTGTGGAGCAGGCTCTTGGGGATGATGGTGGTTTCAACAATATAGCTCATACTGATAGTCTCTTCCTTTCTTTCCTGCCCCTAGATATCTCCTGGCATCTCAGGTAAGCCAATTCACCAGTGATTATTTCTGTTTGGATATTCTCCATGTTTTCTGCTCCACTTTGTTGCTTCAGTATACTTTATTGGGCCCTTGAGCCCTCTCAGGCCTATTTCAGTTTATGGATAGCTGTCTATACTTGTTTTTG
The DNA here is from genome assembly GCF_000001405.40 of Homo sapiens. NCBI lineage: Eukaryota > Metazoa > Chordata > Mammalia > Primates > Hominidae > Homo > Homo sapiens. The sequence goes on along the minus strand of NC_000008.11, from coordinate 103,539,366 downwards.
TGTGTGTGAAATAAAGGCTGGTATCTCCTACTCTGCCATCTTGGTGGTGTATTTGAGGCCTTTAAATGCCAGTCAGAAGTGTTTGGACATTTTTCCCTAAATGAATGAGAAGCCATCAAAGATTTCTTAGTAGAAGAATAATGTCATCTTTTTCTCAGCAGCAGAGTCTCATTGTGTTGCTCAAGCTGGAGAGCAGTGGCTATTCACAGATACAATCATCACACACTACAGCCCCAAACTTCTGTACTCAAGTGATCCTCCTGCCTCAGCCTCTCAAGTAGCTGAGATTAAAGGCACATGCCATTACTCCTGGCTAAATTTTCTAAAAAATAACTTATGAAAAATTAACTTGGATACAATATGCAAAGCATAAAAGGTGAATACTACCCAGCCATAAGAAGGAATGAATTAACCACATTTGCAATGACCAGGATGAGATTAGAAACTATTATTCTAAGTGAAGTAACTCAGGAATGGAAAACCAAACATGGTATGTTCTCACTGATATGTGGGAGCTAAGCTATGAGGACGCAAAGCCATAAGAATGATACAATGGACTAGGCTGGGCGTGGTGGCTCATGCCTGTAATCCCAGCACTTTGGGAGGCCAAGGCGGGTGGATCACGGGATTGAGACCACCCTGGCTAACATGGTGAAACCCTGTCTCTACTAAAAATATAAAAATTAGCCAGGCGTGGTGGTGGGTGCCTGCAGTCCCAGCTACTTGGGAGGCTGAGGCAGGAGAATGGCGTGAACCCAGGAGGCGGAGCTTGCACTGAGCTGAGATTGCGCCACTGTAGTCCAGCCTGGGCAACAGAGCGAGACTCCATCTCCAAAAAAAAGAATGATACAATGGACTTTGGGGACTTGGGGGGGAAGAGTGGAGGGGGGCGAGGGATAAAAGACAACAAGTATGGTGCAGTGTATACTGCTTAGGTGATGGGTGCACCAGGTTCTCACAAATCTCCAGGAAAGAACTTACTCATGTAACCAAATACCGCCTGTATCCCAATAACTTACGGAAAAATAAAATTTTTAAAAAAGAATAAAAGGTGAATATAAGGAAATCTGTTATAATTGCAATAATTCCAGAATAAGATAAGATTGTTATTAGAATATTAACAGAAGAAACAGAAAGAAAAGCAATATTACAAAGAGAGGAAGAAGCAACAGGGCTTTGTATCTAATTGGGTCTTTGTTGGTTTCTATCAAATAGGTCAAAGCCTAACTATGCCATATATGTATACATATATGCCATTTTAAAGACCATAGGAGAGATTTTATATCAATTCTAGGATCATATCAGGAAATTCTTTCTAATGTTTATCCTAAATATCTCATACTACAGTAAACATATTCCATATATTGTCAATAAAACAGAAATTAACTGTGTTGGCCAGAAAATTCAGAAAGTTATCTTTTTTTGCAGGTAACCAAAATGTATCACATGGCCCTCCAGAGAGGCACAGGATTACTGTATATTGGTAAACATCTCCCATTCTCATTTGGCAGAAAAAAAAAATATGCCATAGAAAACTAACCTTTCCATTTTCCCCTTAGTTGGAAAGATTAAAGCAAAAGACCATGGCAAAGACTATAATCAAGCAGCAGTCAGGGAATACTACCTGACTACTTAATATTACTACATTATTAAAAACCATTATTATAATTTCCCTTCACTGATCACTTGGTAAAGCCAGTGATCTGGCTTGGTAAAGCCAGACATGGTAAGTACTACCCTATGAAGGAAGTACTATTATCCTCATTTTATATAAGGAGGCTGAGGCAAAAAAAAATGAATTTGCTAAAGGTTAGATGCTTAAAAACCAGGCTTAGAACCCAAATCTCAAGGTCTCAAATTGCTGTCCTGGTAGAACAGAAGGATTGAAGAACTACTCTTTGACAAATACATTAGATCTTACTAAAACTGTCATATCCTTAACAATATCTCTGAATAAAGTATGTGTTTAGTGAGATACATTTTGAACTATTCTAAGTTTTCAATTCCAAAAATCACATTTTTCTAATTTCATTCAGGTTTCTTCAGGATTCAATGCCATTTGCTCTCAGGCGTTAACCATATAGCATTTGTAGAAACCTCAATTACAATATAATCACTGTTAATTTCTGTCTCCTTTACCATTGTGTTAGTTGAGCTCCTAACTATGTAGCCAAGTGCTTTATATGAATTTAATGTATTTTCTTATTTAAACCTCACACACACGCAAAATAAGTTGAGCTAAGTATTATGATTTTATGGGTGAGAAACTGAGACTTAATAGAGATTAGGACAAAAACCATGTCTTCTTCATCTATGTATCCCCAGTGCCTGGCAAATATGCTGCCATATAGTGAATTAAAAGTTCAATGAATAGATCAGAGAATTAATTTATCAGTTGTGAGTTTGGTTTTTGTTTTACAACCTATTGTCAAGTGTTGCAGTTTTCCTTTGTTATAGTTCTTGTCATTTTTAAATTTACAATCCAAAAATAGACATTATTCAAAGTGTGACTGATATGTTTTGGATCTATGTCCCAACCTAAATCTCACATCGAATTGTGATCCCCAGTGTTGGAGGGTGGGACCTGGTGGGAGGTGATTGGATCATAGGGGCAGAGCTCTCATGAATAGTTTAGCACCACTTCCTGGTGCTGTTCTCATGATGGTTAGTGAGTTTTTGCAAGATCTAGCTATTTAAAAGCGTATAGCACCTCCCCCTTCAGTGTCTCTTGCTCTTGCTCTGGCCATGCAAGATGTGCCTGCTTCCCCCTCACCTTCCACCATGATTGAAAGGTCTCCCCAGAAACCGAGCAGACGTCAGCATCATGCTTCCTGTACAGCCTGAGGAACCATGAGGTTAATTAAATTAACCTGCTTTTCTTTATAAATTACCTAGTCTCAGGTATTCCTTTACAGCAATGCAAGAATGGACTGATACAGTGACCAATGTACATCTTAAGATTATTTCACCGTTTCTATACTCTGCATTAATACTTCTCCTTTCTTACTGCTTGTTCTTAGGTCCATGGAGAGTCTTAAAGTCTTCTCTGCCATAAATCACATTTATAAAAGTATTTAAATAAACTTTAAATTTTTAATTTGGTCCCATACACACAAAAGTGCCCTTGTTTGTTTCTGCTAACACAAAGTCAAGAGAGCATCTTTCTAGAACTTACTACAACCAAAGTAGGTTATCAGAATATCTCTGCAGTTTCCATTCCCAGAAAATAAGTCTGAACCAAATAATTGGCTCCCCAGTAAAACACAATATGATGACACTAAAGTCAGAGGTGACCCAAACTACTATTTTATTATTAGCTGCTTCTACTTTTGCTATAGTCTCTACTTGTGTCAACTATATCATAAGAATACAAGTATTGAAGACAGATGGACTTGGCTTTTAACATACTACCTGCTACTGTAATTACTTGAACTCTGAGTTCCACCTATAAAATAAGCATGGTAGCAACTTCCCCCTGGATTTTTTGCTATAATAAAATGATACACATAAAGCACCTCACACCATGCCTACTGCTCTATACATGTTAGCTCCTTCTGAACTTTGTTCCTTATGTGATTTCACATTCTCTTCATCACTCGAATCTCAGAGTATTCAGAAGCTTATTAAAGTTGAGCTCTACTTATCTTGTCACATTTAGCTACCTGAAAGACTAAGCCATCACCCATTGCTAAACCTATCATTAATCAAAATGCACCAAATTGTTGCCCCACAGTTTGGGAAGAACTGAAGGTGAGGAAGCAGAACAGATGGCCAAAGTACACCACTGGCTCCTGGAGTCTAGCCAAAAGCTAACGTTGAATTCTGGCAAAGCTCTGCGGGCATTCAAATCAGTTCTTCTAGCTGTAATCGACTCAATAATGGGGCTACACATTACAGTATTAAAATCCTGTAGATATACTTGAGCCTGATCTGCCACCTATGGAATGAATAATCACATTTCTGAGCAAGGTTCCTGGTAGTTTCTAATATCAGAGTCAAAAGTCTAGGTAGAGAGAAGGCTTTTCTAGCAGTATAGCTCATTGCCAAACTATGTAGAAATAATTAAGGGCAATCGATAGGCTGCATAGCAAGAGAAGAGGAAGCATTTATACTCCTCCTCCAAACTTACTCTACTTCTGCTAGCATAACCTCTGCTACAGCTAATGCTTACATGACTAGGATAAAATTTCACAAAGAGAAAGTTCTGACATTCAGAGCTGATGATAAAGGTAGTTGTTGAAATTAACCATATATAAGTACATTCTAAAGTCGTAAATAACAATTTATATTCAAAGGCAAAAAAACATTCTTTTAGCCAGAAAGAGGCAACAGTAAACTGGATATTTTCAAGCTAAAGAGAAATAAATTTCTCTTGTTCATTCAAAGAAGAAAATCAATACAATGTAAAGATTTCAAATAAGTCTCAACTGGTATTTTTTACTGGCCTAAATCAAGGGTTGGCAAGCTTTTTTTCCTGTAAAGTGCCAGACAGTAAATAAGGCTTTGTAAGTCAAAAGGCAAAATTAAGGATAATGTGTAGTGCTAACAGAACAATAAAAAACAAATTTCTACAAAACCCTTATTGATAAAATTCAAATAATTGAATGTAATAATACAGGTCTACTGATGAGAATAATGGAATTCTCTTTGGGGGGAAAATATTTCACTCAATTGGGATTCAAAGTTAGTATTCCAAATGATCCAAATCAATTGCAAATGTCCTGTTGTTAATGCTGATCTGTAATATGATTTTATGTATTTCATTTTAGTAATATATTTTTGCACAGATAGGAAATACAAATACGTACTGATATCAAACAATGAGAATGTTTTTAATTGATGATATTCATCACTTAGAGGATACTTATAGAATTGAGTTTGAGACTTCTCTAGACATTTGCCTTTTAGCATGTTATACATCATACATTGCAGATGAAAGTTGGATATTAACTCTTCAATTACACAGTTAAATAAATTTTGAAATATGTATATGTCTTTTGTACTTGCTTCAAAGTCTGAAAAATTAGGTTGATACTATAGTCTGAGCTTGGAAAATATATCAACTGAAAATCTGTGTGGGAATGAGGAGCTCACTACTTAACTATTGACAGCATAGGAAGCATATAAAGTAGCTTGAAATTATTTGTGATAAACATTGTCATTGAAATGACTTTAAGTTCCATGGTAGAACTTATAAATTCCATATGTAAGCACAGTTTTACCTTATATGTGGAGCTTCTAAGTTGAACACAGAAATTTATCAATTTTGCAGCAAAAGCAAATTTCCAAAGCCATCCAGTGTTCAATAACAGGGCTTAGTGTATTTTTCAGAAACAGTTCAACGTCAGCCTTGAGCTCAAAAAATTGAAATAAAATTTTATGACTGCTAGACCATCACACTTCTATTTGATAGAATGAGTCATAATATTCAATTTCTGACAAAAATGCACAGAAGTCATGATGGTTACATCTACAAGAAGGAACGAAGTTCACTGTTGACACTAGTGACTCAGTAACACATGATGATTCAAATATTTTCTGCAGAATATCTACTCATAAATAACACAATGAATAACCATAAGCTCTAAACACCTTAATTTTTACAAGCTTTGAAAAGTTGTCCAACTAAGACTTTTTCTACTCCATACATTATTTTTATCTTTTATCAGGTTTTTTTCTTTTTCTTTTTTTTTTTTTTTTTTTTTGAGACAGGGTCTCGCTTTGTCCCCCAGGCTGGAGTGCAGTGGCATGATCTCAGCTCACTGCAACCTCTGCCTCCTAGGTTCAAGCAATTCTCCTGCCTCAGCCTCCCATGTTTTATCAGTTTTTAACACATCTTAGCAGATTCCACTTCAGGTTGTACTAAATTAATGTTTTCTCAAATTATTTGAAAATGTTCTTGCCACTAATTGTTCCACACTGACTATTCAGAGGCTTATTAAAACTCAATACTAACTCCTAAAATAAAAAACAACAGAAAAGTATTGATAACATTTGTCAATTCACCAAGAGTCAAGGAAAACCACTCAAAAATCACTTGTTGTGTTTTGTAACTGACTAGAAATGCTGCTCCCAATACCCTCAACTCTTTGAGAAACTGTTCCCACCAAAAGGCTTAATGTTTATTTTCTCTAGATACATTTTTTCAGTTCCTGCAATCAAATATGATTTAATTAACTAACCATATCTTAAATGGATTTATTTGCTTGGCTAACAAGAGAACCACTTAGAAACTTACTTTTTGGTCACAGCCTTATTTTCATTTATTACTTTCGTAAAGAAAATCAGCTTATATTCCACTTTAATATTCTAATTTTCCCTACTTGAGAATATTGTGATCAATGCTTAGTCTGGTAATGTCAACATATATTATATTCCTTTAGTATAACTACAGCACTAATACATAATAAACCCAGTGCTTTGTCATCTAACTTAGCAACTCATACTCTACTGTACTTTAAAGTCACATTTGAAGTCCATTTTCCCTTTTTTCTTTTTTTGTTTTTTTGTTTCTCTTCTTTTATTATTTGACATGATATGTACTCACTAGTAATTAAAAAGTTAATAGAACTAAATGTCATAGTACAGCTATATTCATGGCACTCAAAATGCTGTTGAGTTGTAACTGTATTATTGCAATTTGCAGTGGACCAAACAGCAGTGTAAAGTGAAGTGTGCCACATTTGGTCACAAGTGTGCCACATATAGTCACTGTCTCAACAACTCAATTCTGCCAGTGTAGTGCAAAAGCAGCCCATACAATACATAAACAAATGAGCATAGCTTTGCTCCAATTCCATATTTTTCACAAGTCGTATCCTTTTGACTTTTTAAAAGCATTTAAACATGTAAAGGCCATTCTTAATTCACAGGTCTACAAAACCACAGAATGGATCAGATATGCACTGTAATATCTGATCCATTCTCTGGATCAGATATTATTAACAGATTAGCTATGTTCCTGTCAATTCCTAATTTGCTATTGTTTTAATCAAAAGTTGATCAGATTTTGCCCATAAGCAGTATTTGCTGACTCCTGGCCAAAACCAACCAATGGAATGAGAAATAGAGAAATCAGAACATTCAGAAACTACTTTTTCCTTCCCTCCTGGGACCACATCTCAGAGCTACTAAATCACAATTCTATGGTGTAATAAGTGGGAAGTAGGTTTGAATGGAAAAGAAGATCATATTTGTGTACAATGAAGAGCCAGAAAATGAAAGAAGATGATCTAACTGGGAACATAACAAAGCTATTTCCTTCAGCTATGCCTGGCTCAGCATTTTGACATAACTTAATCAGGGAGAATTAGAAGTTAACACTAGAAGTACACAATAGTTATATCTGCATTTTATTCTACTTTATTGCATATAATTCATGCCTAAATTGACTATAATTATTTAATATTGCATAGTGTCATTTCTAACTAATTATTTTTCTTGTCATTATGTAGCCTCAGGTACAAAGTCTGCTGAGATAGTGTTAAAGAGAGGATATAAGAGAAAATAAATATTTAGCAACTGTAAATACCATGGTTATGGACTGTATTACAAACTTCATTGGTTTTTTCACTTAATTTTCACAACACTACCTACATGGTACATTTACTAGTTTATTAAAATGTTTATTAAAACATTTACTAGTTTATTAAAATTCCAATTCATATGAAAAGGCATTTGAATTAGAATTTGAACTCCATATTTTTTATGAGTCATATTCTTTTGATGTTTTAAAATCATTTAAACATGTAAAAGCCATTCTTAACTCATAGGTCTACAAAACCAAAGAGTGGATCAGATATGCACTGTAATGTAAAGGGTGAGGTATGAGGGTGTGGGCACGCAGAGCTCCCATGCCCTCTCCAGGTGTAACACCTCCCAGCAACTCCAGGTGTTCAGCAACCCAGAAACTCCCAAGTAAAAATACTTTTTAATTTTCCTTGTGATTTCTTCCTTAATCTTTGGATTATTTAGAAGATGATTTATTGATTCCTAAATATATAAGAATCTTCTTATTTTTTTCATTATTGATTTCCAGCATGGTGATCAGAGAATGCAGTCTGTATATTTCAATCTTCTGATTTTTTTGAGAACTGCCTTATAATATAGGAGATGGTCGATTTTGGTATTCCATGTGTCCTTGAAAAGAATATGTATGTACTCTGCAGTTGTTTAGTGTGCACATTAAAGATATTCTGCAGTCATTGGGTAAAGTGCTCTGTATATGCTGGTAAAGTCCAGCATATTAATTACTTGTTCATATATTCTATAGTTTTACTAATTTTTTATCTGCTTGATCTACTGATAATCTTGTTTTGCCTATGTGTTAACGTTTCTCATTATAATTCGTATTTACCTTTAAATTCTGCCCATTTTTAAAATAAACTTTTAATGAAAGTATAACATACAGACAGAAAGGTACCTAAACCATAAAAGTTAAGGTCATTAAATTTTCACATTTAATACATCCATGTAACCAGCACTTCAAAGCAAGAAATAAAACAGTTCTAGCCCCTGCCTCCCAGTCAATATCATTATGATTTCTAACACCATAGATCTGTCTTGTCTGTTTTTGTTTTTACTTACAGTTCTGTAAAATTTTGCCTTGTACATATTTTAGCCTATATTATTATGCATAAAAATTAGAGGTATTATACATTTATTATAAATTCTGGTGAAGTAAAACTTAAAATGTCCTTCCTTACCTCTAGTGATATTTTTGCTTTAAATTCTACTTTATCTGATATTAATATAGCTTCACCAGATTTCTTTTGCTTAACGCTTGCAAAGTATATTTTAATATCATTTTATTTTTAATCTTTCTATATCATATACTTTAACCATCTATAAAAGAGATTTTAGACACATCTCATAAATAGCATACAGTTGGATTCTGTTTTTTATCCAATCTGTCAATTTTTTATTATAACAGTCCATTTACATTCAATGTGTTAACAGATTCGTGGTCAAATCTACTGTTTTACTACTTGCTATTTGCCTCCAACTCTTTTATGTTTATTTTTCTCTCCTTGTTTGTCTTTTTTAATTAATTAAATACTTTTTATTATATTTTTCTTCTCTATTAGCTTGGAAGGTGTACATTATGCTACTAACATTTTAAAATAAACTCAGCAATTATAATATGCATCTACAAATCATCAAACCCTAACATATGTGATATGTTTACTTCTTCCTGGCAATGTAACTTAAAACCATTTATACTGTCCCAACATATACACTACTATCATGTATTTTTAATTCTTACCATATATTTAAAACGCACTAAGATATTTTGTTTTACACCCAACACTAATTTCCATCTATCCACACATTTATCCTTTTCATCTTTCCTCATTCCTTTCTCCACTTCTAGCTTTCTGTCTGAGACCATTTTCCTTCTAACTGAAGAACGCTCTTTAGTACAGTTAGCCTTCCATAGCAATGAGTTCTGCATCCACAGATTCAACCAACCACAGATCAAAATATTTTGGGGATAAAAACAATAAAAAGTAATATTTATTTAAAAATATTGTATAACAACTATTTACATAGAATCTACATTGGATATTGTAAGCAATCTAAAGATTATATAAAGTATACTGGAAGATGGCCGAATAGGAACAGCTCCAGTCTACAGCTCCCAGCGTGAGCGACACGGAAGATGGGTGATTTCTGGATTTCCAACTGAGGTACCGGGTTCATCTCACTGGGGCTTGTCGGACAGTGGGTGCAGGACCGTGGGTGCAGAGCACCGAGCATGAGCCGAAGCAGGGCAAGACATCGCCTCACCCGGGAAGCAGAAGGGGTCAGGGAATTCCCTTTCCTAGCCAAGGGAAGCTGTGACAGACGGCACCTGGAAAATCAGGTCACTCCCACACTAATACTGCACTTTTCCAGTGGTTTTAGCAAATGGCACACCAGGAGATTATATCCCGCGCATGGCTCGGAGGGTTCCACACCCACGGAGCCTCGCTCATTGCTAGCACAGCAGTCTGAGATCAAACTGCAAGGTGGCAGCAAGCCTGGGGGAGGGGCACCCGCCATTGCTGAGGCTTGAGTAGGTAGACAAAGCAACCCAAAATCTCCTTAAGCTGATAAGCAACTTCAGCAAAGTCTCAGGATACAAAAATCAATGTGCAAAAATCACAAGCATTCTTATACACCAATAACAGACAAACAGAAAGCCAAATCATGAGTGCACTCCCATTCACAACTGCTTCAAAGAGAATAAAATACCTAGGAATCCAACTTACAGGGACGTGAAGGACCTCTTCAAGGAGAACTATAAACCACTGCTCAACGAAATAAAAGAAGACACAAACAAATGGAAGAACATTCCATGCTCATGGATAGGAAGACTCAGTATCGTGAAACTGGCCATACTGCCCAAGGTAATTTATAGATTCAATGCCATCCCCATCAAGCTACCAATGACTTTCTTCACAGAATTGGAAAAAACTACTTTAAAGATCATATGGAACCAAAACAGAGCCCACATTGCTAAGTCAATCCTAAGCCAAAAGAACAAAGCTGGAGGCATCAGGCTACCTGACTTCAAACTATACTACAAGGCTACAGTAACCAAAACAGCATGCTACTGGTACCAAAACAGAGATATAGACCAATGAAACAGAACAGAGCCCTCAGAAATAATACTACACATCCACAACCATCTGATCTTTGACAAACCTGACAAAAACAAGAAATGGGGCAAGGATTCCCTATTTAATAAATGGTGCTGGGAAAACTGGCTAGCCATATGTAGAAAGCTGAAACTGAATCCCTTCCTTACACCTTACACAAAAATTAATTCAAGATGGACTAAAGACTTAAATGTTAGACCTAAAACCATAAAAACTCTAGAAGAAAACCTAGGCAATACCATTCAGGACATAGGCATGGGCAAGGACTTCATGTCTAAAACACCAAAAGCAATGGCAACAAAAGCCAAAATTGACAAATGGGATCTAATTAAACTAAAGAGCTTCTGCACAGCAAAAGAAACTACCATCAGAGAGAACAGGCAACCTACAGAATGGAAGAAAATTTTTGCAATCTACTGATCTGACAAACAGCTAATATCCAGAATCTACGAAGAACTCAAACAAATTTACAAGAAAAAAAAAAACAACCCCATTGAAAAGTGGGCAAAGAACATGAACAGACACTTCTCAAAAGAAGACATTTGTGCAGCCAACAGACATATGAAAAAATGCTTATCATCACTGGCCATCAGAGAAATGCAAATCAAAACCACAATGAGATGCCATCTCACACCAGTTAGAATGGCGATCATTAAAAAGTCAGGAAACAACAGGTGCTGGAGAGGATGTGGAGAAATAGAAACACTTTTACACTGTTGGTGGGACTGTAAATTAGCTCAACCATTGTGGAAGACAGTGTGGTGATTCCTCAAGGATCTAGAACCAGAAATACCATTTGACCCAGTCATCCCGTTACTGGGTATATACCCAAAGGATTATAAATCATGCTGCTATAAAGACACATGCACACGTATGTTTACTGCGGCACTATTCACAATAGCAAAGACTTGGAACCAACCCAAATGTCCATCACTGATAGACTGGATTGAGAAAATGTGGCACATATACATCATGGAATACTATGCATCCATAAAAAAGGATGAGTTCATGTCCTTTGTAGGGACATGGATGAAACTGGAAACCATCATTCTCAGCAAACTATTGCAAGGAGAGAAAACCAAACACCACATGTTCTCACTCATAGGTGGGAACTGAACAACGAGAACACTTGGACACAGGAAGGGGAACATCACACACCAGGGCCTGTTGTGGGGAGGGGGGATGGGGGACGGATAGCATTAGGAGATATACCTAATGGAAATGATGAATTAATGCATGCAGCACACCAACATGGCACATGTATACATATGTAACAAACCTGCAAGTTATGCACATGTACCTTGAACTCAAAGTATAATAAAAAAATAAATAAATAAAAAATAAAGTATACTGGATGATGTGCATAGGCTATATGCAAATACTATGCAATTTTATATTAGAAACATGAGCATCCACAGATTTGGGTATCTGCAAGGGGTCTTGGAACCAATTCTCCAGTGATACTGAGGGATAACTGTATTACCTTAAGTGTGGGAAGCTGGTGACATATCTCTGGCTTTATATGTCTGATAAGGCCTTTATTTTGCCTTCATTTCTGAGTGCTATTTTCATTGGACATAAAATGCTAACTGTGCGGTTTTTTCTTCAGCACTTTGAAGACATAAATCCATTGTCTTATAGCATTTATTGTTTCTGTTGAGAATCAGCTGTAAACATTATTGGAGATACTTTGAAAATGGCTACATTTTCCCTCTGGATACATTTAGGATTTTTGTTGTTTTGGGGTTTTGGCCATTATTGTGATATGCCTAGCTATGGTTTTCTTTTATTTCTCCTTCGTAGTTTTGCAGCACTTTGTGAATTTATGGCTTGGTGTCTTTCATCAGTATTGAAAAAGTTCTCAGCCATTATTTCTTCAAATATTTGGTCTCTTGCACTCTCCTTCTCTCCTTCTGAAACTCCAACTATACATACTCCCCATTTCTATTACTTTTTTCTTTCTCCTACATACTGTTATATTTCTGTGCTTTATTACACATATTTTCTCATTTCTCCTAGTTATTTCTCTCTTCAGCTGTATCTAATGCTGTTAAATACATTCAATGGGTTCTTAATTTCATTTATTACCTTTTTCAGTTCTTTTTTTGCTTTTAATTTTCATGATGTATAGTGCTCTGCCAAAGCGCTCTTATATTTTGCTAGTCTAAACAGATTCATTTTTTAAAATTCAATGACAGAACTCCATTATTTGAATCCCCTGTTGGTCTATTACTATGGTCTATTGTTTATCTTAGTTTCAGTTACATGGCATCATATAACTTATGTCTTGTATGCCTGATTATTTTTGTGTCCATGTAAGACATTATAAGTAAAAACTGTAGAAATTATTTGAGGCCTAGGATGGTATTATCTTCCACCAGAAAGAATTTACTTTTGCTTTAACAAGTAGCTAGAGTCATTAACAATCTTAGATGTCTGTAATCTAATTAAAGACTACGATGATTCTAAACTGGTTTTCCTCTGTATGTGGACCATTCAATTCGCAGCTCATCCTTACTCCTAAGGAATCACCCTTCAGGTCCCAACCCAAAGCCTGGGGGATTTAGCAGGCAATCTCCCTGTTCAGTGGACCATGAATTCAAACTGTTGCTCCATTAGCCCCACCCCATGAGTGTGTCAAAAGCTCTTCTTAGCTTCTCAGCCTCTTGGCCACCTCTACTGGAAACAGCGAGATTCCCATAGTAGAAAGAGGCTTCAAATGCACAGCTCACCTTTTGGGTTTCCTTCTTCTCCAGGATCTTGTCTCCACAGCCTTCATTGATGTGTTAGCTCTCTGATACGAACAGATGATTTTTATATTTGATCCAGCTTTTCTAGTTGTTCTCAGTGGAAGAGTTAGTCCAAATTGCCTAATCCACCATCATCAGAAGTGCACCTCTCAATTTTTCTCATCTGTAAAATGAGGATAATAATGACAACTTCCTCAAAGATATTATTAAAAGAGATCATAGTGCCTATTACATATTAAGGGCTCAAGAACTTTCAGGTATGGTTTTGAGCTACCTATTGCTAATTTAAAACAAGCTTCAATTAGTAGATATTTTGTCATTTTTGCCTGTCTAGTATCTATTCTCCTCTAATATCTCAAATTTTCTTTGAGAACTAGTCCTCAATTATTGAATATAGTCTTGATGTCAATCAAGGTGCCATACCCTCCTCTGTCCAAGGGTTGGTAACTAACCCAAGCTAGGCCGGACTGCCTCTTTCCATGTAATGTGAACTTCAAGCAGCAAATAGTGAAGCTGATCCATACAAACAGTGGGTAGCACATTGAACAGGCCATCCATTAGTTTCTGCAAACAGCTATCCAGAGCTAACCTAATTTCTGTCTTTTCCAGGGACTAGTCAACTTTTCTAAGAGCTATTCCTTAGGGCTTACAATAAATTATTTTCTGTTTAAGTTAACAGGGGCCATTTTTGCTGCTTGAAACAAAAATACCTTGATACCTCAATGAAGAACTATCACACTTTCAAAGTTTTTCTACCAGCCCCTGTAACTTAATCATTTGACCACAAAAAAAAGAAGAGTCTTGATGTTATTCAGAAAATTTGCAAAAATGCTTCTTTCTTCTTATTATGATTAAAGAATCAATATTTTGTAACTTCTTCCTGTGCTGGCTTTATATTGGCTCTCAGCCCATTCCTGCTCTTATTTCAGACTATCCTCTCTAAAGATTACATTTGTCACACTCCCTTGAAAGCTGGTTTCCAATTATGTTCTGCCACTGGGAAGCACTGGTAAAAACTGGATGACAGAAGAAGGTAGATCATTTTATTTTCTTCCTTCTGTTTCTAATTCCTGCAGGAGCAGCATCAGTATTCCAGGAAACTCAGCAGATTGCCCATGGTCTCTGGTTCTAGCAGCAATAGCAGCACCAGATAACTACAATGCAAATTCTGGCTACTGTAACAACAGTGCAGTTCTGGCAGGGGTAGCAATGGGTGACTGCAGGCTCCAGCATCCTCTGAGGTGAGTCCAGCACCATCAACAGGACTATAGGTTTTCTGGATCAATAGAAGTGCAGGCTCATAGCATCCTGTAAAGCAGCAGCAGCAGCTTCAAGGGTAGCAGTAGTACTCCAACAACCTTAGCATCATAGTACTCATTAGCTGTTTAACACCATTTTCCTTTTTTTCTCTGCCAGCCCTAGGAGCAGTAGTGTCTTCCTGCAGTTACTGATCTTTTGATGAATTCACTGTCCATTTTCTGCTTCTCCAGCCCTACCAGGACTTTTGGCAATTGATTCCGTATGTATTAAATTTTCTTTGTTTAAAATATTTAGTGTGGTTTTTGTTTTCTTAATCACACAACTTTCGGTGGCGTGGATCTCCTCATTTCAAATGCTTCATTTCAAATGTATCAGCACTATCCCATGAGCAAAAAGAGAAACCCTGTCATTTTTGTGTTTCTTGTCCATTCTTCCTCTTTCTCATTCATCCATTCCAATTCTCTATACTCTCTCTTCAACTCCTTTTTTTTTCTTCTTAGCCTATTTCTTAAGTATACCAATGACACCTATGTCGTTATGTATTTTAATAACACTTGGGGCAAATGAAGTTGGACCATTTTCAACTGAAACAATCAGCAGTTCAAATGCAAAAACAGAAAGTCCCTCTGAAACTATAAATCTTTATTAAAATATAATCCAATTTTTATTACAATTACAGTTGTCAGTACTTAGAAAATATTTTCCACAAACACTACAATTCATTTTTTGGGTAGCAAAATCATCTTAGTTTTGAAGACTAAAGGCAAGTAACAATTTTAATTAAAATAGGAATTATAACTCATACCTATAGGTTGTACTTAATGTATCATTTCAAATGTAGCAGCACTATCCCATAAGCAAAAACAGAAACACAGTAAACATTTTAGAAGATAGAAATAATAAAATGTCAAGATAGCCTAACTCATCTGAAAAATTGAAAAAAAAATCACAAGTCTTGGGAGACATAAGACTTCATCTATTTACTTGGGATCACAAACCAAACTTCATGTTTGTTCAAAACTGAACTGTTATTTGAGGCAGAAATCTGCCACCTCATTTGCCCTCACTCTATAACACTGACTATCATCATGTCCCCCAACACCATACCCCTCAACCTGCCTGCTTTACATTGTCAGTATAATTAGAATAAAGCCAAATTCCTTGCCATGTCATACAAGTCCCTGCCTAATCCTGCCCCAACCTACTGGTCCATTTTCAACTTATCTACTTTCCTTATTCAAGACAGATATTTTAAAAATAACTAATGGTCACAGAATGACTCAATCCTAACTCACCACACACACACAGACACACACAAACACACACACAAAATTACTTTAAGTCCATGGGCAAGACCCAAATAGCTGCAGTCAAAGTCAATCACATCTTTCCTAGGCAAATAATAGGTGGCAAGTGAACTGATGCCCAATGCAAAATCAAATGATGAATCTGCACAGTTTGGCAAGTAATGCATTAACACAGAATGGATACTGAAGACTCAAGACATCCTCTATGTAAAGAGTAAATAATCTCCCATGTGCTTCTCCCATTTTTCTCTCTCTCTGTATCTCTCATACTGCACACACACACACATGCACACACACATGCACACACACACATAAACACACACATCCCATCATCATTCCTGGCCACAGCAAAATGATTAATTCCAGTTTACATTCAAGGTCAGTTTTTAAAGTGTTCTTACTATGATTCTAAAATTCCCTGTCATTGTACCCCTTCATTTCTTCTACCAATCTATTGAAACTCTTTAAACAAAGTGTCTTTAACTCCTTCATTAATTCATTACTTACACCTACTATGTGTCAGGCACTGTGCTAAACTCAAGGAGGAAAAGAACACTATATCACACTCAATTTCTGCTCTCAGTCTCCACAAAAAGTAAGTTACCAATAACTGGCTTAACTGGTAAGTAAATATCTGTTTAAGGTTATAACTTATTAGCCATTCAGAAATTAAGGTTATTGTAATTTCCCATTTGGAAAAATATAAATAATCGATTACTCTTTTTCTAATGCACTAGGGACTGAGGAGAGAATAAAGAGTTGGAAACCATCAGATACCCAAAGGAAGAAGTCATTTGTAAGTGGTAAAAAGAAAGGTATCAAATGGGAAAATGACAAAGAGCACAAGATAGGTTCCAACAAGCTCACTACTTTACCTTGGCCCAGGCTTCATTGTTATCAAACTTGGGCAGATAAATAGAAACTGCACTGCCACTAGTAACACTGTCTTAGAGCCACAAGAATCAGAACAACTCTGTTTAACATGACCAATAATTTTTTCTTCTATTTTACCGAGGCTATTTTAAAGGAGCTATATCCTCGAAGAATTGTTAATCAAAGTATCACTCTACTCCATATGATCTTAAGAAAAAAAATTGCTGAAATCTAATTATAATGACAACCTAATGGCTCTTCACCTTTCGCTTAAGTAGATGCAGTAAAACCCTTACTGAAATCTTAATATTAGTTAGGTCTAGGCAAACCTAAGTCTGAAGGAATCCCCTAAAGACCAACAAAATTCAATTGAACAACAATTGATAGAAAAGACTATGCAGTAGAATGGAGGAAAAATACTTTACCAAATGATATTGAAGATTTTTTCTTTGAGGAAGAAACTGTCCATTTAGGAAAATACTTTGATAAACTACTGCAGAGTTGAAAGGAAACTCCAACAGAAAATAGACTGAAAGAAAAAAAACATTACTAGCCTGATATTACAAAACTAATAGAGATTGGAGAGTGGAAAAGAAATGAGAGAAGCAAGGTAGAGCAGGAAGAAGCAGGGGCAACAAAATGGACATAAGTGGGTAGAAATGCTCAAAGTGTTTTTTGTTTTTTTTTTTTAAGAATGAGAAAGTCTACTTCAATTTTGAATTATCCACTCTTGGGAACCTCATCATCTTTATCCCCAAATCTCCAGAGAAATGCTACTAATGCAGCTGCCTGATATGAGTACAACTTTAGAATCCAGGAAATAGGGTTATGTCCCACATTTGGCATGACACCGGAGCAAAAATCAAAGCAAAACACACAGCAAAAATGAATAGTAAAATGTTGACTATTTTTGTTTTAATTGCAATGAAATTTTCTGCAATTACTGAAAACTAGAATGGAGAGGAACCCATTTAATTGAATATGGCAAGCATGTGACAGATGCTGAGGTAGATGGCTGAGAAAATCTATTCATGGAAGAAATATTTATGATATCCTATTAAGTAAAAAATTATAATAAATAAGCAAAATATAAAACTGTATATATACCATAACTGCATCTATGTAAAACATATGATGCATACAGATAAAAATAGAGAGGAAGATATAAAAATGAACAGTTGTATAGGATGGTGAGGTTACACACTTTTTTCATTTTAAAAACTATTGGTTTTTTTTAATTTTATTATTATTATACTTTAAGTTTTAGGGTACATGTGCACAATGTGCAGGTTTGTTACATATGTATACATGTGCCATGTTGGTGTGCTGCACCCATTAACTCCTCATTTAGCATTAGGTATATCTCCTAATGCTATCCCTCCCCCCTCCCTTCACCCCACAACAGTCCCCAGAGTGTGATGTTCCCCTTCCTGTGTCCATGTGTTCTCATTGTTCAATTCCCACCTATGAGTGAGAACACGCAGTGTTTGGTACACCACGGAATACTATGCAGCCATAAAAAATGATGAGTTCATGTCCTTTGTAGGGACATGGATGAAACTGGAAACCATCATTCTCAGCAAACTATCGCAAGGATAAAAACTATTATTGTTATTACATTTTTATAATGAAAATTGAGATAAAAAATGAATAGTCTTTGAACTTTCTATGTTTATATAAGGTAATCAGAGCTCCAGATGAAACTATTTGAAAGATGGTGATTTCAGTACTTAGAATGGTCAGAAGAGAATTAATATAAACTTAAGAATACTATTATTTCGATAAAATTTGAAAAAGTAATGAACAGCCTTGAAATACATACTTCTCAAACTACATGGTAAGTCCATAGCAGGGCTTAGATGTGAATAAGATGGTTTGCAGAATTTTTTAAACTATTTTTAAATTATTACTATTTTGAAATAGTTATGAAAATACTTTAAAATTATAATTGTCAGATTACTAATGGCAAGCAAAGAGCAAAGATGACACTCTGTTTAACTATTTTCAGCACACTGTTTATTTTTTAAAATGTTTAAACAAACAAAAAACATCTTCTTACCCCAAGAGAGCAATTTGCTGTTATCAACAATCTCAAAAACTCTCTAGTAAAGATAATGTTCAAGGACAAATACTCAGATGAATTTAACCTGTGTTCTTCTCACTTCCTCTCACTCTAGGCTCATCTTCTAACCCTCAAGACTTCATGTAAACAAATGAATCTAACTTCAGATGGGGATGTAGAGCACAAGCATGGCAGCAGAAAAAGTAGCCTAAAATTCATAGTATCTGTTTTCCTTTTAACATTTATTGAATGTCTTCTGTGTACCCGTCACATTACATTTGCATCTTACCACAACCCTATGAAATAGTCATTGTTTTTAATTTATAGATAAAGAGACAGAGAGTCCAAGAGATTAAGTGACTTGCTCAAGGTCACAAAATTAGTAACTGGGAAACTAGGATATGACCCAGAGTTGACTAATGCCAAAGCCCTTCCTTATATACACTGTACTGCCTTGACTCCTTGAACTAGCTAAGTAAACACAGGATTAGAAGGAAAATAAGCAGGAAAGCAATATTTGCAGTCATAAAAATCCAGCTACTTATAAAAAGCCATTTTAATTGATTAGATTTAGACTACAGAAATTCCCCTAAGCTCTAACCAGATGAATACAGGGTTTCTAAGAGGAAAATTTTTCCTGAAAATATTATATTGTTACAGGAGCCAGCCTGAGTCTAAACCGTAATGTTTCTGGCTCTGGTAAATTTAAACAGAGGTTAAAAAAAAAAAAAAAAAAAAGTAGTAAAGCCACGAAAACATGTACTGAGAGATCTGAGAGATCAGAACCCAAGCCAGAAATCAAGAATTCTAAATTCAGGATTAAGCACTGCTTATTTTAAGTGACTTAAAAAAAGTCCAGGAAGGAGAACCAGTATAGAATGAACTTCAAACTGGAAGGCTATAACAAAGATTAACCATGAATCAGAGAAATAAATGAGAATTGTGGGGTAAGAGCTGGGACAAAGCTGAGAAATGTGAACTGGAAGGGGTGGGAAAGAGAGAAGAGTGTTTGAAAACATTGGAAATATTGAAACATATGGTAAATTGTGAGACAGTTTGAGCTATGGCATGATTATATAAATTCCTGCTGCAAAATCTGGTGGCAGATTGGAAGCCTGTGTTCCAAAACAATTCCATAAGATTTCCTATTGAAGTTGAAGAAAATGAGTAATGAGAGTTTTATGTCTTTAATGTTGTCTGAATTACTTCCAAAGGTGATTTTAAAATGAAAGCAACACTGATTTGGTTCCAATTTCAAATATTTCAGGATATATAGTATATATGACATATAAATTCACTGAATTGTTTATTCTATACATATCTCCCTTATGAAAGGGTCCCCTTTACCCCTTCAATGCTCCAGAAACAGTAAAAATTTTATTATAACTAAAAGTAAAGATACATGAAAGGGTGGAGTGGAAGATGAAGCTGGAAAAACAAGTTGGAGAGGGGCTGTGAAGGACCGTGTATGCAAAAGGAGTTTGAATTTTATTCAAAGCAATAGAAAGCCTAAAAAGATTCTTCAGCCATAAAATTAATTATTTAAATTTCATTTTTAAGAAGATACTCTGCAGCAATACAGAGGACAAACCCAGAATAGAGACACAAGATCTCAGGATACAAGGCAGTACCAGTGAAAATGCACTCGTAGGAATTCTCATGCTAGTGAGCACTGGTAAGAATTCTCATGCTAGTGAGAATTTTTTACACTAAGTCATCAGAAGTCACTTGTTAACATATCATAACAGGCCCTATCACTATCTCATTTCAAAACCTTTCACTACAGATCAAATATGCCAATAAGATAAACCCAAATTTCTTAGCATGACATATAACCATAGGTGATTCTAAATATTTAACAACTGATACAGCAATATAAAATTAATATAAAAATCAATATATAAATTAATATTAAAATATATTTTCTTTTTTCCAAATAAAGTATAGATGTAGATATATAGATACCTGCTTTCCATATGACAAGAGTTACAGCAAGCTTGTCCAACCCGCAGACCGCAGGCCACATGTGGCCCAGAAGAGCTTTGAATGAGGCTCAACACAAATTCATAAGCTTTCTTAAAACATTATGAGATTTTTTTTTTTAGCTCATCAGCTATCGTTAGTGTTAGTGTATTTTATGTGTGGCCCAAGACAATTCCTCTTCTTCCATTGTGGCCCAGGGAAGCCAAAAGATTGGACACATGGGAGTTATAGCATAAATTATTTATACAGTCATTCTAATAACTTACAAATCATTTTTTGAATTTTATAAAGTGTCAATCTCTTAACAGAGCCATGGTTGGATATTTAGAACAATATTAGACTTCTCCTGACACATTCATAATTAAAATGAGAGTCATTAGGTCCCTGATACCCACCATTTTGCTACAACTTTAAAACAAACTGGGCAGGCTGCCTGCATGTCATAGTCACATAAACATCTAGATTGAGCCTGTCCAACCCGCGGGCCAAGGGCAGCTTTGAATGTGGCCCAACATAAATTTGTAAACCTTAAAATATGATGAGATTTTTTTGCAATTTTTTTTTTTTAGCTCATCAGCTATCATATTCGTGCATTTTATGTGTGGCCCAAGACAATTCTTCTTCTTCCAGTGTGGCCTAGGGAAGCCAAAAGATTGGATACCCCAGATCTAGCTGTTAGTGTTTTCCACAGAGACTGAAAGCACTGTGCCTCAGGACACTCCCTGCAAAATGCAGTTACCACGAAAACCACTTGCACTGCAGCCTTCCATTGCCTCCACCAACAACAGGGCACAGGGGTATCAGGTAGGCACTGACACTACAGGCAGTACATGCCTTCCAAGGACCATGTTAATACATACCAGCAAGGTTACTAGGTTTCATAATTCTATAAGACTGCACTAGACAACATCATTAGATAATTTATTCTCTCAATAATATTTAGTAGTATGCATCAAAGTGATTCAGTTTTTAAAAATTAGTGTCTCTGTACTGGTGCAGGTCAATTGAATATCAGTCCTGCATATGATGCCCTTTGTAACTGACTCTCACCAACTAGCTTCACCTTCCACCACTCCATCCCTTCTTTCCATCTTCCATGCACCTAGCAATATAGGAATACTGGCTATTCCCCAAAGACACCATGCACTATGCTTTTCACAGTCCGTGTCTAAATGCTTTTCACAGCATATGTCTAAAATGCCCTTCTTCTCCACATACTTTTTCCTGCAAGGCCAGTTTGAATGTGATCTTTGGTTATAAAGACTTCCTTAAATCCTCCATGTTCGTATACTAGCCCCTTCCTCTGTTCAACACTTGGTATATAACTACTTTAAGGCACTTATCATGCATTTGGATTATTTATTTACATGACTCTTTACCACTAAATTATAAGCACCTCAAGGGCAGAGACTGTGTCCTATTCCTCTCTGTTTCCTAAATTAGTACAGTGGCTGGTATAGAACAGATGCTCAAAATGCATTTGTTTAAAGGAAGAACAAATAAATACTTAAATCAAAAACAATCATTATCTTTGATTCCCTATACTGTATTGCTGGAAATTTTTAGATGCAGACTTAAACATGTATAAGGGGATATCCATTTTTTAAATTCTTTTAGAGAGTAGAGTGTATATGGCTTTGTAGAAGCAGCGCCATGTAGTACCTCTCCCCGACCTTCCCATTGGATCATCTCAGGTAGTCCAATTATTACTTTTGTCCCAATTGGGTTATTATTACTGAAGTTCTTTGTCTAATATACACATGTAAAACATTTATTTTTAATTTTCCCTTGTTTCTACATTTTTCCAGCACATAAAGTATGTAGGAATACTACATTGCAACAATAGCAACATCTAGTATTAGATGTCCCACATAGGATATAAATTATTTTGTCAATCTTTTTATTGTTTGTATTTCCTTCTTTTCTTCCATCTTTCATTCTGGCCCTCTTTATTTCTTTCTTATTGGCTTTTAATGTTAACAATTACCAAGAGAGTCATTCGTGACAGAATTTCATAGTGGATTGTTTTAATTTTAGAAATAAAAAATAATGTAACATAATTTAATTAAATAAGTTCAGTAAAGGGACTGCAGACTTTTTTGAAAATATAAGTATGAGTACAAGTATGAAATTTTTGAAATTTTAGTTATTGAAGTAAATAATTATTTCAGCAATATAATACATTTCTCAAATTTTGGTTCCTGTACTCCTATAATTCTTCTCTTTCTCAAACTAAATGTCCTATTTGTATAAAGAAGTTAGCACATAAAGCTATGGGGCCAATAAACAATGCCTGCACCTTGCCACAAAGCAAGATTTTAACTTTTTAAAATGTCTGCAAGTTTAAAATAACAAAGCATAATACAGAACCTCTCATTTAGAAGTCTACATAGAAACTGCCAACTGCCAACACTATATTTGAAATCGATGAACCAAAAAGAAAAAAAGACAAAGAACATGTGTCACTTTCAATGATATTAGTAAGTGTATAGATGGCACATGAGAGGATATAGAGACAACACTAATCAAAATTACTAACTAAAGTTTTCACTGCAGATTAATGAATCTATAGTCAGCAAACAGTATTAAGTTAATAACTGACACTATAGCCACTAAAGAGGAAAAACTAAAAAGATATTTGTCCTGCAAAGATGTACCAAAAACAAAATATATTCAAATTGGTAAATTAAGATTTTGAAACACTAATATTTATAAAATATTATAGAAATATTGTATAAATTTGCGATGACAAGTAGAAAAGTTCTATAATCAGAGTTCATTCTGAAAAATCTGAAATTCAAGTAATATTTTATTTCCAGAGCTCTTGAATATAAATTTTGCCTTTAGATATGAATTCCACATTAAATGTTATCAAAATGAAAAATCTAATCAATTCCAAGCTGCTTCAATCCCAATTACTGTTGGCTTTACACAAAGAAACGAGATCAGAATATTGTTCTCTGTTGTTCCATACCTAAGTTTGTTGTCTATGAAAGGAAAAGCTTGTATTCTGAAGTTTATGGGTTAAAAATATCATTGAAATTGTAAGTGATTCTCACTGTACAGATCTGTTGAAAGGTAGTTATTGACTTCAAAAAATGGCTTAACTGAGTTTAGAACATCTGAACGAACTTAATAAAAAATTTTCATAAACTGTGTGAAAGTATATTAATGAATATGACAAAGTTTATAGATTCAAAGCAACAGTTTAGCTCCAGAATAGTGAGGTTAAAGTGATAGTCAAATGTTACAATATGAGTCCTAAAGAAAAATTAAGATGAGCAGAGCATTATATATGCTTGTGGAATACCAACATTATTTTTAAATATTTGATATTGTTTTTAAAGTTCAAATGGATTAGAATACCATTCTCATTATCAGAGGAAATTTCAACATTATAATTGTCACTGAAAGAAAAGGACATGAGTTAAAGGATATTACTAGCTTTGAAGTAAAATTTAAAGAGGATGAATTTTCAAAATTCTAATAGCATAAAAGCAGTTTCCATCAATCAGAAAAAAATGAAGTTTTTTGTTTTGTGTGTGTTTTTTTTTGTTTTTTTGTTTTTTTGTTGTTGTTGTTGTTGTTTTTGAGACAGAGTCTTGCCCTGTTGCCCAGGCTGAAGTGCAGTGGCGCCATCTCAGCTCACTGCAACCTCCACCTCCCGGGTTCAAGCAATTATCCTGCCTCAGCCTTCCAAGTAGCTGGGATTACAGGCACATGCCAGAAAATGAAGTTCTTCTCTGCAATTTTCTACCAACTACTTTAAGAGTTTCTCGTCAATGGTGACCAACAGGAATTTGAAAAGATAATCATTAAACAACCTTGGAATAATGTGTTTCTGTCCAAAGATAAATAAATAAACCTGATATTAAAAAGATATGCTCATAGAAGCTGGCTAAGTGTCTCATTGTAGATATTGAAAAAAATTTAAAGTTTTCATAACTCAACATTTGCTATCTTCCATAATACCTTGCCTTTTGTTTTGCTTAGAATTTTGTAACTTAAGATGTGATTAATTTTTTTACCAACTTTCATGTAGATGCCCCCAATCTTTCCCAGTTTATCTCAATATGACATACACCTCCTTTATTGTTTTCTACATGTGGAATCACGTGAAAAAGGTTAGGAAGCATTAAGTTAAAGTAAATTAACTATTCAGCCAAAATATACAGTGGGAAGGGAGAAGAAAAGTCTAAAAGATGGTAAATGAAGAGAGGACAAATCATGAAGGACCTAGTTTGACATGCTAAGAATTTTACACTTTTTCTAGCCTTTGTCAGCTAGAGGTCTGGAAGAGAGGTAAGCTCTAATGTTCTAAGTCATCCATTGTATGTAACACATTAATTTATTTCTTATGCTTCTAGAATGGTACTATTTATGTATCCATCCCTGGTAGAAGAAAAGAATTACTTACTATTTTGTATGTTCCATGGTTCAGAGAAGGAATCCAGTTAAAGGCTGCATGTAGCTGGCAATAGGGAAACACTGATACGTTAAACAAAAGAGTTATATAATCAGATATTTTATGTGTAACGCTCTTTCTGGAAAGAGTAAAATTTAAATTGTTTTAAATCAAAATTCAAATGACCTGGGATCAATAAAGACCCCAATATTGATCTATGTAAAATCCTACAAGTAGCAAAATCTAATTTTCAATTTTTCCTTTAAATATTATTTTAAATAGCTGGTGATAATGGTCACATCAACAGCCACTATGATTACAATAATTAACATATTACAGCAATTTACAGCTCACAGGCACTTTCATTTATATAGCATCACTTTACTCCTATGATAAAGATACCACACACCCATACTTCCTTAACCACAATTCCCAAATCCAAAAAGCTCTGAAAACAAAAATTATTTTTGTGTAAGTCTGGGCCAAAATTCCTGGCCTGACTATATGTAGTCCTTATTTAACCCTTTTGTAAATATTCATATGTTTCACGAGAGAAATATCAATGTTTGATTAGGGGCTACTGTCCTAACCCTGCTAAGAGTTACATATCTTATAGTATATACACCTTTACATTTTTAAAGTCTAAAATACTTGAATTCCAAAACATCTGCCACCATGAGTTTCAGTTACAGAATTGTGGACTTGTGTTTTCAATCTTCATTTTATAGAATGCAGGAAGTTAACTAACTTCTTCAAGATAGCACAGCTTATAAATGATGGAGCCAGGACTATTATCCAAATATCTAAATCTCGTTTTCTATCCCCTATCCAAGACTAACCATAAATGGGAAAAAAATCCTATAGAGGCATATAGAGGCATTTCATATTACATGTACCTGTAATTCCCTGGCCCAGCTCACCCAGAGCACTTGCCGACTGCAGGCAGCCTCCAAGCCCATACATTCTGGGTTCATCCTGGGAAATCCAGTTCAAGGACTATGCATACATCCAGGAATGACATGACCTGGACAGCAGCCCTGCCACTTTCTATATCTTATAAGAATTAGTTAACACAACATTTTAAAAATGCAAAATTTCAAAATAAAAGTCTATTTGTACCTAACCTTCAAAAAAAAATTTCCTGCTGATTTAGTTTATCAGCTTCACTATGTTACACAAATGACTAAGCTCATTGTCTAGTTTGAGTTCACTGGTTCAGAAGTAAAAAGCATCATCAATTTGTATGTTGATACTATTTTTCACTAAAATTTATTCTTTAAAAAGTAGAAAGCAAATAAGACAAAATTGTAAAGCGGGAACTACAATTATCCTAAGGATTGCCCACTTTTCTAATGCCAATTCTATCAATCCTGTGATAGTTATATTTTTCAACAAATTCTCCTGGTTCTCCCTCTATACATGATAGGATTGTCCTTCTCTACCCTGAGTTAGGTAGGCATGATCATGAAATTTGCTTTGGCCAACAAAATGCAAGCAGAAGTTGTATGCATACCTCTGAGAGGAAATTTTAAGAGACAACTTAGGATTCACTGCAGCCTCCCTTTTCAGCTGCTCAGAATGTTCCAGAAAGCATTTTCTCCACTAACCTGTGTCCCAGGATGAGGATGACATGGAGTAGAGACCCAAAGAGATCCAGAGAAACATATAACGCCAAAAAGAAATAAACCTTTGTTGTTTTAAGATACGAATATTGGGGATAACATAGCCTACTATAAATTTACTGCCTCTCAGCTCCAAATCCACCCTTCTTTGACCTGCTTTGTGATAGTGAATCTGGACTGTCACCATTTCTCCTTTGCAGTTGGCAAAATGTTAAACTTTGTCACTAGAGGGAGCCATAGTGACATTAAAGGAAGAAAGGACTTCAAGGTTCTGGGTGTTTCGTTGTTCTTGCTACAGTGCATGGTTGCCAGTAGCTTATAGACACCCAGTGTTACTCAACCTCTTAGCAAGTTTCAGTGGCACCCCAGCAGACAGTTTCTCAAGAAGTCTCACTGGCACCCCAAGAGGTGGCTTCCCAATAAGTTTCCTAAGCACCTCAGCCAGCTTCTCTGCAAGTCCCACCAACGTTCCCACAGATGATGTCCTGCTTGCCTGCCACAGCCTGAGACAGCTCAGTGAGCCACAATCACATCCTCCAATGAGGGCTGAATCTCAGCCTCAGACACACAGGAAGGGCTTCTCTGAAATTTGTTTCTGTCATAGGTACTCTACCTTACCCCTAGAAGAAGGCTGCTCCTTGCTATGAGTAGTAATACTTTATATCAAAATGTCCCTGTTCAAATTACTATTATAGTTTCTATCAAGACTGGACTCTGATATCTAGTCTATCCTAACATACTGTCAACTGCAACATAAATTTATATTAGTAGTTTTAAAGAAAAATCTTGGATTACTTTCTTTTTCTACTTTATTTCATAGCTACTTTTAATCTTTACATGCCTAAGTTAAACAACTGATTATATCCTAAACCCTGTCATGAAGTTTAATCATAACATACACTACTGTGCATCTTTTCATTAAACCAGACTCTAGGGTAAAAAATTACAAAAAAGTAATATATGAAGGCACACTTATGTAGAGTATGGATATTCAACCAAACATGCCAAAAGAAACTACTTCTTGTGGAAATATTAAATTCAAATATTTACTTATTCATACTGGAATATAAAGTTATGCTGAGTCTTTTAACATGACCATTGGATAATGAAAATACTGCATATGAAAATATTTCAATGACTCTTCACTATGTTAGTCATATGGTAAAATTATTTACTCCTCTCCCTATAAAAATAAATACAATTATTAACTAACATGACTACTGCTTAGGAATAGTACTTAATCTTTACGTACAGGGCACAGAACAATTCACACTTCTTGCCCCCAGTCCCTCCACCTAAAACCCAGTTACACAAACATTTTAACTCTGGAGGAAACTGTTAAATAAATAAAAAGTGGAATGCAGATTGGCGGCACTTTGAAGGCAATATAGTATTATAAACTATAGTACAACATATATAGTAAAATATTATTTCAGAGATATTCTGGAATTTGTATCTCTGAATACAAAATACTTTTTAAAAAATAAGAATAGTTCAGTATCTACTTTATAAAAAAATATATATCCAAATTTATATCTACTGGCACTCTTTAGAGGAATGTCATAAGGAGAATAAATGGCCCCCCAAAGATGTTCTGTCCTAATTGCAGGAACACATAAATATGTTTCCTTATATGGCAAAAAGAACTCTACAGATATGATTAAAATAAGAAGATTATTCCGGAATATCTGGGTGAATTCAAGCTAATCACATGAGTTCTTAAAAGAGAAAAAATCTTTCCTAGTCGTGGGCAGAGAGAGATGCAATGACAGAAGAAAGGTCAGAGAGACGGCATCGCAATAAAGATTCAAAATGCCCCACTGCTTGTTCAGAGATATAGCAAGTTATGTGCAAGTACCAGAAAGAGGCCTCTAGGAGGTAAGAACAGCCCTCAGCTGAATAGCCAACAAGAATCTCGGTCCTATAACTTAAAGAACGTAATTCTTTCAACAACCCAAATGAGCAAGGAAACAATCCTCCTTTAGTTTCTAGAAAGAAATGCGGCCCTACCTACACCTAGATTTTGGCCCAGTGAGAAAAATAAGTGTGCTAATAGAAGTATTAATTAATTCTTTCAGATTGAAGACTGTTTTATGTGTGATAAAACAGATTTTCATCTATGTGCCTGGGAAGCAAACTATTATAAAAATGATAACAGATACCAAATATGCCAACAAAACAAGATGAATGTGAGCACCACCTCCATCTGTCAACTGAACAATACCAAAGCACCAAACACCATTGTGGTTATTCTGCTACCCAGTTATATTGTTTAGTGTATCCTTTTCCCCTAGTTTTAGCCTCCCAGAAGCCTAGTTACAGGATACAAGAAACTACCAAACTATTTGTCTCTTCGAGCTGAACATAAGCTTGATTGGAAGAAAAAAATGCTAAAGGGCATTCCTCCTGTGCCTTAAAGGAGCATTTATCCAGTTCCTCTGTTTAGCAGAACCTATCAAAGTATTTGTATTATATAAAAATACTAAATGTTTATAACCATGTAACTATACAAAAGTTGTTAATTCCAAATGCCTTAAAAAGCATTTAGCTAGCACTATATTGTACAAAAAGTAAGAGTTTTGACAGGTATATATAATATAGATATGTGTTCATAATATATAAACTGTATTAAAGTTGTTAGTTCTTGACCAATTAATTTATACTATCTAGTTGTCTTCAATTTTGTAGGTTACCCGTATTAGAAAGAAAGTAGGTAAAATAATATATTACTCCTGTGTAAACCTTTTCTTAACTTTCCCCTTTCCATAACTCTACCTCAATTCCTATTTCTGGAGCTTCCCATCACAAAACCCAATAAAATTTATCTCCCTTTTATAATACAAGCACTTTCTGAAATTCTGCAATAATTCAGTAAGCTAATATAAAGATGCACAGAATCTTCACCAACTTCCACATGTCATTTCCATAACTAATCTCCTCTCTATATTTTCCTAAAATACACTCATATTTCCAAAATTCCCTTAGAGGTGATACAGAAATATATACAGGGAAGGAAATTTGTCCTTGCTAAGCCTAACATATAAAACAAAGATTGTGTGATAGTTTAAAATACACAAAGAATGAAATAAAACCAGAGGGTGAGAAATTCATTGAGACTAAGTTATCAATGGGAGTAGGGAATATTCAGTAAAAGGATGATAGTCCTGAAGTTCTGAAAAGATTACATGGTGTGAATATACCCAGTAGAAAAAATTTTATAAGCTATTAAGAAGGGTTCCTTCTAATTATGAATGGATTCCAAGAGCCCTAATCTTACTTTCTCCCCTTTGTTCTTTGTCCTTTCTTTTCTTCTTTGTCCCTTTTGGTCCTTTTTACTACCATCCCATTATACCAAGTTATAGTCACTTCTATTACTCATATTAATGCTACAAACTCTCTAGAATAACTAAAACAATAAAATAAGCCACTTCACAACTGCTCCCTCAAGAGAACACTGGTCCTAGGACCAGATGACTTCACAGAGCTAACTATAAGTGAGATAAGCAGATACAGGCAGATATATATTATGTACAGTAGTCAGTTACGCAAGTCTGGCATCATAAGAGTTTACCTGACCCTTAACACACAGCTGTCAAATCCTGGCAATTTTGGCTCCTCAATTTTTCAAAAATTTGTCTTGACTCTCCACCTCCACCTCTACTGCCTTATTTCATGTCTTCATCATTTATTACCTGGATTACTGTAAGAATCTCCTAAATAGTGCCTTTATCTCTAGTATTACACCTTCTAACCAATCTATTAAATGAGAGTGGTTTTTGTTCCAACAGAAGTCTAATTATATTGTGTCACTGCTTAAAATCCCTCCATGACTCCCTATTGCCAAATCCAAAGAATAGCATAGAAGGCTTTTTAGGCTCTGAACCTTGCCATCTCTCCAGTCTCCTCTATTGACGCATCACCATTTAAATCTGTGCTCTTCTGAACCACTTCAAGCAAACTTCTTGACCATGTCCTGCATCGTCTTCTTTTTTTTTTTTTTTTTTAACAAATGAAAGGTTTTGGGGGCAAAGAGGAATTGGGAGTTTTAAGATTTTTGCTTAGAGAACAATCTGCCCAGCTAACATCTACTCATCATTTGAGATTCAGCCTAGATGGCATCTTCCCAGGACTGAATCACGTGCTCCTCTTGTAAAATATATCCATGATACACTGTAGTGCACAGTAGTCTCCTGGTACTTACCATGCAAAATTTTCATGTGGTTTATCACGTTTCTTACAATGAGCTCCTTAAGAATTACCTGATAATGGTTAAAATTATTTCAACTCCCAGAGATATCTGTATTTCATTAGGTGACTAGAGAATACAAAAGTTTTTAATATCTAGCAGTGAAACTTTCAGATATTTTAACAGGAAAAACTATGTGACACCATGTAATATAACACAATATAATCAAACAATACCATAGAGGCAATAAACTACTAGTAAGATTAGTCTGACATATTTTTTACCATGGTTATAATGTACTAAAAACACCTTTACAGTATTTTTTCATGACACTTTACATTTTTATGTGTTCATATGATTATGGTTGGCCTTAGATTATCTGTCCCTGGAGGGCATGAACTATTTCTATCCAAAGCCTTCTGTGTACTCTTTATCACTCATCTGTGCTAAACACAATGGAAATGTATCAATTCTCTTAAAGGATCACTTTTACAGCCAAATTTTCCCTAATTCCTAATATTCCTTAAATTTAAAAATGATATCTATCACAATGTTCTTCTAGTTTCTAGTCAAAAAAGATATGCTCTTAGTCCAAAAGAAAGATAAGCTGCAATCATACACAAACACTGTAAGTTTCCTTCCATGTAAAATAAGCAAAATTAGGCATGTTTAAAAATTACATTTGATTTCAAAAATAAGGACACTACTACATAAGCAAATCTTTTTTTAAGATTATTGGAGTTCACCTTGAAAGTTTGTACCACCTAGATGAACATAATATTTCATTCCCAATGTGCGTTCATTCACCCGATTAATATTTTTGAGTACTACTATGTGTAAGGCATTGTATTACATTAGAAGTTGAAGCTGCATTAGTGAACAAAACAGACATGGTGTGTGCTCTCTTTGAGTTGATAATCTAGCAGAGTGGACAGACCATAAACAAGTAAATAAATCATTATAAATTTTGATAAGCATAATTGGGGAAATATAAAAGGTATTGTTATAAAGAATAATGGAGAGAATCTACATAAGAAAGAGTGGTCAGAAAAGAGCTCTCTAAAGATCCAAATTTGAAGCTAAGCCAGAAGGATGAGAAACCGGCAATCATACAAAGCTTAAGTGTATTTGAGGGGCGATGTGAAGATCAGCATTCTAAGCTCAATAACCATACTTCAGAATTAGCTTAACCTAATACGGTTCTCTGGGTTCTTAGATACAATGTGAATAAGACAAATAGGTAAATATAGATTTTAGTTAAATAATAGAGTAAAAAGTTTAACCAAGGCAAATCTAAAGTCAATTACAAAGTAGTTTCCACAAGTAAGTCCCCTCAATTCACCTTTGACTATCAGTATCTTGCCGATTACCAATAACTTGATGTCAGTGCTATTTTCACTGCTATGTCTTAGTTATCAGGCTCCTTAAGAATGGTATTTGCTGAGGAAACTATTTTCAAGTTGTCACCCACCCTCTCCCCATCCCTAGTCTTCTAAACAAATAATGAAGTCGCTTAAAAGCCCTCCTGGCATATTTTGACTTCATAATAGACAAGGAAAAGAATCTCTCAATTTTTAGAAAATAAGAAAATTTCACCCAGCAATCCTATGATAAGGTTTAAAGAGTGCTATCTATGTCAGTTAACAATAATGATTATTTATTGCACCACTACTTATGCCAGGATACTTAGTCTATAACAATCACAATCCTTCAAAATAGGTGTTATTACTCAAATAGTATAGATGAGGAAACTCAGAGTTTAATAATAACAATCACAATCCTTCAAAATAGGTGTTATTACTCAAATAGTATAGATGAGGAAACTCAGAGTTTAATAATATAAGCAAAACGTTACCATTATTAATTAGTAAAGTAAGGTGTCAAGTCAAAGTTCATCTGGTTTATCACACTTGCTTCCACTATCTCTTTCTTCATCGCACAATATAATTAGTTCTTTATCAAAATCTATTGTCAAGAGGAAGATATTATTTAATTGCCCTTATTTCAAAATAGAATATATATAAATTTATTGGGTACTCTTTCATAAAATATAAGTCAATTTTTTGTTTGCTTGTTTTCTTATAAAATGTCAATCAATTTTTTAGAATGCATTTTGAATCCTTAAAAACTATAGTTTTTCATTTTTTTGGCAATGGCAACAGTGGTTTACATATGCAATTTTTATTTAAAAGTATTCATGATTCAATTGGTACTTTTTAAAAATACTAGAATAGGGAAGATCATTCTAAGAAGATCACAAACTCAAAATCCATAAAACAAAACTACAATAAATTCAATTTTTTTAAATCGTGACCAGTAAAAAAGGCATAAACAAGGTCCTAAAACAAATAACATGTAAGAGAGCCTCCACAAATCACTAAAAATTACTAATAGAAAAGGGAATACAAATGGCTGTAACCAAATTTTTTTAAAAAGGCTCTCAATCTTTCTGACAAGAAAATTGCAAATAAGTCTACAGTGGCATCTTTTTCATTGAAACATTGGTAAAGATTGCCATACACTGAGTTGGCGAGGATGTGGGAAAGTCCCCTTAGTACACACCACTTATACACACTTCCTCTACAAAAGTAAATTTCACAATATTTATTAAATTTAAAATATACTAACCCTTTGGCCCAACAACTTTGTTTCTAGGAATCTGTCTCAAATATACATTCATACATGTAGGAAATGCATGTACGAAGATATTTATCACAGATAATACTGTGATAAATACTAAAAATTTCTAATGACAAAATACTTAGAAAAAAACTTAAATACCCACAAATATGGTACTAGTTAAAGAAATTACAGAATATTCATTAAAAGGGATAGTATATATCCTATATCCATTAAGGTTAACGAGGCAGCTATACAGTCACAGATGTGGAACTGACCTCTTATAAAGCAAACTGCAGGACACATTTCTGTTTTTACGTTTACATCCATCCATACATACATGTATGAGCACACACATACACACATATACAGACACACACAATATTATATATACACATGTATTTATTCTTATGCATAGACTGTCTCTAGAAGAGTATACAATATAAAATATACTAGTAACAGTAGTTGGCTCTGGGTAGGGGAAATAGGTAGCTAAGAAATTTGGGGGCTGCGGGTTGCTCACACCTGTAATCCCAACACTTTGAGAGGCCAAGGCAGGAGGATCACTTGAGCCCAGGAGTTCAAGACCAGCCTGGGCAACATAGGGAGACCTCATCTCTACAAGAATAAAAAATAAATTAGTCGAGTGTCATGACACCTGCCTGTGGTCCCAGTTACTCCAGAGGCTGAGGTGAGAGAATCGCTTGAGCCCAGGAGGTCGTGGCTGCAGTGAGCCGTTATTTCGCCATCTCACTCCAGCCTGGGCCTCAAACCAAGAAAGACCCTATCTCAAAAAAAAAAAAAAAAAAAGAAAGAAAGAAAAGAAAAGAAAGAAAAAAAAAGATTTTATTTCAAAATTTTATAAATTAACTTTAGAAAATACTTTTAAAATTGAATTATTTTAAAAAATAGAGAACTGCTCACTATATATGTGCTAAATATATACTAATTGTTATCCTAACCTATCAGGAAAATTTTTACTTATTGCCTTCCTTTATTTGGGAAGCAAATTAACCCTTTAACAGAAAATCTAAACTATGAATGAAAATATACACATCAAGAAACACATAATTTCTAATTTGTGTTACAAAAAGCTTATCTGAAAGGCTATGATATGTACATATTAGAAACTCAGTATTTACTGAATACTTTTCTATTGATTTAGTGGGTTTGCTTTCCTCAGACATTTTTTCACAATTACACAAAAACCCACTGGAAATTCAACTTTTAATAAATTATGTTTTTCTTTCAAACAATGATTCCTCATTGTCCCACAAAATTGATAAGCTACCTCATTAACATTACCACAATTTAAATAAACACAATTTATTAAGTACTTATTACGTGCAGGTGTTAAGGATGCTGCAAAACACAAACTCAAAAAAAGGGTAAATTTTGATTCTTGCCCTCAAGAAGTTTACAATCTTGAAAGACAAGACTTAAAAACATTAATCATTCAGATGTCTTGGAAGATTGAAAAAAAAACATTAGTCAGTAAAAGGACATTATAAATTTTACTGATAAATTGAATTAGCCAAATTTAAACTGCTACAGCAATACATGAAAGGATTCTTTAAAGTAATTACTGATTAGGGTTCTACTGAGATTTTTAAATGCTTCCAAAATTATAGTACCTCGCTCATATGTAAAATGGTATTATTTGATGATGATAGACTTCCTATGTGGATGTTCAGCTGGACTTTGAGGAAATTACTAATAATTAGGAATAGCTTTTAATTATTCAGGCTCCTAAGGTGAGAGATAACAGTAATGGTCTCAGTTTTGATCACTCAGTTCTCTTATTAAAAATATCTCAAGCATGAATCTTTCACTACATGCATATTTAAAATTATATGCATCTAGGTATTGTCATCTATATATTAAATATTAATAAGGTTCAAATTCCTTCTTTCTCTCCACTTTGCATGAATACTTAATATGAACATTGAAACTCACAGATCATGCAAAAATATTTTTATCTAACCATTGCAGTATCTTCACACATCAAATGTATTTTTTAACATAAATGTTAAAAGGCAGCAGACATGCATTTAAATTTCAGTTTATTTTTCTCTCTACTCTTAAAATACATGTTAATTTTCAATGTAATGAACAGCACTAAAAAGAAACAAAGGATAGTAATGACTAGGTAAGCGAACCCTAAAACTTCATGGGAAATAGTAACCATTGAAGACCGTTAGTATTATTTTTCTTATGTATTTGTAATTTAATACCCAATATTGATAATGTATTATTTAGTAAACTGTCAAAATCTTCAAAATGATTTGTCTCTCATTACTATAATTCCATTATAAAGTCTATTCATTTCATTTCCTTGCCTACTCTTTCGTTAAAAAAAAATTAAGAACATTTAAAACCAAATGTCCAAATATATTATGCTTTAACCTCCAAATAACTTTTTGTTAAAATAAATATAACAAGAATGTGAAACCATGAAAGCCATTTTGAGGTAAGACTCCTTTCTAAGACTAAGTTAGGTAGCAATGCAAACAAATATTTAAAATAAATCTGAATATATATTTTTCATCAATGTAATTTTATAGATTGTATGAATATGTATTTAGAGAACATTTGTTTCTATCTAAACTATGGAAATATGAATATGTAAATATTATATGTATTGAATAGTATGTAGGTTTACATACAGAAATAATATATACATATGTAGCTACCTGAAAAACCCTTTTACAACATCTTCCTAACATACTGTTCATTTTGAATAATCCTAATACTTAAAGTCCACTTAAATTTCTATATTAAAACAACAAATAAACTTAGAACTACAGTGAACTAGCCACATAGTATTTCTACTATGAAGAAATAAAAACACATTTTACATTTAAATAGGTAAGTCAAAAAAATAAAACTACATTTTACTGGAGCATCATTTTGGCCGCACTGATTTTTATCAATTATAGTAAAAGGCATTAAGTTCACATATTTAAATATCAAACTGCAAGTCATCAAAAGCTTGGCATTGTTAGTATACAAAAAAAAAGTTAAGCACAGTAAGAAGTATGCTCAAAAAGCTTCTAAAAATAATGCTTTATTCTTCTATTAGTTAGAGTAAACTGCTTAAGTCTCTTAATTTCTTCATATCTGAAGGCTGTTAATAAATAACATTCCCAAATAAGTATTCAACGCCAGAAATTAGCTTTCATGAAGACATTCTTAATTTCAGTTATTTCAGGAACATATTTGCTCTTTTAGCCACTCAATATTTTGTGAGAAATAGTATCTTTCTCTAAGATTTGTGAATATTTGATGTTTGCTACTATAAATTATTTAAAGTGGTATTTTTCATTAAAATATGAAAATATATACCTATTGACAATGAAACCTGTTTCTTTATTAGTACATGAAAGACTACTAAATTCAACAACCTGCTTTTAAAATGTACCTGAATAGAGGTGAGTGTATTAGTTCCTTCACAGAGGAACTCTACACTTTCAATTGTATATTTCTGTGGAGAATATGGGAAACGTATACTTGACAAAACGCAAAAGAATCATCTGAATAACTCATTTCAAGTAAAAAGAAAAAAGCCAAGCTGGAAAAACATAAAAAGGTTACACATCTTCTGAATAACCTCTTTCACAAAGTAACTGAGAAATCAAATAACCATAAAACATTCAAAAGCAAACCTTGTAGAAACAAATCTCTTTGCTACGCTAACCAGAAAAGTAGTCTCAGAGCTAAAGATAACCCTGTCTGGACAGTTCCCTGGTGCTGAAGTTCCAGAGCCGGTAAACGCATGCCTGGGTGCTGCTTTCACTCCTACCACCCTCAGAAAAACCCGGCCTGCCAAGACCGTGAGCAAGAATAGTAGAACTTCACAAGGTAGGGAGCATCCCAAACTGCAGTGATGGTAGGAACTGGAGTCTCTTCAGGATTAAACAGATTTACTAGTTGCAAACAGGAAGAGCAGCAGAGTGCAGGGTGTTAGCACTCGCCGAGGGGGAGGGGCTGGAAGATGGCGGCGGACGCACACCCACCCGACCGCGACAGAGCTTAGGCCCCTAGCCCGCGCCGCCGCCCGCTGCTCGCAGCCACTGTGGGCAGCCCTGCTCTGTCCCGCGTTGCTGGTAGAGCCGCCCCGCGGAGGCGTGGGACCAGGGTGGCGTCCGCATCCCCTGCCAGCGCGCCTTCGCCCGGGTCCGTCCAGGGAGCACCTGTGCACGGCCATATTGGATTCTGTGCCCCAGTCACTGCCTCAGCGCGGCGGGAAAGGAGAGGGTACGCACAGAGCCTGGGTTCAGCCCCAGTCCCGCTGGGGCCCCGGAGCCAAGATGACCAGCGAGGAAATCCGGAAAGGCGCCAAGGAAAATCACACCGCCTAAGGCTCGCCACCCTCACCTCAGCCGGCCTTGGCGCCCTCCCTCCCCGACACACACCCCTGCTCTCAGACACCCCTAAAACAGCCCGGGCGGCCGGCGCTGGCCGCAGCCCTCGTGGCCTGGGCGCCGCCAGCGGGAGGGAGGGCGGCGAACTGGGGCGCGCAGGCGGCCGCAGGGCAGTGGGCGAGGGGGCGGAGGGCAGGGAGAGAGGCGGGAATATGGAGCCAGGTCCTTACTTGAGCACGGACTGCTCCTTCTCCTCTTCTTTCTTCTGCCTATCCATGACGGCCAGGATGATTTTCCTCTCCTCCTCCGTGAGGTGGCTGAGGTCAGGCATCTCGGGCTGCAGAGGCGGCTGAGAGGCCGCCGGGATGGGAGCCAGGCGGCCCCGGGGCCCGACAGGAGCCGACATGTTTGGTGGAGCCGAACCACCCTAGGGAAGCGGGGAGGCAACTCCACTGGCAGCGGCGGCACCGGCGCGGCGGCTGGGGCAGCCTCCAGCGCTGGGACAAATACATACAAATCAATGGCCTTCAATCCAAGGCGACAGCCCCCCTCCCCCAAGAAAAGCAGGGGGAGGGGAGGGCGAGCGCGTGGGGAAGGAGGGCTGAGGAGTGCGCTTCGGGAAATGTTTCTTCTTCCCGGGGGCGAAGGGCTGTGAAGTGAGCGGTTCAAGGGAAAGGGGAACTGGAGGCCGGGACGCGGAGTGCGCGGAGAGGCGGGGGAGGGTGGTGGAGTAAGGTGGCGGGGACAGCTAAGGGTGGGGTGACTGGAGGGAGCAGGCGGGAGGGCGACAGGCGGACCGGGGCGCGAGTGTGTCCGGCCGCGGTCAGGGCCGGGAGCGCGCGCGCCGCCTCGGAGGGGAAGGGGTGCCTGCGAACAAGCCCCCGGGGAACTCGCTTCGAGCGCCCGGAGGCGGAGTACTGCCGGCCCGAGGGGCACCCAGGCGGGAGCCGAGAGGGTCGTGAGGAAGCGAGGACGGTTTCCCGGAGAAGCAACTCATCCGTCCCGCCGGCTGACGCATCACAGGGCTCCCGCGCGCCACAGAGGGAGAACTCCTCCAGGCACACCCGGGAGCGGGCCGCGGGGCCGGAAACCCCCGCGGAGACCCCAACCCCACCCACCCCACCCCCGGCTAGAGTGGAGAAGCGAAAGCGGAGAAGATATGACGGGGGCTAGCGGCGGAGAGTCCCGGGGCCAGGGCCCTTCGGCTGCCAACGCCCGGATCCAGGCGAGCTCCGACGTGCAGCGGGGTCTGGCGCCGGCCCCTCCTCATCACGCGCCCGGCCCAGGGTCGCTCAGCCGCCGCCACCGCCGCCGCCCCTTGGGTCGATGGAGTCGGCGCGGAAGGCCCGCGCGCCCTGCGCCGCCGCCGCTCAGTGCCGCCGCCAGCACCTCCTCCGCCCCTCCGCCTCCCGGGCTCATCCCGCGGGGGCGGCGTCACCTCCTCGCTGCCCAGGCCCGGGCACCGCGGGCGCCCCGCGGGCGGCAGCCGCCCCTCCCGAGCGCGATCTCCAGGCTGGGTCCGGGGCCGGGCGGGGAGGGAGGAGAGACTGAGCGTGAAGGGAGAGGGCGCCCGAGTTTTCGGGGACGGAAGTGTGGAGAATAGGAGCGTGTGAGGGGGCGCCCGAGGTGTCGGGGGCGGGGGAAGAGTATGAGCAGGGGTGGGGGCAGGGGTGCCAGGTGTAGCAGGTAGGGAGGTAGAGGCGGCGAGTGGGGGCGCCCGAGGGACCGGGGCGGGGCGGGGAGCGTAAGGGTGGCAAGGCGCCCGAGAGTCAGGGCTGGAGCTGAAGGTGGGTGACAGGGAGGGGGCGCCCAGGTGTCAGGACCTGAGGAGAAAGAGTGCGCGTAGCGGGAGGGCCCCGAAGTGTCGGGGCGGGATCCTGGAAGGAGGGAGAACGTGAGGAGG
Source organism: Homo sapiens (assembly GCF_000001405.40). Taxonomy (NCBI): domain Eukaryota; kingdom Metazoa; phylum Chordata; class Mammalia; order Primates; family Hominidae; genus Homo; species Homo sapiens. The sequence continues at coordinate 103,499,389 of NC_000008.11, read as the reverse complement.
GAGGAAGGGTCCCTGGGGTGTCAGGGATGGGGGCCAGGAAAGGGGCAGAGAGCTGGAGGCCCACAAGTGGGGATAGCGGGGGAGGGAGGTTGGAGCGAGTGGGGAACGCAGGTGGTGTCGAGGGCGGGGACAGGGCGAGGGGAGCGGGGCGTGAGGAAGTTGTGGGAAACCGCGCTGGACGCTGAGAATGTGCGGAAGGATCCTGAGGGGAGGACGCGAGACAGCGCGAGGAGAGACGAGGAGAGTTAGGGTTGGCCGGGAGGGTGCGAAGATGAAGCGACCACTGGAGGCTGTGAGGGTGAAAGGAGCAAGAATCGTCTAGAGACGGGCTGGGCCGGTGCTGGGGCCAAAGGCTTCTGTCTGTCAGGCCCTTTTTGGCGCTCACTCTAGAAAGAAGAGGCGGAGACGCGAAGAGATCGGGTTAGAGTCAGATTTTCGAAGCACGGAGATGGGTTCAATGAAAGGACGAGGAAAGACGAGAAACCAGCGGCCGGAGAACGGAGGTGGCCGCCGCCGTCCTTTGCTCTGCTCGGGGCTGGGCGCCGCCCGGAGAGCCCTCCCGGAGGGGGCGGGGCGGGGCCGGGTGAACAGAGCTGGGCGGGCTCGCCAGCTCTTCCAGGCGCCCTGGGCAAGCAATGTGGGTGACTGAGCTCGGGTGTGTGTGCCTGTGTGTGTGTGTGTGTGTGTGTGTGTGTACGTACACAAGTGAGCGTGTGTGCGCACCCCACCCAGCCTTCCACACGCGCGCTGCTTAGTACCAGGCCATATTGTGGTCTGATGAGTAACGTAAGCCTTTGGGGTTTATATTTACCTTCTTGATGTGTAGTAAGTGCTCTCCCTCCTCCCTCTGTTCCCCAGGTACCGTCTGACTAGCTCCCCATTTAAGAGAGCTGGGGACAGGCAAAGCAGCCCTGGAAGTCTCCTGTGATTTCTAAGCTTAAATGTCTATTTTTCTTTTCTCCCATGCCTTGTAATTGGGAAGAGGGAAAAGTTTACTTAAGAGCTGTTTTTTAAATTATTACTAACTTGTTTCAAACAACACTCTCATACTCCAGATAATTCAATTTTCATCTCTTTGGAGCTGAGCAAACCAGATGAAATTATATGAATCCCAGTTTATTTCATTTTGTTGTAGAGTTCAACAATTTTTATGAATTTCTAATCCAACCTCATCATCCTATGGGAAACAGAAGACCACCAAGAACAGCCAGCTGGTAAGTGGCGGGGCTGGAACTAGAACCTAGATGTTTTTAAGCAACTTTGAAACCATGCTGGTTTTCAACCGTAGCTGCACACTAAAATTACCTGGCTCACTTTTTTTTTTTTTTTCCAGTCATCTGAGTTAAAGATTCACTGGGTCACTTTTTTAAAATACCACCTGGGCCCATAGGTCAAATGAATCAGACTCTGGTGTTAGGACCCTGGCTGTGAATATAGTTTGAAAGTTCCCCAAGTGATTAAGGTATAGCAAATGTTGAGAACTGCACTATATGCATTGCAAAATAAATAACGGAGAAGGAAAAAAAAAGTGACAAACTAAAAAAAAAAGCGACAACTAAAACCAACAGTTTTAAAGAGAACATAATTTTTTACCTGAAATTGAAATTGACGCTTACTATCCGTACTTTCCTCTCATACACAATGACAGGTACCAGTAAATACATTTATCTTTGACTTTCGCTTAGGAAAACCTAAGTGCTGCTAAAATCCACAAACTGCTCCTTTAGAAGAAAGGAGAGCAGAACTAAAAATAATCAAAAGGAATGGGTGGAACAGTCTACCTTATTCAACTATTTCTGTGCCAGATTTAAAAAAACAAACACCACTTCCCACCCCCAGCTAACTATCAACCCAAGCAGAACCAGAAGCCAGAATATACACACTACTCTGAGGTTTAAACTTTTTGAGGTTAAAATAGCTTAGTTATTTTGAGTCTATAAAATGTGAACTTCAAAGTCATGGTCCAAATTAGACGATTTTGGCTTCCTTTACAGTAGAGGGTCACCCCCTGGGCCCTGCACTGCTTTCTAGCGGTCATATGGTTAGCATGCTGGGTGCCTGAGGCTGTGTCTCCCTGCACCCCCACCCATGCTTCGCCTACCTGGAGACAGTGCCAGCTCATGAAATACAGTGGGCATGAGCCAGTATCACTGGAACATATGACTTTTTACAGGAATGAAGCAGAAGTGAGTGGGGTTACTGTTACGGTGTTTCCTTTTTACAGTTTTTACTACAACTAGATGTGTTTTTCCTATTAAAGGGACTACTTAGGAGTGGAAGGAAGTCTTTTAAACCATCTTCCACTGTTATTCACACACCTGGACGAAGTAAAAATTTGTCACAGTATTTATATATCGCATACATAGAATATATATCATATAGAATTTTTAAATTGGCTTTAGCGTAAATGAACTACTTTTCAAAATACTTGCCCCAGTTTGACATAAAATTGCTGGGCTCAGAACTAAAGAAAGTAAAATGTATTCACAAGATCTCTGTCTTTTGGTCTTTCTACAATATGGATCTTAGAGGTGTTTTGTTTGTTTTGGTACAGTGTTTTACTTAAAATCTTCATCACATCTGACTTTGTCCTGTACAGCATTATCTTTTACTTTGGCCTGTCCCTCAGTGTATGAACACATTTAAAGTTGAGTCAAAACCAGTATTCTTCGTTAACTTTAGAAGTAACAGCTGTCTTCATCACTGAATTTTCAAGTCTTGACAGGCCATAAACTAATCCCAAAATGCAAGTCCTGGCCAGGCACTGTGGTTTACACCAGTAATCCCAGTACTTTGGAAGGCCAAGGCAAGAGGATCCCTTGAGCCCAGAAGTTCAAGGCTACAGTGAGCTATGATTGCTCTGCCGCACTTCAGCCTGAGTGACAGACTGAGACCCTGTCTTAAAAAACAGGCTGGCTGGGCATGGTGGCTCACGCCTGTAATCCCAGCACTTTGGGAGGACCTGGGTGAATCACCTGAGGTCAGGAGTTCCAGACCAGCCTGACCAACATGGTGAAATGCCGTCTCTACTAAAATACAAAAATTAGCCGGGCATGGTGGCGGGTGCCTGTAATCTCAGCTACTCGGGAGGCTGAGGCAGGAAAATCACTTGAACCCTGAAGGCAGAGGTTGCAGTGAGCCAAGATCATGCCACTGCACTCCAGCCTGGGCAACAGAGCGAGACTCTCTCTCAAAAAAAATAAATAAATACAGATAAAAAACAAACAGGATGGGCATGGTGGCTCACGCCTGGAATCCCAGCACTTTGAGAAGCCGAGGCGGGTGGATCACCTGAGGTCAGGAGTTCAAGACCAGCCTGGCCAACATGGTGAAAACACGTCTATACTAAAAATACAAGAAATTAGCCAGGCCTGGTGGCAGACACCTGTAATCCCAGCTAGTTTGGAAGCTGAGGCAGGAAAATCACTTGAGCCTGGGAGGCAGAGGTTGCAGTGTGCTGAGATCAGGCCACTGCACTCCAGCCTGGGTGACAGAGTCCAAAAAATAAAAAACAAGCAAACAAACAAAAAACTGCAAGTCCTTTCTGCAGTTCCTATAGGCTCTTGAAGTCTATGATTCTGTGAACTTTCATTTTTACATACGAGTAAGGGCTACTTGTAATCTAGTAAATCAGTATTAGGAGGTATATCTAAAGTCACAAACTAAAATAGTTACCTCACGAGAATTTACTGAGGACCTAGTACTCTGCTACAAAAGCTGGGTGTTTCACGATGCTCAGAATCATTGCAGTGCCCCTTAGTGCATGTAAATATACTTCGATGGTTGGCATTTCTATCGATTCTCATAACAGGTTTCCCTGCTTCTGTGCTTGCAGCTCTATAGTCTCTTCTCAACACTGCACAAACCAGAAGCCTCCTAAAACATTAGATCAAAACACTCTGCTGGTCAAAATCCCAAGGTGGCTCCCCACTTTATTCACAAGCGTTCTTTAAATGGCTTACAAGTCCCACATGATCACTGACTTCATCTCCTAGTACTTTCTTTTAGGCTTTCCTCGAGCTGTTCCCTGTGCCTAGAATACCCTTCGCTAAGATACTCACTTGGCTAAATCCCTCTTCCTCAAATTTTTGCTCAATTGTCCATCTTATTTAATAGTCCTACCTGCCCCACACCCTCCCTGGTCATTATGATGATCTTCTTTACCTTACCCTACTTTTTCTTCTTCCCACAGCACTTACCACTCTCTCTGACAACAGTATTTTTACTCCAAGTTAAATATATACCAGTTTATTATATTTATCATCTACTTCCTTGTACTTCAATATAAGCACAAGGACAGGGTATGCATTTTATTAATGTATCCCAAACACTTAGAACAATACATGGCACATAGTAGGTGTTCCAACAAATATTTGTTCAATAAATTTCTGGAAAGAGGATTTGACATTATATTTGTCTAAGTTGGGCAGCAAAAGGGAAAAAGCATTCTGAAAAAAGAGAAAAGCAGTGCAAATAAGTAAGACCTAAAGTATTTGCCAAACTGTACAGATTCCTTTAGGATTAAATTGCTGTCTACCTCTCTAGCGTTGCCTCCAACCCAGCCTACAAACACATCCTCCTCTTCAGCCATGACGGTCTACTTGCACTTTACTGAATATGTGAATTGTCTCATCTCTCTGACTTTCTATTCCCTCAGCTTAGATCACCTTTTCTACTCCCTCTCTCATAACTTTCTTAGTTAATTTCTTTGTCTTCACCATATACTCATCCCTCTCTCTCCCTTTCTTCCACGTGTTTTCCCTAGACTGTCATACCAATATACCTACTGTGCTTATAGATAGCACTTGTCACAGTGTGTTGTGGCCATTTATTTCCTTGTCTGTCTCGACTGGACCATGAATTCTTTAAGATCAAGTAATGTGCCTTCAACTTCAGTTTCCCCAGGGCTTATCAGAGCGTCTCATACATTATAGAGACTCAATAAATGTATACTGAAAAAATATATGAGCAGTCACAAAATAATGAGAAAATTACAGTTGTTAGAGTATGAAGAAAGGGAGGCAAAGAGTTGTAGCAAAAGATAAAGCTGGAGAAATTGGTTGTTATAAGATTATGCTACAATCCTATATGCTGTGCTGAAGAATTTGAACTTATATCATTAGACAGTGGAGGTTTTTTAGTGAGAGAACTGACATGATCAGCTTTGATTTTCAGGAGGATATCCTGCCTTCAGTTCTTCACCCATGTCTAAAATGCCTACTAGTAGAATACTCAATGGACACAGATGCATAATGGTTTGGGCCTGGAGACACAAATAACAGAATTTTTTGCTTCCTGCTTTCAGAATTTATTTTTGTAGCTATTTTGCTCAGTAGATTATAACAGCATGATAATGAGGCCAAGGTCATGGTTTAAATCCCTGAGTGAGTCAGTCAGTGCAGTGGCCACAGCTGACTGTTAATCTTTGCCAGTTGTCAGATGACAACATGTTATTTCTTGACCAGGAATTGGGTGAGAGACTATGACTGGTTCATCCAAAGTTAATCACCATTATTGTAGAAGCAACTCAAAGTACATGGCTATTGGTTATAGGACTATAATTTCATTTTAATGAAAATAATAGTATTATATTAGTGATGACCAAAGAGCACAACCTCAGAGAGAAACATACATTGTTTGTTCCTGGAGAAGAAGCTAGAGATTAGTAAAATTTAATTATTGGAATTCAAGGCCAAAAAATAATGAAAAACTTAATGGATGTTAGTGTAGGTAAGCATTATTAATTACTTTTTGTGTATTTAGCAATATAGGAAGTTATTTATTATTATGTCATAAAACTCATAGAGCTATTCATATTAAAAGTGGGAACATAATAATTGTCTTTTTTTTTTTTTTTTTGAGACAGAGTCTCGCTCTGTTGCCCGTCTCAGCTTCCTTAGTAGCTGGGATTACAGGCGCGCACCACTACATCTGGCTAATTTTTGTATTTTTAGTAGAGACAGGGTTTCACCATTTTGGCCAGGCTGGTCTCAAACTCCTGACCTCAAGCAATCCACCCACCTCGGCATTCCAAAGTGCTGGGATTACAGGCATGACCCACCTTGCCCAGCCTTCATCTTTCATTTATAGCATTATAAAGTTGTTTCTATTTTTGCTTCCCTCCTAGCAATCAATAAGCACATCTGTAAAGTGAAATAGGACTATATTAGAGGTAGAGACATAGCATAACTGATGTTATTTTCTTAATTACATCTTTATCCTTTTTTATTTAACTTTTAAGTTCAGGGGTATGGTGGGCGTGGTGGCTCATGCCTGTAATCCTAGCATTTTGGGAGGCCGAGGCGGGTGGATTGCCTGAGCTCAGGAGTTCGAGACCAGCCTGGGCAACACGGTGAAACCCCATCTCTACTAAAATACAAAAAATTAGCCAGGTGTGGCGGCATGCACCTGTAATCCCAGCTACTCAGGAGGCTGAGGCAGGAGAATTGCTAGAATCCGGGAGGCGGAGGTTGCAGTGAGCCGAGATCGCACCACTGCACTTCAGCCTGGGCAACAGAGCAAGACTCCGTCTCTAAAAAAAAAAAAAAGAAAGAGAAAAAGTTCAGGGGTACAAGTGCAGGTTTGTTACATAAGTAAACTTGTGTCTTGAGAGTTTGTTTTACAGATAATTTTGTCACCCGGGTATTCAGTCTAGTACCCATTAGTTGTTTTTTCTGATCCTCTCCCTCCTCCCACCCTCCACTGTTCGATAGACCCCAGTGTGTGTTGTTCCCCTGTATGTGTCCATGTGTTCTTATCATTTAGCTCCCTTACAAGTGAGAACATGCGGTATTTGGTTTTCTGTTCCTGTGGTAGTTCGCTAAGGATAATGGCCCCCAGCTCCATCCATGTTCCTATAAAGGACTTGATCTCATTCTTTTTTATGGCTACATAGTATTCCATGGTGTATATGTACCACATTTTTTTTTTATCCAGTCTACAATTGGTGGGCATTTAGGTTGATTCCATGTCTTTATAACAGAACAATTTCTATTCCTTTGAGTATATACCCAGTAATGGGATTGCTGGGTCAAATAGTATTTCTTTTTTTATATCTTTGAGGAATCGCCATGGTGTCTTCCACAATGGTTGAACTAATTTACACTCCCACCAACAGTGTATAAACGCTTCTTTTTCTCTGCAACTTCAGCAGCATCTGTTATTTTTTGACTTTTTAATGATCGGCATTCTGACTGGTGTGTGATGGCATCTCATGGTTTTGATTTGCGTTTTTCTAATGATCAGTGATATTGAACTTTTTTTCATGTTATTATTAGCCACGTGTATGTCTTCTTTTGAGAAATGTCTGTTCATGTCCTTTGCCCACTTTTTAATGGGGTGCTTTGGTTTTTTCTTTATAAATTTGTTGAAGTTTGCTATAGATGCTGGATATTAGACTTTTATAAGATGCATAGTTTGCAAAAATTTTCTCCCATTCTATAAGTTGTCTGTTCACTCTGTTGATAGTTTATTTTGCATGCAGAAGCTCTTTAGTTTAATTAGATCCCATTTGTCAATTTTTGCTTTTGTTGCAATTGCTTTTGGCATCTTCGTCATGAAATCTTTGCCCATTCCTATGTGCAAGATGGTATTGCCTAGGTTGTGTTCCAGGGTTTTTATAGTTTTGAGTTTTACATTTAAGTCTTTAATCTATCTTGAATTAATTTTTGTATATGGCATAAGGAAGGGATCCACTTTCAATCTTCTGCATATGGCTAGCCAGTTATCCCAGCACCATTTATTGAATAGAGAGTCCTTTCCCCATTGCATGTTTTTGTCAGATTTTGTCAGGTACGTGTGTGGCCTTATTTCTGGGTTCTCTATTCTGTTCCATAGGCCTGTGTGTCTGTCCTTGTACCAGTACTATGCAGTTTTGGTTACTGTAGCCGCATAGTATAGTTTAAAGTTGGGTATAGTGTGCTGCCTCCAGCTTTGTTCTTTTTGCTTAGGATTGCCTTGGCTAGTTGGGCTCTTTTTTGGTTCCATATTAATTTTAAAATAGTTTTTTTTAGTTCTGTGAAGAATGTCTTTGGTATTTTAATAGGAATAGCATTGAATCTAAACTGCCTTGGGCAGTATGGCCATTTTAACAAACTGATTCTTCCTATCCATGAGCGTGGAATGTTTTTCCATTTGTTAGTATCATCTCTGATTTCTTGAGCAGTGTTTTGTAGTTCACCTTATAGGGATCTTTCACCTATGGTTAGCTGTATTCGTAGATATTTCATTCTTTTTTTGGCAATTATGAATGAGATTGTGTTCCTGATTTGGCTCTCGGCTTGACTGCTGTTGGTGAATAGGAATGCTAGTGATTTTTGTACATTGATTCTTGTATCCTGAGACTTTGCTTTGCTGAAGTTGTTTATCAGCTTAAGGAGCTTTAGGGCCAAGACTATGGGGTTTTCTAGGTATAGGATCCTGTCATCTGCCAAAAGGAATAGTTTGACTTTCTCTTTTCCACCCTTTATTTCTTTCTCTTGCATGACTGCCCTGGCCAGGACTTTTAATACTGTGTTGAATAGGAGTGGTAAAAGAGGGCATCCTTGTCTTGTGCCAGCTTTCTAGGGGAATGCTTCCAGTTTTTGCCTGTTTAGTATGATGTTGGCTGTGGGTTTGTCATAGATGACTCTTACTATTTTTAAGGTATGTTCCTTCAAACCTAGTTTATTGAGAGTTTTTAACATAAAGGGTGTTGAATTTTACTGAAAGCCTTTTCTGCATCTATTGAGATAATCATGTGGTTTTTGTGTTTAGTTCTGTTTATGTGATTAATCACACTTATTGATTTGCGCTATGTTGAACCAACCTTGCATCCCAGGGATGAAGCCTACTTGATCATGGTGGATAAGTGTTTTGTGTGTACATCTTTATCTTAATTATAACTCTGACTGCTTACAGAAGTAAAACAACTGAATTTTATGAGATCAGAAATAAATTTAAAACTCCTAATGAACAAGTGGACCTAGATATTCAATATCGATTAAACAACAACGGCTGCTAACATCAAAGAAAATAGACAACCAGGCATTGTATGCTTCCTGATAGAGCAACACAACACCCCCCCATGAAGTTGTCTTGCTAAAAACAAAACAAAATCAGATCTGAAATTGAACATCTTCTAGTTTCACCTATCAATTTACAGGAAATAATGGAGACAGAGGAATGTATTAAACTGTACCAGGAGATTGCCGTCTGTGGAACACTTGAGAACATTCTACATGACAAAACCCAGTTTTTTCAGCATATTGCAAGTAGGATATATAGTTAAGATTAAAAGACATCAACCAAGTGCAAATAATTCATGAAATTTCATTTAGAACCTGAATTTTTTTCTTTTGCTTTCTTTCTTTTCTTTTTTTAGAAACAGGGTCTTGCTCTGTCATCCAAGCTGGAGTGCAGTGGCACAATCATAGCTCACTGCATCACTGCAGCCTTCACCTCGTGGGCTCAGGTGGTCCTCTTGGCCTTAGGCTCCTGAGTAGCTACAACCACAGGCAGGTACCACCACACCTGGCTAATTTTTAAAAAATTTTTTTGCAGAGACAGAATTTCACTGTGTTGCCCAAGCCAATCTTAAACTCCTGGTCTCAAGCGATCCTCCTGCCTTGGCCTCCCACTGTGCCTGGCCTATGGACTCTGAATTTTTTTAAAAGACTGGAAAAAACTTTTATAAGAGAATTGGAAATTTGGACAGTAAGTATTTGAAGATAATAGGGAATTATTGTTAATTTTAGGATAATAATTGTATTGTAATGATATTAAAAATAAATCCTTAGTGATAAATACTAAAATAATTCTGGATGAAATGATGTGATATCTGAGATTTGCTTCAAAATAATATGACTAGCAGGATTGGCAATGGAAGATCAGAAAAAAAATCTGCATAATAAGTTTTCACAAAGAGATTGAGTCTTCTAGCTTCCTTTCTGGTTGCCTTTCATTAAACTAGAACATCAGCAAACTCAGATAACCTTTTATCAAGCATTCATTATTTGACACATACTGTGTCAAGTGCTGTCACATTTTTTTACCTTCTCATTCTGTGAAAAATTAGTATCATTCCATTTTACAGGTAAGACAACTGAGCTTCAGAGGGGTTAAATGATGTGACCAAAGGGAGTGCTTGAAATTCAAGGCTAATTTTCAAATCTAGGTCTCCTGGCTCCCTGTCCAGTATTCATTCCGCTATACGCATTTGCTCAATATGATTGTATGCATATATTTGGTTTCCCTGACTCAAATCTGAGCACACTTTTATTGTAGTGCCTGTCATATAATAGGCATCATAAAGTAGTTATATTTAACCCAACATGGTCCCTAATAACTATCATACGTACAATGTGAAAATACAAGTATAACAGAAACTGATATTTAATTAAGGTGACCATATGTTCCACTTTGTCTGACACTATCTCAGTTTTCCCAAGACAGTCTTTATTTAATCTGTTGATCAGGTATGATTATTAATTACAACTCCTTTCACTCCCCACAGTATCCCAGTTTGCAGTTCACATTACATAGTCTTGCTAAATTTAGTGTAACATGAATTAGACTCAGATGCACAATATGTAATGGGTGTAGAAAATCTTTAAAATCTAGACAATATGTTCCTAAAGCAAAGGTGTATGTCGTGACCATCCTGTAATCGCAATACTACATGTAGACATTTAATAAATATTGGTTGAAATTAAGTTAATTAATTCCCCAATAGAAAAGAATAAATCACTCTGATTAGGTTATATTCTCCCCAGGAAAAGATTTTTGACACCAGCTGGAATTCAGAAATAACTATTAATAATAGAAATACCAGGAATACTGAGCCCATCTTCTAATAAAGTTTCATGGCAAAAAAAAAAAATGAGTCAAACTACCCAGGGGTTTGTGAGAAAAGCATTATAATTGATATAGAAGTAATCAACATAGGCCTGATATTCAGTGCAAGAAGATAAAGTCATAGCAAGCTTCCCAACTGGAAAAAAAAGTAATCACTGTTTATGTAAAATCATATAGGAAGTGACTATAGAAATTTGGGGCAAAATTTGGGAAATTAGAAATAGCCTGCAATCCAAGATTTCCCACAACTGTGGCTTTCTGAAACAAAAGGTGGGTTTATCTTCCACAGTGTGACTGACTGCTGTATGCTTCAAATGTCCCCCTGTGCCTACGAGGATTGATTTAATCTTATCTAGATGGTGCCTGATCCAACTGCTTTCCTCCATGTCCTTTACTCTGCCAGACACTATGAAATTCAAGAAACCTCATCCTAGATCTGATGAAAGGAGATGCAAAGCTTACTATCAGCTGTGTACTGATGGTACTGCATCCCTAATTACTTCACTATCTTTCTGATTAGCATCATATAACACTAAAGTGAAAGGGAGACAGAAAAAAGCCATGTCGTTTCCCAGAAGGGAAGAGTAAAGAAGGGTTAGCAGAAGAAATCAAGAAGTAACCCAACTTTATTAGACTCTTTATCTTACTAGTGGAGAGAAATTTAGTTCATCCCAATACCAGAGAAAGAAAAATAAGTTTGTCATGTTTATTAGCTGCATATTTTATGGGGTGCCTAGTATAAAGAAAATGTTACCATGCCAATAATTTTGGAAAAGTCATTCAACTTTGAAGGCTTCAGTTTTCCCCTTGTAAAATAAAAATTCTCTATAAAGTGATCAGTAAGAATTTTTTTTCTTTTTTTTTTTTTTTTTGAGATGGAATCTCATTCTGTCACCAGGCTGAAGTGCAGTGACGTGATCTTGGCTCACTGCAACCTCCACCTCCTGGGTTCAAGCGATTCTCCTGCCTCAGCCTCCTGAGTAGCTGGGATTACAGGTGCGTGCCACTATGCCAGTTAGTTTGAAGTGGAGGCTGAGATTCTGCATTTCTCTCGAGCTCCAATTGATGCCTATACTACTGGTCTTGGGCACATTTTGAGTGGGGGAAGCGTATTCTACAGCAAGGAACTGTTATGGTGAGATTGTATTTAGGGAGGTTATTCTATGAGGAGATAGGAAGTGAAATGGAAGGAACCAAGAGTGGTATAAAGAGAAATATTAGAAGCAATAATAAAGGTCAAATCGAAAGTAAACAGTGGTGATGAAGATGGAAAGAAGGGGTATCTTTAAAATGTATTTAAGATGTAGGATGAATAGGACTTGGTGACCAGGCACCTGTGATAGATGAAGGAGAGAGAGGAGCCCACACAGTAATCCAGTCTCAATTTGATTTAAGTTAATAAAATCTTATTAAATAAGCCAGGTGTGCCTCTCGCCTGTAGTCCCAGCTACTCAGGAGCCTGAGATGGGAGGATCACTTGAGCCCAGGAGTTCAACTCCAGCCTAAGCAAGATAGTGAGACACTGTCTCTTAAAAAAAAAAAAAGAAAGAAAACAAAACAAAACCTCATTAAATGCACATTGAACAACATCTCAAGGATTAAAAAAAACACTGTAGAAGTACACTTGTTAGGCTAAAGCATTCAACTGCCACTTATTTAACCCTGCAATATTCTAGGGTTGATCTTCTGCTGTGTTGTCTAATATGGTAGCACTAGCCATAGCCATACTAACCACATGTGGCTATTGAAATTTAAACATATATTAATTTATTATGTTAATTAAGATTAAGTAACATTAAACATTCAGTTCCTCAGTTACACTAATCACATTTTAAGTGCTCATAGCTATATATGGCTACTGGCTGCCATTTTGCATAGTGCAGATATAAAATATTTTCACCTTGGAAGAAATTTCTCTTGAACAGCACTGATAGAGGATTAGTTAAGCATCTGTATTGCAAGAAGTCAACATGGAAAACATCCCATTGTCTTTATTTTTTGTTTACTTCTTTTAAAATGTATATTTTTCTTCTTGTAAGATGCTTTAATTTTTTTAATGTGATGGTCAATGAATTAAGAAATGGAAATATTCGTAAACCATATTGAAGGTGGGGAAATCTTGGCAGGCTCAACAACATGATTTTCTCTTAAGAAACAACATCATGCTTTGGAAATCCCAGAAGATCATAACACCCCTGAGGGAATGAGCTCATTTGTAAGTAAGTCTATGAGAATGATAACAGACATACTGCTCGCATGTAAGTAAGGGATAAATAAAGCTCAATTTCAAAGTCTTGTGCAACTGCCATGAGTAGCTTAGTCAAGAAGGAAGAACTAAGTATAGAGGTGTAAAGTTGGAATCTACAGGGCTTTCCTGTATAATAACAGTTAGCTTATCAATAGAAAAAGAAAGCTCTACCTCTTAGGACACTTCCAGTAACATATAAAGGAAATTCGACATAAAATGACAAACAATAAGGAAATTTATTGGCTCATGTAACTAGAAAATTCAGAAATAGATAATCAGAATTGATTAATCCAGCAGCCTAGTTATTTTGTCAGGGACTCAAATTTCATTCTGGTTCTGTACTTTGCTGTCCATGGTATTGATTTTAACAGTGATTCCTTTCACAGACATAATGTGGCTGACAAAAACAGTCAGGCCTTTCCACAACTGAGCTAGTCTACTCCTATATCCATTCAATAGAAGTTCTGAACTGTGCACTAATTTGAGCACCTTTTATTCATCCCTGTGGCCAGGGCAGGCCATGCTCTGATGACTTAAGTCTGACTAACCTGAACCTATCTCTGTAGCAAGAGAGTGGGATTACTTGATAGGCTTGACCCAACAAAACCACATGGTTGCCACATAATAGGGAAGGGTGAAATAGATGCTGGGAAATAATCATAATACTTAACTATGTTGGTGGACAGAAAGTATTATTTTTTAGTTTTCATTAATGTGAACTAATTTTTGAAATCTTTACATTTTAAGTACTTTTTTTCACACACACAAAAAATATGCTGTGGGCCAGGCGCAGTGGCTCACACCTGTAATCCCAGCACTTTGGGAGGCCAAGGCAGGCAGATCACTTCAGGCCAGGAGGTCCAGAACAGCCTGGCCAACATGGCGAAACCCCGTCTCTACTAAAAATACAAAAATTAGCCAGGTGTGGTGGCACGTGCCTGTAATCCCAGCTACTCAGGAGGCTGAGGAATGAGAATCGTTTGAATCTGGGAGGCGGAGTTTGCAGTGAGCTGAGATCGTGCCACTGTACTCCAGCCTGGGCGACAGAGTGAAACTCTATCTCAATATATATGTATATAATGTGAAGCGTAAAAGTGAGCAAATGATGTTGATTTCAGAATCACAATGAAAATAACAGAGATAGCATAAGGAAAAAAATAGCATGAAAGTAGTAAATTTTATATTTTCAATATAATCAAAAAATGAGGGAAAATAAAATTTTTAAAATGTCATGAAGAGATGATTGAGATATATCCAGATTTTACCCTAAAACTATAGATAAGAATCTTTGAAAAAATAAATAGCACCAAAAGTGAAATAGAAGGACTCTGACCACCCCACTGTTAAAACAATACATACATAGGAATTATTTACTTTATAAATAGAGTCCCTGTTATAATATATAAGCATGTATTGACTTGATGACCATGATAAGGTACAACCATAAACATGTTATTTCTTATCATTTCTTCACTCATAAGAGAATATTGGAGAATTTTTACCCAAGTTCACTATAAATATTACAAAAGGTTTTTTTTTGTTTTGAGATTTTTGAGCCTCAGCCTCCCAAGTAGCTGACAAAAGTTTTTGCAAACAACCAAAAGGACCCTAGATGGATGCAGGAAATTTTTTTAAAATAATGATGATGCCCTCACTTTGTTTTACCTTCACTTTAAGATTAATGATAAAATTATGGTTTCAACTATTATTTTAATGAAGCTAATATCTAAAACTGTATCTCCATTTTCAGTTATTCATTCCCAGTTGTCTATATAGCATGTATACTTGAGGGTTTCACTATCACCTCAAACTGAATATATCTAAAACAGTTTATACACTATCTCCTCCAAGAACAAAAAACCAATTCTTTCTCTGACTTCCATTTTTCTGTCATTGATGTCATCATTTTCCATAAATCTCCCAAGGAAGGAATGTCAAAAACATCCATGATTATTCCTTATGGTTTCTTATTTTTAATCAATTTCTACATACTATCAATTATCAGGTATTAATACATCAGTTATTTCTTTGTAATATTTCAGTTGTACTAAAATTTTATGCCAGAACTATTTTCCCTTGCTTCAGTCTCTTCTGTCCTTCTCCTCCAAATTATTCTGTATGCTGCTATCAAATTAATCGTTTAAAAACACCACTTTTATTATGAGGCAGACTAAAGCATTAGTTAAGAGTGCCTGCTCTGAGGTCAAATGCAAGGGTTTTATGTCACCTCTACTACTTAGTAGCCACTGTACTAAGCATGTTCCTCATTTGCAAAACAGGAAAAATCGTAGGACTTTGTTAAATACTGCAATAATTAAATGAGATAATATAAGTATCATGCCCAGCACATAATAAGTAGCCAGTAAATGTTTATTGTTTTTACATTCCCCAGTCAAAACCCATTAACTGACCTTGCCTACAAAAGGTCCAAAATCCATAGCTCAAGTTTTACATTTTTCTGCATCTGCCTCTGAACCATTTTTTTTTGTACACTTTTTACAGTTTACCATTACATTGTATACACCCTCCATCTTCAAAATATTGTTCTACTTTTTATCTTCCAGGGCTTTCTAACTTACTTGCATTTCTTGAGTACTACTTGTTTCTGGAACAATCTAACTTCTTTACTTATTTGAAATGTACCCATCTAAATCAGAAGGCTTTCAACTACATAAAACAAAACAAACCAACAAAACTTAAACTGAGTTAAACAGTAAGAAAATATATTGGTCCAGCAGTAAGACAGGCTTCACGTTGGCTTGATCCAGTGGCTCTACTTCTGTTTCTTTGCAGGTATCTTGGCAGTAACCTCCTCCATATATTTCCTTGGCCCTCAGCTTACATCTAGCAAAATGACTCTACTGGTTCCAGGCTTCACATGCATACAACATGGTGTTGGAGGAACAGAGATGTTTTCTCTTCCTGGTGTTTTCCCAGACATTTCTTAGCTGGCATTTCAAACAAGGGTCCTGAAATTCACCCTGGTTGGGTCGTGTTCTCCCCTTCCCATTCCCCATCCCCACCCTCAACCGAAAAATGATGTAAGCAGGGGAAATTGAATGTACCAATGTTTGTTTTTAAACAAGCCACAGACCCCTCCCCAACTCCCCGACTGAAGCTTGAAGTGGGATCAGCTTTCCCTAAAGTACTTGAGCTTATGGTAAAGCATATATGTTATCCAAGTTAAAGTCTGGACGCTGTTAGTAATGGGAAGGCAAGTAATGAATGTTAGCTATGGAGCCAACAGACAGTGTCCACTCCATTGTCTTTAAGGCCCAACTAAAGATAACCTCTTTACCAATGTCGGTTTATTTATTCATTTATTTATTCATTGAGATGGAGTCTCACTCTCTCACCCAAGCTGGAGTGCAGTGGAATGATCTCAGCTGACTGCAATTTCTGCCTCCCAGGTTCAAGCAATCTCCTGCTTCAGCCTCCCAAGTAGCTGGGATTACAGGCGCACACCACCATGCCCGGCTAATTTTTGTATTTTTAGTAGAGATAGGGTTTCACCATGTTGGCCAAGCTGGTCTCGGACACCTGACCTCAAGTGATCTGCCTGCCTCGGCCCCCAAAGGTGTGAGCCACTGCACCTGGCTACAATGTCAGTTTCTATAAAAACTGCCTTGACTTGTTTTGTTTGCTTGTTTTGTTTGTTTGTGTTTTAATTTTTATTATTTTTTTTTAGAGACAGGGTCTCAATCTGTTGTCTAGGCTTGAGTGCAGTGGTGCAATCATAGCTCACTGAAGTGTTGGACTCCCAGGCTCAAGCAGTCCTCCCACCTCAGCCTCCCAAGTAGCTGAGACTACAGGCATGCACCACCCTGTCTGGCTAATTTTTTATTTTTAGTAGAGATGAGGTCTCACTATGTTGCCCAAGGTGGCCTCAAACTCCTGGCCTCAAGTACTCCTGTGGCCTTAGCCTCCCAAAGCTCTGGGATTGCAGGTATGAGCCGCCATGCCTGGCCTACTGTATATTTTATGCATTTGATATAAGTCTTGCCTCCCTAAGTATATTACAAGTCCCTTGAAGTTAAAGACATTAGATTCCTACTCAGTGCTGAGCTGCAACAGAGAGCACTCAATGATGGATAAAATAGTTTTAGCATGCATTCAGCGATATATATTTAGAAAGTGGAACTAGGTGGTTGAAAAAAGTGTATAGATGGGTGGAAGGGAATATTACAGCTCTTAGAATTGTCCTAAGGTGAGAGTAACAAATTAAGCAATGAGTCCCTGGGTTCACTCAAGCAACTTCACTCTCTAAAACAAGAGCCCACAGAATCCCATTTCTGCTTTCAGAATGAGTTTGAGGCCAATATTATTTCCATTTTTTTTCTTTTTCTTTCTTTCTTTTTTTTTTTTTTTTTTTTGAGACGGAGTTTCACTCTTGTTGCCCAGGCTGTTTTGATCTCGGCTCACTGCAACCTCTGCCCCTGGGTTCAAGCGATTCTCCTGTCTCAACCTCCCAAGCTGGGATTACAAGCATGCGCTACCACACCTGGCTAATTTTGTATTTTTAATAGAGACGGGGTTTCTCTGTGTTGGTCAGGCTGGTCTCAAACTCCCAACCTCAGGTGATCTGCCCACCTTGGCCCAGCCTCCAATATGATTTTCTAATAGCTGTGTTTGATGATTATATTTATTCCTCCATCAGTAGCTTTTTTAGCCTTGAAAATATCTATTTAAGTTTCTTATTTCCTTTGGATCTATCAAAGTGTTTTTCCCCAAGTGGCACCTGGGAAAACATATTCTATTCATTTATTTTATAACTGTTCCCTTGACCTCTTTATTGCTTCCCTATTACAACCCAAGATGCTCTTGTAAACCTGACTTAATATTGGCAGTCTTCATCCCTTGCAAATGGAAGTGATGACAGACCCAATACTTTGTGTAAAAATATTTTGCTATTTCTATACAAAATATTTTATTAATGGAAACCACATGTTATGTATTTTACATATGTTATGACTTGAAATTTATGTTATGACTTGAAATTGGGGAATCTGATATGTCTCTAATAATAAAGGCTTCACAGTACAACTGTTGTTTGTAGATTTACAGATGGCTGGCATTTTAATTTTTTAATTTAAATTTTTAATTCAAATATGATTGACCTGAAATATTAACAAAAATTATCCTTGAATTGTTGCACTGCAAAATAAGAAAGCAAAATCAGCTATCTATGATGCAACATTTTATTTATAAATTAAGATTGTTAGCACTCATCTATTGATTTTTCTCTCTATTAAACATACTCCTAATAATAAAGGGAAGGAAGGATCTTTGTAAAGTTAAATTTACCGTAGCAAAGAATAGAGGTGATAATTAATAACATGTTAAAACTCCTTTCTAAAAGCAGATTCAATAAACAGTAAGTGTTCAAATAACTACTACAGTTTATCTTTCTCAAACCTTGAAAAAGAACATTCCAAGGTATTAGTTCTAATAGTTATTCTGTCTTTTCCACTGGATTATTATGAACTCCTTAAAAACATGTGAAATGTCAGCCGGGCACAGTGGCTAACGCCTGTAATCCCAGCACTTTGAGAGGCTGAGGCTGGCAGACCCCTTGAGTCCAGGAATTCAAGACCAGCCTGGGCAACATGGCAAAACCCTGTCTCTACAAAAAAATAACAAAAATTAGCCGACCATGGAGGTGCATGCCTGTAATCCTAACTGCTTGGGATGCTGCAGTTGGAGCATAGTTTGAGCCCAGGAGGCAGAGGTTGCTGTGAGCCGAGATCACACCACTGCACTCCAAAGAGAGACCCTGTCTCAAAAAAAAAATTAAAAAGAAAAAGAAATATGTAAAGTGTCTTATTTTTCTTTATATTTGCCTATTCTCTTAGCATAGTGTCTTTTACACCACTGAATATTTGTTGAATTTAATTTAAAATCAGTAAGTCCTGATAATAAGCCTACAATTGACAGGCAATGTTTTGACCCTAAAATATTGACATGTGAAAGAAAAATATCTAGGTATAGGAATATTATTTTCATTTAAAATGTTGAAGAATTTTTTCTATTGCTTTTAGCTTTTATTATTAACAAATTTGAAAAAATTTAAATCTATCTGGTTAAGTGAATCGGTGAAACATTACTTCACATTCTAGCTCACATGCAAATGAACTTTTTTTTTTTTAAGGGGGTTTCGCCATGTTGCCCAGGCTGGTCTCGAACTCCTGGACTCAAGCAATCCACCCACCTCAGCCTCCCAAAGTGCTAGGATCACAGGCGTCAGCCACCATGCCTGGCCCAAATGAACATTTTAATTTAACTTTCTTTTTTTTTTAGAAAAAATGAAAAATGATTAAATACTTTTCTAACTCAGAGGGTAGGAGGTCATAACTGTCTACCCCAGGATATTTTTTCCTTCTTCGTTCCCTGTGTGTTTCTATGAAAGGACTACTCTGTTTGTCACTGTGTAGGTATTATGGTGATAATGATTCATACCATTTTGTGATGATGATTATGATGATGATAGTCCTTTAAGTCACTGTCTCACAGAATACTCAAGAAGTTAACCTCAGTGAGAAATGCTCAGATCTGTTAACCTCAGTAAGAAAGTTTTGGATGAATAACTGTGTCAACTGTAATTCCAGTAAAACACTATGGATAAGTTGTGTACCTCAGGCTAAAACCTGAACTGGGTGGGAAGATCTTAATTAGTCTGAGAAGTTCAAACCAGGCTCCTAAGCCTTGGCCCAAGAATGAGTCATTATGTCAAGAAAACAGTTCTTTTGTGATGGTAAATGAGATGCCCTGTGATATGGAGGCAGGAACATGAAAGGGAAGGAAACCACGCTTTCAAAATTGAATTAATTCTTTAGGGTTGCTGTATAGTTATAATTATCTCATCACCAAAACTTGTATCTTTTATGCTTGATTTTCTTTGCTGTTTTTTCTTTTATTCTAATATCTAATGAAGTTTTCAAAATAACCACCTAAATATTGTTCACATTTGGACCAGAGTTTAGTGCCCAGCATAATTCAAATTGTAACAGCACAAATCTTCCCAAGGGAAGTTGAGTAAAGGTGGAAAAATGAAGGTAGTTTAGTCAGCTTCTCCTCCTAGAGATTTTTCTTCTAGAACTTTCACTGAATGAACCTTAGAAGATTTTGTGTTTTACCTTTTATAAGAAAAGGACATTGCACTGTGGCTCAGCATGTAATATTTTTATGAAGTTTATAAGATCATTCTTAAGCATGTCAACTCATATGGTTTCCCTAAGAGAAGGAGATGGCATAAATAAATCTCAGAAAAACAAGACAAAAGATGTGGGGACATCTTTGACTATTATCTTCATCTTCAATTTAGTTATAGATCCCCATGGTGCCTGATGATTAACTTCTACTCCACATGGTGCTGTGCTGGGTTGGTACTAAGATAACTCCGTAATGGCTTCAAGTAATAATTGGGAATATGAGATTTAACAGATTTGAAATAATAATGGGAGATAGAAGAAGAAGATATGAAAATTTAGTTAGAGGAAAGTTTCGAGAAGTTAAAAATAAAAGAGACATAGCATTGAGAACAGGGAGAATTTAGGATTGGTTATTTACCGATATAAATAAGAAAAAATAAAATAAATGGCTAAGGAAAAAATCCTAATATATAAAAAATGTTATATGTATTATATATACTAGGGAAGCAAAGATGATACCTAGGAGGTAGATAAAGGGTAGAGAAATATGGTTCTCATTAGCTTCAACCAATTAGCAAAGTGTCTTGCATAACATTATCAACTTTATCAATTCTTCTAGGCATGTAGGCTAGAAAAACTAAGACGCACCTTTGACTCTGTCCTCCACTTCATCCCCTATACTCATACTATTCCTAAGTCTTTCTGTTTTAACCATTCTCTCTACTTTCACTCTTTTTCTTTCCTTCTCACTGTTACTACTCCAGTATAGGTCATCCTACTCCAATCTATTTTATATGTGCCTACCAGATTAATCTTTCTAATAATAAAGAAAGACATGATTTTCATCATGTCACTACTCATCCTGCTTAAGAATCTACATTGCCTGGAGTGTCAAGTCCGAGCTTCTTTTTCTGAGAAGCTAGGGCTCTCCGTAAGCCAACTCTACCCAAAGATGTATAAATTTTATTTCCCATTAATGCCTAAAACATACACTTGCTTCAGGCAGAGATAACTACCTAGGCACTTTCCCCACAATACCAAGCACATTCTTGCTTTAATGCCTGCACAAGTGTTGGCATATTGCTGAAATGACTTTACTGCTTCCCTCCCCTCTAAATTCTCTCATCTTCAAAGTTCAGTTCAAGTCCCACAGCCAGAATGAGACTTTTTTCCAGTTATTCCAACTCTTAATATAGATGCCTCATATTTCTGAAATCACTCTGGCCTTACAGTTAGTGCAGACAACTACTTGTTTTTTTATGCTTTGCTAGAAAGATTGGAAACTACTTGATGACATGGGCCATGTTTTTAACTCCTTTTTTCTCCAATAGTATGTAAAATGTGCTGACCCTTTATTTATTCTTAGTGCTTTGACTCACAATAAAACTGAAATTTAAATTTGAAGACTGTGATTTGGGAAAAATCTTTAGAGATTTGTGTAAATTTAGACATAGAGTACTTATACAGTGTAAGTTTTTACAACTTATGTTAAATAGATTTTTTAAAAATACACTATTCTTGCTGGGTGCTGTGGCTCACGCCTATAATCTCAACACTTTGGGAGGCTGAGGTGGGAGGATCATTCTAGCCTAGGAGTTCAAGACCAGCCTGGGCACCATAGTAAGACTCCATCTCTATGAAAAATACAAAAAAAAAAAACAAAACCTACCTGGGCGTGGTGGTGTGTGTCTGTGGTCCTAGCTTCTCCAGAGGCTGAGGAGGATTACTTGGGCCCAGGAGTCTGAGGTTGCAGTTAGTTAGGATAATGCCACTGCACTCCAGCCTGTGCAACAGAGCAAGACTCTGTCTCTAAATAAATAAATTAAATTAAATAATGAAATAAAATATGCTATACTCATGGCAAAAAAGAAATTCAAAAGTTTCTTTATTTATCTCCAACCACTCTATTCCCACTCCCACTCTCCAGAGGTAACCCATGTTAATAATTTATTTTAAAATCATTCAGAAATTTGCTATGCATATACATGTAATTTTTAAGGCAAATGAGTTTATTATATACACATTGTTTTACCAATTTGCACTTTTCTTTAAAATATATCTTGGAATCCTTTCTATATTAGTACTGTAGAATTATATCATTCTTAATGTTTTGCATACTTTGCCATTTATATCAGTGTACCATATTTTATTTAACCAGTGCCCTAGTGATAGTCATTAAAGTTGTTTCCAGTTTTCTTGCTATTACAAACGATGCTACAATGCACTTTTTTTGGGGGGGAGGGGCTACAGTGCAATGGCGCAATATTGGCTCACTACAGGCAATCTTCCTGCCTCAGTCTCCCGAGTAGCTGGGACTACAGGCGCCTGCCACCAGCCCTGGCTAATGTTTTTATTTTTTGTAGAGATGAGGTCTCACTATGTTGACCAGGTTGATTGCAAACTCCTAGCCTCAAGGGATTCTCCTGCCTCAGCCTCCCAAAGTGCTGGGATTATAGACATGAGCCACCACACCTGGTTAATGTATTTTATTTCTTTAAGAATTAATTCAAACATTTATGTGGAAACTGATGATTTAATTCAGTCATTAATTGATTACTTTAAGGTTAAGTAGTTTGAGAAACTTCAACTCTATCATTCATCTTAGCATTGGTGTAGGATATCCTGGTAGTACATATCCTCATGCAGCTAAATTTTAGTGACTATTTTATGACATCTTTTGATAAGAAAGGTCAGATTCCTCTCTTTCTTTCACATCCCTCAGCCAATCTATCAGCAAGACCTGCCAACATTACCTTTAAAATATATTATGGGCCGGGCGCAGTGGCTCACGCCTGTAATCCCACCACTTTGAGAGGCCGAGGTGGGCGGATCACGAGGTCAAGAGATCAAGACCATTCTGGCCAACATGGTGAAACCCCGCTGCTACTAAAAATACAAAAATTAGCTGGGCATGGTGGCACGCACCTGTAGTCCCAGCTACTCGGGAAGCTGAGGTGGAGAGTGGCTTGAACCCAGGAGGCGGAAGTTGCAATGAGCCGAGATCACGCCACTGCACTCCAGCCTGGTGACAGAGTGAGACTCCACCTCAAAAACAACAACAACAATAAACAAACAAAAAACAACATATATGTAAATTATATATATGTGTATATATACATTACATATATAAATTATATATATGTGTATATATACATTACATATATATATGGTTTCTCTCTATATATATATAGAATCTGATCACTTTTCACCATTACTACAACTTGCACAATAGGCCCAGGCTGTTGTCAGCACTTACCTGGACCATAGCAGTAGTCTCCTGACTAGTCTACCTCCTTTCAGTCTTGTCTCCCATGGGATCTCTTCCCCATGGTGATATTTTCAAAATGTAGCCTGAATCATGTTGCTTTTCTGCTCCAAAGCCTCTAAAGCTTTCCAAAATATGCATAATACAATCTGAACTACAAAACCCTATGTGATTTGGGTCCTGACTACCACTCTCTTGGTCTCTTTCCCCACTTCAGGAACACTGGCCTTTTCTCACTCTTCCTCATATATACTGTATGAAGCTAACTTGTGTCTCAGGAACATTCATCCACGCCTGGAAGCTTCTTGCCTTGTAGAGTCATATGTCTCAGGTCTCTGTTCAATGCTACCTCCTCAGAGAAACTGTCCCTTACCGTGTTTTCTAATTAGATCACCTGCCTTTTGTCATTCTCAATATCTTTGATTCGCTTTATTTTTCTTCATGTAACTTCTCACTACCTGAATTTATATTACAGGTTGAGTATCCCTTATCTGAAATGCTTGGGACCAGAAATGTTTTGGATTTCACATTTTTTGTGGATTTTGGAATATTTGTATATACATGATGAAATATCCTGGGGGTGAAATCACTGTAAACACAAAATTTGTTTATGTTTCATATATACCTTATACACATACCCTAAAGGTAATTTTTTGTACTATTTTAAATAATTTTGTAAATGAAACAAAGTTTTTAATGAAACCTGTCACATGAGGTCAGGCATCAAATTTTCTACTTGTGGTACCATGTTGGCACTCAAAACGTTTAAGATTTTGGAGCATTTTGGATTTTGGATTTTTGGATTAAGGATGCTCAACCTGTACATATATTTCTGTTTATAGTTTTTTTAATCTCTCTCACCTACCAGAATGTAATCTTCATGACAGAAAGAGTTTTGTCTTGTGCACTGATGTATTCCCAGCATCCAAATTGGTCAGGTATATAGTATGTGCTCAATAAATATTGTTTCACTTGAAAAATGATGCAGTGTTGACTAATACAGGACTTTGGCTCCCTAGGTTTATATCATTCCATAATATTGCAAATTATGCATTATTATCATAGAAACATATGTACATTCTTGGAGGCACAATTATCAGCAAATACTGTCTCCTGGACAACCTACCTAAAGAAGTCTAGGTAATATTAGAAGATAATTGAATTAGATCATCACCAGTTGATCAATTACCTGATTTGTTTGTTCACTTGTGATCATCATTTCTGCCAAGTAACCCAGACGTAGGTCCTATTGACTTGCAGAATCACTGGGGTTAGATTTCACATCCATGGAACATCACTTGCACACTTGCTCTGTGTTATTATGGTTAGTTTTCTATCTTGGTTTCTCACAAAACGTTGAATATTGTGTGTTGTGGTAATTTCCTGTGTTCTTTTTTATTAATATTATTTTTAATTGGCAAATTATAATTGTATACATTTATGGGATACAATGCAATGTTTTGTTTTGTTTTGTTTTTTGAGATGGAGTCTTGCTCTGTTGTCCAGGCTGGAGTGCAGTGGCACAATCTCAGCTCACTGCAACCTCTGCCTCCCAGGTTCCAGCGATTCTCCTGCCTCAGCCTCCTGAGTAGCTGGGATTACAGAGCCTGCCATCATGCCCATCTTATTTTTGTATTTTTAGTAGAGATGAGGTTTCACCATGTTGGCCAGGCTGGTCTCAAAATCCTGACCTCAGGTGATCCATGTGTCTTGGCCTTCCAAAGTGCTGGGATTACAGGCTTGAGCCACTGCACCTGGCCCAGTGTTTTGATATATGCAGACAAAGTAGATTTTATTGTAGCTAAAGCTCATTAGATTAATCTAATTGACATATTCATCACTTTGCTTAACTATCATTAAGCTAATTAACATATTCATAAACTTTGCATACTTTGCTTAAAAAATACCGTTTTGTTTTGTTTTGTTTTTACTTTTATTATTAACAGTTTTATTGAGGTATAACTGACACAGAATAAAGCCTTCATTTTTAAAGTATAAAATTTGGTTAATTTTGAATTATATATATATATGCATGAAACCGTTACCAAATCAAAATAATAAACACATATATCACACTGCAAAGCTTCCTCATGCCCCTTTGTTATTTCTCCCTCTCATAAACCCAAGCGACCATAAGCAACAGGTAACCACGGTCTTCCTTCTATCACTATACACTGGTTTGCATTTCCTAGACTTTTATATAAGCAGAATCATATAGTCCACACTCTTTCCCTTTTTTTTTGGTGGGGAGGGAGGATATGTCTTCTATAACTGACAATAATTATTTTAAGATCCATCCATGATGTTGTGTTAATTGATAACTTGTTCCTTTTAGTTTTTGAATAGTATTTCATGGTATGAACATATCAAAATATGTGTATGTATTTACTTGTTGAGGGACATTGGAGTTGATTTTTTTTTCTATTAGAATAAAGCTGCTGTGGACATTGGTTTACAGATCTTTGTATCTTAGAGTAGAATGTCTGGATCATATAGTAAGTGGATATTTAACTTTTAAGAAAAGCCCAAATTGATTTCCAAAGGACTCACACCATTTTGTGTGTATGTGAGAGTTACATTCTTCTTAACACTGGGTATAGTCAGGCTTTAATTTTAGCCATTTTAGTAGAAATGTAGTGGTATCTCTTAGTTTTAATATGCACTTCTCTAATGACTAATGGTATTAACATCTTTTTCTATCAGTGTGCCTACTAGTCAACAGTGCAACTTGTTTGAAGTGTTTGTTTAAATCTTTTGCCCAATTTTAAAATACTTGTGTTTGTATTATTGATTCTTGAGAGCACTTAAAATATGTTCTAGATACATAGGCTTTATGAGATACATGATTTGCAAATATTTTCTCTAAAACTGTTAGACTTATGGAGGTAACCTTTGTGACCTCATGTTGGGAAAAAATTTATTAGATAAAATACCAAAAGTGCAGTTCACAAAAGAGAAAATTCATAGACTGGACTTCATCGAAATTGAAAACTTCTGATCTTAAAAAAAAAATACCGTTTTTATGGTGAGACATTCAAAATTTACTCTTAGTTATTTTGGAATGTACAATACATTAATAGATCTCAAGTCCCTACTTTATTTCTCCCATCTGTCTCAAACTTTGTACCCTTGAGTGAAAAAACCAAAGCTGGAGGTAACTCCTTGATTTTGAAACATATTATAAAGCAATAATAATCAAAACAGCACAATGATGTCATAAGAACATTGACATCAACCAATTGAACAGGACAGAAAGCCCAGAAATAAACCCAAACACTTGCAGTCAATTGATTTTCAACAAAAGTGCCAAGAACATACATGTTAAAAAGAAAGTTTCCTCAATAAATGATGTTGGGAAATCCACATGCAGAAGAATGAAATTGGATCCTTACCTCACACCATATACAAAAGTCAACTCAAAATGGATTAAATACTTAAATATAAAACCTGAAACTGTAAAACTACTGAAAGAAAACATACAGGAAAAGCCCTATGACATCGATCTGGGCAATGACATTTTGGCTCTAACCCAAAAATCACACACAACAAAAGCAAAAATAGACAAATGGGATGGCATCAAACTAAAAAGCTTCTGCACAGCAAAAGAAACAGTTAACAAAGTGAAGAGACAGTGCACAGAATGGGAGAAAATATTTGCAAACCATACATATAATAAGAGATTAATTTTCGAATTATACAAGGAACTCAATAGCAAGATAAAAACACCTGATTAAAATATGGACAAACACCAGATATTTCTGAAAAGAAGACATACAAATGGCCAACAAGTACATGATAAAATACTTAGCATCACGAATCATTAGGGAAATGCAAATTAAAAACCATGATATCACCTCACACCTTTTAGAACAGCTTTTATCAAAAAGATGATGAAAGAGAAATGTTGGCAAAGATGTAGAAAAGAGGGAACTCTGTGCATTGGTGGTGGGAAGGTAAATTAGTACAGCCATTATGGAAAACAGTATGCAAGTTTCTCAAACATCTAAAAAAGGAAATACCATTGATCCAATAATCCCATTTCTCAATGTCCATCCAAATAAATTGAAAGCAATATATCACTGCACTCTTATGTTCATTGCAGCATTACTCACAATAGCCAAGATATGGAACCAACCTAAATGTTCATGAATAGATGAATGGATAAAGAAAATGTGGTACATATACACAACTAATACTATTCAGCTTTTAAAAAGAAGGAAATCCTGTCATTTGCGACAACATGGATAAACCTAGAGGAAATTATGCTAAATTAAATGAATCAGGCACCGAAAGACAAATGCCTCATGAGCTCACTTATATGTTGAATCTAAAAAAGTTGAACTCATAGAAGTAGAGAGTAGAATGTTGGTTACCAGAGGTTGGGGGCTAGGGGAGGAAGTGAATAGGGAGTTGTTGGTCAAATGAACATTTTTTTCCATATCTTCATGTATTCAAGAAAGTATATCCTAGAAGAGAAATTACTAGGTCAAATGGTAGGTTGTATTATACAATTTTAAATGAGTGCCAAATACTATCTTCCAACAAAGTCTGCACAAACTTATACTCCCACCAACCAGGCAAGAGTGCTGTTTTCCACACCCTCACCAACATGGATATTACAATTATATTTAATCTTTCCAATCTAGTAGATTAAAAATATTGGTATTTTAATGTTCCATTCATTAATTATGAATAACGAAGATTTATTGGCCATTTGTGGGAAAAAAAATTAGCCAAGTGTGGTGGCACATGCCTGTATTCCCAGCTACTCAGGAGGCTGAGGCAGGAGGATTGCTTGAGCCTTGAAGTTCAAGGCTACAGTGAGCTATGATTGCACCACTACACTCCAGCCTGGTGACAAAGTGAGACTTTGTCCCCAAAAATTTTTTTCAATAAAAATTAAAATGGGGTAGAGATGCAGATTTTTGCTAAATATCTAGCCAGTTTTCCCCAAATGATTCATTGAATAATTTGTCTCTTTTTTTTTTTTTTTTTTACTTATTTAGGATACATATAAATTAACTGCCTTTTAAAATTATTATTGTGAAGCAAAAAGCAAGGTCTGACTACCAGATTTTGCCAGTAAAAGGAACAAGTCCTTTTTAGATTCAAACAGTTTGTTACCTACGTAGACAAAGGGAAGAGTATCATAAGGTGCCAGGTCCCTGCAGACCTTGGGCATGGCAACACCAAAACATAGGGAGCCAGATGACTGCCATACAAATGATGAGACACCTGTTGCTGAGAAGCCAATGCCACACTGCAGATAAGTAGTTTTATAAGGTGCAGCTGTGCCCTAAGTAGGGGCTAAGAACAAGGCAAAAACCCTCATACCTTATAAAAACCCAGAAAGTGATGAGAAACTGTTTGAAGACACCATCCTTGGTAGATAGGTAGGAGGCAAGTAGGAAATGGCCTTGTAACAACTCACAAGCCTCCCATTCTCTTGTGTTCAGGCAAAATCACAAGCATCCTGTCAAGTCAGCTGCAGTTCAACTTGCCTACTTGGCCTATGTGGATACATAGAAGGTCATTAAGTGCCAGCATGGAGCTGTTCCTCTACAACCAATATCTGTTGTAATTGAAAGTGTCCTTCAAAAATTCATACCCACCCAGAACTTTAGAATATGGTCTTATTTGGAAACAGAATCTTTGCAGATGTAATTAAGACATCATATTGATGGAGATTAGAAAAGAAATAGAGCCGGGCGCGATGGCTCACGCTTGTAATCCCAGCACTTTGGGAGGCCGAGGTGGGCGGATCACAAGATCAGGAGATCTAGACCATCCTGGCTAACACGGTGAAACCCCGTCTCTACTAAAAATGCAAAAAAATTAGCCGGTCGTGACGGCAGACGCCTGTAGTCCCAGCTACTTGGGAGGCTGAGGCAGGAGAATGGCATGAACCCGGGAGGCGGAGCTTGCAGTGAGCCGAGATGGCGCCACTGCACTCCAGCCTGGGCGACAGAGCGAGACTCTGTCTCAAAAAAAAAAAAAAAAAAAAAAAGAAATAGAAAAGATCAATAAAACTAAGAGTTGGTTTTTGAAAAGATAAAATTGACAAACCTTTGACTAGATTAAGAAAAATGGGAGAAGGTTCAAATAAAATTAGAAATTTGAGAGGAGACATTACAATGGATACCGAAGAAATACAAAGGATCATAAGCAACTACTATGAGCAATGATATGTCAACAAACTGGATGTCCTGCTCAAACTCTTACAAATTCTTCCAAAAAATTGAAGAAGATGGAATATTCCCAAACTCATTTTACAAGGCCAGCATTACCCTGATACCAAAGCCAGTCAAGGAAACTACTAGAAAAGAAAATGGCTGGCTAACATCCCTGATGAACATAGACACAGATATCCTCAACATAGTACTGAAAGTCTCCTATATAAGAGACCGACATCTCTTCCCTCAATAAGAACAATACTGCCAGTTTTTGTCCTCCAGTGTTTCTATGGTTGAGAACCAAATGAAACAGTTGGTTTGGATAAGGATCGCCTTGTACAAAAGTTTGTCTCTTCAAGCACCAGATATAGATGCACACACTACTGGAGGCATACGGAAACTAAGATGGCCTTCAGAGATAGCAGATTCATGTCTCCTATCACATGAAATGGTGGATAGAATCGCCAATTCTTTATATTTACTTTTTTCCCTCTCTTGTTTGCCCTTTTGTTTTTTGCTAATGTTTTGTTAATATATGTAAAATAAATACGCAAATGACATGCTTTCAGTGATAATTCATCGTATTAAAATAATTCAATTTTTATTACTCTCACTATATTCACCATTATATTTATTACATGGCCCAAATACAATTAAAAATATTTCAGTTTTTCCTGAATCCATTTTAATGTGTTATTTAGTTATTTATGATTTAAAATTTATTGGAACTTACATAGTGATGGTACTAAATTTATTTATTTAATCATTCATACATTCAACAAACAATAATGAAGCATCTATTACATTCAAGTTACTATGTTAGGTTCACTGTGAACTAAAAAACAAATGAATGTCTTGCCTTCAAAGAATTCACTATTAGCATCAAGGTAGTATCAATAAATTCACATTGGTAACAAAAAATATCCCATGAGAAAATTTTTACATTATACTGTCTGTCTCTTATTTTTTAAATCCTTCACTGATATCTCTAAAAATATTACAAAATATTAAAAATTATTTTATAGACTCTGAGACATTCTATAAAAATATTTCAAGCTGGGCCAGGCGCGGTGGCTCTTGCCTGTAATCCCAGCACTTTGGGAGGCCGAGGCAGGCGGATCACGAGGTCAGAAGATCGAGACCGTCCTGACTAACACGGTGAAACCCCGTCTCTACTAAAAATACCAAAAAAAAAATTAGCTGGGCGTGGTGGCGGGCACCTGTAGTCCCAGCTACTCGGGAGGCTGAGGCATGAGAATGGTGTGAACCCGGGAGGTGGAGCTTGCAGTGAGCCGAGATCGTGCCACTGTACTCCAGCCTGGGCAACAGAGCGAGACTCTGTCTCAAAAAAAAAACCAAAAAACAATATATTTCAAGCTGGTCATGAGTTTGGAAAATGCATTAATCAATGTATTATATATCAGCATACATTATTTGATCCAGTGCCACAAAGTAGTAAATAAGCAAAACACTTGGCTATATAAAAACCTCAGGAAAGTCTCTTACAAGAGGCCAAAAACCTCTGTGACAATGCCTTTGTAGACCTTTTTTCTTCTCATGAGAAGTAGATGGGGCTAGCAGACCGTAACTATTGTCTACTGCTATTTAACAGGGTACATAAATTTTTCTGTGCCCCTTCCCAAAAAAAGAGTCAGCTATATATCTGAGGTAGAAGAACATGTAAAACCTACAAATTCCTGAAATCTTCTTTGCTTACAAATCCTGCTTCCTTGGTCTTTTGATAAGATATATTTCTTCATAAATAAATTGAGGAGAAATTAATTTTTTAGGATCCAAAATAAAGTGAAACAATGTTGGGCACTGGTGCCAGTATATGCCAACAATTCCTGCCCTAGGAAAGGTAACGAAAGGCAGAGGGGAGCCAGGCACAGTGGCTCACACCTGTAATTGCGGTGACTTGGGAGGCTAAGACAGGAGAATCCCTTCAGGTCAGGAGTTCAGGAACAACCTGGGCAACACAGCGTGACCCCCATCTCTTAAAAAACCACAAGAAAAATTTGCTGGGCATGTTGGTATGCACCTGTCATCCCAACTACTTGGAGGCTGAGGTGAGAGGATCACTCGAGCCCAGAAGTTCGAAGCTGCAGTGAACTATGATCGTGCCACTGTACTCCAGCCTGGGTGACAGAACAAGACCCTATCTCCTTAAAAAAAAAAAAAAAAAAAAAAAAAGGCAGAGTAGACATCCCCCACCACCACCTTCTACTATCTGACTATCGCCACAAGATTTGGCTGTGGACAAGAAGAAGATACCTGTATCCACTTTGTTGACAAGTAAACCCTGTCAAATGGATTCAGAACTTTTGTATTATCAAAAATCTCACCTTGGGCGAAGGGCTGAAAACATTGCAGGCAAAAGAATCAAAGTACAATGGGCTGGGGGCAGTGGCTCACACCTGTAATCCCAGTTCTTTGGAAGGCCTAGGCAGGTAGATTGTGTGGACCCAGGAGTTTGAGACAATCCTGGGCAACATAACAAAACCCCATCTCTACAAAAAACAAAAAAAATAGCCAGGTGTGATGGTGCATGCCTGTAGTCCCACCTACTCAGGAGGCAGAGGTGACACTTGAGCCCAGAAGGTAGAGGTTGCAGTGAGCTGAGATCACGCCACTGCACTCCAGCCTGGGCAACAGAATGAGATCCTATTTCAAAAAAAAAAAAAAAAAAGCAGAGTACAATGTAATGGTGAGAGATGGGAAGCATTTTTAAGAGGACCGCAAAACAACTTCATGAAAATCACCTTGTACTTTACAATTATATATTTAATATTTAGTTTCATTCATGAGATAGAGGGGTAATCGGTAATGTGGGAAGAGTATTAAAACTAGTGTTGGAAGCTGGGTGCGGTGACTCATGCCTGTAATCTCAGCACTTCCGGAGGCTGAGGCGGGTGGATCACCTGAGGTCAGGAGTTCGAGACCAGCCTGGCCAACATGGTGAAACCTTGTCTCTACTAAAAAATACAAAAATTAGTCAGGCGTTGTGGCGCATGTCTGTAATCCCAGCTACTCAGGAGGCTGAGACAGGAGAATCACTTGAACCCGGGAGGCAGAGGTTGCAGTGAGCAGAGATCATGCCACTGCACTCCAGCCTGGGCAACAGAGCGAGACTCCATCTCAAAAAAAACTAGTATTGAAGTGAGAGGAACATAAGATCTTGGGTTCTGGGGCAAAACTGTTCAAATTCCAGTTTTATCACTTACTGACTGTGTGGCCTTGAACACCAGGCCTTAATTTCCTCATCTATAAAGTGAGCAGATAATATTATGCATCTCCTAGGGCTTTTCTAAGGAACACATAAATTAACATATGCACTTGGAAAAGTAGTTGGCATAGAGTTAAGGCTTATTAAAAAAAAAATTATATATATATATATGGCCGGGCATGGTGGCTCGCGCCTGTAATCACAGCACCCCGTCTCTACTCAGAATATAAAAATTAGCCGGGCATGGTGGCATGTGCCTGTAATCCCAGCTACTTGGGAGGCTGAGGCATGAGAATTGCTTGAACCCAGGAGGTGGAGGTTGCAGTGAGCTGAGATCGTGCCACTGCACTCCAGCCTGTGTGGCAGGGTGAGACTCCATCTCAAAAAAAAAAAAAAAAAAAAAAAACCTACTATTATAAATGCCTTAGCATCATTTGGGGAGTGTGATGTGGTATTCTGTGCTAGCTTGCTCTCAGTCAAGACAGATTGGAATTCTATCAAATTTTAAAACTCCCAACAAAGGATTAAAACAAAGAATTAAAACTCCCTTCCTCTTTCCCTACAATTTTTCTGGTATCCAGTCACCTTCTATACTGCAGTTAGGCAAAGAGAGTAAATGAACTGAAATACATGGAATCTCTAGCAAGGACCTTCATTTTAGGAACTCTAATAGTTTCCTCATCTTAGGAACCTGCTGAGAGCAGGGTGTCATATTCAGGCAGCATGCTATACATTCCTGCTACTCCCACCTCACTGTGATTGCAACTTGAGCTCTTAGGGAGCTACAACTATCAGAGGACAATCAGTAATAGTAATCGTAAATGATAATAATATCTGAGTGTATGCCAGGACTGGACTAAAGAACTCTATGATAAAGGTACTATTACTGACAGAGGATATAGCATAAAAATTATGATTGTGGGTTTTAGAGACAGACTTGTCTGGCATTGTATCTTAGCTCTATCATTACCTAATTATGTAATCTTGGCCAAATTGCCTAACCTCTTTCACCTATAGAATGGGGATAATGATAGTACTCATAGGACTTATTGGTGAGCATTTAATGAGTTGACATATGTATGGTCCTCAGAATAAGGCTGGTTTAAAATGTGGACACAGCTCAGACTGCTTGGGTTTATATCTCAGCTCTACCACTTACTAGCTGTGTGGCCCTGGGCAAGTTACCTAACTTGGTGCCTTGGTTTCCTCATCTGTAAAATGGGTGTGGCAAGAATAGTGCCTACCTCAGAGAGATTTTATGAGGATTAAATAAGATATATCTGTAAAGTACTTAAAGCAGTGGCTGGCAAATAATAACCTTCTCCATATTCTTTCACATCTCCTTCTGGGACTCCAGATGCACATGTGTTAAACCTATTTGCTGTGTCAATTTATCTTTTACTATCTTTTCTGTAATTTCCATAACTTTGGGCTTAAGTCTGAGTATTTTCTTCTGACCCATCTTCCAATTTGTTAAATCAGAAATAAATAAGTGAATGGACACTCTGGGCATGATATATACTCAATGAATGTTAGCTGTCGTTATTAACCCCAATATAACATTGGAGGAAACTGAAACTTAGGGAGATCAAATATGTTTTCAAGGTTATACAGCTAGCAGGTGGTACAGCCAGCATTTAAACACAGAGTCCTTAGACTTAGTTACCTTAATTATACTCTATTGCAATTACTGGAAAACTGGTAGGACACTGCAGATGTTTTGTGATTTACCTTGTTCTTGAGGGTTAATACTGGCTTTATGTGTGTGTGTGTGTGTGTGTGTGTGTGTGTGTGTGTGTGTGTGTGTTTTAAGGGCTTTGTCAGAATGGGGATCATTTCAATCTAATCCACTCTGCCTACACCATGTTTAATTTTGCTCAAAATATCTCCCAAATAGAAAGCTTAATCCTCATTTGTTATTCTGTAAATGCCATCAGTGGCAGCTCCCTACCCACAAGGAGATGAGAAGTGAAGCTAACAGTTTTCAAGCAAGCAGCCTGTGAGTCCAAAATTAACCTCATGCTGCTGCCATCCTTGAGCCCTGAGGCTGAGATGTGGCTCTGGTGGAGGAAATGAATGAATCACCTTTTTTTTTTTTTAAATTAGTCTTTAGCTATTTGAAGCATCACCACTTTAAATAATGAAAGGAATTCAAAGGAAAAAAAATTAAAGAAATAGTAATTTCTTTCTTTGTTGATAAAGCCCAAATACATCTATATTAACTTGCTGAGAAAGAAGAGAGCAAAAACCTTCAGATGATTCTCTAAGAACAGTTCTGCTTAACTAAAAGGCATAGATAGCTGGAAATCAGATATAAAACTGGAATGAGAGCAGACTACAAGGAAAGTATAATTATTATTTTGTCAAACCATCTGCTTCCCATCAAACACACAATACATACAAATATTATCCTTTATGCAGTAAATTTAGTGATTTAATTCTGAGTCTCCAATCATCAGGGTTTTTTTCATTTTATTTTTTTCCTAAAATATTATCTATTCTATCAGCTTTGCTTATCACTTCTACATATTGAGGACTAAGCTCTGATTTTTTATTTTGCCTAAATTCCTATCTAAGGGGCCTGGGGAGTCATGCCCTACAAACCATAAATTCTCATCAGATGGGTTTTATTTGACCCTATATATTGTGACTAACTTTTCAATCTGACTCTGGCATAACATTGTGAGACAAGGAAAAAATGTTTTACCCGAAAATATATTTCTTTGCCATACCTTGAAATTGCCCTGCAAAGTCTCTTGTGGGAAAAATCCACATTCTGTAGAGAATATGGATTTCTCCTTTGTTTTCCTTTGTTTCTTTCCAGATCCAGGAGGTAATCAACTAAGAGCCAGGCACTCTTTTAAGTCTGATAAGAAATATTTTACAACCTGCTGTCTCTCTGAAGTCTGCTATCTGAGAGATTCCTCTGCACAATAAAACTTGGTCTCCACAGTCATTTATCTTAACCTGAATATTCCTTTCCATTAATCCCAGGTCTTCAAATAAACTCAACAAATTGTCAACCAGAAAATGTTTAAATTTACCTATAGCCTGGAAACCCCCACACCACCACCCCACTTTGAGTTGTTCTGCCTTTCTGAACCAAACCAATGTATTTCTTAAATGTATTTAATAGGCCGGGCATGGTGGCTCACACCTGTAATCCCAGCACTTTGGGAGGCTGAGGAGGGTGGATCATGAGGTCAAGAGATCGAGACCATCCTGGCCAACATGGTGAAACCCCATCTCTACTAAAAATACAAAAATAAATTAGCCCGGCGGGGTGGCGCGAGCCTGTAATCCCAGCTACTTGGGAGGCTGAGGCAGAAAGTATTGCTTGAATCCAGGAGGCAGAGGTTGCAGTGAGCCAAGATCGCACCACTGCACTCCAGACTGGGGACAGAGCGAGACTCCGTCTCAAAAAAAAAAAAAGTATTTGATTGATGTCTCACGCCTCCCTAAAAATATACAAAACCAAGCTGTATCCCAACCACCTTGGGCACATGTTCTCAGGACCTCCTGAGGATTGCGTCACAGGCCATGGTCACTCATATTTGGCTCGGAATAAATCTCTTCAAATATTTTAGAGTTTGACCCTCTTCGTCAACAAGAAGACATCTGAATTTGTGTATCTTGTGTCTTTTATCTGCAACTACTTCTTGGAAATATCTGCTTCCTTATCCTGCCACCAGCCCAAATCAATTATATTTAAAAGTGAACATAATTCCACCCAGCGCGGTGGCTCACGCCTGTAATCCCAGCACTTTGGGAGGCCGAGGCGGGTAGATCACGAGGTCAGAAGTTCGAGACCAGCCTGACCAACATGGTGAAACCCCATCTCTAATAAAAATACAAAAATTAGCCTGGCTTGGTGGCACGTGCCTGTAATCCCAGCTACTCAGGAGGCTAAGGCAGGAGAATCACTTGAACCCGGGAGATGCAAGTTGCAGTGAGCCGAGATCACGCCACTGCACTCCAGCCTGGGCAACAGAGCAAGACTGTCTCAAAAAAAAAAAAGTGAACGTAATTCCATTCCCATCTAGAATGTAGAAAGCTGGAAAGAAGTTTGCTTCCATCCTAACAAAAAGAAAACACAGATAAATCAACATAATCATAACTTTTCTTAAACCCATCAAGGATCTGCTATCACAGGGCAACAAAGTATACTGAAATCCAAAGAGAGACAGAAACTTCCAAGGAGTGATAAGTGGGAATATTGACTCACTCGTGGCACAGCCTAGGAGGAAGAAACCCCAGGTGCCATGCAAGCAGATAAGAAGAATACAAGCATTTTTTAAGGATATTGCTAAAAGCTCAGTGTGAGCTAGTGAGAGAATTTAGAATCCCTGGAAGCTGCAGACACAAAGGGAAATCATACCTACTTGCAGGCTCTTCTCTGTGCATATCCATTTGGGGTATATAGTAAATAGGTGTTCAAAATATGTGTAGTGGAGAGCACATGGTGTCTAAACAGAGCCATTCCACAGGGACAGGGAACATTTACAGGTGAAAACCAAGGACACCTTAGTGGAGAAAAAAAAAAAATGTCACAGAAGACTATATATAGCCTGAACATCAGGCACATATGCGTTTGTGTTTGGGAAGGAACATGAAGGAGTTGGTGGGGAACATGAATTCTCGTTTAATTTACCTTGGAAATGAAGGGTTTTAGGGGTCAACCATAGTGTGACTCTTCAACAATATCTAACTTGAGACATAGCAGTTGTTAGTATCATAATGGAAGGACACAGAGGAAGCAGAGTGAAATTGATACTGAGAAATGGTAGAGCAGGAAGACAATGTGTGGCAGCTTTTTAATGTGGTTGTTCCCTTCTCAAAAAACGTTTTATCTATCATCCCCATCTACCCTAGCTTCTTCCACGGTCTTGCATGTGCAAATGTCAAATCTTTGATAGATCATCTCTTTCTCCCCTTGACTGATTGGCCCGCACTAAGTTTTTACCCCATTGCAGTGCATGGGATCGAAGCACAAAATAGCCCAGGAGAGTATCCCAGGTTTGATTGATGGCTGTCCCTGTGCCAGATGCAAGCCATGCCTAACACTTGACATGGGCCTCCCATTTCTGAGGAAGCACAGTGTCATATGCCATGTTTTTCTTTGTTGGTACAGTTCTGACTCTACCACCCAAGCCACTTCATTTTAATAAACTTTCCACATTCCAAAATCAGTATTTTGTGCTGCCCATGTTAACCACTGGGGTCAATTAGCAGCTTTGTTTTAAAAACTAGAAAAATAAACACATCCTATTTTATAATAGAATTGGTATTTTGAGGGAAAAGGCTCTGAGAAAAATTTTTGAGGTTTTATCAAATCCAAAATAAAACAAGTTAAAAGAAACTTACATCATAAGCAATCAAAAACATATTATTGCTCCTTAAATCCAAATGATAACACGAACCTTTGACTGCAGGGAAGAATAGAGGAATTGTGGCAGAAAAATGAAGACTAGAGAATTTAGTCGTGTGGTTTTTTAATTTAACTTTTAATATGGGGTAAATTTGATTTGAAAGAAAACACATATAAAAGTATTTCATTTAGACTTCAGTTACACATGGGATTGCTATGTGCATTTTTTTAAGTGCACCTTGACCTACCTCAGTTCCTCCTCAGTACTAGACATGGGCATGATTTGAAGGGTACTAGAAATATCCTACAACCCAAAATAATTATCTTTATACTTTGGTACAAAAACATATCAGAGCAACCACTAGAGAGAATCTTCCTAGAATTCCATGACTGGTAAATTTCCCTGTCACCACCTTATGGGCCAAGGGTTTTTCTTTTTATTATCCTTGTATGTCTCTTGCTTTCTCTGCTTTCTGGCTCCTGTTATTTCAGCCCAGTCAGTCACTTGGGTTTTAATATGACATTGTTCTACAGTGAGGAAATTTCAGAATATTCAGAGTCACAGGAATACAGTCTGGCTACTTAAACCAGCTTTGATGCTTCTTAACTCACTAAACCCAATTTTAATAGATTGTTCCTCAAAATTCATTGCCAGGTCAGCTGGTAATTCAGCTTTGTCCTGGCCACCAGTTACTGCTTTCACTCCCAACTGAAGATATAATGTTCCCCGCAACCTTCGGATACTGCTTGGGCAGTTGTATTTAATATTTGGATTCCATCCTAAAGCTCTTTATCAAATTTCTCATCTCAAGGTTCCTTCAGTCTGCTTAGATGAAGTGATTGAAGCTGCTGCTTCTTTTCAAGGCTTTTCTAGATAACTGATCTATATAAAGCTTATGCCCTTCTCTCATTGGACTCTCCAAGCATCCTTACAACCTCCTGTCTCTGCTCCAGTTTCCCATGCTTCCTGAGCTTTTCCCAAGTGTTTCTCTAAGTAACATCCAGATTTAATTCTATCCATCCTTTTCTCTCATACTTATATCTCTAGTCTTCTCCTGTCAGTATTTTCAGAACCTTCATCCTATACCACTTGGTACAACATAAAGCCCATTTACATCTCAATTATTACTGCCTCCATATAGACAGGAGTACTACATCCTTAAACCCACACACTCATTGAGGGAAGAGTTATCTTTTTGAATCACAAGTTTTAACCAACCAAAACCTGGTTAGCAACAACAATTACATTACAACTGAGCACCTGATTGAGATAAGAAGGTCTTATTATAGGGCATGGACTAGAGCCAGGGAGTAGAGATACTGGAAGAAGAGTGTAGTAATTCATTAAGAGTGTAGTAATTCATTAAGAGTGTAGTAATTCATTAAGGCTCCAAATAGGATATAGCTATCCTATATATAATTATATATCCTATATATAATTTGGGGGTAAAATCAAGGAAAAGTTAACTTGATATTAAAACTAATAAAAATTAGATGCACCTGCAGAAATAACTCCCATTAAGTGGTTTATAAACAAGCTCAAATAGAGCCACTGTCTCTTAGTCCAATTAAGGAAGTCGCTGGATTTTTCAAAAAGCTGTAGTGTACTCAGTGATGTTGTCAAATGCCTCAGATTACTGTTGTGCTGCCATACAGGAGGAGAAAAGAAATGCAAGAAAACAAATTGATATTAGTTTTATCCAGCCTTTCCAGAGGGAAGGGCACTTTCACTTTAGAAGACCAATGTCAATGTCTACGTAAGAATACACCTAAAATAGACCAGGGCAAGCTACATCTAATTTTATAAAAATAGCCAGTAATTATATCTAACGATTGTTGTTGCAATTATTTTCATCAAGTGTTGTAGTAGGCAGAAAGAACTAGGAAGAGGAGTGCCTAGGAATGTCATGGAGAGGAAAATAATGCACATTTATTTAGTTCAAGATGGAGAAATAAATTCCCAAATGGAAGTTTTCAAGAGAGATGCAGCTCAGGAGTGGGTGAACAGAAAGAAAGACTGGAGAAAGGCAAGGGTGACCTACTGATAAGAGAACGTTAGGATGAGACATAATCACAGGGAGTGCATTTGTAGATAAATACTGAATCTGAATGCTTGAGTGAAGAGGAAAATTGAGAGAAGATGTCCCATGGAGAGGTTGCCATAGTAAGCATTTTTCCAAATGAAGTTGATGCTTTGTTATGTCAAGTGATGGAGGGGTAAGCATTTATGAGTATAACCAGTCAAATAAAGTAGGAGATAGGGAATAGAATGAGATTCATTGGATGGGTCAAATCAGCTATAAAGACACATTGTGTAAATGCTGCTAAAACTTTGCTACTAATATAAGGTGAGAAATAAATTCCCAAATTTTAGTCTTTGAGTTCTACCCTCATCATCTTTGCCATATTCTCATACCATTCTTATCTGCTTAATATAATTATTTAAAACAATTAAAAAAAATTTTACACTTTAGCTTCATTCTAAGCCACAATATCTAGGACACCAGGAGTTTGATAAGCTAGTTAGGTCTTTTGCTAACACACATTAACATAAATGTATAACTTTAAAAATAAAAGCTCTTCACCTGGGTAAAAGCTAAAATCAACCTATGTACTACTGGTGATACCAAGATCCCATTCTGAGAAACCCTGAAATACATATTGTTTGTCCACAGTAATGTTGTAGTTTGGAGTGCAGGAAGGGAAGTATTAAATGCACTTAGGACTCACTTCACTTTTGCTTCAGACTTGATCTTGCTTTTGTTTGTTTGTTTGTTTGTTTGAGATGGAGTTTCACTCGTTGCCCAGGCTGGAGTGCAATGGCACGATCTTGGCTCACTGCAAACTCCACCTACTGAGTTCAATCGATTCTCCTGCCTCAGCCTCCCAAGCAGCTGGGATTATAGGCATGCGCCAACATGACCCACTAACTTTTGTGTTTTTAGAAGAGATGGGGTTTCACTAAGTTGGCCAGACTGGTCTTAAACTCCTGACCTCAGGTGATCCGCCCCCATCAGCCTCCCAAAGTGCTGGGATTACAGGCATGAGCCAAGGCGCCCAGCCTCTCAATCTTGCTTTTTTGAGAGAAAAAAGCAGGAGAAAATAAAGTATCACTAACTTCCTCCTACGTGGATGGCTCCAGAGCTTATTTTAAGTTATTGAAACTGCTGGATTACTGGAAGTATAAGCCCTCTAGAGGAGCAGCAGTTTGGTAACTGGGCTTTAGATTAAGAGAAAAGCATTATCTTCTCTGATATGGGTAAAACTACAGGTCTTCTGATAGATTCTCCTAGATAGATACTCTGAATATACTTCTATCAGGGCTACAAAGGAGAAAAGCTATATGGGAATGAACAGGTACCTATTGAAAGACAGACCTCTTTGAGGAAAATCAACTAATATTTATGCAAGTACACTCATACTGTGAGTTAAGAGAGGCAGGTGAAGATCCCTCCTACCTGGACCCATCACACACCCTTCTACTGTTTTCACCATAGTGCAGCACCAACAATTTGTTCTCTCAAGTGGATTTACCACTAAGAGAAAGAAGCTGTAGCAAATAGCCAATACTGGCATCTGGGGAGATGTAAATTCTGCCTCCTATAAGTTCTGAAATTGGCCTCCTGACTTATAAAGCATCCTTTTGTGAGTTAAGTTAGAATGAAAGTGTTCCCCCTAAACTTGCACACTTTGTAGGAAGTGAAAAAAAAAATCTAGTTTTTAAGCCCAGAAAGCTAAAAGTCAATGATTCCTCTACCAAGAAAATTTATATCACTTGTATTTGGGGCCCAGTCTAGTTAGAGGGATGTGCTTTCTTTGAAACTTCAGTAAGTACAATAGATACTAAAAACAAACTTAATCTCTAGTCTAATTTTCCAAAGGCTGGCCTTGTCTATTGGATATCATTATGAAGGCAGTCCTACTACATTTCAAAGCTATCACTTATATCTTACTGGTGGAGGCTCTGTCATGATATTCAATGAAAGCTATTCACTAATGAAGCTGTTTAAGAAATAAAATGAGTTTATGTGGCAGGTAAAGTATTTTCAACACAGCAAAGACTGGTTTGTGCTGCAAGTCTTCATTTGGTAAGAAGCTTGGCACCTTGTCCTTGAACCATCTGTCTATCTTCCAAGTCCAAGGGATATGCTGACCTTCTTGTTAAATTGTCTTTTGCTCACTTAGCTCATCAGTTAACATTTTCTGTTAATTAGATGCTAAGAGGACAATGTGATGTCTAGGTAGCAGAACTCAGGACCAACATCTAATTATATAGTACTGAAAACAAAAAGTCTTTGGCACTAGGTAAGTGCTCTCTGGAGCAGATTAGTGCATAAACTATATTCCTTTTCAACATTTCATTTCAGTTAGTCATGCTGAAAACTTCACATAAGTATTTGATGTCATAAAACTCTTAGAAGAAAACATAATGGTAAATCTTTAGGACCTTGGATTTGGCAATGAATTCTTAGATATGACACCAAAAGCATGAACAACAAAACCAAATTGGACTTTTTCAAAATCTAAAGCTTTTGAGCATCAAGGGACATTATCAAGAAATTGAAAAGACAGCTCATATAATAGGAGAGCATATTTGCAAACCGTATATCTGACAAAGGAATTATTTCCAGAATATATACATAACTCAACAATAGAAAGACAAACAACCCAATTTAAAAATGGACAAAGAGGCCAGGTGCGGTGGCTCACACTTGCACTTCCAGCACTTTGGGAGGCCAAGGTGGGTGGATCACAAGGTCAGGAGATCGAGACCAGC
The DNA here is from genome assembly GCF_000001405.40 of Homo sapiens. Taxonomy (NCBI): domain Eukaryota; kingdom Metazoa; phylum Chordata; class Mammalia; order Primates; family Hominidae; genus Homo; species Homo sapiens. The sequence continues at coordinate 103,456,351 of NC_000008.11, read as the reverse complement.
CTGGCCAACACAGTGAAACCCCGTCCCTACTAAAAATACAAAAATTATCTGGGTGTGGTGGCAGGCGCCTGTAATCCCAGCTACTCGGGAGGCTGAGGCAGGAGAATCTCTGGAACCCAGGAGGCAAAGGTTGCAGTGAGCCAAGATTGCGCCACTGCACTCCAGCCTGCGCAACAGAGCTAGATTCTATCTCAAAAAAAAAAAAAAAAAAAAATAGGCAAAGAACTCGTATAGACATTTCCCTAAAGAAGATATGCAAATGGCCAACAAGCACATGAAAAGATGCTCGACAGTGTTACTCATTAAGGAAATGCAAGTCAAAACAACAATGAGATGCAACTTTATATTTACTTGGATGGCTATCATTTTCTTTAAAAAGCAAAATAAGCATTGGTAAGGATGTGAACAAATTGGAACACTTGTACGTTGCTAGGGGTATGTAAAATGGTGCAGCTGCTACAGCATTTACATACAACAAACAGTATGGTTGTTCCTCAAAAGGCTAAACATAAAATCGCCCTATGACCCAGCAATTCTATTCCTGGGTATATAGACAAAAAAATTTAAAATAAGTACTCAAATTCTTGTACACGAATGTCTACAGCAGCACTTAGTCACAATGGCTCAAAGGTGAAAACCACATAGATGTCCGTGAATGAAAGAATGGATAAACAAAATGTGGTATATGAACACAATGGAATATTATTCAGCCATAAAAAGAAACGAAGTACTGATATATGCTATGACATGGATGAACCTCGAAAACAGTATGCTAAGTAGAAGCCAAACACAAAAGTTCACATATATGATTCCATTTTGTTGAGATATCCACAATATGTAAATCCATAGAGACAGAAAGCAGATTAGTGATTGCGTCAGGCTGGAAGGAGAGAATAATTTTGAGTGACTGGGTTTTTTTTTTCTTTTCTTTTTTTTTTTTTTTTGTAGAGATGGAGTCTCACTCTGTCGCCCAGGCTGGAGTGCTGGAGTGCTGGAGTGCTGGAGTGCTGGAGTGCAGTGGTGCGATCTCGGCTCACTGCAACCTCCGCCTCCCGAGTTCAAGCAATTCTCCTACCTCAGCCACCCGAGCAGCTGGGACTACAGGCGCACGCCACTATGCCCGGCTAATTTCTTTTGTATTTTAGTAGAGACGGGGTTTCACCATGTTGCCCAGGCTGGTCTTGAACTCCCAAGCTCAGGCAATCCACACGCCTTGGCCTCCCAAAGTGCTAGGGTTACAGGCGTGAGCCACCACACTTGGCCAATATGTACAGGGTTTTCTTTTTGGGTGATGAAAATGTTTTGGAACTTGATAAGTTAGTGGTTGTAGAACATTGTGAATATATGAAATGTCACTGAATTGTATACTTTAAACTGGACAATTTTATGTTACGTGAATTTAACCTCAATTTAAAACAAAAAGCAGTTGGCGGTTGTTATTGAATGATCTGATGTGGAAATTTGAAGCCAGAATCAGCGAACAATTGATGGAGAATTGGTTCAGAACAGGTGGCATTAACGAACTAGACTGGCTATCTGAAGTGACTGTGAGATCATGGGGAACTTGATAGTGTCAGATGACAAAGCTGATAGATACATGGCATTGCAGCTGATAGCTTAGAAACTATAGAAGTACATCTACTATTCTGTGGAGTACTTATTAGGACCAGACAAAGTCCACAAAAAAGGTGCTTTGGAAGAGTTGTACCTCATTCTACTAAAAACAGAGGAGCCTGTCAAGAGAGCGAGTTCTATTTTGTATCTATTCAATACAAAATCGAGGTAGAAGAATTAAGAATCCTTACAGAGAGGATGTACTTTCCGCTTTATAGAAGTCAGTTTCATTACCTTCCAAAGAAAATGCCTTGATATGATAAGCCACCTGAACCCTGCCCCTTCATGGTCTGTAAACGGCCTCATTTCCAAACTGGTTAAAAGTTATTATCACCCAGAGGATGATTACTGAATTGTGTTACTTGCACATCTTGATGATGAACTACTGTTTGCATAATACCAAACTATCACTTCTTTTTCATTCTTTCGAAAGGTCCAGCTTACTTACTGAATCAAAGAAAAGTTATAATGATTATTACAGATAGAACAGTCTCACCTAAAATAGATAAGAAATGAAATGGAAAGTATTCACTTACCCTTTGGAGTGGGGGGTGGCTTTTAGACTGAAACTTAAAAACAAGTCTTGTCATTAGGATGTTTTCTTGGTTGTTAAGTATTCAGAAAATCAAACTAACACTGGCTTAAGCTGAAAGTAATTTATTTGTCTCTTATAATTAGAAGACAGGAGACAGCAGGTTGGATCTCCTGGTGAATGATGTCCTAAAAGACCCTGGCCTTTTCTATTTTTTCATTCCACCATCCTTCACCTTATTCTTTTGGACTCATGGTCACAATATGGTCACCACAGTAACAGGTATCAGGTTCACATTTAAAGCATAAAGAAGTGGAGGGGGAAGAGGTAGCACCAACAACATCTGTTCCTTTATTAAGAAAGAAATGCTTTCCTAGAAAAAGAAACCTCACAGTAGACTTCTGCTTATGCCACATTGGCCAGAACAGGTTCACATGGCCACCCCTAGGTGCAAGGGAGGTAGAAAAAAAATACTCAGCATTTTCAGCCTCTCTAGTGGAGGACTGCAGACAGAGAAGAGGGCTGGGAATGGGGTTTAGGCTAGCCAGCTTTCACTATTTCCCACACTCTTCCTTGTACAAATGTAAAAGAGATTCTTAGACGAAGAAATAAAATAACTGATTTTAGGCCTAATGAACAAGAACATGAACAATGTTGTGATTTTTATTTCAGCTGTCAACCTAGGAAGTATGTAGTGGCTTAAGTTTCACTACATCACAGGAAAAAAGAAAACTGACATTCTACCCTTAATGATTTGTGGCCTTACTTTTCAGGTCCTAAAAGATCTTGATGTATATTGATCTATTTGGTTTTACTACATTTAAGAGAAAGACACTGCAGGTTGGGGATGGGGGAGATGAGAAACAAGCTACATGACCATTTACTCACCTAAATTTAGAACTTTAAGGGGTCATGATTTGGAATCCAGGATATTTGGTAAGACACTCTTTCTCTACTATTTTCCCTACTTTTAAATGCCCAGTTAAATACACGCACACACACACACATGCAAAGTGATATAAACATAGTCACCAGCATAGGAGAAGAAAGCAATTTTCTAAACGTTGGTCTGGGCAAATTAAGGTTGTGACTGAATCCCCAATGTCAGGAAAATTATTATTTCCCTGGGGAATACAAATCTCTTTTAAGTTATCACACCTAAAAACTGGATTTATGCACCAATATTTCAGGGAACAGTGGTCAGATTTATGACATAAAATTCATTCAATTTATAAAATAATCCAGCTTCCTCTTTGTTATCCACAGAACCTATCTTACCCGACCAGACAAAATAAGCTTAACCTTGACAAATTTTCTCCCTGCAGCAAATGCTTGCATCAACTGGCAGATTTTCCCAGCTGTGTATTTGTAATTACTTTCTGAATTTTGAAGAACAGATTAAATGACTACATAAGGATCTGAATATTACCATTCACAAATCTTTGTGCTAACTGATTACTATGAGTTATTATTAAATGGGTTTTCCATGTTTCATAAGCATTTCCTGTGCTGGTGCAGCTTTTGTGATACTGCATATTGCCTCTGACAAATGATTCAAAAAATAAAATATTAGCTTTAAAGAAAATGAAACCAACTATATGGTAGAGTAGCTTTCAAGGAAGACTTTTATAGTATCCTAGGGGGAAGAACTTTAAAAACACATTTTCCAAGGCAAAAAGCACATAAATGTTAAAATAAGTTTTACTAAAGGAACAAAAGCCTTTATGGAATTCAACATTTATAGGTTTAACATTTCAGCTTTAAAAACTTGGGTTACAACTGTGATAGAAATTATCTGTAAATACCACTTACAGGCAAAATATATTCTCTTATAGTAGGTTGAAATGGTCTTCTAATCAGCTAGCCAAAGGGCACAGTTTATCTCTATGGCAACCATCTTTTTCATTTATTGCAATCTCTGAAGAAAGAACACACTATGTACAGCTGGGTAATGCAGTTGTCCTAGACTTCAATAAATTTGCTTTTCCATGCTATTTACAGATTTCTATCATATCTACAATCTTAGTCATTAAGGTTGAGAGATACACAGGGTCTTCATAAAGTTCTTCTACAGATATGTGGTAATATTAATCCCCTTTGACAAACTCCTACAGTACAATGTTTTATGTTTGGAAAGTACATTCTAATCACTTCCATTTATCTTCTCAATATCCGTAAGATGGAATAACTTCTGGACAGGGAAAGTGCTGGTTAATATGGAAGGCAGAGGAGGCTGCTGCCTTTCACAGAGATTTTATAACAACAATAGGAGGTTGAGAAGACAGATCATCTTGTCACAAATGCCATAATAAAGGGGACAGCCAAGGACGCCAAACTGAGAACCTAATATTGGAACCCAGGGAAAGAGTTAGACCTACTAACTTTTGAGTCCAGAGAGAAAAGCCCGTGATTGTTGAGCTTAGTGTGCTGGGCACTGGTATAGTAGTTTACATACTTTATTGTCACTGAAATCTCATAACAGTCCTGTAAAGAAGCTATTATTTCCCTCATTTTTCAGATAAGGACAGGAGGTTTATGGAAATTTCTTAATAAGGGTTAGGTATCTTTTCTGCTATTATCCATTATGATGATATTTAATGAATGGTGACCATTCATTCACTCATTCTGTATTCCTGCTACAAATATTTAATGTACAACTATTTAATGCAAGGCACTGTGCTAGTCATTGAGCAAATCAAAATAAACAAGGCCACCATAAGCCCTACCGTCATAGAAGTCTTTGCTAGTCTATGTAGCACAGAGTCTGTGTTCAAAATGATAATAGCAAATACTTGCATAGCATGTATTATATACAGGTGCTGTTCTGTTTGACATATATTACTTCATTTAATTCTAACAGCCCTTTAAGGTAAGTATTTCTACTGTCTTACAAATGAGGAAACTCTGTCATGACTAGAGGTTGAGCAATCTACTCAAAGTTACACTCCTTGTCATTGGCAAAGTCAGGATTTGAATTCAGTGGTAGGAATGTGGGAAGGGGCAGGAGTTGAGAAAAAAAAATGGTCTTGGGAAGAACAAGACACAGTTACCAAAAAAAAAAAAAAAAAAAAAAAAGAGAGAGAGAGAGAGAGAAGGAAATGTACAGCCCCAATAGGAGGAAAAAAATTCCTATCCAAACCAGAAGCAGCAGCTCAAATGCAAAATACTCAGATCAAGATAGTACAGGGCTTACCTTCTTTGCAGCATTCCCCACCAATTTTTTTTTTTAAGAAAAATAATTCTTAGGAAGGCAAGATTTACTTAAGAAAAGCTAATTAGTTAGAACCCTCTCTAATGTAACTTCTAAAAGGTAGGTTTCTAGTTAATTGGCCAAGGACTATACACATCTAGGTTACAGCATCAGAAACTGACTTTTGCTAACTTCAGTAGAAAAGGAATTTGTTGCAAAGGTATAGGATGGCTCACAGATTGGACAGGAAGGCTGGATTTGAAGGCTAGAAATGTGATAGGGGCCAGGGAAGGTTAGGGAGAAGGAACCAGGCCAAGGTCCTACTGCAGGAATGGTCTGTTTGGGATGTCTCAATGAACATGACTGCCACTGCTGTAACTAGATGAACCTCCCTGTCACTTCAAAGCTGTCTCTGCACACTGGCTTCACTAACCCCAGATGCAAAGTCCTGGGCAGGAACATCCAATTGGCTTTGCCCCTAAGGGAGTGGGGAAAGGAAGTCTCTGGCTCCATCATTTCCAAGAATTACATAGTACGGATTCCATCAAAATAGATGCTGTGCAGCCAGGGAAAGGACAAATGTTCATTCACACTGCTTATGATAATTTATAAAAGTATTATGGTAATAAAGGGGTAGAATTTCAGCCAAGGATTTCAGAAATGTTTTTAAGGGCAGCAAAAGAGCTCTGCCCATGAGTTACCTCCACTGATCAACTCAAATAACAAACACCACTCAGGCCTACCCTTGACTTTCTTAGATCTTGAAGCAGATATCTTTGTCAAGATTGCTACTTGCCTAGGGCACAGCATTGTCTCATTAGAAATCCTCAGCTCTAAAGACGTGGGTGTGCCCACCTTCATACACCCATTTGACATAAGACATGACTGAATTTCAGAGGTGTTTTGCCCTACAAGCACTTACTAGAGACATAATTGATTATTATAGAATACCAACAGATTTGGAGCAATTAATTTCTTCTACCTTATTTACTCTAACTTAAGCAAAACATGATTAGTAAAAGTATTTTAAGATATGTATTTCCTCTAGAAAATATTTCACATTTTTTTCTCATAAAATGAATCATAGTGATTTGAAAGTCCCAGATGGATAAATAGGAAACTTGTTACAGCTGAAATTGAATTCATTCATTATAAATCAGATTGGATAATGCTATTCAAAGCTTCATATTTCACCTGGAAAGAAATCTAATTAACAAGATTGCTTTTTACAAATTAATTTCCTGACCTATTTTCTTATAGAGTTGAAACTAAACTCAAATATATTTGTTCTAATTACTTAATACTTATATTCGAGCTTGAAACTCTTATATTTGGGATTCTATAAGCCGTGATAACACACGTAAAACCAAGTGAATTTTACAATTAAAATTAGAAATACTGAGAGTAGCTTTGAGGAACATGTATTATCATGCCAAACGCAATATTTGGGCTTATCTTCCTCCCAATTCTAATTGTTTAAGGGAACTTTTGTGTGATGTTTTGATTAAGAAGTCCTTGAGGGAAACAAGTATCTTCATAAGGAAGTTCAAGGTGTTAAAACCAACAAAAACCTTCATAAATGATGCAAAGCAAGGCTTCCTGAATGTGTTAGCTGGAGAGCAACACTTCTATATAAAGCTTCTATTTCATCCCTGCTAAAGTGAAGATAAAATTCCCTTTGAGATAATTATGAAGTCTGCAAAATTTGTGTTCTTCTCAGATGCAATGCATGCTAAGACCTCAGCTCTTGCTTGGCCAATTAAGGGTTGCATTTACTGGGAATGCCTGCAGTACTCTCAGCAGTGTGGTTTTGCAAGTTTGGGCAGAATTCAGGGGTTCATTGGTGGTTGGCCAGAGCACAGAGGGAGGGTTTCTGTGTGGTAGTTCAATTTAGGAACCAGGAAAGACATATACCAAAGTGTCCATTATGCTAGTAATAAGCCAGGCATGGCTGGCAGCCATGAGGAAGCAGATTTGGTAGGAGCTAGTCAGGGTTCCATGACACTACTCAACACAGGGGCTCAGGGTGGAGCCACTTGGAGAAAAGATGGCAATTGGGGTCTACACCCAGACCTGGGAGACACTGAGGGTCTAGGGAGCTTAACTGGATTCCAAGCCCTCATTATACTTCTTATTTCATTCAGTAGCACCAGAGGCAAGACTGAGCCTAAGAGCTGTTTTTTGGGGTGTATGTCAGAAAGCCTAGGATTATGGATCTAGGAAAACAGGCAGTGGAAATAAAGTTAAGATTTGCCCCTCTTCCAGTGCCCTTTATTGACTCGGGGCCACCTGTGCTACTTTCTTCTTAGTTTCTTCACCTCCCTCCCCATGTGAAAATACTGATTTGGTATTGCTATTTATTTTGATGATTAACTGATATGTACTGAGCATTTTATAGGCTTGCCTACCCACAGCTCATTTTGAAGACCCCCTACTTCTAGCCCAAGCTAAGACAGCTGTCAAAGGTAGACATCTGAAAGCCGCTAACCAGGACCTCTGATGGAACACTGCTACAAAAGACCCTGCCCCTAAATACACGTTTCTAGCTAAGTTTTCTTCTCTTAGGAACTGAAACTGAAAGACAGACGTAAGTGGATAATTGATGGGGCACTGGAACTGCAAAGTCATGTCAAGTCAGTCTGGGGCAGCCATTTTGGGACATGAAGAGCTGAAGCTATGGAAGAGTAGAAATTGGGAGCAAGGACAAGATAATTAGTAGAAAACGTACAGAATAGCGGCACAGAAAGTCTCATTTTTGTGGCTATCTACTGTCCAGCCCCAGAGTCCTGGATGTCTGGCCCAGCTGTATTGGGGTTCCTGTACTTGGGTTTCTGTGTGAGATTCCTGCTCACAAACTGCTTGAAATGCCTTGAGGAAAATATCATTCCCTGTAACAAAATGATCCCCAGTCTACAAGAAAACTATTTACTCAACTAACCATTGTATTTTTAATCTTTGTGTTCAGTTGCAGCAAAGATGTTTTATTCACTGAAGGCAGAAGACAGAATCATAAAATCATCCAGGCCTATTTTTAAAGCTGGCCCTACAGATAAAACTGATTTTCTCCTTGGGTGGATGAATTATGGAGGGTAAAGAGCAGAAGATTGTGTGTGTGTGTGTGTGTGTGTGTGTGTGTGTGTGTGTGTGTGTGTGTGTGTGTGTGTGTGTATTGTATATATTTTGCTGCTGGCTTTCCCTCTGTTCCTTTAAGTATGCACGGGCATGTGTGTGCACCTGCTGTAAGCCTACTTCTGTCGCTGCTGGCTGATCTTGCCATGGGCCCATCCATCCACAGGATTTGCAACACACTCAGCTCTGGCTCCGTGCCTCCATTTCTCACACCCACCTTCATTTTTACCTAATACTTGCCCTTTTTTTCCTCTTCCCTAAGACCCCCTAGATCTATATTTTGTGCTTTCTGATCCATTAATCTTAAGTACCCTAATGAAGCTTCTATCCCATAAGTCGCTTATCTCTCTGGAGAATATTAGCCCAAATCTTATAGTTGACCCTTAAATGACATGGATTTGAACTGCACAGCTCTACTCATGCAGAAATTTTTTTCAAACAGATAAAAAACACAGTATTCATGGGATGCGAAACATGCATATACAAAGGCCCAACTTTCTCATACCCAGGGGTTCCACAGAACTGACTTTGGGGACTTAAAAATGTATGGATTTTGGTATGTGCAGGACAGGGTTGTAGGGTCCTGGAACCCATCCCCCATGTATACAAGGGACAAATGTGAATTATTTGACCTAAGATAATGACTTTCTGATACAGATTGCTGGAATTTTCTTTCATTAACAGTGCCATATCTGAATGATGGATCACAGATTTTGAAAACAGCCCTACTGTATTTCTACTCACTCATGCAATATCCCAGAATCAAACGGTGTTTGATAAATGCCATTTACCTCTGAAGGGCTTCTTTCCCCAGCAGGAAGTCAGGCTTTCCTCTTGGGCACTACTATAGTATCCTGCTAAGACATCATAATGTGCTGCAATTACTTGTTTTCATGTTTATTTCCTTTGAGACTGAGCTCTTTTAGAATCTTTTATAGATTCAGTGCACAGTACTGAGACTAAATATGGATTATAATAGGACCTTCCTTTTGTGGTTCTTAGAATTAAATTAAGTGCATGTAAAGCATCTGCAGTGTTGTAGATGTCCAATAAACATCAGCTGCTATTGTTAATAGTATTAATTTAATAAAACTTGTGCCCTTACACCCAGGTTTCTGTCTTGGCTATCCCTGTGGATGGTATGTCATGCAGAGACAGGGAACATAGGAGATGAAATTTAGGGGCTGGAGCAAAATAATGAGCTCATTTCTGGATACTGGCTTCAGTGCTTGTGAAGACATCTGGCCACGAAGCTGGTATTGCCTTTGACTTAAAAAAACATACACACCTAGCTGGGACTCAATACATGTTGACTAAATGAAAAAATGCTCATTCAATAAATCATTAATTCATCCAGGTTCTTGGCCCTGACTTAATCTATTTAAATAATTTTAAGGGAAGGGAATCAAAGCAAACAATGTTTACTTTAAAATGTATGCACCATTAGCACTACTAGGAGTGTCACAATACCCCAAAACTGGAAAACACTGATCCATGTTTCAAAATCCTCGAATTAACTACTGATTTGGTATTTTCTAATATGGGACTTTAAGGCCCTGTATGAATTACCGATGTTCACTGGGTAGCAATCAATTTTGAATTTATTGCTCAAACATTCAAGCTGACCACGAATGTTCCCTAAGAACAAGATGTCTTGATTTCCTGATTAACTCTTCTTGCCCATGATAACCCTTAAGTCTTTCCCCCTCCTTTTCTCTAAAAATATGATGATGAATGGGGAATATAAAAGAACAGATTGCATAGCAACCTGCTTTCTCTGGGTCCATCAAAGAGAAGAGTCAAAACAGTGACCAAGTGGCAAGACTTAATAACAAGGCATTTGATATAACTTTTCTTACCTGAAGGGCTACTGTAAATCCTTTATATTTACTTATGTTTCTTTATCTCTGTAAGTAACCCTTTCCTGTTGCCACCATCCTTATTTTCTTCCTCAGGATTCTACCCTAACAACCTCAGTCCTTAAAACATACCTGTGCATTTTATTCTGTAAGATTTTTACTCATAAAGTTGCATTTCAAAATGATCAAAACCATGCTCCCATTTCTAGATGAGTAAAAGACTTGATTATAGAAAACAGCTCAGGTCTTTAACCAGTCAGGTTCTATTGTGTGAAAGTCACTGAAACATCACTATGGAAACCACAGCTTGTAGCAGGAAGTAGTGCCAGTGACTCAGCAGGTGGAACAACTTCAAGGCAGTACTACCAAATGCCCTGACAAGATGCCAGGCAAACATCTTACTACAGTCCATTCATTTTTTAGGTGGTATATAAACTGGGCTAAGGTACACTCAGATTTTAGATGAGCCAAAACATGAGCAGGAAAAGCAGAAAAAGAGAAGATCAGAGTGAAGTGGTGAAAGGGAAAGGTAAAAAAAGTAAGGTAAACTTCTATTTTACCAACTTTGTAAATCACTTGAAAACTGGCCCAAGTAACTGGAATTGATTACTCAAGGGAAGGCTTTAAGAGAAGGATGCTCCTTTCTGTTAGGCTTCTTTTCAGTGCCTGTAAAGGTTGACATATTGCTACATGATGAAACAGCTTTCCTACCTGGAATTATTTCCCCTTAATTAATTATAAGCTGCTCAAAATTTGCAGTGGAAGACAAAGAGGATGAGTATCTGTTGTGGTCCTTCAGGGAAAAGGGCTACTGATCACATGACCAACCTCTACCTTCTAAGAGATGTACATGGAACCATGGAGGAGTTGCTCCCAAAACCTGCGAGAGACAGATCTATGTGGTGCAAAAAGGTGGACGGTGGCAGATCTAGAAATGTGCTGCTTAGAATTTCTTCAAAAGAACTCACTACAGGAAGCCCAGTTGACTGGCAGTCCTAGATGCCACCCCTCTGGATTCACCACTACATTAGCTGCAAGGCCCCAGGGCTGCTCCCTGCCTTGGACAGCACAGTGATGATATGAGTGCAAGCACAACACAAACTCCTCTGGCTGGCAACTTTGGCCTAAGGACTCCCCATCAGCCTGGCCCAACCTTCTGTAGGACTGCACCAACAGTCTGAGATTCCTCTTACCCAATCCTCCTTCCTTCCATCTCTTACCACAGGTGTTAGGTTTATGGAAGTCTGAAGGCTCTTCCTGCCTACTCCTACTCCCTCCGCTTTGTCCTACACAAGTGAGTTCCTCCAATAAATTTCTTGCATGTCTAATACCATCTAGTCATCTGTTTCTTGAAGGACTCAAACTGACAGAGGAGCTCACATTTATGGATCAGTATTTGCATATTCTTTGAAACCACACCCAAACTAACAGCAATATAGGTGCACAAGTGAACTTGGTTCACCCTAAAAATCAAGTAATTTGAGTTCTACAATAGATCATCAGGCTGGGCATGGTGGCTTACACCTCTAATCTCAGCACTTTGGGAGGCCGAAGTGGGTGGATCACCTGAGGCCAGGAGTTTGAGACCAGCCTGGCCAACATGGTAAAACCCCGTCTCTACTAAAAACACAAAAATTAGCTGGGCATGGTGGCGGGTGCCTGTAATCCCAGCTACTCAGGAGGCTGAAGCAGGAGAATTGCTTGAACCTGGGAGGCAGAGGCTGTAGTGAGTCGAGATTGTGCCACTGCACTCCAGCCTGGGTGACAAGAGCAAAACTCAGTTTCAAAACAAAACAAAACAAAAAACAAATCATCAGAATTAAAAACTATGGTTAATCCCTTACCAGCCTTAAGAAAAATATATTTCCGATATCCAAGAAAGCATAAAAAAAGAAAAAAAAATGCAGCTTAAGAAATAAAATGTTACCAAAAGAGTTGAAATCTCCTGTGTACTGCACCCTGACTGCATCCTCCTCCCACTCTTCAGATTTTGATCTTTATCATTCCCGTGCACACTGCACATTTTTGCTATAAATGATGTGTACAGTCGGCCCTCCATATCTGTGGGTTCCTCGCCCATAGACTCAACCAACTGTGGCTCAAAAGCATTTGGAAAAAAGAAATTGCATCTGTACTGAACATGTACAGACTCTTTTTTTCTCATCATTATTCCCTAAACAATACAGTATAACAACTATTTATTTAGCATTTACATTGTATTAGGTATTATAAGTAATCTAGAGATGATTTTAAGTATTTGGGAGGATATGCAGAGGTTATATCCATATACTATGCCATTTAATATCAAGGACTTGGGCATCCTTGGATTTTGGCATCAATGGTACATCTTGAAATCAATCTCCCACAGATACAGAGTGATGACTGTATTCTTAACACATTCTTTTCTTTGGATTTTAAAATCTCTTCTTTACTTAACATCTCCTAAAATTTGGATTTATACATATTTATAATAAAGTTTATTAAGTTGATGATTAAAAAAAGAAAAACCTATGTTACACAGAGCTATTTAGGATTTAGTGAGATTGAAAATTATTTACCAAAAATAGGCCAAAGTTTCAATGCTGAAAGGAACTTTTAATATCTTAACTTGACCCAAATTATATTATTATTTATAAAAGTTATATAAATGCAGGCTGATTGTTTTAAAAGAGTCAAAAAGCCAAATATAAGTAAAGCACTAGAAATAAATTCAGTTGTAAAAAATTGACATCATTATTCTAAATGTTATGTGGAATCACAGGAAGAAACATCATTGCAATCATTATTCAAAGTAATATTAAAGATAACATAAGAGATGTTTGGTCTTAAATGTCAATTTGAATGTATAGTGTCTACAATAATAGATCAAAGAGAAAGTAAGTATATCTGTAATAAAAACAAGAAAAAATGAGTTGCAAATACTGTATTCTACAATGAAAGAAGAATGCAGATTAAGGATAAAACAGTCTTACCAACTAGGCCACCTTTAAGGATCATTTTTCAGGGTAGCTAAAAGGAGTAACAATAAAGCTCTACACATATAACTAAAATGTTTGCAATTAATCTAGTCCCAGCACTTTTATTTGTAGAGTTCTCAAATCAAAAGTAACAAATAATTATACATCAGGATTGTTAGGAATACCAATTATTTTACAACTGCCACTACGTGTTTCTTCTTCTCTGACACAAGTGGCACAGATCCAGGCTTGCTGTGTTTAATACGATTCACTTCCCTAGAAATAAAATATACAAAATATAAGCAAGTTATGGGAACTCATCTTAAAGAAAACTTTCTCAGAAAAATCAAAGCATTTTCTTTCACTAGAAAAACACCTATTTAAAAAAATATTTTCACGATGACAATAGGTAAAAGGAAGCTAGTACCAAGAAATCAACTTTACTTATTTAATTGCTTCTTATCATATTTACCTAATAGGGTCCTTTACTAAGTTTAAAAACCTTCCACAGTTAATAAAATTTCTAAAAGTGATTCTACTGCAACATCTACCCAAAGACAGAAAAAAAGAGCCATTTGTATATTCTAATTGAAAAATAAAGAGCTCTTAGAATTTCATGCATGACTTCAAGTATTTCAAAGAGAAGAATATTTCACGGGAAATGGTGGTGGTGGTAGTAGCTCTGCTCTATATCCAAAATGATAGATGTCATGTTATAATAAAGTATATCAGAACACTTTTTACTTAAGAAAAGAGCTCTACTATAGATTAATTCTTTAACTTGGAAAATACACAAAATCTCTTAATTCCAGCTACATCAGAAATTATTTTTTAAAACATTTTTTACAATAATTTTTTAATATGAGCAAGTGTTTTCTTATTTTGGTAACTCATTTTCATCGTTTGTCCTTTAAACATATTCTCAAAAACAGGTAATGGAAGTTCTCCCATTCTCAGATAGTCACTGCTTCCCTTTTTTGGGAAAAAGAAAAAGAAATGGCCTTCTGGGCGGGGCATGGTGGCTCACACCTGTAATCCCAGCACTTTGGGAGGCCGAGGCAGGCGATCACGAGGTCAGGAGATTGAGACCATCTTGGCTAACATGGTGAAACCCTGTCTCTACTAAAAATACAAAAAATTAGCCGCGCATGGTGGCGCGTGCCTGTAGTCCTAGCTACTCAGGAGGCTGAGACAGGAGAATGGCATGAACCCGGGAGGCGGAGCTTGCAGTGAACCAAGATTGTGCCACTGCACTCCAGAGCGAGACTCCGTCTCAAAAAAAAAAAAAAGAAAAAAGAAAAGGCCTTCTGTAGAAGTCTTCAAACACATCACTAACATACTATTAAATAATAGCACATAAACTACTCCCTTGAATGGCAGTTAACTTTGTTTTTGGTGAGATGAGAGCAGAAGTCAGAAAAGGGTAATAGAGTCAAATGCCTCAAAACATACTTTCGTCGACGAGCTTCTTTCATGATGCGCTGTTCCTGAATCTGGCTATAGATAGATTTTGGTAGATGTCGATGACGAGCTATACGTTTTATATGAGGATAATGCTGAAATTTCTCCTTCAATTTCTGGTTATAATCCTTGGCTGCTTTTTCTCGTGATGTAAGCTGAAAATACACATTTTGGTATCTTAATGAATAGTGTGTTGTTTTGCTTCAGTATAAAAAAGCTAGAAAGCACCCTTTTCCCCCTAACCTAATCTTTTATGATATGCAACCAAAATTGCCAATGTAATTCTGCACTTTACAAGGTTATATTAGTAACACTAGCTCTGCAAGCACTGAATTTCCTTTTAGGCAACACACTCGCCATGTAGATAGATGCCACCCAGTAGAAAGCAGCAGTGCTGAAGGAGTAGGGCCACGTGGATCACTGAGTTGGACCTTCCCTAGGCATCAATAACATAGAAAAGCACCTAAATCACTCACTCAAATTTTGGGGGTGGGTAAAGAGGTGAGTTAAACATAGTGAAACAGCAAAGAAAAAATAAGTATCCAATTCCATAAGAACTACCCTTTGTTTAACGAATGTTAAGGATGATACGATTTAGAGGAACATTTAATGATGGACCTAGGCACAATGCAATACTTATCAATCATTAAACCTAAAACAGAATTGCCTTTGATTTTCCTATCAGGACTAAGTAGAAAATAATTCACACTTACCCTTTCCTTCTTAAACTTAATATTTATTTCTAATATAAACACTCTGTTTCTTATAGAAAATATGGGACATTTAGAAAAACATCAAGAACAAAACAAAATCAACCATAATCCCCTATCCTGGAGGTAACCAGCCAATGATAACACCTGCTATTTTTTCATGGAATCTTTTTTAAAGTATGAAGCTTTCTGTATTTATTAAATGTTCCATTGTGTCTTTGATATTACAAGATCTCCCAGGGACTTGCAGCCTTTGAGTTGCTGGATGACTATTTCTCTAACAAGAGATACGAGCTCTAAGTTCTGAGCCTCTAGTTCCTGCATCTTCTGTCCCTACCTCAAGGAAAACACAAAAAACCAGTAAGACTCAATATTATCAAACATCTGAATTAACAAAGGCATTCTGAAGGTCTTAAATGTCAATTTGAATGTACAGTGTCTACAATAATAGATCAGAATGAAGCAAATAATTATCAATACAACCTTGTCCATTTATTGCTTTTTTTATCACAGCTATGTCAATTTAATCAAAATACCCAAAAATACCTAAAAGTAAATTTTCATAATGTAATATCTAATAAAATTAGAAATCAGCTTTATGACAATGAAAGAAAATGAATTCTCTTACCACACCCAATTTTTCAGAAGCATTAGCTTTCCACAGGCGAATGTTCATTTCATCAGATCCACACATAATATACTTGCTGTCAGAAGTCCATTTTACACAGATAACATGTTGCATTCTCTTTGTATGATATACCTCCCTATAGAAAACGAATTAAGTTAAAACCCTTTGGATTTTGGTACAGATTTTGAGTAACCACTGCCTATTAAGTATCAGGATACTATTTCTGAGTCCTATAGGAGTATAAAATAAAAACTCAAATTCTTGTCAATGTATTTTTATTGAACCCAACTAATAAGGTTCCGTGTTAAGTGCTGGGGTAGTAAACAAATTTCTGCTCTCAGAGAACTTACTATCTAGTAAGAGAAATAAATATGAACAAACTAAGCAAAACCAGATGTACAGAAAAGTTCACAGAATAACTAAAAGCATAAAATGCAAATAAAATATGATGTTCAACCAAGGTAACTTTGTAACAAAAAGAAAGGACTTGATCTTAAAAGGCCTCTTCCCCATATCAAATCAATTCAGGTCAACACACTTTTTTTCCCCTTCATTTTACTGAAAAAGAAAGAAATGCAATGGTCTTCAAAGAGTACCTCCTGATATGCTGAATCTAATGCCAGAATTTTGTTTTGGTTAAATTGTTTAAAAAGCTTAATTAATTAGACCAGCCTGCCCAACATGGTGAAACCTTGTCTCTACTAAAATTACAAAAGTTAGTTGGGCGTGGTGGCACACACCTGTAA
The DNA here is from genome assembly GCF_000001405.40 of Homo sapiens. NCBI lineage: Eukaryota > Metazoa > Chordata > Mammalia > Primates > Hominidae > Homo > Homo sapiens. The sequence continues at coordinate 103,439,525 of NC_000008.11, read as the reverse complement.
TCCCAGTTACTAGGGAGGCTGAGGCAGGAGAATCACTTGAACCTGGGAGGCAGAGATTGTAGTGAGCCAAGATTGTGCCACTGTACTCCAGCGTGGGTGACAGAGTGAGACTCTGCCTCAAAAAAAAAAAAAAAAAAAAAAAGCTTAATTAAAGTGAGTTGATGATTTACATGTGTGAAAAGGAAGGGAGGACTACAGAAGTGTCTGATAAGTTGAGGTAAGAATAATTTAATAGAGCCAGGTGCGGTGGCTCACACCTGTAATCCCAGCACTTTGGGAGGCTGCAGTAGGTGGATCACGAGGTCAGGAGATCGAGACCAGGTGAAACCCCATCTCTACTAAAAATGCAAAAAATTAGCCAGGCATGGTGGCAGGCGCCTGTAGTCCCAGCTACTTGGGAGGCTGAGGCAGAATGGCGTGAACCCAGGAGGCGGAGCTTGCAGTGAGCCGAGATCGTGCTACTGCACTCCAGCCTGGGCAACAGAGCAAGACTCCATCTCAAAAAAAGAAAAAAAAGAATCATTTAATAAATGGAGATGTCAAATATCATACCTATTTGGAAAGGCTGTGAAATATGCTAGAAGAATTCACAGGTGATACTATATTAGTAAGTGTTAAGAAAGGCATTAAAAAGCAAGTAAAATACAAGGTCAGAAAAAGTAAGATGAAACTTCTGGAGAAATAAATTTTCTGCATCTGGATTAAATTATTCAAAATGCAGAGTATATAAAGAGGAAGGAAACAGGCTCAATAAACTATGCACAGTAAAATAAAACTCAAACAGAATGACTAAATCAAATATTCATATCTATAAAAAATATCTCTAAAGTAGGCAAGGTGCAGTGGCTCATGCCTATAATCCCAGTACTTTGGTGAGAGGATTACTTGAGCCCAGGAGTTTGAGACCAGCCTGAGTAACACAGGGAGACCCCATAGCTACTAAAGATAAATTTTAAAAATTAGCTAGGTGTGGTGCTGCTCAGGAGTCTGAGGTAGGAGGATCACTAGAGCCCAGAAGACAGGGGCTGTAGTGAGCCGTGTGGCATCACTGCACTCTAGCCTGGCTGACAGAGCCAGACTCTGTCTCAAAAAAAAAAAAAAAAATCTCTCGACTATACTCACAAAACTGGTCTTTTACACTGTTTCTGATAGGTATGTTTTAAGCACTTTGATAAACCATTAGAAATTCATTTTTAAAAGAGAGGGGATGATTAAAAAGAACGTCCTATTAAAATGAAAACTAGATGAGATAGACTGCTTTTTCTTCTCCCGCTCAGTGCTCTGCTTTTGAAGACTCATTTCTTATAATCTCCACATACCTAAGAAGCCCTTTTTTCCAAAGCAGTATAATGCATTTGAAGTAGGGAAATTCAATCAGGTTTCCGTAACCATTAAACATAATCTGTTCATGCAGTAGACCAGTCAGATCCAACGGTTAGTCACTTAAGTAACTGAGAATCCTCCCCAATGGTAAACTATGCTGAGTTCTTAACTTCTAGATATGTTTATGTCTGCATATATGCTAAGTTTATTAAGCTCACCAAAAGTTCTACTATTAGGAGATAAATACATTTTTAAAGGCTTAAATTCTTTATATACACAGTCACACTAATTTTTCCATGTGAACACTATTAATTTACTTGTTTGCTCAGTAAATACTGAATGAACTTCCAACAGAAGCCTACTTTCAAATACTGACTTAACTGTAGTTTTAAAAAATTTACTCAAAATTTATTTTAAAAATAATATGCTTTAGCCATTTTAAGGTCTTTTAAAGGAAAATATTTTTTAAATACAGATTATTCACCCAAGCATGAGTTATTTGATGTTTATAATGATAGGAAACAAACCACAGAAACAAATTAGAACTAGCTTTCAAGCAGATAAAGGCAAAGGTCAGAGGGAACACCATTTATATCTAAACACAACAGGACGTTAACACATATTAAGACTGTGATTACAAAACCTCCAAATGACATCAGGAGACAATTTCTTAGAAATGAAATATAAGAACCCTTTTATACAATTTTGGAATAATGTGAGTTTTCTAGCTAGACCTACATTTAGCTGTCCACACTAGCTTTGGAATAATTCAGCCTGAACTCAGCTGCTGGCCCCTTGGGATCATAGGTAACTACACAGTCCTGTTTTTTTCTTTGTTCTCGTTTCATTCTTTTGTCTACTTATGTACCATGTTGGAAAAATACTATCCTACTACCTTTGGAAGTTGTGGTGCCAAGAAATGATGGAGGACCATATTCTCTTGATTCTCAACATTTTCCAGAGGTGAGAGAAATATGGAAGCTATTAGTCTTGCCTTGGGCCTAAGTGAATAATGCCAAAAAAACACTCATGACAATTTGGAGAATATCAAGGCAGCAACAAAGGAAGCAATAGTCACATAGGAACACACAGCAGAAGCTCTACAACAGAAATGATGAAATGAAGATCAAAGTCATCAGAACACTCCTGTCAGTATGCTTCTAACTGAAGCACCTTCATAATCAGATAAACAGTGATGAAGATAATTATCTGCTGACAATGACGATACATGGTGTAGAAATCCATATGGCTTCCTCAAATTACAGTGGAAAAAGACTTAAATATCACAAGTAAAAGAGCAAAGAGTTAGATAAGCAGATTGACTATGACCATGATCATCCAATTATCATAATTTTTTGAGAAAAATTATTTCCATTTATTTGGATTTATTTTATGGATGCTTCCAGGAACACATCTAAAGCATTACTAAGGAACAATGGGAATGTGTATAACAGCTCTTTGTAAACCATAATTCACTATACAGGGGGCTGTATCTATACAGGACTTAGTTTTTAAAGTCAGTCTGTAAAGTGAAAACTCGAGAACAAAATTCCCCTTGCAAACTCCTTAAAATGCCATCACTTTCTGTAAACTACCTCTTTACAAAAATAAGATATAATAGATGTATAAATAGATACTGTATTTAATAACATATAATATGTAGTAAAGGGCCAAACTATACAAAACACAATAAAAATCTTAAATATTAGAATCACACTCTATGTGCTTACAAAATGAGACACACACGAGACTATGGGACAGCTGAGTATTCAAATCTCCCACCTCTCAACCTCTCATCAACCAAGCCATATACCTACTAAAGTGAAATAGAGGGAGAACGGTCTTGACAATTTAAACTTACTTTTATTTCTTTTTTAATTTTTGGTTTGGCATACAGAGTTGGATTTGACTAAGTAAAAAATAACAAATGTAAAGTATTATTACTAATTTTTCTTAAACTGTATTGGAGCAAAAAACTTTATTAAACTCAGGTACCCTCTCAGAAAAGATAAATAATAATCAGGACAAAGAAAAATGAAACAAAAATAGTCATATGACATTTTGGTCAATGAGAGACTGCATATACGACAGTGGTCCATTAAGATAATACTGGATTTTTACTGTACTTTTCCTGTGTTTATATATGTTTACATAAACAAATACCACTGTGTTACAATTGCCCACAGTATTCAGCACAGTAACATGCTGAACAGATTCGTAGTCTAGAAGCAACAGGCCATATCATATGACCACACAGCCTAGGTGTGCAACACGTTATACCATCTAGTTTTGTTTAAGTGCACTCTGATGATGTTCACACAATGATGAAATCGCCCAATGACTCATTTCTCAGAATGCATCCCCATTGTTAAGTGACATATGAATATAAATGGCTTACTGGTAGGCACATACCTGCTTCGACTTTTGTCTACAGGAAAGATTCGAATAGATTTATCGAAACTAGCAGACACAAACTCCTTCCCAGTGGGAGAGTAATCCACATCAAGCACTGCAGATACATGATCCATATGGACCATTACAGGAGTGTCCAGTGCACGCATATCAAAAGTATATAAGCTGTAAAAGAATTTTTAAATATTTGACACATATTTCTAGAAAGATGCCATATGCAGTACTAAAAGATACCACTGAAAACAAGAACCATTTGCAAAACAATGCACATCTAAACAAAAAGCTCAATGCTGTACACAAGCAGGTGAGGGATAAGGAAAAATTTCAACAGTTTTTATGATTCCTTAAGACTCCACTTATATATATACCAACACATTTTCCACCCTATAAATCTCATTGTAGAAAATGTGGAAATTTCAAAAAAAGTAGAGTACAAAAATTACCTTGAATTCTACTACCCAGAGGCCAGTTATTTAGTACAGCATAATTTTTTAAAAAACCTTTTTCACCATACTATTTAAATACATACTTTTAATAAAATTGAAATGTTATGTAAAGCTTTATATTCTGATATTTCACGTAGCATATTAATGAGCATTACCCATGTTATTAAACAATCTTTGAAAATATTTTAATGGCTGTATATATAAGTTCAAATAATTTATTTCCCTATATTTTAATAGTTTCCAACATTTTATTATATATAATGCTTATTAAATTCCCAACGTTTGGATTTTTAACATTCAATCTTTAACTGAATGGGACAGGTTCAATTAAATCTGGACAGATTCCTACAAGTAGCATTGTTAAGCTTAAAGGCATGAGCATTTTTAGGCTTGATTTGAGTTGCCAAATCACTGCCAACAAAGTTGCACTAATTTATACTCCTACTGGTGATATGTAAGAGTGAACATGGCCTTTCAAAGGGTGAATCAAAATGAGAAACTATACTTTATGCACAATTGGTAAAAACAATGACTTCATGAGTTTCAAGATTCAAAAATTCTTAATCTAATGGCTAAAAGAATAGTGCTTCAAATGAACCAACATGAACAATGGACAAAAGTAATACAGCAATATTGTGACCAAGTTCCTAATATAAAAATACTTGAAGATGCTAAGATTAGTGAGTAGAAGTCTGAGAAGAGGATATCTACATAGTTTCAAAGTATCTCCCCAAAGATATATAATAATTACAAAAGGAAAAAAAAGTAACTCTTTAGTGGAGAAACCTGGCAGACACCACCCTAACCAAATGATCAAGGTTAACATTACTAGTAGTAAGACATTGACAACTGCTTTACAGTTCCTGCCTAAGAACAGTGGTTTTCAGCTAGGTTTGCTTGGTTCCAGCAAACTGCTTTTTAGTAAGATGCTTTATTTCTACATGGGAAAAATGATAAGAATTCCAATTCTAAGCATATCAATTTGTGTACATGGAAAACCTTTAAATAAACAAAGTTCCACATTATAGGATTCATTAGGGATCATCTATTCTAACCCTCACCTTACAGATGCTGAAACTATGATATAGAGTTAGTTTAAATGACTTGCCCAAGTTTATACAGTAATTACTGGTCGGCCTAGACTTGAACTTAGGTTTCTAATTCAGAATGACTAGAATATCTAAAGGGCAATAAAAGAAAAAAATACTTACAAATATAGAAAAGGGATACAAAAGCAAGATCATTTTCAAAGAGCAATTATGATACTCCAACAGTCACTTATTATAAGGGATATGCTCTTTGTTTCAGGTGGCATATGCAATTCTTTTCAAGGCAAGGAATGAGAAATTCCGAGGACACTCTGAAAAACGGTACCTTGCTAAAATAGCTTATTAGAACATTCTTTAGAAATCTTAATGAGGTTGGTCACAATAATGCTGTATTACTCTTGTCTTTTATTGCCTTTAACTGGAACAATGCCACTTAATTTCAAAACATCAATAAAGGTTAAAAAAAAAAGCTTCAATTACTGTGGTTTGGTATTGCTAGTTAATGAGAGTCTAACTGAGCTTCTTTTATTTTTTTAAGACACCAGGGTCTTGTTCTGTTGGCCAGGCTGGAGTGCAGTGGCCCAATTACAACTCACTGTAACCTCAAACTCCTGGACTAAACCTCTTTTTAGCAGAAAGTCATAAAAGATGCTTTTAGTTGGTACCACTAAAACATCATATAATAAATCCTTTTATGAGCTAACACTACTACTTTTTTGCTTCCAAATCTACATAGTGGAACATAAAACAATACAAAGATCTAAAGTTCAATCCACCAACAAACTTCTGCCTTCTTAAAAAAAACATGTATTAAGAATCTATCAAAGGCATAGCGCTATAATAAATGCTTTGGGAAAAAAAAAGATAAGATACTCTTTCCTCCCTGGGAGACTAATCTCCCCGCTTTAATATCTTAAAAAGGGGATAACATGCATGTCCCACCTACCTCATATGGATACTGAAAAGATAACTATAATTTTTCTTCCATCTGACTGAACAGTGATAGCTGATAACATGACCACATGAGCATCAGCTACCTGATACTCACCGCAATACAAACATTGCAGGCAGATATTTTCATTTCCATTAAAACATGTATGGTTCAGTCATTATTTATAAGACCTACATCAAACATCAGCCAACTTCTTCTGTAAAGGGCCAAATGTTAAACATTTTCAGGCAAGTGGGCCATAAGGTCTCCGCTGCAACTATTCAACTCAGGCATTATAGCACAAAAGCAGCCATATCCAATATCTAAATAAGTAAGTGGGTGTGGCCATATTCCAATAAAACTTTATAAAAAACAGGCAACAGAAAGGATTTGGTCCACGAGTTGTTTACTGTCCCTGGTCTACATCATTCTAAATACTGACGAAATAAATACTTTTCTAAGAAGTTCTTCTCCAATTTGGAAAACTTTTTAAAGCTAAACAGATGACAGTTTTCAAACTTTATAGGTATACCTACCTAGTGGTATATATTTTATTAGTACGACTTATACAATTAAGCCATTCATGATAGAAATACACAAGTTTTTAAAAGAGGGAAACTTACTTATAATCTTCATTTGCTGCTGTAAAAATGAAAGCTTCCATAGGGTTCCAACAGATTGTATTTGTTCTCATATCTAAGATAACCTGAGAAAGGAAGAATGGATGAATTTCCCACTTCCTTTCCTTTTCTTTTCCCCACTGATTTAAGCAAATATTTCATAAACACCTATTATGTGTAAAGTACTCAGCTCAGTGCAATGGGAAGAGAAATCAATCAGTAATTGCTTCTTAAATACACAGGCAGAATAGTAAATATAAAAATAGAAATGCTTAACTCCCAGTCTCCTAATCTCAAACAACTTACAGTTTAGTCAGAAAAATGTGACACATAATAAAAGTTAAAATATAAACAATAAAGTAACAAATGACTAAGTATCAAATTAGGGGCAAAATTAATGGTGAGCTTAGGGTTAACATAAAGAACTGTTTCTAAAGACAAGTATGATTTGAACTGACCTGTGAAGGATCAGTAATTCAGTGTTTCTCAATGGGAACACTGTTGGCATTTTGAGCAGGATTATCTTTTGTTGTGTATGACTATCCACTGTAGGATGTTTTGCCACTCAGGGACCTCCCACTACATGTCCCTCTTGCATTCCCAGAACTGTACCTGGTAGGGGACTACAATCCCTGACTAAGAACTACTACATTTATGAGAGAAAGGATAAAAGAAACATTGATAGACTAGTAGATGGAGCAAAGAAGCAACAGAAAGTAGCAGTGTCTAACAATCCCTACATCTATCAAAGTGACCTGCATGTGACAAACTCCAATTCAATGTTACCTAACTGACTAAAAGAAATAAATGAGTTGCAAATTAGAACCAGATTTCAGAGCACCTTGAAAGCCAGGCTACATTTTCTTCAACCTAAAATTAATGGAGCTCCATTAAAAACTGAGAATGTGCAAAGCAGGAGGCAATAACAATGAAAAATAAACTAAATTAAAAAAAAAACAGAATGAGTGTTAGGTAGGTGGGAGGGGGCAGAAATGACTATTCATTAAACTAGTACCTCATGTCAGCATTCTGCTAAATGCTTAAAGTATCATGTTTTATTCTCAGCGAAGTGCTGCGAGATAGTTATTAATACCACCACCTTACAGGAGAAACACATTTTAGGTTAACGTGCTTAAAAGTCTAAGACCAAAGTTCATATAGGATCTTCCCATTAAATCACATGAATGAGTGAAATCATATAAGTGGTACTTTGGAAAGATTATCATATTTATCTACTTCAAACTTCAATGAATGTACTCTCCTAATATCTAGTTGTTACGTTATAAAAATGATTTAGGAATAACAAAAGCAAGTATTAAAAGCATTTCTTTTGTATGTGGACTACGACAACAGACTTGTGGCATCTCAATGATGTCCAGCCCTTTCTGTCACTCAAAATTCTAGTACCTGAAATAAACTTTATACCCTTTTACTTACAATGGCACTCCTTTCCTTACTTACAGACAGTATCTGTCTCCCTCTTGAGAGTTAGCTTAAGTTGTATTATTAGCTCTGATATGTAAGTCCTGAAATTACTACTTTAGAATTGTTAGGAAATCTGTTACTTTGAACAGGATAGTGGTTGCCTAAATGTCAAACTAGTATTGATCAGCATGTAACTGAACAAATAAAGCTGGTTACGTGAATGAGTTCTAAAACCTTCTGGAATAAAATAGTGTACATGTCATACGATAATCATGGGGCTTGAATTTATTGAATATTATTTGAATATTATTACACTGTTAAGTAACAGGATGCAATACCTTTAAGAACTTTCAATTCAGTAAGTATTAATTAGAGGCCTAAAATGTACTGGCATCATGGAAGACACAAGGTTGGTGACTAGGATACAATACCTAGCAGAAATTTAAGAGTCTCTAAAAAGCAATAGGGAGCTGAAAGAACATGACTATCATCATGTAGAGTTCTAAGAACACCTGTATAAAAGATTTTTTTAATTCTGAGAAAATATTTGCTCCATATTGTTAGTCACTCTATTTACAGAGAAATATATAATGCCAACTGTATAAAGCAAAAGTCAAAACTGAAACTCACCTTTTTCAAAGGAGTAGCTTGCCTCATATCGTACAGTACTATATTCCTGTCAGATGCACAACTTCCCAAGAGAAATGTCTAAAAACAAGTATAACAATCACCAGTTCAAAGCCAGACCTGGCAGCAAACCACATCCATTCAGTAAACAAATGATTTAATTGCCCTTAATATTTATGTTAAAAAACAAAGTCCATTTTAAGAGGGTACAATAAATCATCCATAATCTCAGCAACTTAAACCAAGTATTTTCACTGTAAAATCCTCATGCTTGTATTTTATTTATTTATTTATTTATTTAGAGACAGAGTCTTGCTCTGTCACCCAGGCTGGAGTGCAGTGGTGCAATCTTGGCTCACTGCAACCTCTACCTCCCAGGTTCAAGCAATTCTCATGCCTCAGCCTGTGGAGGAGCTGGGATTACAGGGGTGCGCCACCACACCGGGCTAATATTTTGTATTTTTAGAAGAGACAGGGTTTCACCATGTTGCCCAGGCTGGTATCAAACTCCTGACCTCAGGTGAGCCACCTGCCTCAGCCTCCCAAAGTGCTGGGATTACAGGCATGAGCCACCGCACCTGGCCCCCATGCATGTATTTTAATGTACAGATATTACTGTGTTCTAATTTGTAATAAAACATATTTTACTTACCTACTCTTCAACTTAAGACTTGTTTCCTGTTTTTTACTATTATAAGTAATACTTCAATAAACATTTCCCCCCCACGTAGTTCTTCTTTTGAATTATTTCCTTAGGATAAAATTTCACAAATGACATTACTGAATCAAAAGGTATGAACAATTTTATGGCTTTTGATATTTAGGGCTAATTATTTTTCCAAAGAGCTGTACCAGTATACACTACAATGTGGGATATGTCCATTTTAATGCAACTGGGCAGCACTGGGTAGTGTCATTTAAAAGTGTCATTTAAAATATCTGTATGACAGTATTTCCTAGCTATATAAATTTATTGTTTTATTAGTAAATGTTTCTTCGTGTTGTTAACTCTCTATAAATTAGGCCTGTCTTTTGTCCAACTGTTTGAAGATTTTTCTAATTATTTTATTTGTAAGTCAATTATAAATGTGCATGGTACTCACATAACCCCTTGGCATTAAGTAAAAATAAGCCCTCTATCATCCAGTGGATCCCTGAAACCCTCTCTCTGTAGCATCATTCCTCCTCACTCATGGTTCCTGACACTCACAACTATTGGCTTCTGCCTACAATTACTTCCTATTGCAAGTATGTGGGCAGCAAGAAGAGCTATTTACTAAATAGTTGCATGGCCAGCTAACTCCTCCTACTGTCTGTACGCAATTCAAATAACACATCATAAAGCTAATGTTATGATCATGATTTCCTCTCAGTTCTTTCTGAAAGCCTGCTATCTTAATGGCTGCTTTTCTGAGACTTCCCTAGTGAGGTCCCTCAACCTTTCTTGGCTTCTCATTATGTCGCCTCAGGGTCTGACCAGGTTCCATTTCTAAAAAGAAAGACTTTGATCTGAACAAAGCAAAACAATCTACCTAGACCAAATGCCACCTTTCACACTGTAAAACGTCCCAATGATCAGCATAAACTTTTGGCTTTACCAGAATTCTAGGCTTCAATATTTTAAGAGAAAATTAATTATTAATGATTAGAGGAGACAAATACAAATACACTCCATTTGTTCACAGCAACATGCCCTTTCCATTAAGTTTAAAACAGGATAAGAGACACACACACCATTTACTTTTACCACTAAGTTCATAAGGTTAATAGCAATTAAAAAAAAAAACAGCTGAACAAATACAGCTGCTATACAGGCAAGTTTGAAAAACATGGTCACTAGGTCATCCCTAATAATTACGATTTTAGAATTGGTGATCGGCTCTTCTGACACAGATGTTCACCAAAGCAGAGAAGCAAAAGATTTTTTTGTTCCTCTAAATAGTAAGAACCAGTGTCTGTTTAGGTTTTTTTGTGTTTTTTTTTTAGTACGTAATACCGTCACCATCTTGAATTTGGATAGCACTTTTAAAAAATGTTCACATATGTTATCAACTTTTACACTTGGTCCTGCTCTGCAAAGGTAGCTGCCTTTCCATGCCACTTCTCTCTTCTACAACCAAGGGAAACATAAGGAAGGAAGATGGAGGATGGAGTGAGAAAGATATAATAGAGACAGACACTCCAGACCAGGAATCAGAAAACTTTTTCTGTAAAGGGCCAGAGAGTAAGTATTTTAGGTTTTGTGGGCCATATGGTCTCTGTGGCAATTACTTAACTCTGCCATCATAGCACGAAAGCAGCTACAGACAATATGTACGCAAGAGAACATGGCTGTCTTCTAGCAGAGCTCTATTTACAAAAACAGGCAGTGGGCCACATGTGGCTCACAGACTAGTTTGCCAACCTATTCTAGACCTGTAGCGTCTCTAGAAAGTGTGTGTGTGAGCATGTGGTAGTTGCAGGAAGAGTGTCCTCTGACTTCTCAGTAATTCCTCAAGGCCAAGCTCACATCGCACTGCAGCATCTCATTTTCCAGTATATCATACAAACTATTTTTATACCTTACTATTTTGACTCAACCTTACTTCCTATCTTTTATCAGGTTGGGTCTTTAAGAGCATAACACTTGCATATTAGGATTTTTCTCTCATACTACCTAAAATGGTAGCCTCGCAATAACTGCTAAAATTGGCTTATATATGCTATGATTGCCTTTTCTTTCAACAGGAAAAACATATCCCTACTGAGTCTTCTGGACAATCAGTTCATCTATTGTTATGCATTAAGAAAAAGTTCAGAGAAAGATCTGGAGTCCAAGGGCTAGCTTAGCCTTCAGGACAGCCTCCATTCCTAAATTCAGACCTAAACAGACGACATGTAGTGGCCAATCTCCAACTCTTCCCTTAGGCCTGGAGGAACTGGGAATCACAATTCAGACTTCTGAGCAAAGAAAAATATAACTATAACTAATTACCATGCAGTTCAACAATAATCACAAATGTTTTTATGAAGCATTGGTACCTTACCAATTACAAATAGACAAAATGATGTCCAATGCTCCTTCTTCTGACCTCCAAGGCAGGTAGAAAAATTAACATTTTCCTAAATGTACAATGACATAATCTATGGAACATGAAGTTGAAGGCATGAGTAAAACTAAAGTTAAAACAAGACTATATTTACTTGGATTTTACCCCAATGGGCAAATGCACACACCACTCCTCTAACAATGCTTAACTCTAGTATCTGGGACTAAACTGCTGGGAAACATGTTGGGATTTGAGCAAAGGTATCAGAACTCATTTACAATCGGGAAAACTGACAAAATGCCAAAACACCATTAAAATTCAGAAGTTTCTATCATACATTCAAAAGTTTTCTAAACAGAACTGAAATTATTAAGCCATAATAAGTAAAACATACTTAAAAAAAAACATTACCTCAATTGGGTTAAATTTAACACTACTTATACTGTCAAATCCCCAGGTCATTGAACATATAGGATTAGTTCTTTGTTCATCCCAAATGTCTACTTGCTGTCCACATGTGGCAAAAACAGCTTCTTTCCAGTGATGATCAATCCCAGTATACACTGTCTTTAAAAGCAAAAAGGTTAAGAGGATTTTTTTCATTACTAATTCAAATCTGCAGAATAATATTTTAAATATATTTATCTATACTATCTTTTTAGAGAAAAGCCCTGTTCACAAAGAAACTTCTTTGAAGTCCTTACTTAAAGGGGGAAACAATACCATAATGAGACAAGACATTTTAAGAATGAAACCAATTTTGTTTTAGAAATTACTAACGTGTTTCCAACTACAAATTATCTCTACCTCATACTCATACCCCATTCCCCTATCCCTTTAAGAACATTTAGTCTTCTTGAAACCTAAAGCAGAACCTAAATATTATATACTAACCATAATATTGAAACGACAAAGTGATTTTTAAAAGGTAGATTTAATTTAAAGATTAAATCTAATTTTGGAATTGTTTGCTTAATATAAAAATGTAAACATTATAAAACATGGATAGACCAAATGTTCTAAATTATTCTTATGCTAAAACTAAACCACCCATCACCTGATTTGCAGAATAATTTGGTAGAAACATTAATAAGATTTATACATGATGCATAATACTATTAAATTTCTTCATTTCTTAAAGGAGTCTTTCAACTAAGAAATTCTGAGTTTTGTGTAAGATCTATGATGACATCAACTAGACAAGCTGAAGCATTTTCTGAACTTCTATCTTTTTCTCCGTGGTCTTCCCATGGGAAATGTTTCATTGTATCCTCTGGCTAAAAACAGAAATCAAACTCTACTACAATGAATACCAAAAAAAAAAAAAACTGTTAAAATTCTTTAGCATCAAAGGACTTTAGCTGCATTAAATATTGCGTAAATGGGTCAACAATTACAGCCTAAAGTCTTTCGTTTCTTATCTGCATCTTCTTCCCCATCTTAGGAAATTATAACTATAAAATAATTTTAAATAAAAGAATGTTAATAGGCAAGCTATTAGTCAATTTACTTTTGTACCTTTCCTAATATTGTATGTAATGGCTCTTCCTCGTCTCCATAGCCTGGCCCATCCATTTTCCACTGCTTCACAGTTTTGTCATCACCAACCTAGAAATATTTGTTTTATTATGATGATGGTAAGGAACAACAGTTATAAATTAAAACTTGCCAACACATATCAAATAAGTATCTTGTTTAAAACAGGTAACATACCATATCATTCCAGTATTACACTTATTGATCCATTTATATCCCACCTTGTTTTAGTAAAGATTTGTGACAAATACATAAAGTACATAAAACTAAAAATATAATGAGTAGAGCAAAAGAAAAACAAGAACAGGGGCAAAGTTAGGTCATGCATATTGTGATAAACATGGCATTTCAACTTGGAGAAAAAATGGATTATAAAAAATGGTATTATAATATCTGGTTAGTCATTCAAAAAAATTGAGCCAATTTGATGCCTTATGTGAAAATAAAATTCCAGGTAATTTTAAATGTAAAAAATAAAATGAAAAACATGAAAATACTGGAGAGAAGGCATTGTTATAATATTGAAATAGATAAAGTCCTTTTCTGCATGAACTGCAGAAACTACTAAGTCAGTGGTTTTCAAACTGTGAACTTTGGGCCTCTGGAGGACCCTGAGAACTTTTCAGGGTCCACACAGTCAAAACTATTTTCATAATGTTAGTAAAGACATAGTTTGTCTTTTCACTGTGCTGACAGCTGCACAAATAGTAAAAAAGCAACAGTGAGCAAAACTGTTGGCACGTTAGCCCAAATCAAGGCAAAGCAACAAACTATGGTAATTTAGACATGGGTATTTGGCAGACATGTTTAAGCTATCAGGTGAAACAGACTACAAAACAGAACATATAATGTAGTTTGAGGTTGAAAACAAAATCATAAATGTGGTACTGTATAACTGCATACATACAAAACTGCTAGTTTTAACTTAAAATCTTACATTTATATATTAGATGCAATCTATATCCACTTTTTGATAAAATCATTAACAAAGATATCTTTATCTAAGGGAAGAGTATGAATGTAGCTCTTTTCTTACAGCAAATTCAAAAAGGAAAACGCTTCTTGCAAAACAGTTTACAGTGCCCATGAGATGAAAACAGATAAGTGATCAGGAAAGGTTTTGGTACTAAGATTACACAGCGATGTCTTTTGTTGAGGATGTCGATGAACAGAATCCTTAACTACATCCTTGTTATAGACAAAAAGTATTTAATAGGGCTACATCTTATTAACAACTATGAATCTGAGCCACTGGCACTATACTAAAACTCAATTCTAGAAACCTGATTCTACTGGGAGACTAAGATGTAATCTAGGTACCAGGTCTTGACTGATCTGGCTTGACCCAAAGAGACATTTTAGCACTTACAGAATACAGGATAAACTGTGTCCCTGAGCACCCCGTTCCTGAAGACGCTATCCCTCCATCAAGTTTCTGATAGTGTCTGCAAGCTCAAGACTGAATTTGCTTGTAAATGACCAAGCTGTTCTGCCGTCTACTGAGTACAAACCTCAGCGGACCACCAATTCTGGGAAGGGTTTTCTCATTTTATAGAAATGAGTAGCCGAACAAGAATATGTGCCTGGCTAGAACATCTCATCTCCAGGCTGGTTATGCTGAAGAAGGAATTGTTGGTATTACAAACTGGTATATCTTAGTGAAGTTTTAGGTAATAAAAGTTTATGTTTTGCAACACTGTGTACTAAAATTTTTAAAAACATTCTTAAAGTTGTACCAGCAAGTAGTCTTCACATGTGTCTTATCTCTGACAAAGCACACATTACTCAAAAATATCTTTTTGGTTGGGCATGGCGGCTCGCGCCTGTAATCCCAGCACTTTCAGAGGCTGAGGCGGGTGGATCACTAGGTCAGGAGATCGAGACCATCATGGCTAACACGGTGAAACCCTGTCTCTACTAAAAATAAAAATAAATAAAAAAATTAGCCGGGAGTGGTGGTGGGCACCTGTAGTCCCAGCTACTGGGGAGACTGAGGCAAGAGAATGGCGTGAACCCGGGAGGCAGAGCTTGCAGTGAGCAGAGATCATGCCACTGCACTCCAACCTGGGCGACAGAGGGAGACTTCATCTCAAAAAAAAAAAAATCTTTTTGAAAAACCGAGAAACAATAAGGTGGGCATGGTGACTCATGCCTGTAATCCCAACACTTTTTGGGAGGCTGAGACAGGCTTGAGCCCAGGAGTTCAACATCGGCCTGGGCAACGTAGCAAGACTCTGTCTCTTTAAAAAAATAAAGTGGGGGGAAATAAGTGGTGAATATGAAACATTTTCAGTCTTTATTCATTTCTTAAAATGTTTTTTATTTAATTTACAAATAAAAGATATATATTTATGATGTACAACATTGTGTTTTGATACACGTAGACACTGTGGAATGGATAAACCAAGCTAATTAACATATCTGTTACCTCACATACTTATTATTTTGTGGTGAGAACATTTAATTCACTTTCATAGCAATTGTCAAGAGAGCATGTTGTTATTAACTATAATCACAGTGTTGTACAACATCCATCCCATCTATTTGAAATTTTGTCTCTTTTGACCAACATCTCCCCAATCTCCCTCCCTCAAAGCCCCTAGTAATGACCATTTTACTCCATTTCTAAGAGTTTGGCTTTTTTAGATTCCACACAACTGAGATCATGTGGTATCTGTCTTATTTAACTTAGCATCATGTCCTCCAGGTTCATTCATGTATGCTGCAAGTGACAGGATTTCCTTCTTTCTGAAGGCTGAATAGTATTCCTGTGTGCGTGTGTGTGTGTACTTTTTTTTTTAAAATTCATTCATCCATTGCTGGACACTTTAGGTTGATTCCATATCCTGGGTATTGTGAATAATGCTGCAAATGAGCCTTTATTCATTTTAAGCATTAAAAAAAAATACACTAAGTCCTCTGGCTGAGCTATTAATCAATATATCCAAGAGAATAACCAAGTGTAAGAAGCCTTAGGTGCCATCCATTCCCACTTGCCAATCAATTCCTTGCACAACACTGGGCTTGCAGGGTCAGGCAGCTTATCTGCACCCCTCTAGTGAAAAGTAACTGAATGCTTTGCAAGGTAGCCTATTCTGCTTTTTGACAGCAAATAAGTTTTTTTTTTTTACACCAAAACCGAATCTTTTAACACTAACACCTATTTCCAGTGCCTCTCTATGGAGCAACAAATTAGTCTATTTTCTTTTTCACATGACAATCTTTCAAATTGTAGCTATCAGGTTTCCCAGAAGTCATCTTTTCCCTTTATTATTCTCTTGCAATCTAGCTTCTGCACCCAGCCAACCTGGATTGCAACCTACATTTTATAACTCAGCTCAACCTGTTTTTTAAAAAGTCACCAGTAAATAAAGAATAAGGAAGATCTATTTGACTGATTAGCGCATGTGTATACAAAAACTGTTGTATAGGTAGGTCAAAACACTTGAAAAGACATACACCAAACTAATAGTGTTAGAAGTGAAAGACTAGAATTATGCAATCTTTAATTTTCTATTTTTTACATCTCTACATTTCTAAAATGTTTTCCTCAGTCTTCATTTTTCATTATTCTTTGTAGTAGTTCACAAAACTGACTATTCCTTCCTCCTAGGACACTATGCTCATTCACAGATTCTTTGAGCTCTGGCTACTCCTAGAGTTTTCCCACTTCCCAGAGGTGGGCATTCCCCAAGGCTACTTCCTTGACATCTTTGTATTTCTATATTTTCCTCCTCATTTCCTCCCAATGATGCCATACTATGGCTTCAATGATTAGTTCTATATTGATGATGTCAAGTTCAGCTCTGACCTCCCTCCTGAGCTCCAGACCTGCATCTGTAAAGGTATGACAGACATCTTCACTCGAACAGCCCATTAGCAGTCCAGTTTGTCACATCATATCCTTCCCATTGCCACCCTTCAAAACTTGCTGGTACTCCTCAGCAACAGGAACCAACCTCTTCCCAGGCACCTCTCAGTTGTCAAACCTGTCAATCCTCCAAAGTATCAACCACTGATTTCTAGTTTTCAGTCTCCATAATAAGGTAGCCTCTTATTATTGCCTGCCAAACTATTAAAATGGCCTTCAAACTGATCACTAACTGCTGTCAAATTACTTAACTCAAAGCACAGCTCAGATTTTGTCGTTCCCCTTGTTTAAAAAGACTTTCAATGAACTTGAATTGGTATTTGTACACCAATGGTCACGGCAACACTATTCACAATAGCCAAAAGGTGGAAACAAATCAAATGCTCATTGATGAATGAACGGATAAACAAAATGTGACACATACAATGGAATGTTATTTAGCCATAAAAAGAAAGGAAATTCTGACATGTACTACAACATGGATAAACCTTGAAGACAATTATGTTAAGTAAAATAAGCCAGACCCAAAAGCCTTATTCCACATACACAAAATGGTATAATTCTTTAAAATATGCTTCTATTTATATGAGGTACCCAGAATAGTCAAAATCACAGAGGCAAAAAGTAAAATAGTAGTTACCAGGGGTTGGGGACTGAGGGGACAGAGGAGTTATTGTTTAATGACTATAGTTTCAGCTGGGGATGATGAAAAAGTTCTGAAGACAGATGGTGGTGATGGTTGCACAGTGATGTGAATGTACTGGATGCCACCAAACTGTATATTTAAAAACAGAGAGTAAATTTTACGTTCCGGATATCTTGCCACACACAGGCACAAAACTTCGATGATTCCTTATTATCTGACTAACAAAAGTACAAATTACTCATCTTAGCATCAAAAATCCTCCAGAGTAAGCCAAACTCTTTCTAGACTTACCTCTCATTAATTCCACTTTTGTGGTAAATTGAATATTAGTTTAATCATGTTAAGTTATGGGGAAGGCTGAATTATATAAAGAAAACTAGTAATTTTCAAGGTTTAATAAGCTATTTTGCATTGTGAAACTCCAAAAGGGCCTAGGAACAAATAAATGAACTTGAAAAAAAATGTATTCAATTAGATTATTCTTACCTATGTTGATCAAATTTAATGACTTAATGGTATTATACTTACAGTGAAAAAAGAAGTCCCACAAAAGCGAGTACATATTCCTCGTACAAAGCCTTCATGTGCTTGTATTGTACGGATACAATTCCGCTGAGTTAGATTCCAAATTCTAACCTATGATAAGGCATACCAGGAAATTTCAGTGAACTATAAATGTAAAATGTTCAGGATAAATTCAACACTGACAAGGCTACGAATCACTCTACTGGGCAGCTAAAACCAAAATCCTTTGGATTAAAACAATGCAATGCATATGGATAAGTATACTGATGAGCAAAAAATACAACCTGACAAATACTCTGTTGATTCTAAAGTGTTACAAAACTTTTTCACTTGCCATAGTAGGAAATTAGGTGTTGACAACATCTGTGAAAAAACTCATACTTAAATACTTTAATTATAAACATGATTATTTAATTTACTGTCAAATTGATCCTTAAACTACTGCATTTATAATTTCTTAGGTTTAAAGAAGAAAATACTAAACAGTATTCCTAACGAAATTTAGTCTTGAGAAGTAAATTGAAATCCAATAAAGTAAAACCTACAGTAACTAAAAACTAAAGGGAAAACATTTGTAATATAACTACTTTTAGTTGAAAATATCATCTAGATTGACACTTGCCTCTCCATCACACGCCCCAGAAAGGACAGTAGCCAGCTTCTCTGGATGCTTTGCCAAGCAATTGACTCCATCACGGTGACCATCCAGCGAAGCAAGGAATGGTTTTGCAAATACTCGTTCCAGTTTGGTAGCATTTAAAGCTCTTATATATTCTCGTGGGACCTCAAAAGGATGTAAAGCAGGATCATAGTTTCTTGGAACTGAAATAAGAATGATCCTTCTTAATAATTCACACTTAATATTTCCTGCAGTCTTCCTCAGCTAATCACTCTGTTATTCAATAAGCATTTAGTTAGTGACATTGTTCTATGCCTAACACTAAGAATACAAAAGTAGAAGACCTGTTGTTCAGAAATCTTTCTGAAATTACTGGAAAATCATGGGATGCATACATCTTGCAAAACAATTAGACCCTAGGTATATATACATGCAGCATTTCCTTTTTTTTTTTTTTTTGAGACGGAGTCTTGCTCCGTCACCAGGCTGGAGTGCAGTGGCGCAATCTCGGCTCACTGCAACCTCCGCTTCTCAGGTTCAAGCAATTCTCCTGCCTCAGCCACCCGAGTAGCTGGGATTACAGGCGCATGCCACCACGCCCAGCTAATTTTTCTATTTTTAGTAGAGATGGGGTTTCACCATATTGGTCAGGCTGGTCTCGATCTCGTGACCTCGTGATCCACACGCCTCAGCCTCCCAAAGTGCTGGGATTACAGGCATGAGCCACCGTGCCCGGCCTCCCTTTTATATGTCCTAGTACCCTCTTCAACTGGGTTGTAAGTGTTCACTGTCAGGGCTTCCAATACACTTTTCATTTGTACTTCCTTATGCCTAGCACAGTTTCTGGGACAAAATATGTGCAAGATGTTTGCTCAACAGAACTCTAAGCTTCCTGTAGGGCAGGGAACATTATTAATCTCTGGTGCTAAATACTGTGCTGATAGACACACGAAGTTGTGATTATGATGATATTATATAGCTATCATTTACTGAGCACTTTCTATGTTTGTTTACTTACTTAAAAAAGACTCACATAAGAGTTCAAGTGCCAGGCGCTGTTCCAAAAACCTTAACCGTTTAATCTCCACAGCATCCTATGTGTTAAGTTCTATTACTATCTCACACTTTATTGATGGGAAAACTGAGGCATAAAGAGGTTAAGTAACTCGAATACGACACGGTGGAGCCAGGATTCAAACCAAGGCAGTATGGCTCCAGAATCTATGTTTTAACTGTCCTGATACGCTGCTAAACACATTGTCTTGGTTAATAATCACGCTTAGGGCCGGGCGTGGTGGCTCACGCCTGTAATCCCAGCACTTTGGGGGGCCGGGACGGACGGATCACGAGGTCAGGAGATCGAGACCATCCTGGCTACCACAGTGAAATCCCATCTACTAAAAATACAAAAAGTTAGCCAGCGGTGGGGGTGGTATGTGCCTGCAGTCCCAGCTACTCAGGAGGCTGAGGCAAAAGAATCACTTGAACCTGGGAGGTGGAGGTTGCAGTGAGCCGAGATCGCGCCACTGCACTCCAGCCTGGCTGACAGAGTGTGACTTCATCTCAAAAAAAAAAAAAAAAAAAAAAAAAAAAAAAAAAATATATATATATATATATATATATATATATATATATATATATAATTATGCTTAGAAAGTAATTTTAAGCTCGTATGTCTAAAAAAACTCAGTGAGTAAAAAGTAAATGCATCTTCTTACCCCATGACTTCATCCTGCTGTTTCTTTCTGACTCCCTGGTAATGGTGTTATATCTAACATTCAACAAAGCTCTAGCCTAGGTCATTCTTATGTATTCCATCTTCCATATTCCCTACTACCAAAACTCAAAGTCCTACTCATCATCTCTTTGCAACACTTACTCATCTTTCAACTCTCTATTTCTAGTTTTTTGTGTTTTGTTTTTGTTTTTGTTTTGAGATGCGGTATCATTCTGTCACCCAAGCTGGAATGCAGTGATATGACTATAGCCTACTGCAGCCTCAACCTCCAGGGCTTAAGTGATCCTCCCACCTTAGCCTCTCACCTCAGCCTCCCAAGTAGCTTGGACCTGAGGCATGCACCACCATGCCCCATTAATCTTTAAATTTTTTGTAGAGACGGGGGTCTCCTTATGATGCCCAGGCTACTCTCGAACTCCTGGGCTCAAGAGATCCTCCCACCTTTGCCGCCCAAAGTGTTGGGTTTATGAATGTGAGCCACTGCATTCCCAGGCAGTTTGGGTCTTCATTATCTTATACTTGGGCTACTTTAATATCATCCCTACTTGATTTGGCGGCAATTTACACTATTATCAGATGTCTTTTTTTTTCTTTTTTTTTTGAGACGGAGTCTTGCTCTGTTGCCCAGGCTGGAGTGCAGTGGCGCAATCTCGGCTCACTGCAAGCTCCACCTCCCGGGTTCACACCATTCTCCTGCCTCAGCCTCCCGAGTAGCTGGGACTACAGGCACCCGCCACCATGCCCGGCTAATTTATTTATTTTTTTGTATTTTTAGTAGAGATGGGGTTTCACCATGTTAGCCAGGATAGTCTCGATCTCCTGACCTCGTGATCTTCCCGCCTCGGCCTCCCAAAGTGCTGGGATTACAGGCGTGAGCCACTGCGCCCAGCCTATCAGATGTCATCTTAAAACAGCTTTTTACATGTCACTCCCATGCTTAAAACTTCCAAAGGCTCCCTATATAGTAGTCTTCAAACTTTCTGTGTGCCCCATTAATAACAGAGTTTTTGAGCAGATCCCTTCTCAACATATGTGTATGTTAATGAGAGCATGTAATTAAAGATGTTCTTTTTTTTTTTTTTTTTTTGAGACGGAGTCTCCCTCTGTCACCCAGGCTGGAGTGCAGTGACGCAATCTCGGCTCACTGCAAGCTCTGCCTCCTGGGTTCACACCATTCTCCCGCCTCAGCCTCCTGAGTAGCTGTGACTACAGGCACCCAGCACCACGCTGGGCTAATTTTTTTGTATTTTTAGTAGAGACGGGATTTCACTGTGTTAGCCAGGATGGTCTCAATCTCCTGACCTCGTGATCCGCCCGTCTCGGCCTCCCAAAGTGCTGGGATTACAGGCATAAGCCACCACGCCCAGCCAAAGATCTTTTTTTTTAAGAAAAATCTTGATTCAACACTGTGATAGATTTAAAGGTTCTAATTTCAGCTTAATTCAATGTTTGGTTTTAATGGCTACTATTATAAAAAAAATTCAAGCAGTACTCACTTTCGCACTGTACTGTATTAACGGGACGGGTTGCATACTGGAATCAATTCCCCACTTTGCAAAGTTTCGTGGTTAACAGATGTGATTTCAATCACTGTAAACCTCTTAAAGAGTGGGACTGGTTCAGTTAATATGGTACTGTGCAAAGTGCAGAATGCCTGTACTTCACAAAGAAAGCATACCCAAAATGATAATGTCCATAATTGGCCACGTTTATTTAATATATTTAATTTTCAGTCTCATCCATCAGTTTTGCAAAGATTATTTTTGAAGTCTAGAAAATTTCTATCTACTCTGATGTCAGCAGCTGTTCCTACAACTAAAATTAGCATTTTAATAATTTCAACAGAAGTTTAAAAACCCCAACAAGATAGATCATTTTGTTTCTAAATCTCTTCATGTAGGCAAAAATGAATCTTTATAGATGGAGAAACTGACATTTATTAAAGCAACTATGTGCTAGGTGCTGTCTTAACAGTGCATACACGAACATGATTCTTCCCCTTTTTGGAGGCTAAGTCTGATGGGAAAGACTATTAACCAAAATAATAATCATGAGACAATGTGATAAACACTGTGAAGAAGTGATAGAATCACAGAAGACGGGTGCTGAAGGGGGCGGGGCTCATGCAGGAGGTAAGCAGGAACAGATTACTGTTCGGTGAAAGTCTTCCAGAGAAAGCGGCTAAACTGGGTAAGGGTGTGTGCCACAGGAGGCCTTAAAAAAGATGACTGAAACGCACTGAGATTTGCAAGGGTGAATACTAAACCACTTGTGGGAAACGTAGTGACTGACTAAAGTGGCAAGGAAGGTGGGACCAGAGATTCAAGGACTGGGAACGATGCCAAATCCAAGTGACAAATCTAATTTATATTTTAGAAACATTACTGCCTTGTGACAAACTGTAAACATCTTTTGAGCAGAGACTTATTAGCAATGCTCACACACATGTTGATAATATCTCCTACTCAACCAAAATAGTGAAATACTGTTTTCGCCTCATCTCATCTCGCTTACTCCTCATTCAAACTAATGACACAGCCCTTCTTTCTATGCCTTAGGTTCATTCCTGCCTGAAGACCTTTGCTCCTGTTATTCTCTTTATTTAGAACAATCTGCTTACGCATGGTTGGTCCCTTGTCATTTAGGTATCACAAAGTACAATTTATAAGTGGTTAGCATGTTAACGGGGGAACAGACCAGGAAGGATAAATTAATTTCATTTAACCATTCTTTCATCAAACTTCTTAAGGGATGGTAAGAGAAAACTGATGCTTTTAAATTCATCTTTGTCTCTTCCAACATCCACAACTAATGTGAAGTAGTAAAGCGGCAAGAAGAGCAGTAGGAAGGTTTTAAAAGCCTGTTTAACTCTCAGCCCTTCAACCCACGAGTTTGGCTCATTCAAGTCCACTTTTCAGTAATAGGAACCTGAAGACAATCCCAGAGCAGCAGCTGGAATTTTTCTCCACTATAGACAACTGTTTCCCACTCACCACTAGAGGAAATTCTTAGAAAAAGGACTTGAACAGACTTTACTTGCTATCCATCCAGTTCCGCAGCGACTCCGTAAGCACAAAGTTTGCCTTAGCGAAAGGTAACTGAGAAAGAACCAGACCAGAGTGCCAGCCTCCCCCGGCTTTACTCCGCGAAAGCCGAGGCTAGACCCAACGACTTGCGGAAACCGTCCCTTTCTCCCTACCAACTTATCTTACCTCTCTGTAAGTCCAACTTGGTTTCGCGGACATAATTGTCCGGATTCCGGCTCAGCATCTTCACCTTCATCTCGGTTGCTCTTCCGGCCGGACTCCACGAGGTGTCCGCTAGGAGTTCCGCCCACCGCCACCTCCTCCCACAGGCGACTTCCGCTTTTCCCAGACTACTTCCAGTCACGTGACTCGCGGAGCGGCGGCCTGCTGGCTCAACTGGATCCTGCGCCGCTCCGTAGTTTTGCCGGCAAACGTTAGCAAGGGGCGGTTCTTTAGCTGTGCAGTCGCTTCCGCGTCCGTGGGCTGGAGCATTTGTGGGCGAGGCAGGGCGGAGACTCGGGAGAGGCTGGGACCTCCCCTCCATCGCGCTTTCCGCCGGCGTGACGTAGTGTCTGTGCCCCGTTCTTGCCCCCTCAGTACTAGAGTCTCCGGCTTCGCTCACGCGCCTTGGGCATAAGAGTCCTCTCGTTGGTCCCGGAGGTGGGGTTGCGCTCACAAGGGGCGACCGTCGCCACGGTGGCGGCCACTGCATCGCGTCCCACCTCCGCGGCCCTGGGCGCCGTGGTGTCGACGGGCCCCGAGCCTATGACGGGCCAGGGCCAGTCGGCGTCCGGGTCGTCGGCGTGGAGCACGGTATTCCGCCACGTCCGGTATGAGAACCTGATAGCGGGCGTGAGCGGCGGCGTCTTATCCAACCTTGCGCTGCATCCGCTCGACCTCGTGAAGATCCGCTTCGCCGGTAAGAGCCCGCCCAGACACCGGGCTGCATCCTCTCACTGTCAGCCCGAACTGGATCTCCTCCGTCTTTTCCGTTCTAGGGGGAGGAGGAGCGTTGAAGGGAGCGTTGCTGTCCGCGTTGGCTAACCTGAACTAGATTTGAGGAAATGGTGCTTGGTGGAGGGGTCGGCCTGCGATCTTCCCCGCTCCTCAAGACTAAGAGAGGGGGCATGTATGTAGAGAAGTCTGAGAAAAAACATCCTCATTGGCAGAGAAGATGGGATTCAAAGCCTGATTTGTAAAATAAAGAAGGGATTGTCACATTTTAAGGTTTAGTCCTCACACGTGCAAATCATTCACTCTTGGAGGAACTTTGAAATCTTAGCATACCCACGTGGTTTGGCAGCTCGACTAGTATTGGGATAGGGCGTAATCTTCAGCGAATGGTTGGGAGTAGATTTAGAATAGAATTCTCTTGAATGTTTGTTTTTTGGCATTTGTAGAATGGTACAAGTTTCTGTGAAAAAATAGCTAGAATCGAAATACTATTTTAAGTGTATTAGATGAATTGAGTATGTTGAAATTAACAAAGCATTTTAGAAGTTAAACTCAACACTAAAGTCTGGAAAGAGTTTCAAAGATGATCTTTGATAACTGAAATTGCAGAAAATAGTTTCCAAATAAAGTTATTACAAGTTAAGTTCAGCCTTGAGAATTAAATCTACAGAAGTTGTTTATTTTAGCATTAGGCAATTCAGTTCACTTGATTTATATTCTCTTAATATTTGTAGACTGCTGTATGGGCTACAGAAGTATCTAATAAAGTTCTTGCCTTCAGGGAACTTAGAATTTAATTGTAGGCGTTAGACTTAGTCATATAAAAGGTAATTCTAGACAACATAAAATCAAGAAATACAAAAACAAAATATAAATACAGGTAAACCGTTAAGAAAATTCTACATTACTGATGGCCATGTGTATCTTTAAGGTTCAGTGGAAGATTGGGGCTTGGGGTTTCCCATAGAAGGGCTAATATTTTGACAGCTGGAGAGGAAGCAAGAACCCGTTCTATGAAGGAAAATCATCGAAAATTATGGAGTATTATCTCTAGAAAAAACACCACAAAGACATATAATGTCATGAAGTTTTATGATGCATGCACAAATAATTATGTTATTGACAAGTAATCTTTATCGAGTATTTACTAGGAGCAAGGCAGTGAACTATGCTTTAGATGCATTATCTCATTTATTATCCTGTAAATCTATTCACAGGAACAATCCTGTGAGTTTATGATATCTGCTATACAGATGAGGATAACAGAAGTTGACTAACTTGCCCAAGTCACAAGTTTGTAAAGATGGATCTGGGATTTAAACCCAGGTAATCTAACTCTGGAACCCTCTGGCACTTAACCCCTCACCGTATTACCTCTATAAGTACCTGTTATACAATGGTTTGAACATTGGAAGAATTTTAGACTTGCCTGCAGGTGCAGGCCTGTATGACTTGCTGTCTGTCTTCAGTAGCATTTTATCTAGGAGCAGAAGAGGTGATAGTCGAGGTGATCATTGAAGAATAGTGTGGTTGGCCTGATGAGTTTAGACAGTGCTTTGAAGCATATCATTCCTGAGGAAAGGGAATTCTTGGTACCTGAGAAGATTAATAGTCTTGATGAATTGGGAAGAGTATTAGGAGACTAGTGGGGCTGAGGTGACAGATAAAAGGATTGAGTTTGGATTGGAGGCCTAAATTAAAGATCCAGGAGTGGAAGCAGGACTTTGTAATAATAAAGCTCACAGTGTAGCTGTGAAATGGTGATAGGAGGAAAACTTAAGAAGATGAATAACGAAATAAAAATTTATTGATTATCAACATCAGTGCTGAGTAACATACTATAATTTTTATGCTTCCATGTAATTAAACTCATTTAATAAAGTTAAAATCTAATGATGACAGGGTGTGGGGGTTAATTCTGAATGCATGTGCTATTAAACCAAACCTGGAATTTTTCTGTGAGTTCAAGTATAAATTGGAACTCAGAGGTGTCCAGAGTGGTAGAAAGATTAGAAATTACTTCATATGAAAAATGACTGGAGGAACTAGTTTAGCTCGGGAGAGAAAAAAACCTCAAGATATTTAGAGAACTTACATGTGGGAAAGGGGGCTGCCTTATTGTGGGTTGATCCTAAGGTCAGACACAGGTTGAGTGGAAATTACAAGGAAGCAGATTTTGGTTTGGCAATGTGGCAGTGCTCAGAAATGAAATTGATGATGATCAGAAGTGGTTCAGATAGTAGTTGGATGACAGAAGTTAGAAGATATTCTTGTATTAGGTGGAAAGATTGGATTGGATGATTATTCAGGCCCCTTCTAACTTTACTCTGTAATTTTAAACCCTCAAGAATGATGAGAGAGCCCCAACAAAGAATGAGATGTAAAAATAGTAATTTTCTCAAATACCCAAAAGCCTAATCTGCAAGTTAAAGTTGTGTGTGAGCTTTTGTGAAGAATGTAGAGACTATGACTACATCCAAAATATTAAGGAACCAAAACGTAAAATTCAGTAACAGTAGTGCCGAGTAAAGTTGTGTAAGTATGTGGTATCGCAAGACCCAGTAGCATAAATAAACTAGTACTTACAGAGTGCTTGCAATATGTCAGGCATAATTCTAAGAGCTTTATATGTACTAACTGATTTAATCCTTTATAATTTTTAGAGTTAGGTTCTATTATTTTTTCCTATCTTACAGAAAAACTCAGGCACAGAGCAATCAAGTGACTTACTCAGGGTTGCAAAGTAATTGCTAGAACTGGGATTCAAGCTCAGAAAGTCTGTTTCCGTAACATATGCTGTTAGTTTGAAACCATGAGTGGGTAGTTTGGTATAGCTAAAGGGTAAATTAAAATGCTAGAGATGGAAATAAAGAATGATTCCAGAAAGTTAAGCTGCCAGATTGACATTATCTTTTATGCCATGTGAAAATGGAAACTGGCAGTAGAACCACAACCCTTAGTAGGGCAGGATGTTAGGAATAAGAGACCAGGACTAGAAGCACAGGGATGGCAGTTGAAGCCACTTAATGGTTGAGACACCACCCCTATTTGGTGGAAATTGTGCCTATAAATCAGCATTTAAGGATGGGCAGAGAAAAGGGGGCCAAGGAAATTTATTGGCAAAGAAGCAAGAGGACATTCAAGAAAATGTGGTGTTAAATGAGCCAGAAGAGAGGGATTTACACAATATCAGGTGTATTAAGGGGTTCCTAAGAAAGAGAGAACTCCAAAGTGCCTTTGAAGGTTCTTAATTAGAGCGCTTGCAGTAATTGGTAAAGCTCAAACCAGATTGCAGCAGGGGTGAGAGAGTCCCTGCTGAGATTGTCTCGGGGGCCAGGGAGGGGCTGGTTTTCTCATTGCAGACACTTACCTGATAAGGGGGCACTGAGATCAAAGAGGAAATACTTAGGAGAGACTTAAGTCTATTTAAATACTAATGGGAAAGAACTGAAATCAAGGAAGAAATTGGGAAATGGAGGCAGGAGGATAAAGAGTAACGTATCTAACTAAGGTGGGTTATCTGAAGAAGCAGGATCTAGAACAAGCATTTTTGACCAGAACGCTTAGTAGGAAATAAATTTTACCTTTGCTATCCACACACAAACATTACTGAAACACAAGTTTCATGAAACATTACTTATCCTTAACTACTTGTAATGTCATTTATATTTGTTTTCAATTCCAGTCTGGTTTTAAAGAAAAGATACTGGCAATCTGTTCAATTGGTTTCTTGATTCATCTGCAATTTTAAAAACACCAATATAGAGCACAGGTAGGGGGGAGATTAATTTTATTAAGAGAGACAAACTTGTCACAGAGGAAAGGAGGGGTAAAACTAACATCCAGCAAATGAAACAGGTTGTGTAAGGGTGATAGTGCTAGATGATAATTTTTTTAAAGTCATTATATTGTCTTTCTTTGAAAATGAATTTAAAATTAGTGTCCTGTCTTGGCTCCTTTCTGTACACCAAACTTTTTATCTTCAGCTTGTGTCCATTGGCATTTTTTTAGTGCTGTGATAGGCCATTGTAAGTTATTTGATAGGTACTTAGATCTACATACTAATTCATTAGTGGCAAATGTTTTTAAAATGATCATGAGGTCATTTAAGCCAGTGGTCCCTAACCTTTTTGGCACCAGGGACTGATTTCATGGAAGACAATTTTTCCATGAACGGGGGTGGAGGAGGTATGGATGATTTCAGGATGAAACTGTTTCACCTCAGATCATCAGGCAATAAATTCTCATAAGGAGTGTGCAGCCTAGATCCCTTGCATGTGCAGTTCACAATAGGGTTCGAGATTCTGTAAGAACCCAATGCCACCACTGATCGGACAGGAGGCAGAGTTCAGGCAGTAATGCAAGCAATGGGGAGCAGCTGTAAGTACAGATGAAGCTTCGCTCGTACTCCGCCCACCTAGGTCACCTGCTGCTGTGTGACCCAATTCCTAACAGGCCATGGATTGGTACCCGGAGTTGGGGACCCCTGATTTAGACCAAAAAAATTTACTGTATTTTATCGATATAACAATTTTAATTTTATGTTAGGGAGATTATAGTTCAGCATTGGTTTATACCTATGAAAAGAACAGGTAGTGTTTTTATGGTTGGTTTTGCTTTTTACCTCAAGAGAGAAATGGTATTGTGAGTTTATTATTGAGAGGAAAATGGAAAGTTCTTAGAAAAAGGGATCTATACAGAAGAATGAGACACACAGAATCCAGGGGAAGCATCAGAAAGTTTATAAACTATGCAGGAAAACCTTTCTCAAGAGCCTGTCATTCTGCTGCCTGCCTTTAAACTTGTTGTCTTATATAAACCTCAAAAAACCCGGTGAGGTACATGATTTATCCCCATTTTATAAGTGAGGATGCTGAAGCTCAGAAAGGGTAAGACCATGTAGCGAATTAGGGAGGTTACGTATCAAACCCAGGTCTTCTGACAAAACCTGATGTACTTTAATCTCCCTTCATGCTGTAACGTTGGCAGGTTAATGATGAAAGAAATTGACTTTTCCCCCTTTTCCTGGCAATGGTAAATAGTGATCCTTCTTTGCCAGGCTGGATTATACACAGTGAGGTAGTGGCAAGGGGACAGTGAACCAGGGATGCTGGTATGGCTAGTGGAGTGTAATTTGTATAAACTTTCTGGAAGGCAGGTTCAATACGTATTTGTAACTTAAGTTTATACCCATTGACCCATATCAGTTCCCTTTCTAATAACTAATTCTAAGGCAGTAATAAGCATTCATGCAGATTGTTGTACGGAATGTTGTTTAGAGGACTTTTTATAATAGCCAAAAAAAAAAAGAATTCATAGGTCAGGTGGAGAAATGACTGTGTAAATCATGGGATATCTATAAGATGGAAAACCATAATGTCATATGTTAAAATCTTATTTGGGGGAATCTGTTGAATAACAAGGGGGAGTGCTCACAAATAATCTTGAGTGGAAAACAAAGCTGTATACAAAATTATATATAGTAAAATTACAAGTTTGGATATCCTGTAGTATAATGTAGAATGGTATGCATAATGTAGAATGCCGTTGCCGATTACTGAGATACTTAATACTCTACTTATAGAATTAAGTGATTTTTCAAAGCAGTAAATAATTGATACTGTATTATTCCTTGTGGTTTTCTATAACCTGCTCACACCTTTGTAATTAGTCCTTTTAACTACCCCTCATGCCCTAGAGTTACCCTATTTTGAATGTGCTTTCTGTTTCCTACAGAGAGATGAAATGAAAAGTGCCAGATTTATAATCTAGATTATATTTTTTACAAAATTAGCAAGAAGACTACTTTAAATGCTGATGATACTAGTTGAAAACTGATGGTATCTCAAAGTAGGATGATGGCAGTGTGAACTGAGACATAGACAGGTGCAAGAGAAATTTGTGATGTGGAATCAAAAGGACTTGTTATTTGATAAAAAGGGATGGGAAGGAGGAGGGTTCATGGATAGTCCCCAGGTATCTGGTGTGGGCATCAATGCAGATGATGATGGCGTTTGTTGAGTTATATGGAACACTCTAGTAAGAGCAGCTTCAGAAGGGATGGGGAAAACTAGTTCAATTTTGGATATGTTCAAGTGAAATGCTTTTCTACTTTCTACTTGGATTTTGACATATGTTGGTGGGGAGGATAGAAAGAATTTCCAGGAAAAAAAGTTTACCCCATCCTCTGCATTTTCTTTCCTGCCACTCCTCAGTCTTGATAGCATTCGATATAAATTGAGGCTCCTAGCTAGTTTATTTTTTGAGTAATATTTTTTAACATTCAAATCCTTAACCTTGGAGCAAAAACAAAACCTAAGTGTTGAAACCTAGTTACCTAAGAGACTTTTGGATTAAGAGCTAATCTAATATTTCCTTAAATATTATTTGAGTGCTTAGTATGCCCTCAATAAACACTTGAATAAATTCATGAATGTAGTAGTTTTAAAATATTAAAGCCTGGGCTGGGCATAGTGGCTCACACCTGTAATCCCAGCACTTTGGAAGGCCGAGGTGGGTGGATCACCTGAGGTCAGGGGTTTGAGACCAGGCTGGCCAACATGGTGAAAGCCTGTCTGTACTTAAAAAAAAAAAAATACAAAAATTAGCTGGGCATGGTGATGTGTACCTGTTATCCCAGCTACTAGGGGAGCTGAGGCAGGAGGATTGCTTGAACCTGGGAGGCGGAGATTGCAGTGAGCCAAGATCGTGCCACTGCACTCCAGCCGGGGCAATAGAGCGGGACTCTGACACAAAAATGTATATTTTACATATTTATATATATATATATTTATATATATATGTAATATATATATAAAAGCCTGGAAAATAATTTTTTCTACCTAAAAAAGTTTTTCTTCTAAGTTTATCTCCTTTATATAACCAATTGTACAGTGTCTGTGTTTATATGTGATACAGAGCTAGAACTTTGTTCTTACCTGACTTTGTGTATCCCTTGATGCAGTGAGTGATGGATTGGAACTGAGACCGAAATATAATGGAATTTTACATTGCTTGACTACCATTTGGAAACTTGATGGACTACGGGGACTTTATCAAGGAGTAACCCCAAATATATGGGGTGCAGGTTTATCCTGGGGACTCTACTTTTTCTTGTGAGTAGATTTGGGAGATTTTACAGTATTAAATTAAAAAGGAATTTTTGTTTTCGGTGATTTTTACATGTAAATGTAAAATGATAAGTTGAGTCATTTAATCAGTTTCTCTGAATTGGAAGGATCAGGAAGAACAAAATGGCTGATTAGTTATTTGATTAGTTTGATTCAAAATGGCTTATTAGTTTGATTATCAGATGCCTATTAATAGCTAATGGCTTATTAGCTATTATCAGAGGCATTATTTGGTCTGGAAGAAAATTCTTAATAGGAAAAAGGCAAAGAGATGAGGTGGAATGATACTTTTAGAGAAGCCATTTCTGTGAGGTGAATTCAGGAAGATGAAATGTATAACTGATTACTTTTGTAAGCTAAATACATATTAAAGAGAGCTTTTTATTTTAGTTAAAGCCATTTGAAAAACAGCCAACTCCAGATAATTCACAATGAAATTGTAGGGCCCCATCGGTGTTTTATTAGGTGTTTTGGCCATATCAATACATACTTGTGAGCATTTCTAATTAGAGTCAAAATATTACTAGATTAGAAAAAGTTGAATCAGTCGGTTTGTTATTTATTAGTGATTTTGGAAAGTGATGTAGAGACTGGAAGAGCCTGCAGCTGTTGTCCAAAATGAATCCTGTGGATTTCAGCTCTCTTTGGTATTCAATTTTGATAAAGAAAGATTGTTTAAATAACTAAGTTATTTTTTCCGTTTATCAGAGATTAGTTCCGGAGTGTCCCAAATAGAAAATTTTATAAATACTGAAGTATCATTAATTACTTGTTTATCCTCAACCAGATTCCCAAGATATTTGAGATGGCTTACAAAAATACATTTGTTTATGATGAAGGTGGAAAAACAGAGAGGATAGACCTTAGGGTCCTCATATGAATAGGTACCACAGGAAATCGCTGTTGGGAACAGAAAGCAAAAGCCAGTGCATGGCCTAAAGGGTTTGAGGCAAATTGTTTCTTCTTGTTTGACCTGCCCCATCATCTTCCCAGCTCATTGCTTTCCTTACTCCTTCACCAGTCAGATATCATCACCATTTAAAATAACTGCTCTCACCTGCCTCCTGAAGAAGCCATAGAAAGTTCCTGTGGCAGGCACATTCAGCTTATTTAGTGAACAAGAACATGGACACAAACCATCATCGCACTGTATTGCAGGAGCATGTGCTGCTCTGAGCACGCCTCTGATCTGTGAAACTGAAACCATGAATAAGGAAGCTTTTCTTTGCTTCAACAGATTTCATTTTTAGGAAAACATCAGTATCTAGTGTATTTGCCTTTGTCTTCTTTGTGTCATATATTTTGCTTGATCTCCCATAAGTTTATGGCAGTATCCAAACCAATCTTAAAGTATCTTTTAAGTGAAAGCAAAATAAAATTCAGCCTTAAAATTGTTTAAATATTTTTTCTCTTTTTCTTCTCTTTAGAGAGGTGTGTGTGAAACTATATACACACACACCCCCCTTGACATATATATGTGTGTATAGAATGTATGTATATATGTATATATAGATATGTTTATGTATATGTGTGTGTGTATATATATATATATACACACACACACACACATCATGAATTTGAGTTGTATAGATTCTTCAAGACAGCTTCTAAGGACAAGCCATATAAAATTTTTGTGATAAGAATTTCTTGGGCCAGGTGCAGTGGCTCACACCTGTAATCCCAGCACTTTAGGAGGCCAAGGTGGGAGGATCACATGAGTCTGGGAGTTCAGGACCAGCCTGGGCAACATAGTGAGACCTCCATCTCTTCAAAAAATTTAAAAAAGAATTAGTCTGGCATCATGATGCTGCATGCCTGTAGTCTTAGCTAATTAGGAGGCTGAGGCAGGAGGATTGCTTGAGCCTAGAAATTCAAGGTTACAGTGAGCTATGATTGTGTCACTGCACTCCAGCCTGGGTGATAGAGTGAGACTCTGTCTCTGAAATAAAAAAAAAAAGAAAGAATGTGTTCACTTGACATCGTCATCCAAGAGAAAAGTAGAAATCGGCATTAAAGGAAATAGGCTGATTTGACTCCCTTACTCTGAAACATTTAATGGATATTTTCTACCAAATAAAATGCAAATCTCAATCTACCACTCAAGTGTGGCCAATTTTCCCTGTCTTCCCACCCACCCTTATTACTTTTCACCATGCTCATCTTTTTCCTTGTTGAAACTGTGCCTGTCTCAATACCCAGCTCAATACTACCTCCTACACAAAGCCTTCTGTGATCTCAGTCATAATTCCTGAATTTCTTCTATTGTCTGTGTTGTCTTTTATTATGATTTATTTGTGTGCCACTTAATAGTCCTTATTAATTTGTTAAGAAAAATTCATCACTTGTTTATCTTTTTATCATCTATTAGAAAGCTAACTATAGTACCTGAACGTAGGTGCTCAGTATATATTTGTTAGGTACCCCTTCTTTGGTCCCTTTTGTCTTTTATGGCCAGTCTGTGTACCACTACTGTACTCTCCCCTCCTCCCAGTTTCCTTGTCTTTTGAAGTTAATTGATGAGTGTCTGATTAAAATATTTTACATTTGTATTGCTAGCCGTATTCATTTGAGAGGGAGGGGTGGTATAATCTTGCAGCAAACCACTTCCAGCAAATTCATTCTTGAAAAAGGTCTCATTTTGTGGTTGCATTATGCATTGACTTGTGCTTTTGGGGTACTGCTGTTGACTTACATACACTTTAAAACAGACTTAATGACACCTATTCAAATTAAACTGCTCACATTTAATTCTTTTAGTTACAATGCCATCAAGTCATATAAAACAGAAGGAAGAGCTGAACGTTTAGAGGCAACAGAATACCTTGTCTCAGCTGCTGAAGCTGGTAAGGCAATGTGTGAAATATAAAAATGTCACCTTCCAAACTTAATTTTCAGTTTTGGTTTTTGATTTCTTTTCTTTGAACACCTGAGTTTAAATATGCCCATCTAACTGTATTAAATCAGTTACATGGAATTTCTGTTTTTTTTGTTTGTTTGTTTTTCGGTTTTTGGTTTTTTTTTTTGAGGCGGAGTTTCGCTCTTGTCGCCCAGGCTGGAGTGCGGTGGCGCTATCTCGGCTCACTGCAACCTCTGCCTTCGGGTTTCAAGCGATAATCCTGCCTCAGCCTCCTGAGTAGCTGGGACTACAGACACGTGCCACCACGCCCAGCTAATTTTTTGTATTTTTAGTAGAGATGGGGTTTCACCATGTTGGCCAGAATTGTCTCGATCTCTTGACCTCTTGATCCACCTGCCTCTGCCTCCCAAAGTGCTGGGATTACAGGCATGAGCCACCACGCCTGGCTGTTATATGGAATTTCTTAGCAGAAATTATTATGATTACTCTGTGCAGATTTCAAGAATTTTACTCATGACAAAGTGGTAAAGTTTAGAAAAGTTATGAATCCCTAATGGTTTAAAATGATTTGGTATAGTGTTTCTTTAAAGTATAATTTTAATTTTCAAATTATACAATTTAGTAGCCTTGTTTAATCGCCTCACTTATGTATACTATCCAGAAGGAAAAAACAGTAAGAGCCGTAAGTCTTTGTAACTCCTACTTTAATACCTTGATTTCTTAATGTTGATTAGTCAAAACCTAACTTAATCATTTTTGAACACATAGCCACTAGCAAAAACCTGAGTCATAACAGGACCAAATATTTGTTGAATAAAGGACTACTTAGGAAACCTGGCAAATGAGAAACTTAACCAGATGAATTTTTTAATAAAATTGTCACTCTATAAAGGATGTAAAATGTGACTTACTGTATTACATAATTATTTAATTTTTGAGGGGTAGTAGTTACTTTGGATTTGAGGAAGATTGTGATAAAGTTGGGGTAGATATATGTGTCACATGCACAGATTATTGGGGTGCCAGATTCCTGGTTCTTTTCGCCTATCTTCAACCCCTCTGGGATTATACCATGTGCTACACCTAAGGTCTGTATCTGCTTACCATCTGTTCTCTGCACCAGGCCACGTTGTTTAGGAGTCAAGACATTTTTGCTATCCTTACACTTCAAAGAGAAAGCATTTCACATTTCCATCTCCCTTTTAATTTACCTCTAGCTAACTGCATGAGGAACTTTTTATGACTACCAAAAACAATGTCTACCTTTTGACCCTAAGACTGTGCCTCAGAAACTACATTTCACAGTTTCAGATATGGTCCTGTGCATTATCTTTTTTTTTTTTTTTTTTTTTACATAAATGTACTGTTTCTAATTTGGGTTGTCATAAGTGCGAAAGTATCTGTATGCTGAATAATCTTATTGAAATCTCATTTTAGGAGCCATGACCCTCTGCATTACAAACCCATTATGGGTAACAAAAACTCGCCTTATGTTACAGTATGATGCTGTTGTTAACTCCCCACACCGACAATATAAAGGAATGTTTGATACACTTGTGAAAATATATAAGTATGAAGGTGTGCGTGGATTATATAAGGTAACAAATTATCAATATATTTTAAATAACTGAAAAATTTGAATTTCCGTTGGCTCTGTTGTCTTAGTTCTGAATGACCTATAGTAAGTCCTAAAAAGAAGCCACACTTAGGCAAAAAACAATTTAATGAAAACTGAAATATAGTTAATAATACTGAAATTGTACTTTAAGCTGTTTGTCCCCATTAACATAGGATGTATCATCATGACATTGGTGGGCATGAGATCTGTCTAAAACTTTGTCAAGTTTCTATTTGATAAGTTATACAACCAGGTCACTTATTCCTTACTCCATTCCTTGGAAGCTGTGGTCTCTTGGGGACCTGGGATAATGTAGTCTGGAGAAGACATTAGCAGTTCTAACAGGATCTTATTTTATTGAGTTTTTTTATTCATCTCAAATCTTACATAAATTTAAAAATAACGAAACAAATCAAACCCAGCCTTTTGCCTGTTGTAATATTTTAAAAATTTTTTTCCTAGTGTCAGATCTGTTTTCTGATTTTATAACTCCTTTTTATTTTCCCCTTTTCTGCCTTCTATTCCCATCTATTGCTTATCCCCATAAAGAAATTTTTAGGCATACATAGGTTAAAATCAAAATTAGACACATTGAATTTCAGTTTGTTTTTCAAGAATTGAGTAATAGCTTTTAAAATCATTTTAAGGCTGATATGATTTTACTGACCTATAAGCAAGAATTTTATAAATATATTATTTTTATGTTTTTTCGTCACTTTCTGCCTTATTCTTTCAGAATACCTATGCTCAGTTCATTGATTTACCATTACCTTTAGTTTCTTAACTTTCCAGAATTTAGTTTCCCACTCACACCTCAAGTCTTGACAGTGTGGGTCTTCTTTATATGTATACTGTTTAAAGAAAAACTAATATGTGAACATCCAAACCTTTAAAAATAAAGTAGAAGAGAATACTACCCATGTCTTTATATTACAAGTTTTTAACCCCATATTTTAAAAATGTGATTTGTGCAAAATTAAATGAATTTGCTTAAAGTGCTGTAATGAGAGAGAAGAGAAAGTATTTTACTTAAATATATTGTTCTTCAAACGTATGTTGTTTTGCTTTTTAAAAATCATTCCCTTGTAGGGATTTGTTCCTGGGCTGTTTGGAACATCGCATGGTGCCCTTCAGTTTATGGCATATGAATTGCTGAAGTTGAAGTACAACCAGCATATCAATAGATTACCAGAAGCCCAGTTGGTAAGATTATTCTTGTAAAAATGATATCATTTCCTTTTATGGGTATTTAATAGGTAGAAATTTTTGTCATGCTTACTTTGGTGGTAGTGCTATGATGATGAGTACTGGCTCTGCCACTGATTTAATTTATAGTTAAATATTTATAGGCTGAAGCCACACAAATGTCAAAAATAGAATCCCTTAAAGATCCATTTAAATGTTTTTTGTATATAATTTTTACTTCTGTATTTTTAAAGAAATCCTGTCTAAAGAAAAAACTGTTTTGTATTGCCATTTTAGAGCACAGTAGAATATATATCTGTTGCAGCACTATCCAAAATATTTGCTGTCGCAGCAACATACCCATATCAAGTCGTAAGAGCTCGTCTTCAGGATCAACACATGTTTTACAGTGGTGTAATAGATGTAATCACAAAGACATGGAGGTGAGAGCACGTGCTATATCAAAAATTGCTTTGACAAGGTACCTTGCATATCTTAGACCATCCTGTTGATACTAGTTTTATAGCAAAGGCCAGTTTGCTGTGGTGAAAACATGATTGGTGGTCCCTGCTTTCCCAGTTATTACGTATGTGACCATGGCCTTAATCTCTCTGAGACTTAATTTCTTCATTTGTAAAGTAAGACTTTCTAACTAATAGGTTGTTATAAGAATCAAATTAAATGTGTGAAAATGTTTTGGAAAATAAAATTTAGGTGTTATAAAATATCTGAATGGTATTGAATATAAGAAGTCATAAGACTAGCTTAATACATTCAAGAAGGCTCCACACCTGCTACTGGCACCATAACTTTTGCAAATACTTGTTTCCATATATGAAAGAGATGTTTGTTCTTCAGTATGAGACTAGTTAAATTATTATAGGCAGACATCACCATATTTCCCTTTAATTCTAAAGGAACAGAGGAGAACATTTAGGATGTTTAAATTTAATTCAATTCAAGAAATATTTAATGAGCACCTAAGTGACAAATTTCTAGGCCGTATTCCATATTATTGGCATTAAGGAAATAAAGTTTTATATTTGTATGTGCTGTATTTAATGTTGGCTAGCATTTATCCAAGCTATGAGGTTTTTTAATGCCTACATTAGGTCAATTAAAACTCCTGCTTGTACATACATTTAAAAGCATTTGAAAGATAGCTAATTGAAAGCACTTTTTAGTTCAGTTTTGAGGTGTCCCTACCCTCTCTTACTCAGTCCATCCATAAAAGGAATGTAAATCCCTACAGATGGCTTATAAACTACATTACTTTAGGACATTGAAAACATGAACTTAAATCAGAGTAAGGTTTGACTGCTGCTTGCTCCATGCCTTGTGTCAGTTAGAACTTCCGTGTTTTCAAGCTAGCTCTATACAAAATTAAGCATTATCTATTTTTCCCTCTAAAGGAAAGAAGGCGTCGGTGGATTTTACAAGGGAATTGCTCCTAATTTGATTAGAGTGACTCCAGCCTGCTGTATTACCTTTGTGGTATATGAAAACGTCTCACATTTTTTACTTGACCTTAGAGAAAAGAGAAAGTAAGCTCAAAGAGGACAATTCCAGTATATCTGCCCAAGGCAGCAACAAGCTCTTTTGTGTTTAAGGCATAAAAGAAGAATTCTGCATAGAAACATGGCTCATATTCGAAATTGCTCTATAGTCATTAGAAGCCAGAGAACTGCTAAGTCTCCTGCAATGTTTTTCTTGCTTTTTGCCTTCCCCATATATATGGAACTTGGCTACCTCTGCCTGAAATGGCTGCCATCAACACAATGTTAAAACTGACACGAAGGATAGAGTTTCACAGATTTCTACGTTTTATTGGTGGAAGCTGATTTGCAACATTTGCTAAATGGATTAGATGAATGTACTTCTTTTTGTGAGCTTACTTGCCTGGATTGCTTTAAAATTAACCTTTGTGCAATACCAAGAAAATAGCTCTTTAAAAGAATGTCTTTGTATGTCTCAAGGTAAATTAAGGATTTACTGAATAAGGTGTTGACCAAATCCAGACCATTTTATTTTATTTTTTTATTTATTTATTTTTTGAGATGGAGTCTTGCTTTGTCGCCCAGGCTGGAGTGCAGTGGCGTGATCTCAGCTCACTGCAACCTCCACCTCCCGGGTTCACGCCATTCTCCTGCCTCAGCCTCCTGAGTAGCTGGGACTACAGGCACCTGCCACCACGCCTGGCTAACTTTTTTTTATATTTTGAGTAGAAATGGGGTTTCACCATGTTAGCCAGGATGGTCTCAATCTCCTGACCTTGTGATCCGCCTGCCTTGGCCTCCCAAAGTGCTGGGATTACAGGCGTGAGCCACTGCGCCTGGCCAGACCATTTTAGAATTGGGAAATTTTAGTGAGAAAAAATGCACTGTAAATATGCTTTAGTTTTAATTCAGTTGGGATGCACTACCTAGCGAAAATTGAGAAACTATATACTTCTCAGAGAAATATCTGACATCTATTGTCATTCCATTGCTATTTTTTTTCCCCAGAGACTTCCATAATTTAAAATAAAATCCTAGATCCAGTTCTTGTTTTTTGGCATAAATACTTAATCTATTTTAAATTTATAAAATCTGAGCTTCTAGGATCCAGCTGTGTCAACCTTTATTTAGCATATATAACTATAAATCACTTATTACAGATGCTAAATAGATCACCTTTTACAGATGCTGAAATGTTTGGGATATGTTTGTTGACAAGGTAAATGGAAATGAGAAACTTTATACTTCAGTTTTCAGATATATGGATCTAGATCCCAAATAAATGATTAATCTTCATTGGTTTCTCAAATTCAGGTTGAAATACAAATTAATAGCCTTTATTGATTTTACTTTTATGAGTCATTGTAGACATCTATAAATATAAAAGGGCCTGTACCCAAAGGATGCCAGAATACTAGTATTTTTATTTATCGTAAACATCCACGAGTGCTGTTGCACTACCATCTATTTGTTGTAAATAAAAGTGTTGTTTTCAAAGCCATCTTTAAATAGTTCTTTAAAAATAGGTCTTTTTTTTATATTTTGGAAAAGGCATTGTTTTTAAAGTAAAGATAAAATGGTAAGTACCTAATTGTATTTACTGTAATATCTTATAACATGCAGATGAATGCTTTATAAGTTAAATATGATGTATTTTTTCATACTTCTGGATTATACTATAATTCATATGAAATCTTGATATTAGTCCCCACACGGAAAAAGTGAACTGCAGTTGATATTTGGTGTTTAAGATAGCACCATTGTTTAAATACCGCCTATGTACTCCCAAATGAATAAAACATAATTCTTGTCCTCTGAGAGCATACAAGCTTGTGTGATAGATAAATATGCATTAAATAATTACAGCTATAGATTAAGAACTCGTAAGGAATATCTCACAAAGCCTGGTAAGAGTTCTGACAGAAGAGAACTCAATTTCAGTCATTCAACAACAAATAGTCACTCAACTCCTGCTCTTTGGCAGGTACGTCACCAAGCACTGAGGATATAGCAATAAATAAGCCAGACAATATTCCTGCCCTCAGGGAATTTTCATCTTGGTGTAAGTGACAGAAAAGGAAATATATGCATAATGTAATTTCAGGTATTTAATGCTATAAATAAAACTACAGCAGAACGGGGGAATAGTGTTGCTATCTTAGGTAGTATGGTTGGGGTCAGGAAAGGTCTCTGAGATAGTATTTGGAACATTTTGAAAGAAGTGAGGAAGCGAGCCACAGTGAGAGGAAACACATTCTAGGCAGAGAGGACAGGAAGTAAAAAGGGCCTGAGGGAGGAATTAAGTTGGCTAGAGGGGATGGGTGAGGAGAGAGAGGAGGTTGGAGAAGTGGCCACTGCAGTATGGTGGGAAAGAGCTCAGGTGGGACAGCCAGGCCCTCTGGCTTCAAAATTCAGCTTTCCCATTTTCTGTTTGACCTTAGGCAGATCACTTCAGCCCTCTTTGTCTTAGGTTTCCTGATCTGTAAAATGGTGTCTTAGATCACTTCCTCTGTAACAATGCCGGAGATGGGGATTCTTGGGCAAGTGATTGAGGGAGCACTTTCAGGAGAAATCTGTAATGGAGTAAAGCAAGCAGGGTAAGGCCGGGGAAGAAGAGTTTCAGGAGTAGTGCAGCCTCACCCTGACTCATAGGGCACTCTGCTGAATGAATTGGGCCCAGCGTTGTCCTGCCCAGAGTTGAAGGGGCTGAGCCATTAGGTTCCCACATCAGGCTGTCACGGACCACTGGCTACAGGGAGAAAGGATGGAGGAGTGACTGTTACCTCTCCTCAGCCAAGGGCAATCCTCCAGATAAGGGTGGAGGTGTCAGTTCTTACCAGCCAACACCTACAGCAGCTAGGGTATGGGTGCACCAGTCCTGTGAAAGGGGTCTGGGTAAGTCACCAACAGCATCTACTGCAAATGAGGATATTAAAAGTACATAGCCGTAGGATTATTGAGAGGATTAAATTAATGAATTTTTAAAAGGCGCTTAGTGTGCCTGGGCCAATAAATGTTAGCAGAGACCAGGCCTTGTAGGCCATGGTGAAGAGTTTTGATTGAGAGATCATTCTGGTGATTGTATAGAGGAAACAGGAGAAAGGCAAAAAAGCAGGAATACTAGTTGGGAAGCTTTTACAAATGTCGAGTCATGAGCAGGTGGCAGCTTGGACCTGGTCGATGGAGTCTGAAGTGGTGATTTATAGCTTGGGGGAACTAGAGCAGGGTTCATGGAGGGGGAAACATTTAAGCTGGGCATTGAATGAAGATTCCAGAGGGAACCATGGAAAAAGGAAAGCACAGGTGACCTGCCTTGAACAGTGAGTTGTCAATTAATGTGATAATAAAAGGAAAAGGAAGAGAAAGATGGAAGATTGAGACCAGGACATGAGAACTCTCAGAGCCTGACAACCTATGTGGGCTTTATTGGGTAAAAGAGAAGTAAGAGTAATTAGAACAGAGAGACATGGCTACTGCTTAGGGGTGACAGAGGAAGACTGGTCAGACAGGAGGAACAAATTCAAAACAGAAGGTGTTAGTCAACCAATAGATATTTCAGTAGGATGAAGATTGATGCCACTGATAAAGCAGATTTGAATTATAGAGGCTGATGACACATTGCAAGCAACTTAGGGGGTGGGGTGACTGTAAGTATTTATTTCACTATGGGCTCTTCTTTCCTGGATTTTGGCAGATGAAAGGAAGGTAAAGAACTTTAGCTTGTAAAGGTACTGCAGTTCTACGAAGGAGTATAGGTAGGAGAGGTTGGCAAAGGGAAAACCAGAACATGGCTGTAGGGAGAACCCTTGAAGATAAAGATACAGGCTAAGGGGATGGGCACGGTGGCTCACGCCTATAATCCCAGCACTTTGGGAGGCTGAGGCGGGCGGGTCACGAGATCAGGAGATCGAGACCATCCTGGCCAACATGGTGAAACTTACTAAAAATACAACAATTAGCTGGGCGTGGTGGTGCGTGCTTGTAATCCCAGCTGCTCTGGAGGCTGAGGCAGGAGAATAGCTTGAACCAGGGAGTCAGAGGTTGCAGTGAGCTGAGATCACGCCACCGTACAACCTGGCGACAAAGCGAGACTCCGTTTCAAACAAACAAAAAAAAAAAACCAACTTGCTGGAGCTGTGCACCAGAGAATGTAATCAAAGACAATGGACAATGATGGGTACTATGCCTTGTGAAAAGAAGACTATCATATTTCAATACGTGCTTTTGTAGTCTGACAATATTTAGAAAGTCATGTCTTCTAAACACACTAAAAGAGGGATATCAACTAAAAAGTATGTTGGAGTTTATGAGTCATCAGAGTTAATATTTTCTTTTGAATGTGGACACTTAATATAAAATCCTCCAGATAAAGTATGTATTATTACCATTTTTATAACAAGGTCTCTTTAGCTATTGTAAAATAGCTTATAGGAAGAAAATCCTATGACATGATTTAGTTACCGTTATGCCTGTTTTCAAAAGATGTGTTAGGTAACATGCAGAAACTATGTGAGGTTTGGGGTTAAAGTCTTAAATTTCATTCTAAAGGCCTAAATAGGAGAAAGACTCTGGAAGTACCTGTAATGAATACCTGTTAATTGGCTGCACAGCATCCGTCTCTTCTTCCTTCTTGGAGTAGTAGTCTAAAGTTCTTTTTTTGTTGTTGTTTATTTTTTGAGACGGGGTCTCGCTCTGTCACCCAGTTTGGAGTGTAGTGACGTGATCACGTGATCATAGCTCACTGCAGGCTCAAACTCCTGGACTCAAGGGATCTTCCCACCTCATAGCTGAGACTACAGGCATGAGCTACCTCACCTGGACCCTGAATTTCTTTTTGGAACCTACCCCCTCCCTCCATTTTCAGTTTTGTGATTTAGATGGGATCAGCCTCACCTGCGCCAGAGATAGGCCCTAATAAACAGAGCCGACCTGAATGTGCCATCTCTATTCATAACGAGTGGTTTGGAATTGACATAGTTACTTAAGCTGGTCTGATCAGTGACTCTTAAAGACATTTTCCCCCTGATTACATAAATTCTCTCTTTACTGTTTCATGAATCCTCATTAGGGGTGACAGAGGAACCTCCTCATTCATGAAACAACAAAGACAGAATTTATGTCACTATACTCAAGGTGAAAGAACTTAGAGCTAATTTTTAGAGCTTCTCAAAGCCAATTTAGAATCATAGATTAAGCAGAGTTAGTTTGTCCAAAATGGAGTCAGCACCAAGGAAGTAACAATAAGAAATTGAAAGAAACGAACTAGGTACTTTGTTGTGTTGCATGGGATTCTGGATCAACCCTTACCCCTAGCAGCATGTACTTCTGGAGTTTTCAGCTGGGTGACCCAGTAGATTTCCTGGGGGTTTTTTGTTTGTTTGTTTGTTTGTTTGCTTGCTTGCTTGTTTGTTTTTGAGATGGAGTATCGCTCTGTCGCCAAGGTGGGAGTGCAGTGGCATGATCTCAGCTCACTGCAACCGCAGCCTCCCAGGTTCAAGCAATTCTCCTGTCTCAGCCTCCCAAGTACCTGGGACTACAGGCGTGTACCAGCACACCTTGCTAGTTATTATATTTTTAGTAAAAACAGGGTTTCACCATGTTGACCAGGCTGGTCTCGAACTCCTGACCTCAAGTTATCTGCCCACCTCAGCCTCCCAAAGTGCTAGGA
Organism: Homo sapiens; assembly: GCF_000001405.40. Lineage (NCBI taxonomy): Eukaryota > Metazoa > Chordata > Mammalia > Primates > Hominidae > Homo > Homo sapiens. Next base: position 103,394,794 of record NC_000008.11, on the reverse strand, counting down.
TTGCAGGTGTGAGTCACTGTGCCCGGCCGACTTCCTGTATTTTTAAAGCTAGTCTCAGTTTGGTTTTTCTATCACTTGCTGCAAGTGAAAACTTCGCGGATGACACAGAATCTGTTATACCCTGAATTCTGTATGTCACTTCCCCATCAGCTGTTTTGATCTAGGTGGACTCTTGTTTCTGTGGAAATCGAAGTCACCTTTATGAAAATTGAGCACTTTGGGGCCATTGTGTGGTCACATAATTTCTTTAAAATGTGTTCAGTTTTATAGGAAAACATTGTTTGATATTTATATAAGTTAAAGAGATTATTCAGCTCATGAAAGGCACAAAGGTAGAAGATTTATAGAAAAATAAAATATGCTTATGGTGGAAGGTCCAACTGTACAAAAGTTGGATGATTTGTAAGTTCTCCCTGGTAGATTTTCTGAGATCTAATATTCCAGAATTGTGTTTAGTATTAAATTTCAATATTATGATATTGGACTTGTACCACTGTAAGGCTAGGAAATTATAAAACCAGTTCACATTGAACATAACAAAAGGAAAAGCTGCAAGCTGTTTTTGTTAAGTGATTCACATTGATCTCTTTCCCACCCAGGTTCCAAGCCAATCCAGACATAGACAAGATGTGGAAGAGGGAGCATGGGATATTGCATTTATTAATGATAAAGCTAAAATTAGATAATGAGGCTTATATAGGTGTAAAAGTAGGTTCCCTTATACCAAGCCCCAGAATCATATACCCATCTAACCACAGACAACACTGAACTAAGACTATTATATGGCCTGATCTTGTTAAAGTTACAGCAAGGAGGAATGGGGCAGAATGCATTTTCTCTGTAAGCAGCTTATTTCCAAAGAGAGAGGAGGGAAAGAAAGTGCTACTCACGCTCACTTCCCTATCCCAAACTTAACAATCAAGTCAATTACATCTGTCAATCTAGGTCCAACCAGGAGACAGAACACACCGTAATTTAAATAGGCTAAGTTTAAAGGATTATGATGCTGTGATAGAACAATATAAATATGTTTAGAGAATCTAAACTATTCTAGGGCTGAGGGTGAGTAGCCAAAGCAGGACAAAGTTGGAAGAGAGTCCCCCTCTGGTGTTCAGACTTTATTGGAGAAGTTGTGGCTGCACGACACTGGATGATGTGGAAGTTTGCTGGCGTGCCTCGGGCCAGAGCTGGTTTAGAATTGTCTGATAAACAGGAAACGGTCCTCTGGGACACAGGCAAGCCAAGGCTAGTGAGCAGATTGCAGAGAGAGTTAGGACATTTCTGCAGGTGTGAAACTGGGGCAGAACTTATACACATTGGAAGGACCTCAGAAGCCAACCTTTAGGAGAAAGGAAAGCTGAGATTGACAGGTGGGCATACAGAGGGAGTCAGGGCACTGCTACAGGTACAAGGCCAGGAGCATGTGGGGTGCATCTCAAGAGGGCTGCAGCAAGGTGGTCACCAGGCTTCCTAGGCTGGGACTGCAAGGTGGACTGTACATTCTGTGTGCAGCCGGAGCAAAACACCACCAGATGCATACACCACTAACCTTGTGTGGGAGCAAAAAAGAAAAAAAAATGAGCACACCAACACTAGGATGAGAAATTCCTTTCCTCCTGCAGTGCCCCTCCAATGTCCTCTACTTATTCTCATTTTAAAGGATAAATGCTTATTGTTCAATCTGTTATCACAGAGTAGATACTGAAGGATGAGTTTGGAGCTGAGAAGTGATAAATTGACAAGGGGGTTCAGTCAGCCCCTTTGACTGCTCAGCTTCCATACGCACCTTTCTACACGTGTTTGAACTCCTGCACAACAGAGCAACTAACTGTATTTTGGTCTAGCAAGATACGGTTATCCTGATAACTGAAGCTCTTGCTGTTCCCCAAAATAAGACACAAAGTTTCAACAGTCATTGGATTCATTGCTGGCTGTATTAATTACTCCTCAATTCAGTCATCATGCCACCTAATTTTCTGTTAAGACTGAATTGTAAAGTTGACCTTCAGCAACCTGTATAATAAAAATAGGGAGAATGGCAAAGTAGAAAATAAAAATAAACACATGCTTGCAAGCAAAGAGAAAATATGCAGAGCTATTACAGTTCTTGGTTTTGTAATGGTCACAAAGTTATGGTTGATATCTATAGCTTCCACCTCCAACTACCTCTATATTTCCCTTTCCCAGTCAGAATCAGCTGCTCTGGGTTCTTTGCCTGGTAGAGTGCTTCAAACCTTCCTTTTTGAAAGGTCTGAATCCTCAATCATCCTGCCCTTTTCTGATTCTTGTGGTTTTCCATTGAACCTTTACAGTTGGACATGGAAGTATTAAGAGGCACTTTAGAAAAATCTCCTGGGTACCAGAAAGTCCTCCTTGCTTCCATTTGCAGAAGCAAACCAATTTACCTTGGAAATTCAGATCAATCACTACAGCCAATAAATTAACCCCCTGTTTTTCATCCGTTGGTTAAGTGTTACAAGAAGTGCAAAATGACCAGGTGGCAGTCTGATAAGCAGAATTCTGAGATGAATGTCGTGACTTTCCCTCTCTTGTACACACCCTGTGTAATCTCCCCTTGAGCATGGTTGAAACCTGTAAATATAATTGGATAGCACCTCCACGATTATGCTATATGGCAAAGGGTTCCTAATCAGTTGACTATAATCCAAAGGGAGATTATCCTGCGTAGATATGATCTAATTAGGCAAGTTATTTAAAAGCAGAAGAGTTATCCTGCTGGTCTAGAAGAAAAACAGCCTGTTGTGAAAGTAGGGACCACAGGGACCTGAGGGTGACCTCCAGGAGCTGAGAGCAGTCCTCAGCTAACAGTAAAAAAAAAAAACAAGAACTTTAATCACAACTGCAAGGAACTGAATTGTGCTAACAACCACATGAGCTAGAAATAGGATTCTAAGTCTCAGAAGAGATCACAGCCCCAGCCAATGCTTTAATTTCAGCCTGGTAACACTGAGCAGAGGATTCAGCTAACCTGTATCCAGACCCTTGACCCACAGAAACCATGAGATAAATAAATTTGTGTTGTTTTAAGTTACTAAATTTGTAGTAATTTGTTATGCAACAAATAGGAAACTGATAACCTGTCTCATCCTACAATTCAATGGAACCACTATTTTGTTCCCCTGGTGGTTACTAACACTTCCAAACCAGCAGACTCACAGTTGCCAGGACAGGAAGCAAAAAGTCTGTAAGCCGGTTATTAGGTGTAATAGTGAGATAAGTCCGTGATGGTTAATTTTAGATGTCAACATGACTAGGCTAGGGGTTACTCAGCTAGCTGTTAAGGCATTATTTCTAGGTATATCTGTGAGTGTGTTTCCAGAAGAGATCGGCATTTAAATTAGTGGACTGAGTAAGGAAGATCTGCCCTCAGTGTGGGTGGACGCAGTCCAATCAGCTGAGGGCTGCATTCAACAAAAAGGCAGGGAGGAAAGGTGAATGTGATCTTTATTCTAGAGCAGGGACACCTTTCTTTGACTGCCCTTGGACATCAGAACTCCGGGTTCTCCAGCTTTCGGACTTGGACTTAACACCAGCACACCCCCCGCCCCAGGTTCCCAGGCCTTCGGCCTCAAACTGAAAATTACACCATGGGCCTCCCTGGTTCTCCAGTTTGCAAATGGCCTATTGTGAGACTTCTCAGCCTCCGTAATTGGGTGAGCCAATTCCCCTAATAAATTTCCTCTCATTTATTAAGAGATTTATAGGTATATAGGCATACCTTTGAGATCTCTGAGATATTTTTATAGTTCAGTTCCAGACCACTGCAACCAAATGAATATCACAATAAAATGAGTCGTGAAGTTTTTGATTTCCCAGTGTATATAAAAATTATGTTGACATTATACTGTAGCCTATCAAGTGTACAATAGCATTATGTCTAGAAATACCTTGTACATAGCTTAATTTAAAAATACTTTATTGCTAAAAAATTCTGACAATCATCTCAGCCTTCAGTGAGTTGCAATCTTTTTGCTGGTGGAGGATCTTGCCTCATGATGGCTGCTGACTGATCAGGTTGGTGGTTGCTGAAGGTTGGGGTGGCTGTGGCAATTTTTTAAAATAAGATAACAATGGAGTTTACCACATCGATTGACTCTTGCTTTGAGGGAAGATTTCTCTGTAGCTTGTGGTGGTGTTTGATAGCATTTTACTCACGGTAGAACTTTGTTTGAAACTGGAGTCGATCCTTTCCATCCCTGCTGCTGCTTTATCAACTAAGTTTATGTAATATACCAAATCCTTTGTTGTCATTTCACAATATTGACAGCATCTTCACCAGGAGTAGATTCCATCTCAAGGAACCACTTTTTTAAAATTTTTAATTTTTAGTGGTACCTAGTAGATATATATTTATGGGGTACATGAGACATTTTGATACAGGCATACCACATGTAATAATCACATTAGGGTAAATGGGGCATCCGTCACCTCAAGCATGTATTTCTTTGTGTCACGAACATTCCAATTATACTCTTTTAGTTATTTTTAAAAGTACTATAAATTATTGTTAATTGTAGTAACTCTGTTGTGCTATCGAATACTAGATTTTATTCATTCCTTCTATGTTTTGTGCCCATTAACCATCCCCACTCTCCCCCCACTCCCCACTACTGATTCCAGCCTCTGGTAGCCAACATTCTACTGCCTATCTCCATGAGTTCAGTTGTTTAATTTTCAGCTGCTACAAATGAGTGAGAACATGCGAAGTTTGTCTCTCTGTGCTTGGCTTATTTCACTTAACGTAATGTACTCCAGTTCTATCCATGTGTTGCACATGACAGGATCCTTTGTGTGTAAGTACCACATTTTCTTTATCCATTTGTCTGTTGTTGGACAGGTAGGTTGATTCCAAATCTTTGCTGTTATGAATAGTGCTGCAATAAACATGGGAGTGCAGATATCTCTTCAGTATACTGATTTCCTTTCTTTTGGTTATGTATCTGGCACTGGGATTGCTGGATCATATGATAGTTCTATTTTTAGTTTTTTTGAGAAACCACCAAACCATTCTCCTTAGTGACTCTAATAATTTATATTTCCACCAACAGTGTATGAGGGTTCCCTTTTCTCTATATCCTCACCAGCATTCATTAATTGCCTGTCTTTTGGGTAAAAGCCATTTTAACTGGGGTGAGGTGATATCACATTGTAGTTTTGATTTGCATTTCTCTGATGATCAGTGATATTGAGCACATTTTCATATGCCTGTTAACCATTTGTATGTCTTCTTTCAAGAAATGTCTATTCAATTATTTTGCCCATTTTTAAATTGGATTATTAGTTTTTCTATATAAAGTTGTTTGAGCTTCTTATGTGTTCTGGTTGTTAATCCTTTGTCAGATGGATAATTTGCAAATATTTTCTCCCATTCTGCGGGTTGTCTCTTCACTTTGTTGATTGTATCCTTTGCTGTGCAGAAGCTTTTTAACTTGATGTGATACCATTTGTCCATTTTTGCTGTGGTTGCCTGTGCTTTTAGGGTATTACACAAGAACTAACTTTGGAAGGCTGAGGCAGATGGATCACCTGAGGTCAGGAGTTTGAGACCAGCCTGGCCAACATGGTGAAACCAGCTCTCTACTAAAAACACAAAAATTAGCCAGGTGTGGTGGTTCACACTGGTAATCCTAGCTACTGGGAAGGCTGGGGTAGGAAAATCATTTGAACCCAGGAGGCAGAGGTGTATTCTTCAGAGTGGCACTTTTGACATTTCTCTAATCTATTCTCTCTTTTATTCCTTTGGTCATCACCAAAGCCCATAATCTTTTTTTCCAGTAACCTTTTTTTTTTATTGTGGATAATGTATCTAACATAAATTGCCATTTTAGCCACTTTAAAGTGCACAATTCATTGGCATTTAGTATATTCACAGTGTTGTACAACCATCATCACTCTGTAGTTCCAGGATATTTATATTATTCCAAAAGGAAATCTCATACCTAATAAGCAATCATTCTCCATTCTTCCCTCCCCTAACTCCTAGCAATCACTAATCTGCTTTCTGTCTCTGTGGATTTGCCTTTTCTGGGCATTTCATATAAATAGAATCATACCACCTGTTGCCTTCTGTGTCTCTCTGTAATATTTTTGAGGTTCATCCATGCTATAAGAATGTATTGACACTTAATTCCTTTTTTATGGCCGAATAATATTCCATTGTATTCATACACCACATTTTGATTATCAGTTGTTTTCAGTTGATGGACATTTGGATTGTGTTGACATTTTGGCTATCGTGAAGAGCGCTGCTATGACCATTCATGTTCAAGATTATGTTTGTACCACTGTTTTCAGTTCTTCTGGGTACAATGGCTGTACCATTTTGTATTCCCACTAGCAATGTATCAGAACTTCATTTTCTCCATATCGTTGCTAGCACTTATTTTCCATTTTTTGTTTATAACTATCTTGGTCGATGTAAAGTGGTATCTCAATATAGTTTTAACTTGCACTATCCTAATAACTAATGATGTTAAGCATCTTTTCATGTGTCTGTGGGCTCTTCATATATCTTCTTTGGGGAAATGCCTGTTCATTTCTTTTGCACATTTTTTGACTAACTAGTTTGTCTTTTTGTTGTCTTAACAGCCTCGTAAGCTGGCCTTCCTCTACTCTTTATACCTCTAACTTTTGTTTTTTAACTCAGCTGTTAGAATGAGTTTTTGTTATATAATGTTATTCTACACCAAACTGTCAATAGCTCTCCATGGCTCTACAAATAACTCAGGCATTCATGGCCTCCACAGTATCTTCTCAACCTCCTTTACCAGATTTGACTTTTTTTTTTTTTTGCACTGATGTACATTTATTTTTCATATATATATATATAATTACACTTTAAGTTCTGGGGTACGTGTGCAGAACATGCAGATTTGTTACATAGGTGTACACATGCCATGGTGGTTTGCTGCACCCATCAACCCATCACCTACATTAGGTATTTCTCCTAATGTTATTATTCCTACCCTAGCCCCCCACCCCCTGACAGGCCCTGGTGTGTGATGTTTCCTTCCCTATGTTCGTGTGTTTTCATTGTTCAACTCCCACTTATGAATGAGAAGATGCAGTATTTGGTTTTCTGTTTTTGTGATAGTTTGCTGAGAATGATGATTTCCAGCTTCATCCATCTCCCTGCAAAGGACATGAACTCATCCTTTTTCATGGCTGCATAGTATTCCATGGTGTATATGTGCCACATTTTCTTTATCTAGTCTATCATTAATGGACATTTGGGTTGGTTCCAAGTATTTGCTATTGTGAAAAGTGCTGCAATAAACATACGTGTGCATGAGTCTTTATAGTAGAATGATTTATAATCCTTTGGGTATATGCCCAGTAATGGGATTGCTGGGTGAAATGGTATTTCTAGTTCTAGATCCTTGAGGAATTGCCACACTGTCTTCCACAATGGTTGAAGTAGTTTACACTCCCACTAACAGCGTAAAAGTGTTCCTATTTCTCCACATCCTCTCCAACATCTGTTGTTTCCTTTTTTTTTTTTTTTTTTTTTTTTTTTTGAGAAGAGGCTCCCTCTGCCACCAGGCTGGAGTGCAGTGGCGCGATCTCGGCTCACTGCAACCTCCTTCTCCCAGGTTCAAGCAATTCCCCTGCCTCAGCCTCCCAAGTAGCTGGGACCACAGGCACGTGCCAACACACCCGGCTAATTTTTTGTATTTTAGTAGAGATGGGGTTTCACCATGTTGGCCAGGATGGTCTCGATCTCCTGACCTCATGATCCCCTGCCTAGACCTCCCGAAGTGCTGGGATTACAGGCATGAGCCACCGCGCCCACCCTGTTTCCTGACTTTTTAATGATCGCCATTCTAAATGGCATGAGATGATATCTCATTGTGGTTTTGATTTGCATTTCTCTAATGACCAGTGATGATGAGCATTTTTTCGTTTGTCTGTTGGCTGCATAAATGTCTTCTTTTGAGAAGCGCCTGTTCATATCCTTTGCCCACTTTTTGATGGGGTTGTTGTTTTCTTGTAAATTTGTTTAAGTTCTTTGTAGATTCTGGATATTAGCCCTTTGTCAGATGGATAGATTGCAAAAATTTTCTCCCATTCTGTAGGTTGCCTGTTCACTCTGATGATAGTTTCCTTTGCTGTGCAGAAGCTGTTTAGTTTAATTAGATCCCATTTGCCAATTTTGGTTTTTGTTGCCATTGCTTTTGGTGTTTTAGACATGAAGTCTTTGCCCATGCCTACGTCCTGAATGGTATTTCCCAGGTTTTCTTCTAGGATTTTTATGGTCCTAAGTCTTACGTTTAAGTCTTTGATCCATCTTGAGTTGAGTTTTGTATAAGGTGTAAGGAAGGGGTCCAGTTTCAGTTTTCTGCATATGGCTAGCCAGTTTTCCCAACACCATTTATTAAATAGGTAATCCTTTTCCCATTGCTTGTTAGTGTCAGGTTTGTCAAAGATGAGATGGTTATAGATGTGTGGTGTTATTTCTGAGGCCTCTGTTCTGTTCCATTGGTCTGTATATCTGTTTTGGTACCAGTACCATGCTGTTTTGGTTACTGTAGCCTTGTAGTATAGTTTGAAGTCAGGTAGCGTGATGCCTCCAGCTTTGTTCTTCTTGCCCAGGATTGTCTTGGCTATGTGGGTTCTTTTTTGGTTCCATATGAAGTTTAAAGTAGTTTTTTCCAATTCTGTGAAGAAAGTCAGTGGTAACTTGATGGGGATATCATTGAATCTATAAATTACTTTGGGCAATATGGCCATTTTCATGATGTTGATTCTTCCTATCCATGAGCATGGAATGTTTTTCCATTTGTTTGTGTCCTCTCTTATTTCCTTGAGCAGTGATTTATAGTTCTCCTTGAAGAGGTCCTTCACGTCCCTTCTAAGTTGGATTCCTAGGTATTTTATTCTCTTAGTAGCAGTTGTGAATGGGAGTTCACTCATGACTTGGCTCTCTGTTTGTCTGTTACTGGTGTATAGAAATGCTTGTGAGTTTGGCACATTGATTTTGTATCCTGAGACTTTGTTGAAGTTGCTTATTAGCTTAAGGAAATTTTTGGCTGAGACGATGGGGTTTTCTAAATATACAATCATGTCATCTGCAAATAGAGACAATTTGTTGACTTCCTCTCTTCCTATTTGAATACCCTTTATTTCCTTCTCTTGCCTGATTGCCCTGGCCAGAACTTCCAATACTATGTTGAATAGGAGTGGTGAGAGAGGGCATCCTTGTCTTGTGCCGGTTGTCAAAGGGAATGCTTCCAGGTTTTGCCCATTCAGTATGATATTGGCTGTGGATTTGTCATAAATAGATCTTATTATTTTGAGATATGTTCCATCAATACCCAATTTATTGAGAGTTTCTAGCATGAAGTGGTGTTGAATTTTGTCAAAGGCCTTTTCTGCATCTATTGATGTGGTTTTTATCATTGGTTTAGTTTACATGATGGATTACGTTGATTGATTTGCGTATGTTGAACCAGCCTTGCATCCCAGGGATGAAGCCAACTTGATCATGGTGGATAAGCTTTTTAATTGCTGCTGGATTCAGTTTGCCAATATTTTATTGAGGATTTTTGCATTGATGTTCATCAGAGATATTGGCCTGAAATTTTCCTTTTTTGTTATGTCTCTGCTAGGTTTTGATATCAGGATGATGCTGGCCTCATAAAATGAGTTAGGGAGGATTCTCTCTGTTTCTATTGATTGGAATAGTTTCAGAAGGAATGGTACCAGTAAAAATATGGAACGCTTCATGAATTTGCGTGTCATCCTTGCACAGGGGCCATGCTAATCTTCTCTGTATTGTTCCAATTTTAGTATATGTGCTGCTGAAATAAGCACACCACATTTGTCTCTTATTGTTTCTACACACATTACTTAAGCTCAACCCACCTAAAAACATTATTTCTATTTTATTAATACCCCAGTGTTTTTACTAATGTTGTTGCCTCTACCAAAACTATTCTTAACAACTATCCCCATTTGTCAAAATTTTTACCCATCTTGGTTAACATCTACCTATCTGCAATATTATTTCATCTAGACTCCCCTTCTACTTCCCATTTCTAGATTATTCTGAAGCAAACTCAAGATGTCACATCACTTTATCTTAAATATTTCAGTATCTCTAAAAGATACTGAAAAGATAAAAGTACTATTTAAAAAGAGCAATACCATTACCAGACATAAATAATTATTTAATATCATCAACTATCCAGCCAATGTTCACGTCCTCAACTGTCTCAAGGAAGTTTTGTTTTTGTGTTTATAGTTTTCTTGAATCAGTATCCAAATAAAGTCCAAACATTGCAATTGGTTGATATGATCTTTTCTTTTAATCTATAAGTTTTTTTCCTGCCTCACTTTTCTTACAATTATTTATTAAAGAAACCAAATTGTCTTTCAAGTTTCCCACCGTCTGGATTTTGCTGATTATATCCCTGTGGTGTCAATGAACATGCTCTTTTATCCTGTGTATTTCCCACAAATTAATGGTTGGAACTAGAGGCTAAATCAGATCCTGAATTGATTGTTTCTTGGAAAACTACTTCCTGAGTGCTGTTATATACTTTCATTAGAGGCACATTGCTGGTCTATCTCTTTTGGGAATATTATCAGTCATTGATGTTCATTACTAGATCCCTTCATGAGGGGTCGAAAAAAGGTAATATTGGAATTTTATCATTCTTTCTTCATTTACAAGCTATACCACCAACATGTGATGTTACTATAAGACATATATAGTGTGTGTGTGTGTGTGTGTATATATATACACACACACACACACACACACACACACACTTTTAGAAAGAGAAATTTCCCTTCATCAACAATTTGGTTACTCAGAGATACAGTACATATAGAGAAAGCAGAAGAAATGTTTGGTTCTATTTACCAATTTTCAAAGTAACAAGTTGGTTTGCTGGCATACTGTAAGTTGACCAATTATTTTAATATATTATGAACTCATGTATTTAAACATATTTGATGTTTTAAACCATTGCAGTTCTCTTTATTGATGCTTAAATTGTGTCATCTTTAACAGTGAGAACCAATTCAAATGTTGGCTCTTGGATCCTTTTGAGTTGTTTTTCATAGCTGCCTTGTTTTCCAGTATGACAAAATGTTCCATGCTCATATTGTACATTTCCTGCCCCATAGGTGAAATCTCCCATTTCTTCAAGGATTTTTAGTTCCTTTTAGTAGGAAATGGGAGTGTAGAGATCACATTCTGGGCATTACTGGATTGGTCATTGTTTCTGGGCCTTTTCGGTAAACAAAGCTAGATTTTGTTGCTGTTTTGTAGCTTTATTTAAGATAAAGTACTTTAGGAGTTCATACTGATACTTCCAATTCAAGCCCAGAATTTACTTAACTTCACTAATCTTACATGTATACTGCCTTCTTGGATTTTTTTCTGATCACCTCAGCCAGAAGTGATCACTCTTCCTTTGAACCACATCACCCACTTCAACACTTTTATAGTAATCAACACATTAACTTTTGATTTATTGTTATTTCTATATATGTCTGATATTCTCTACCAAATGGTAAGGAATTTGAGGATAGAATCCATCCTTTGTTACCCTTTGTTAAATAAAGATAAAATTCCTAAAGTGCTGATATATTTCCTGACATATAAATACCACTTTCTCTTTGTATTCCTTTAAAAATGGAACCATATTATACATGTACTAAAAATTAATAAATGAGTGTTAAATGAATAAACACAAATAGGATTTATGTTAAATTTTTCAGATATAAAGACTAGAAACTCCAATTTTAGTGGCAATTAATTTAAAGATATTAAGGTTGTTGGAAATAATTTTTATTTAACAGATATAAAAAAAATTCTTAACATTTACAAATTGTACAAAGATTGGTAGCTTTTATATTTTTTTAAAAATGCTATACTAAGAGAAAAAACAAAAGACCACAACAATATTCCAAATTATAGGTTGAGAGAATGTGACTATGAAGAAAGTATTCTAACCAACTAAAAAAAATATTGAAACCACTTTTGATTGAAGCAAAATGAATAATGCTAGATTTAAAAACAGTGTGAAATCACACTTTGGTCTGTAAACATATTTAGCTTTGCTTTTCATTCAGATGTATACATAAACTTATTTAAAATGTCATTTAAGTGAACCATTCCAAGGCATAATAAAAAAAGAGGTAGCAAATGAAAATTAAAGCATTTATTTTGGTAGTTCTTCAATAATGATGCGAGAAACTGAATTCCATCCAGTAGAAGCATCTCCTTTTGGGTAATCTGAACAAGTACCAACCCAGATAGCAACATCCACTAATCCAGCACCAATTCCTTCACAAAGTCCTTCCACTGCAAGACAAAGATGAAAGTTACATCTTTCTTTAGAACAAAGAGCAAAATCCTTTAGTTAAATTTTATAACTTCAGAAAGCTAGTTTGTAATTCTGTTTAATGTAATGCTACTTAAAAATTTTAATACTTGATAAGGTTTTTATAATGAAGTCCTCTTTTTCTAAATTGGTACATAAATATTTTTAAAAGATGTATACATATCCATTCTATGATATAAGTTTAACAAGCAGTGTTCTTACAGGTTTCAAGCATAAAACCAGAATTTGTATACTTACAGAGATAGCTTAAAACAAAAAAGCAATTTATTTGAATAAACAAAGAAAGGCTATATATACTTTTAAAAGCCAAGACTTTCATTTGATATGCAAGTCTTTTTTAAAAAAAGAAAGCCCTTTCCGACACTTATCTGCTGATAAGTGATGCTAGACAAGTAGACGAAATAACTTTTTTTTTTTTTTGAGATGGAATCTCGCTCTGTCACCCAGGCTGGAGTGCACTGGCGCAATCTCAGTGCACCGCAACCTCCGCTTCCCACGTTCAAGCAATTTTCCTGTCTCAGCCTCCTGAGTAGCTGGGACTACAGGCACCTGCCACCACGCCTGGCTAATTTTTTGTATTTTTAGTAGAGATGGAGTTTCATCGTGTTAGCCAGGATGGTCTCGATCTCCTGACCTCGTGATTTACCCACTTCGGCCTCCCAAAGTGCTGGGATTACAGGCATGAGCCACCGTGCCCAGCCAGAAGAAATAACTTTTATAACATTAAAAGAAATTCTACATAATCATTACACCAGTCCTTCAATCTGGGAATCCCATTTTACACAGAATTTCCTCATAGTGAAAAAACATAAAACAGAAAATCCCCCCTGCTTTTCCTCTGTGTTTTTATGCATTACAATTATGCACCTTTTCACATGTCCTCTGGACTTTCACCTACTAACAATACAAGTTGCATTCCATCTTACCAAAGTCTTCTCTTAAATTAAAAAAAAAAAATCCCTCAGTCATTTTAGCAGGCAAAAAGACATGGTACCTTTGATGTATGTGTAAAGCTGGAGAAGAAACTGTAGGTTGGCAGATTCAAGAAAATGAATCCTGGTTTTCTGTCCTTGTGATAGTTTGCTCACTCATAAGTGGGAATTGAACAATGAGAACACTTGGACACAGGGCGGGGAACATCACACCCCGGGCCTGTTGTGGGGTGGGGGGCTGGGGGAGGGATAGCATTAGGAGAAATACCTAATGTAAATGGCGAGTTAATGGGTGCAGCAAACAAACATGGCACATGTATACATAAGTAACAAACCTGCACGTTATGCACATGTACCCTAGAACTTAAAGTATAATAATAATAATACTAAAGAAAAAAAAGAAAATGAATCCTGATATAGTGGATGACTTTATGTGACTGGTTAGGCTTCCTATTTGATTGAGGTTAGTGCATTCCTGCTGAGACCCAGAGATGTAGGTCTGAAGCAATCTGCTTACATAAACTATCACAGGAGTAAATCCAGAGCAAGTCTCTCAGAATCCAGGGACCTGTCTCTGGTTCAGTCCCCTTCCCAAGTTGGGGGAACTAAATAGTAGGCCCACAATCCCATTTAATCTGGTATTCTTAGTACCATGCCAAGTGAAAATGCCTACAAATGCTCATGTTTTCCCAGGGTCTTGACAGCCATGGCCTAGAAACTTGTTCACTTCCCCCTACGGCCTAAGGACGTCAGACAAGCTTGGGTCTTGCATCAGCCTCATCTGAGGACAGTCAAATGGTCACTTCATGGTCTTTAGCAGATGAAATAATGTTGAATGAACATTTTTGCTGTGATAATGTAGTATGATAGCTTGTTAAGTAAAAACGATATGTTGGATTGGGAGTTCTCAACCTGTTTTCCTCCTAGACCATGTAACAGATGACAACCATTTGTCAAACTCCCATGGGCATATCAAGGCTTTAAGCCATCCTCTGATATGCTAACTATAAGTGCACCCCTTTCCTTTCCCTTAAGAGAGACTATCAGTATGTCAGAAAAAGTGATTCTGTTACAGAGGTAACTTTTAATCCACAATAATACAAAAACTGTTATTAATAACAAATTACTTGTGACACTCCACCCAACTGATCACACCAAATGAGTTTGCACACAATGGTTGGGAAATGCTGTGTTAAATTATTTATAAAGTATATGCGTGTATATGACACAGTTCCTGGGCCTAAGGGCTTACATTAGCAAAATATTAACACACACCTTAAAGATAACAGAATAGAATGTAAGTTGCTTATATCAACGACTGTCTGAACATATCACTTCCTAATCAAATTTTATTTTTAATATCTAGATTCTTCTTATTTTAAAGACTATTTCTTAGATGGGAAGCACTTCTTCCTTTCCAGCACATGTATCTAAGTACTTAGTGAAGAGGGTTTTTAATCTGATTACAAAGAGAACTGGGAGCCAAGAGAACAGGGCGTTGGTTTCTGCTCTCCTGAACGCTGATTCTACTGTCCCGTGTAAGACGCTGTATTTCCCTGGGTTTCTCAATATGCAAAGAGAGGGGGTTAAAATCTCTTCTTTATGTTTCAAGGATATTGTGGGGATCTGAGGGAAAATGTGGAGGGGATGCCCTTGATTGCTTAGGAATAAATTGGTTTTGGGGTTCAGTACCTGACTTGGAGCCCTAAAGAATGCTGAAATGTTATTTTGAGGGAAGGGAAGAGTGAGATTATCTCCTCCCTCCCCTCAACCATTTTTAATTATAAGATTAGTGAAAAATCTCTTCAGGAAATCAAGGAAATGATGCTAACCATATGTATAGTTTCTTATTTTTCTTCTATGAAAAGGCATATGAATATAACAGTATGTACACTTTCTGATGCTACCATGGTGTGCCATCCACTGCAACTCAAGAAACCAAAATGGCTGACAACAAAATATTGATAGTGGTGTCTCTGGAGGATGAGATTAATAGTTTTTTTTTTTTTTAACTCTTCTATTTTCTGGTATTTTCTAAACTTTCTTTAATGAATCTTAAAATAGAACAAACAGGCCAGGCATGGTGGCTCATGCCTGTAATCATGGCACTTTGGGAAGCTGAGCAGGAGGATCACTTGAGGCCAAGTGTTCAAAGTTGCAGTGAGCTGTGATCCTGCCAGTGTACTCCAGGCTGAGCAACAGAGCAAGACCCTGTCTCTAAAATAAATAAATAAATAAACAAATACATAAGTACATAAAACAACCCAATGATATTTTTCTGACAGTTTAAGTGACCACTGAATGTCTTTTCCTCATACTAGGTGGAAACAGAATACAGAAACAGTATAAAAATTTTGTCTTTTACAAATTCAGCAGACAGTATCCACCCTTTTAAAGGATAAGGCAGAAAAATCAGTCTCCTTATTAGTCTGAGCCAGTGGTTCTAAATTTTGGCTGAACATTAGAATGACCAGGAGATTTTTTTTTTTTGAGACTGCATCTCACTCTGTCATCACTCAGGATGGAGTGCAGTGGGGCAGCCTCAGCTCACTGCAACCTCTGCCTCCTGGGCTGAAGCCATCCTCCCACCTCAGCCTCCATAGTAGTTGGGACTAATTTTTTGGTATTTTTTTTGTAGAGATGGGGTTTCGCCCTCTTGCCCAGGTTTGTCTCAAACTGCTAGGCTCAAGTGATTGCCCGTCTCAGCCTCCCAAAGTGCTGGGATTACAGGTGTGAGCTACCACGCCCAGCCTACCAAGAGATACTTCGAAAGTCCCATTGCCAAGTCTGCACCCAGACCTGTTAAATCTGACTCCCTGGAAGGGTGGGATAGGCATTTCTTTTTAAAGTTCCCAGAGTTCCTACAGTGAGCCCAATATGTAGCCAAGGTTGAAAGACCACTGCTCTATGGCATTATTGGCTATTTTGCCATGTCATTTAACTCACTGATTTTCAAGCCTGGGGCACATCTGAATCACCAGGGGATCTTTTAAAAAACACAGAAGCTGTGGTCTTACTGCTAGAGATTCTGCGTTAGTTCATCAGAGATAGGGCCCAGGCATCTATGTATTTTTAAAAGATCGAGAGGTAATGCAGAAGTACAACCCAGGGTGGAGAATCATGCATTGAAAACTTGCTAGAGGTCCCTTTACAGTAGGCTAGTGAACCAACATGATAGTGGGACTCAAAACTAATCTTACTTAGATCTGAGGCACATCTTGCAATGTCACAATTTTACATACCAGAAGAAGTGCGATGAATATTAATTGTTGAATTCATTTCAGGGCTTCCTTGGTCCAAATAAATTATAGCTTCAATGGGAAGAGGTCCTGAACATTCAGCTCCATTGAATGTGAAATACCAACGCTGACAGCATGCATTTCTGCATTTTAGCCGAAGTGAGCCACTGAACAAAACTCTTAGAGCACTATTTGAACGCATCTTTGTAAATGTACACTCCTGTCACAAACATAGAAATGGGATTTAATTAACATTTTCTATTTTAATTAAAAAGAGCTTTTGAGACTGGTGAATTTTACTTAACTATCCTTTTCCCCAAAATGTATTTAAAAAGTTTAACTTGGCCGGGTGTGGTGGCTCATACCTGTAATCCCAGCATTTTGGGAGGCCGAGGGGGGCAGATTACTTGAGGCCAGGGGTTAGAGACAAGCCTGGCCAACATGGCGAAACCCATCTCTACTAAAAATACAAAAAATTTGCTGGGTGTGGTGGCGCACGCCTGTAATCCCAGTTACTCGGGAGGCTGAGACGTGAGAATCGCTTGAACCCAAGAGGTGGAGGTTGCAGTAAGCCGAAATTGTGCCACTGCACTTTAGCCTGGGCAAAAAAGTGAGACTCTGTCTCAAAAAAATTAAAATAAACAAAAATAAAGCTTAACTTTTATAGAGGGAGGGAGATTTTCTGCAAGCTAGGTAAGAGATTTTGATATAGGAACTCTAAGAAAATCAAATTGCAGCTTTCTCAGAACTTTTCGCCCCATTGAGGGTATCTTTCAGTTTTATCAAAAAAGGCTAGCCTTCAGTACTTTTGATAAAATCAATTTATATATTTCCTCTTTTTTTTGCATTCAAAAAATATTTACTGAGCCCCAACTATGTGCTAAATGGTACAGATAGAGCAGTTAACAAACCAGAATCCCTACCTTCATGGAACTTACATTCTAGACTAGTTCTGTCCATTCGTATTGACTCTTGACGTGTTTCTTTTCGAGCAACAGCAAACAGTATGAGGGAGTAAAGGATAGGCAGGGTTTTTAGTCTTTATCTATATGATGCAATGATAAGGCCCAGGTTTCTTGTTTGCTTATTTTCTCATTGGTCTATGCAAATTTGTCTGTCTATTGGCTCATGGACCTATTATCCTTTACTCATAGAAGGTTACCATACCCATCCTGACCATTGCTAAAAGGAACTTGAAAACATATTAATAATTCAGAACCCACAAGGATAGCTTTTAGAAAGAACTCAGTAACTTTTGATGAACAACTATAAATAAACAACCAGTCTATCAATGTCAGATGTTTAAATAACTAGGGAACATTTTAACAAAATGTTTTCTAGAAACACACATGAACACAGAAAAGGTCATAGTCATCATAACTATGGAAGCTACATGGAAATTCTATCACAAAACAAGACAGTCTCAAACTCTTAATAGAGCAGAAAGAGCTGAGATAAGGAACAGGGATTATACACAGAGTGCATCTTAAAATCTTGGAGTTTTATGAAACAAATTTCTTGTAATTGCTTGATGGTAGCAGTAAAATCATGAAGTAATATGTTGTGAATATGGAACCATGTACAGAGTTCATCAACAGAGAAAAGAGGCTTATAAATAGCATCAACTTCTTCAACTCTCTTCCATCCCAGTGGACTTGCCAATTACTTTTGAAGCAAACACTAATCAAAGTGACTGAAACATTAGTCAAAATACATGACCGGACAGGCTATTTTGAGTAATTCTCTGCCACTCAGCCTTAATGTTGCAGAATAACTTAAAATAATCACTGTAGTACCTCACATCTAACCCATTTCACTTCTCTTAGGCTTAGCAGTTTTAAGCTGGGCATGCTTCCTAAATAAAGACAAACACCAATGGACTTCTGCTTCCAGATCAATGTGGTAATTTCTTGGAAATTTTTTCCCACCTTTATGTCTGAAGCCAGGACAGAATTTCTTAGACTAAATTTAAATTTACTTTAGGATAAGATTGGAAAGTTGCTTACTGTCCAACACAGACACATATGCTCTCTTTTGTTTGCATTTTTAAAAAGTATGTTATTTTAGATACTATGGTTAAAATGATAAGCATTTGTCTTAGAAATATCTCTATGAAATTCTGAAATGTTATAAACTTTTTCATTAGTTTTAAATTAAAAGTCACATGCTACCTACTTCTCTTTTTTAAGTCTTTTAGTTAAAAAAAAATAAAATGTCACCTAAAAATTAACACTAAAATATGAAAACCCTTAAATCTTGCTTCAATTTTAAAATAATTCAAACTTACCGCAATTTTCCCAAGATCTATGCCATAATTCAATGAACTCCATGAACACTGCTTGTAGTTGGGTGTCCAGGACTCCTCAAAGCTTTCCCTCAGACATTCCCCCTTTTCTCCTTTGAATCCATCCCGACCTGGGATCCCAGGTGTACCCGGAATGCCATTGGCCCCAGGGCTCCCGTCTCGACCAGGCACTCCTGCTGGCCCTTGTAAGCACATTCCATTATACTATAATGAGAAAGAAAAGGCAAAGAAAACTCTCACCACTTAAGAGTCAAAGACTCAGTATGATTAGAAATGCATTTATTTTGAGCCCTTGGAGTCAAGAATCCCTTCATACCACATGCCCGTGTTCTAGATGAGTTATTACAGAGAATTCATTTTCAAATTATTTCTAAAATATTGTGATTTCCTTCATATTTTTTAGTGCACAGACTTTACACGCACACACACACACATCAGAGGAGGACAAAATTATTTGCCTGCTCCCTTCTGCTCATTATAGGCATACACAATTTTAAATAGCTGTATTCCAAGGTGGGAATAATTTGATATTCTGCTTTTTTCTTCTAACTCTGTATCTTGCAAAGGGACCTGGATTTTTACAGTTTTATGCAAACATTGCACTATTTTTGGATAGTTTATTTCTACTTTTTTTATTATGAATATTATTGTAATGAAAATATCCATACAGCCTTTTTCTTCTTTTGAATTATTTCCTTAAGATAAATTCCTAGGGACATAATTATAAAATAAAATCTTAAGAGTCAATAATTATCTTGTACTGGCAATAGCTCCAACTTGGGTATGAAAATCCCTGCTTCTCCCTGTTTTTAAGTGGGGGAAGCAGTGCTTGGATAACATTTCTGGCCTCTCATCCCACCCCTCTTCCCCAAGGAGAAGCAGTAAGTGACCCAGTTTCAAGTGACCATTAGTTCTCAATAGGGGACCATCCACAATCTGTCAAACTGTCTGTAAGGACTATGATTTTCTGTTTGTTTGGAGAAGGACATCTTGTAGCATTTAAATGCATGGATTCTAGAGCCAGTTTCTTTGGATTTTGTCCCGGCTCCACCTTACATTAGCTCTGTGAGATAGGGCAAATTACTCAACATTTTGGTGCCTGTTTCCTTATCTGTAAAATGTGGATAATAATAAAGAGTCTTACTTTATAGGGTTTGTATGAGATTTAAGTGAATAATATATAAAATGTGCTTAGAACAATGCCTGGAACACAGTAAACACTGTATGTGTCAGCCATTATTATTCCTATGTTCCCCAGGACCAGTGCAAGGCAGCAACTCTGGGTAAGTGTGTCCACTGCCCTGGGTGGACCTTTCAGGATTTAGACCTGGGGAAGAGAGCATTAGCAAACCCACCAGCCTAGCACACATAAGCCATACATGCCAATGCTGTATGATCAGTGGTAAAGGTGATATCCTGTGCCCCACCTGTCTAATTCCTGTGTCTACACCTGAATTGGTTCAGCTAGGAACAAAGGTGCCGTTTATTAGACACTCCAAAACCCAATGCAATCCATTTAAATGTTTACTCTAACATTTCCTCTATTTGTGTAAGTTGCCTAGTATTATTCTGTATAACTATATTTCCCAATGAAAACAAAAAACAAAGTTTCTTAGATATTAAAGTAACTTCAAAGCTTATCTTTTGACTACAGTATCTGGGATTGGATGATAAAATCCAATAGTTGTCTGGGAAGAATCCTATATAATTAGACTGATGCTTGCTAATCAATTTGTGTCTCCATCGCCAGTTTGAGTTTTGGTTTGATAAATGACTTTTTAAGTCTTTGACATCGCCATTTTCCTGACTGTAAGAAGAAAAAGACACTACTACTTATTTACTGTCAGAGAAATAGTTAAAAAAAAGAAAAGAAAAAGCATTTAACAAT
This sequence comes from Homo sapiens, assembly GCF_000001405.40. Classification (NCBI taxonomy): domain Eukaryota; kingdom Metazoa; phylum Chordata; class Mammalia; order Primates; family Hominidae; genus Homo; species Homo sapiens. The sequence goes on along the minus strand of NC_000008.11, from coordinate 103,374,053 downwards.
TACAAAAGTATTCAAAGACACAAAAAGTAAAGCATTTTAAAAGTGCAAAATATTTCAAAATAGTTTGGTGTGTTTTAGACTTTATTTTTATTTTAGTAATTTAATTCACTCTCACAAGCAGATATATACAATGTTTAGACATACATTTCAAATGGGAATAAGACTGCTTCTGATATTCTTTGATTTTTTTCACTATTATTCCCCTCAGGGCAAGATGCTACACAGACTAAATTTTACTTCATTATATATCAGTGGATCTCAACTGGGGACAATTTTGTCCTCCAGGGGACACTTGGCTATGTCTAGAGACATTTTTGGTTGTCACAACTTGGGAGAGGGGATTGCTACTGGCATCTAGTATGTACAAACGATGCTGCTAAACACGCGACAACGGACAGGACAAGTCCCCACAAGAATTATCTGGCCCAACATGTCCATTGTGCCATATTGGGAATTTTTATTCACCTTTTCATCTAAAAGATACATTTCAAAGACTATATAACTTTACTTGACTCGATTCCGCAGGTGTTACATCAGTCTTCTACTTTAAAATGCTAACCCAACATATGCTTAGTACTCTCAATAAATGTCTGTGGAATGAAAAAAAAAAGATGTGAAGGGAAGCGCACTTTTATACGCCCCTGTTTCTTTCACTGGCCACCAGGGGGCAGAGCTTTGTGGAAGCTTGAAAGGAACGCTTTGAAAGATCCTATACAAAGAAGTTGCTTTATAGAATCTGTTGAAACCTTAATGACTGTGGACTTCTTCTGTCAGCAAAACCAAATCCAACCTACAGGATGCACCTGAGCCTGACTGCAAAATCTTTTCCAAGTCTGGCTAGAGTTGTGGGAAACCACAGGTACTGTAAATCCTTGAAGGGGGGAAAATAGCAAGCTTCACAGGAAAAATGGGTATTTTGTGTATCATAACTACAGACTCATAAAATGCAAACTACACATGAACCATACTCATTTGGCACAGTTTTAATAATTTGGACACTTAAAATAGAACTGTTGCCTGAACACATAGTCCCCTTTTGTGGATCAAAATTACACAGCCTACCACCAAAAAGTGCTGTGTGAAATGGCGGGAATTTTTTTCCCAGCACTTTTGAATCCAATACAGAACTAGCTGCCAGGGAACTTGGTATATTAGCTCAGTTTAAAATGGCAGCTTAACAAATTCAAAACTTTCTTTTTAATTAAAAAAAAATGCCCCAACTTATGTCTTGCAATGCCTGTAAATCATGTTTGTCTGCAAGTGAGACTGAAGTTTATAATATGCCAAGGACTACGGTAGCTCTGAAAGGCTCCCTCATACCACAGGCCAGAGAACCTCTCCGCCCTCCACTGGGTTTGTTGATTTTTAGAGGGAAGGATTTTAAGCAAACATACCTTCCCACAGATGAGCCCCTGGAAAGCACTCGGGCCGTTCATTTCCAGTTTCCTGGAAACTGTTTTCTCCCGTAGCTTGACTGTGATGCTCCTACCTGGCGGCCACATATGAAGACCCAGGGTGTGTGTAATGACAGACTGCCCATTTGGTTTAAACAGAAGCAAAACAGGTCCTTAGAGGGTTAGCGCCGGGCCCCTTCATTTCCCTTTCCGGCCTTAAACCTTCTGAACCATTCCTAGCCCCAGCTGTGGTTGTCCAACAAAGTAAATTGCAGCCCATACTCCCTAGGAAGATGACCCAACGTGACTCATAGTCTTCAAGTTACAAAGAGTTGGACGGATGCTTTGTGGGGGTTGTTATTCTCTCTCGCAGGCAGACGTGGCCACCAGCCCCAACAAAGGACACGTTGCACCGCCCTGGCCCAGGCCCAGGTCCATGTGATCAGCGAGGCCAGGGTTTTTCCCAGGTCCACTTCGGACGTACCCAAGCTCCTCATCCTACTCTCACTGCCGCCCTATCCCTCCCACCCTTCCCAAGGGGTCCCCCTGGGGCCAGAAATTATTGGGGGACTCCCTGTACTTCGGGGAGACCCACCGGGCCCATATCGCATGTCCGCTCCACGATGGCCTCCCATTTTGGTCTCCCCTCTGAGTTCCAAGACTCACTGCACGCATAACCAGGTCCTTCTTCACCTGTAAATAAAAAGCATGACACCCCGGCGCAGCAAGACACACGACACACAGCTGTACAGACAGACACCCCCAACAGCCAGACTGACGCCCTGCCCGTGGGGCGCGCGGCCAGGTCCCCTCCACCAGCGCGGCGGTCCCGGCTCGGCTCCCTCGGACTCACCAGGTCCACCACCTCCCTCTGCCGGAGCTGCGCCTTTTGCTTCCCCTTGGGGATCTCAGAGGCGCTCGACGGCGCGGGCAGCTGCAGCAGCAGGAGCAGCAGGAGGCCGCGGAGCCGCTGCGGGGAGGCGGCGGGGCCCTGGGGTCGCATGGCTCCCGGCTGCCGGGCAGCGCGGAGCTGGAGGCGGAGGAGACCGAGGAGAGGAACGTGGTCAGCGTCTGGCTCCGCCGCGCTCCGAGGCCGCCGCAGGCTGCATCAATGCGCCTTTCACCCGCGCGCCTCTCTCCCTCCCTTAATTCCTCCCGCCCCCGCGACACCCGGAGCTTCCATCCCGTAATAGGCCCCGAGCCCCCACCCCGAGCCCGGCGTGGGGGCGGACCGAGAGCCGGGCCCGCCCCCTCCTACTGCAGTCGCTCGGCCTGTCAGGACCCCCGCGGGGCTGCGCAGACCCTCGTGGAGAGCCCGCCTGCAGGGTCTGGGCGGGGTGGCCCGTGGTCAGGAGCCGCAGGTCGGGGATTCCCGCAGGTAACACAGCGCCGCCTAAATGAACATTTTAGAGACACGTGGCTTAACCTGGGTACACGAGCCACCTTCAAGGGTCGTCAATCTATGGCATGGGTCGGCGAGTCTTATTTGTTTTTTGTTTGTTTGTTTGTTTTTGAGACAGAGTCTCGCTCTGTCGCCCAGGCTGGAGTGCAGTGGCGCCATCTAGGCTCACTGCAAGCTCCGCCTCCCGGGTTCACGCCATTCTCCTGCCTCAGCCTCCAGAGCAGCTGGGACTGCAGGCACCCGCCACCACGCCCGGCTAATTTTTTTTTTTTTTTTTTTTTTTTTTTTTTTGAGACGGAGTCTCGCTCTGTCGCCCAGGCTGGAGTGCAGTGGCGCGATCTCGGCTCACTGCAAGCTCCGCTTCCCGGGTTCACGCCATTCTCCTGCCTCAGCCTCCCGAGTAGCTGGGACTACAGGCGCCCGCCATCACGCCCGGCTAATTTTTTGTATTTTTAGTAGAGACGGGGTTTCACCGTGTTAGCCAGGATGGTCTCGATCTCCTGACCTCGTGATCCACCCGCCTCGGCCTCCCAAAGTGCTGGGATTACAGGCGTGAGCCACCGCGCCCGGCCCCGGCTAATTTTTTATATTTTTAGTAGAGACGGGGTTTCACCGTGTTAGCCAGGATAGTCTAGATCTCCTGACCTTGTGATCCGCCCGCCTCGGCCTCCCAAAGTGCTGGGATTACAGGCGTGAGCCACCGCGCCCTGCCTTATTTGTTTTTTGGAGGTGACATTTTTGGAGGCTGGAAGGTGGGGGTGGGGCGGAGGCAGGAAGAAACCATAGGTATCATCAGGTTTTCCAAGAGTCCCATGACCCAAATGATATATAAACGCTGTTTTCATAAGTGCTAACACTTACTAAGCTCTGGCACATTGCAAAACCTTGCACGCGTACTCTGTCCTCTCAGCAATCCTGGCGGGTTGGGAGGGGTAGATGCCTCCTGGGCTACTCTCATAAACGAATGAGGAAACTGAGGCTCAGGGAAGTTAATCAATATCCAGTGGAAATGGTAGAAGTTCACTTTTGAGTACTCTTTGCCTCTGATGGATATTATCTTTTTGTAACCCCCTCTGTCCTCCTTTGGCCTGTCCATTGTAGAAGAAAACATTCTCAGGGCCCAGGCTACCCACCACGTAGGGCCAGGTTGGAGCAGGAGATCTTTTATATATAACTGGCTGGAATCAGGCATAACAGAAGTCTTGCCACACCCATAACAACACGAGGTTGTGACGGATGGTAATACTGTGAAGTCAAATTCAGCTCAGCAGGGGTCTCCCTATAGACCCATGCAGGTTTTCCGGAGTTGGTGAGTCCAGCTGATGGATGTTAAAGAGAGGGAGCAGTCTAGCAGGGAAGCAGGTCGCGGCAGTTCTGCAAATGCCCAGTCCTGGGCTGGTAACTAACTAAAGGTAAATTTCACTTGTTTTTCTAGAAGCAGCAAAAATCCAAATGAACTGTAAAGCCAGGGCTGGTTATATAATTTGCCCCACCCAGTGCAAAATGAAAATGCAGGAGCTTTTGTTAAAAAATTATTCAGAATTGCAAAATGGTGTCAATGGAGCATTAAATCACGTGTGGGGTCCTTCTAAGTGCCTGGCCCTGTGTGACAGCACAGGTCATATGCCCATGAAACTGGCCCTGTATGGGGTTGCAATCCTAGTCTCTGATAAAACAGACTTTAAACCAACAAAGATCAGAAAAGACAAAGAAGGACATTATATAATGGTAAAGGGATCACTGCAACAAGAAGAGCTAACTATCCTAAATATATATATGCACCCAATACAGGAGCACCCAGGTTCATAAAGTAAGTTCTTAGAGACCTACGAAGAGACTTAGACTCCCACACAATAATAGCGGGAGACGTTAACACCCCACTGTCAATATTAGACAGATCAACGAGACAGAAAATTAACAAGGATATTCAGGACTTGAACTCAGCTCTGGACCGAGCAGATCTAATAGACATCTACAGAACTCTCCACCCCAAATCAACAGAATATACATTCTTTTCAGCACCACATCACACTTATTCTAAAATTGACCACATAATTGGAAGTAAAAACATTCCTCAGCAAATGCAAAAGAATGAAAATCATAACAAACAGTCTCTCAGACCACAGTACAATCAAATTAGAACTCAGGATTAAGAAACTCACTCAAAACCACATAACTACATGGAAACTGAGCCACCTGCTCCTGAATAACTACTGGGTAAATAACGAAATTAAGGCAGAAATAAATAAGTTCTTTGAAACCAATGAGAACAAATATGCAACATACCAGAATCTCTGGGACACAGCTAAAGCAGCGTTTAGAGGGAAATTTGTAGCACTAAATGCTCACAGGAGAAAATGAGAAAGATCTAAAATTGACACCCTAACATTGCAATTAAAAGAACCAGAGAAGCAAGAGCAAACAAATTCAAAAGCTAGCAGAAGACAAGATATAACTAAGATTAGAGCAGAACTGAAGGAGATAGAGAAATGAAAAACCCTTCAAAAAATCAATGAACCCAAGAGCTGGTTTTTTGAAAAGATAAAAAGATAGACCACTAGTCAGACTAATAAAGAAGAAAAGACAGAAGAATCGAATAGATACAATAAAAAAATGATAAAGGGGATATCGCCGCTGATCCCACAGAATTATAAACTACCATCAGAGAATACTATAAACACCTCTACACAAATAAACTAGAAAATCTAGAAGAAATAGATAAATTCCTTGACACATACACCCTCCCAAGACTAAACCAGGAAGAAGTCGAATCCCTGAATAGACAAATAACAAGTTCTGAAATTGAGGCAGTCATTAATAGCCTATCAACAAAAACAAGCCCAGGACCAGATGGATTCACACCCAAATTCTACCAGAGGTACAAAGAGGAGCTGCTACCATTCCTTCTGAAACTACTCCAAACAATAGAAAAAGAGGGACTCCTCCCCAACTCATTTGATGAGGCCAGCATCATCCTGAAAACAAAAAAAAAAGAAAAGAAAATTTCAAGCCGATAGCTCTGATGAACATCAGTGCGAAAATCCTCAATAAAATACTGGCAAACTGAATCCAGCAGCACATCAAAAAGCTTCTCCACCACGATCAACTTGGCTTCATCCCTGGGATGTAAGGCTGGTTCAACATATGCAAATCAATCAACATAATCCATCACATAAACAGAACCAAAAGCAAAAACCACATGATTATCTCAATAGATGCAGAAAAGGCCTTTGACAAAATTCAACAGTCCTTAATGCTAAAAATCTCAATAAACTGGTATTGATGGAACTTATCTCAAAATAATAAGAGCTATTTATGACAAACCCACAGCCAATATCATATTAAATGGAAAAAAAACCTGGAAGCATTCTCTTTGACAACCGGCACAAGACAAGGATGCCCTCTCTCACCACTCCTATTCAACATAGTATTGGAAGTTCTGGCCAGGGCAGTCAGGCAAGAGAAAGAAATAAAGTGTATTCAAATAGGAAGAGAGGAAGTCAAATTGTCTCTATTTGCAGATGACATGATTGTATATTTAGAAAACCCCATCGTCTCAGTCAAAAATTTCCTTAAGCTAATAAGCAACTTCAACAAAGTCTCAGGATACAAAATCAATGTGCAAAACTCACAAGCATTTCTATACACCAGTAACAGACAAACAGAGAGCCAAGTCATGAGTGAACTCCCATTCACAACTGCTACTAAGAGAATAAAATACCTAGGAATCCAACTTAGAAGGGATGTGAAGGACCTCTTCAAGGAGAACTATAAATCACTGTTCAAGGAAATAAGAGAGGACACAAACAAATGGAAAAACATTCCATGCTCATGGATAGAAAGAATCAATATTGTGAAAATGGCCATACTGCTCAAAGTAATTTGTAGATTCAATGCTATTTCTATCAAGCTACCATTGACTTTCTTCACGGAATTAGAAAAAAACTACTTTAAACTTCATATGGAACCAAAAAGGAGCCCATATATAGCCAAGACAGTCCTGGGCAAAAAGAACAAAGCTGGAGGCATCACGTTACCTGACTTCAAACTATACTACAAGGCTACAGTAACCAAAACAGCATGGTACTGGTACCAAAACAGAGATATAGACCAATGGAATGGAACAGAGTCCTCAGAAATAACACCACACATCTACAACCATCTCATCTTTGACAAACCTGACACTAACAAGCAATGGGGAAAGGATTGCCTATTTAATAAATGGTGTTGGGAAAACTGGCTAGCCATATGCAGAAAACTGAAACTGGACCCCTTCCTTACACCTTATACAAAACTCAACTCAAGGTGGATTAAAGAATTAAACATTAAACCTAAAACCATAAAAATCCTAGAAGAAAACCTAGGCAATACCATTCAGGTCATAGGCATGGGCAATGACTTCATGACTAAAACACCAAAAGCAATGGGAACAAAAGCCAAAATTGACAAATGAGATCTAATTAAATGAAAGAGCTTCTGCACAGCAAAAGAAACTATCATCAGAGTGAACAGGCAACCTAGGGAATGGGAGAAAATTTTTGCAATCTATCCATCTGACAAAGGGCTAATATCCAGAATCTATAAGGCACTCAGACAAATTTACAAGAAAAAAACAAATGACCCCATCAAAAAATGGGCAAAGGATATAAACAGACACTTATCGAAAGAAGACATTTATGCGGCCAACAATCATATGGAAAAAAGCTCATCATCACTGGTCATTAGGGAAATGCAAATCAAAACCACAATGAGATACCATCTCACGCCAGTTAGAATGGCGATCATTAAAAAGTCAGGAAACAACCGATGCTGGAGAGGATGTGGAGAAATAGGAACACTTTTACATTGTTAGTGGGAGCGTAAATTACTTCAACCATTGTGGAAGACAGTGTGGCGATTCCTCAAGGATCTAGAACTAGAAATACCATTTGACCCAGCAATCCCATTACTGGGTATATACCCAAAGGATTATAAATCATTCTGCTGTAAAGACACATGCACATGTATGTTTATTGCAGCACTATTCACAGTAGCAAAGACTTGGAACCAACCCAAACGCCCATCAATGATAGACTGGATAAAGAAAATGTGGCATATATACACCACGGAATACTATGCAGCCATATAAAAGGAAAAGTTTATGTCCTTTGCAGGGACATGGATGAAGCTGGAAACCATCATTCTCAGCAAACTAACACAGGAACAGAAAACTATATACCGCATGTTCTCACTCATAAGTGGGAGTTGAACAATGAGAATACATGGACACAGGGAGGGGAACATCACACACGGGGGCTTGTCAGGGTTGGGGGCTAGGGGAGGGATAGCATTAGGAGAAATACCTAATGTAGGTGACAGGTTGATGGGTGCAGCAAACCACAATGGCATGTGTATACCTATGTAACAAACCTGCACGTTCTGCACATGTATCCCAGAACTTAAAAGTACTAAAAAAAAAAGAAAAGAAAAGAAAAGAAAAGAAACTGGCCCTGTATAAAACTGAACAAAGTCCCAGCTGTTGCCTTTTAGCAGCCAAACCACTATAATGGCAGCAGTCTCTGGAAAGGAGAGCAGGGAACCACCAAAGAGTCTGTCTTTTAGCCAATTCCAATTCCAGTGCCTGCTGTTGCTGTTACTGCAACTATCACCCACTGACATCAGATGGTCGCTCTGTGTAAATGTAGGGTCCAGATTGGGTTTCAGCAAAACACTAGCCCTGCATTAACATCCAGGCATTTTTAAACTATACATTCTCAGAATTAACCAAATTACAATGTAAAGTAAGCCAGATACCATGAATTTAAAGATAATATGTAGTAATGTATAAATGCTTTACAACATTAAGAGGATTTTCACATATCCTGTCTCCGAGGTCCTAAAATTAGCACAAAAGTATACCACTATAGGTTTATTAACTACACTGTCTCTATGCTTACTTTTATACTTCTACGGGTTTGCAAAGGCATTTATCTTTCCATCCCTGGAATTTACTCTCTCAGTCCAGCTGAGTTTTCTTGGTCTAAAACTTGAGCTCATTCTACCATTATAGATTTTAGTTCTGTTTAGAGATTATGGGTTATTTTTGTATCCTGAAGGCTATTTCCAGAGTGACCCTTTCTGAACCACAAAATAACAAACAGCCTTTTGTAGATTCTAATTTTAAAGCCTAATTTTAGTAATAACTCTTTTAACTATTATGATGACATGTTTTAGTTAAATATTAACATTCTAATGTTATTGAAACATTTGAGACATTTAAGAAAATGTAACACATTAGATTTCTGATATTAATTTGAAATGAATAACAAAATTTAGTCAAGTTTGTAAAGGTTTTAAATGTTTGATAAAACTTAACTACTATATTTATAAGCTTGATTATTAGAGTTAAAAGAAGAGCTTGGGTGTTTTAAATTATTCTTCTTACTAGATTTTTTAAAAATTATTTTTCATTTTTTGAGGCAGGGTCTCACTATGTTGTCCAGGCTGGTCTAGAATTCCTGGTCAACAATCCTCCCACCTTACCCTCCAGAGTAGCTGGACTAACTACAGCACCATCGTGCCAGGCTTTCTCATTACATTTTAAAGTTTGCCCTGATGGGCATTTGGCATTTGAGAAAATTAGATATATTAAATTTGTAAGTGCCGTTTAAAATGTGTAAAATAATTTAACTCAGTTTTTAAATATAGCTAAATTTTAGGTAAATTGAATCTTTTAAATAAATGAGTAAGTTGAAGCTGAATCTTCCATGTTGAGCTTAAAAACTTAAGAAAAACTTGGTTTTTAAATTTAAATACTTAAGTAGTTAATAATTAGAAGTAGCTTCAAGTAGTATTTTTCATGCGCATATAATGCCCATTCCTAACCAAAAAAAAAATCTCTATTGAAAGGAATTGGAAAGGGAAATGAATGGGTTAATTAAGACTGTTGGGTATAGTTTATCATTACTTAGTTCATGTGATGCAAGTTCTAATTCTTTGGTAGAGTAGAATCATAGGTTTTGAGAGTTCACAAGAGTTTTAGAGATAATCTAATTCAACCCATTTATTTTACAATTGATGCACAAAATTAAAGGCAACTCAGAGAGCTCAAAGAACTTTCCAAAGGTCAAAGCGTCAAAGCAGGGTTATACTAAGGTTGGAGAACCTCATGTACAGTATTTAATAATATTCCTTTTGAATATTGTAGTCTTCCACAGTGTGACTACTGGAGATTGAGGAAAGAATTGTGTTGAAAGGCTTAAAGGCAAAGAAGACCAGACATGGTGGCCTATGCCTGTAATCCCAGCACTTTGGGAGGCTGAGGTAGGAGGATCATTTGAGGTCAGGAGTTCGAGACCGGCCTGGGCAACATAGTGAACTCCCCATCTCTACAAAAAATAAAAAGATTAGCTGGTCATGGTATTGTGTGCCGATACGCCCAGCTACTTGGGAGACTGAGGCAGGAGGATTGCTTGAATCTAGGAGTTGGAGGCTGCAGTGAGCTATGATCACACCACTGCCCTCCAGCCTGGGTGACAGAATGAGACCCTGTCTCTAAAAAACAAAAACAAGAAACAAAGGCAAAAAAGTGCCTTTGAACTCAGCTGTCATAAGGACAAAAGGGGATTAAAGTGAAAGGGCCCCAAGGGAATGGTAAAACCAGAGTTAGCAGCAAGCTGCACTCTGGAGAATGTGGGTGGGGATTAGCCGAAGAAGCTGTTCCCTTAAGAAGCTCCATGTAGTTTTGATCCATATGCCCTGGTTTTGCTTTCTAAAACTATGGATAGCAAGTCCATTCACTTGTGCCCTTAATAGTCTTTCTTCTGTTTGAAAGCAGCACACCATCAAGGGGGGCAGTTGTGAAATTTGAAGTCAGTAGATCCAAGTTTTGAACCTTGAATCCATCACTACTGCTGGATTCATTCATTCATTCATTGAACAAATGTTTATCAAAGTCCCACTATATTCTCAGCCCTGTTCAAGACTACAGGGATTTATCAATAAATAATAATAATAAACATCCCAGCCCTCAAAGGGCTTACAAGTTAGTTTGTCATGACAGGCAGTAAACAATAGATATAGTAAATGCATTATGTAAGTATGTTCGGTGATAAATTCTATGGAATACAATAGAAGATGGAAGAGGAACTAAAAGTTTAGTGGCAGTATAGAGGAAGCCAATTGTAATTTTGCATAGAGTGGTCAGGCTTAGTCTCATAAGTAGGTGGCATTGAGCAAAGGCTTGAAGGTAGAGAAGTAAGTAAGCTGTGCAGGTATCTATGAGAAGACCATTCCAGGCAGTGGGTATTCCAATGCAAAGCCCCTGAGGCAAGAGAATGCCCAGGTCTTTCCATCATTCTGTTCTGTCATCTTCAATGGGTCAGTTTTACCCTCTGGCTTTCTCCACTCCTGATAATCAGATAGTCTCAGACACCACATTCAGGCACAGAAATATCCAGAAAAGATGAGCTACAGTTTCCTCTCTGTGTCATTGTTAAAGGCAAGGAATCTCCTCCAAAGTCGTTACAGAACTTGGTCATGTCTTCCGCCAGGACTGGACCACACGTCAGTTTCCTAACCAATCATTATCCAGGGGAATGAGTGTAGTTTGACTTAGTTCAATCATTTGAAGTGGAATAGATGCTGGAAATTTTGCTATCATAGGTTATTTTCAACTTATAAAAAACACTGCATTGAATATCATTCTACAAAATCATTTAGCACACATATCATTATATCCTATGGATAGAATACTAGGAGTGAAATTACTAAATCAAAGAGGATGAGCTTTTCAAAGACTGTTGATATGCAGTATAAAATTACATTTTATAAAAATTACACCAGTTGATACACCCATTGCAGTGATGAGGGCACACATCTCTTATACCCTCAACTTTAAATATTACTGTATTTGAAATGTTTGCCACTTTAAAATTGACCATATTTATTGATCATTTCCAAGTTTATTGGCTATTTCCAAGTCTTCCAACATTTCTCTTCAAGTCCTTCACTTTTTTTTCTATTGGGCTATTAATGCATTTTTATTGGACATAAAAATTCTTTAAATATTGATGTACTTAAAACACTTAATCTTTCCTCATAGGGATGTAATATGCCTCCCCATTTTTCTAAATTCCCTTTTATTGATCAGTGAAGATTTATAATTTTTAAAATTTAGCTTCTTATGCCTTTCTTTCTTTCTTTTTTTTTTTTTTTTTTTTTGAGGCAAAGTCTTACTCTGTTGCCCAGGCTGGAATGCAGTGGCATGATCATGGCTCACTGCAACCTCTGCCTCCCGAGCTCAGGCAGTCCTCCCACCTCAGCCTCCTGAATAGGTGGTACTACAGGCAGACAGTACCATGCTTGGCTTGTATTTTTTTGTAGAGGTGTGGTCTCATTGTGTTGCACAGGCTGGTCTCAAACTCCTGAGCTAAAGTGATCTGCCCACCTCGGCCTCCTAAAGTGCTGAGATTACAGGTATGAGCCACTGTGCCCTTTTCTTATTGTGGCTATTATATATTTTGCTGCTATTGCAATAGGAATTCCCACCCTCCTATATATTATATTACATTTCTATTACATGTAACAAGTTGCCTCAAATGTAATGGCTTAACATAACACAAATTTACTATCTCACCATTTTTGTGAGTCAGGAGTTCAGCATGGCTAGCTAAGTCCCCTGCTCAGTATTATCCTAGGCTGAAGTCAAGGTGTCCACCAGGTGCATCCTCATCTGGAAGCTCGGCTGGGGGAAGAAAAAAAAAATATCCCCTCCAAGCTTCTTTAGGATGTTGGAAGGATTTATTTCCTTATGGCTGTATGACTGATGTTCCCATTTTCTTGCTCTCTGTGGGTTAGGGATCATTCTCAGGTACCAGAAATTGGTCTCAGATTCCTGCCATGTGGCCCTCTTTAAAGGAGCTCTACCTCATGTCTTAAATCTCTGACTTCAGGAAGGATGTAGTCCCTTTTAAGGGCTCACACAATTAAGTCAGTCCCATCAAGGATAATATCCCTTTTAAGTTAAAGTCAACTGATTGGGGACCTTAATTATACCTGTAAAATCTTTCTGCTGTATAATATAATATAATCATGACAGTGACATATATCATAGTCACAGGTTCACTCACACCCAAGGGAGGGGATTATACAGGACTTGTCTACAAGAAGGCAGGAATTTTGGGGGTCATCTTAGAACTCTGCCTACTGTATGAGGTGATTAGCTATGGTTAGAAGTTTTTGATTTTCATCACTTGTCTCCTTAAAGCACAAAATTGTATCAGGCTTGCTCAAGAAGATCAAGATGGTTAATAAAAACGTTCTAATTACACTAGTGGCCGTAGGTGGCCACTGAAGTTTTTATATTTCCTTTGCAGGAAAGCAAATACAAGCAATTCTCAACTTTTAAAATGTTAGGTGGTCACATATTTTTCAGTCATCCTTGTACCAAGTGTATCTTTCATGTATCGGCTAATGATAAACATTTCAAAGTATCATGTGATTACTGCCTGCCAGTCAAAAGTTTAGTTCCAACACCATGTCTATCCTTGTATAACAGTATTTGTGCAATTGTTCCACTATTTTGTATGTTCCTATTTTATAAAAAGAAAACAATTAAAACGTGGTGATATTAGTTATAAGAGCTCATAAACTTTTTATAGCTGAAATAGAGATATAAATGGGCTGCAAGTGCCAATTTTTTAGCATCAATGGGACAGTCACTGGAATGAAGATAACAAGAACCTGTTTAGTCAGAGTAACATAAACCATGCTAGATATTTCAACCACAGTAGATGCAGGAAATTGATTACCCAGCTGTTGGAAAACCAGGATGCTGAGGTAAGCCAGATAGGTACTGATGGAAGCGGCTACCAGTTGCAGGGCTGGAAAAACAAAAGAGAGGAAGTGTCTGTGAGGAGGTCCTAGAAGCTTGAACTTAGAAGAAGTTCCACCCATACTCCGGCTCAGTTCTTAGACTTCTCCCTGGAGCACCAAGTGCACGGGGATTGAACCATCAACGGGGGCAAATCACAGCTGGCACTGGAAGTGGTGAGAGAAGCTGGACTAGGCTTTGCTGTCAGTGTGGAGCTAGCAGGAATCTGTAACAAGAAATGAGTTACTTTTTCTCTCCTTGTGCCTTGCTATGTCTTTCTAGTGCCTCCAGTTGTCCAATCATTACACCGTAACAGGAAGCCAGCTGGTAAGAACATCTGGGAGATGTAGTTTTTAGCCTCCAGACCTAGCATTTCAGAGCAGGGTATAGAGGGAGGGCTTAGAGTTGAAAACAATAGAAAATAACCCAGGGCATGACAATATAAAAACTAAAGAACATGTGCAAAATGAGGAAAATATGTTTCAAACATTGTTTACCAAGAGTGGGAAATATCTAGGGAATTCATTATATTTCTGTGGTCCAGAAGGGATGTGAACTCTCCTCTGTTGAACAGCCTTTGCCTTTGTGTTTTTAAAACCACTTTGATTTCTTCTGGTGACAGAATTCTTCTTTAGAGTAAGGAACCCATTCTCATTCTCTGTAGGTCAAGTAGGACTTTGACCCACCACCACTGAGATGGGGTGTGTTATCCAGGCCCCAGCAATTGCAGGGCCCCATTCACTTAGCCACAGTAATTGGTTCAGAGATGAGCAGATGATCTTAACCAGACTAATCAGGGCTTTCCCTAGGATTTTTTATTTTTAAAGCCATTTGCAGCAAATGCTGGCTCTTTCTGCTGGCCTTCCTAAGCTGGCAGAGTATGAGTTTGGGCTGCCAGTTGCTGTTTTGTCTGCCACTGGAGAGAGCTCTTCCAAGAGATAGAGAGAAAGAAAGACATAAAGACCCAAAACATTGTTTGGACCCTGCCTTGAAGTGAGCTGGTACTTTTCAGTAATATGATTCCGTAAGTTCTTTTATTTCCTGTAACACAAGTGTTTTAATTGTAAGATACTTGACTTTTATCCACTTTTTTTATTTTTTGAGACAAGGTCTTTCTCTGTTGCCCAAGCTGGAGTGCAGTGTATGATCATAGCTTACTGCAGCCTCAATCTCCTGGGCTCTAGCAATCCTATCCCACCTCAGCCTCCCAAGTAGCTAGGATGACAGGTACACACCACCACACCTGGCTAATTTTTATTTTTTGTTTTTATAGAGACAAGGTCTGGCTATGTTGACCAGGCTGGTCTCAAACTCCTGGCCTTAAGTGATTCTCCTGCCTTGGCCTCCCAACAGGTGTGAGCCACCGTACCCAGCCTAGCTACATTTTTTATAAGTACAATATGTTCAAAGGCAACATAATACAGTGATTAAAAGTGAGAACACTGGACCTTGGTTATACAAACGATGGTTGAATTCTGACTCAGCTACTTAATGAGCATGATCTTGGACAAGTTACCTAAAATCTAATTGAATTTCAAATTCCTCAAATGAGGATAGTGTTAGTACCTTCTTCATACAATTATTATGTGAAGACCAACTGGGAGGCCAGGCACGGTGGCTCACGCCTGTAATCCCAGCACTTTGGGAGGCCGAGGTGGGTGGATCATGAGGTCAGGAGTTCAAGACCAGCCTGGCCAACAAGGCAAAACCCTGTCTCTACTAAAAATACAAAAATTAGCCAGGTGTGGTGACATGCACCTGTAATCCCAGCTACTCAGGAGGCTGAGGCAGGATAATTGCTTGAACCCGGGAGGTGGAGGTTGCAGTGAGCCGAGATCACACTACCACACTCCAGCCTGGGCGACAGAGCAAGACTCCATCTCAAAACAAAAAAAAAAAACAAAACAAAAAAAGTGCTCAAGACATATTAGCTATTGTTACTTTAGTTAGATAATTAGGGGATTCCATCTAGATTAAAGGAAGTCATGATTCAGTGGAAAACACCTAACTATACATCAGTTTTATCATTCAGTGTCCATCTGGGAAACAAACAACTCTGATTATTTTAGAAGAGTTAATTTAATGTGAGAAATGGATCATCCACACAGACTACAAGCTAAACAGAGCGCAGTTAGGCACCTCCATCCCAAATTGGCAGTAGCTTGTAAACTGCTACCACCCCTAAGATGGAGAGACTTAAGGTGTCCAGTCAAAGTTGGAATCATGTTGGGCTTGTGAAAAAGATGAAGCCACTGCCAGAAAAGCCACCTGTGGCAGAGAAGGCAGATGAGGAATATTTTGGCTTCTCTCTTATTTCTATCATCCAATCTTTGATTGGCTATGCCCAACTGAAGGCCTATGAAACAGGAGCCTTGGAAATAGCCTGCAGAGGTTGGAGCAGAGCCAGGGAAGCTCAAAGAATGGATCTGAAGGCAAACAGCACCAATACGTCCCAGAAGGAGGTTACTGAATTTCTCCCTTCACTGGCTCATGTTCACATGCACACAAATAGCCATAAAATCCAACAGTGTGGCATCTTCACCCACATTCCTAAACACCTAGATTACAAGGCTGTTTGGATTGGTATTAAATGGTCAACCTACCCACACTCTGTACTGATAGACATTAAATATACACCATCCTTACCAGTTTATGAGTGATTGGAATTTTTGTTGTTCTAAGAGAATACAAGTTGTTGGAAAATCATAGACCCTAAGTTACTGGTGCAAGATAACTGAAAGTCCCTGGCCTGCCATTATGATAAGTACATTCTACATGCATCCTTTGTTATTTCTGCATATTTATACAACTGGAAGCTAACACTCTCTGCAGTGCCTGGGGGGAAGTGCTGATTTCTTAGACCTGGAAGAATTCTATTTCATTTATTCTGAATCATAGCATACTATATGCTTTCAACGTGGGTAGTCTTTCATTTCCGGTCAAATTTTCTCCCTTTTTATTAAGTTACACAAAGCCATGCACTTTCTTCCCCTCTTCATTATGCTCTGTGTACAGAGGTTTTTTTAATCAGCATCCTCTGAACAGACTCTGCTTTGTAAGAATTCCTCAGAAAATTGTTCACTGTGCAGATCTGTGTTTGAAAATGGCCACGATTAAAGACATTTCTCAGCAGTTCAGATGACTCTTTGCAGCCTGTGTGTCTCTTTCAAAGTACAAAGAACCACCTGTTTTTGATAAAAGGAAGCCAAAGTAAGCAGGAGTTTTGAAACGGCATCTCAAAACACTTAGGTTTAAAAAATATGTCCAGTTCTCCAGTCTCCCTCCACAAATCTCCATCTCCATCAGCTGCACTATGATTTCTCGTTTTTCTTCTCCAGCTCCTCTGTTAGAGATGCGATTGCATTGTTGGTATAAAGTCATGTTATTGTAGTGGAAATTCAAATAAGCCAATAATTTTAATCTCCTCCCTCACATCACAGGGATTTTAGTAAATGGCAAAGCAAGCTGAATATAGTTTTACCTTTCCCTAAACTAGCCGATAGATAATGCTAAAAAGTGAAAAAATGCAATTGATGGGTGACAGGAGATAGAAAGATTAAGAGGTTTGGATACCGATATGGTTTGGATTTGTGCCCCCACCCAAACCTCATGTTGAATTGTAACCCCGAATTCTGGAGGAGGGTCCTGGTGGGAGGTGATTGGATCATGGGGTCTGATTGTCCTGTTGCTGTTCTGGTGATAGTGAGTGAGTTCTCAAGAGATCTGGTTGTTTAATACAAGTGTGTAGCTTTTCCTCCTTTACTCTCTTCCTCCTGCTCCGGCCATGTAGGACATGCCTGCTTCCCCTTCCGCCATGATTGGAAGTTTCCTCAGGCCTCCCCAGCCATACATACTTCCTGTACAGTCTGTGGAACCGTGAGCCAATTAAGCCTTTTTTTCTTTATAAATTACCCAGTTTCAGGTATTTATAGCAGTGTGAGAATGGACTAATACACATACGAAACAAGAAATTGGTAACTATTCAAAGAACAAAACAAGAGATAATGGAATAATTCATTGTCAATATGGCAAAGAGATTACTGGTTGTGAAGACTTGCTAACCACTGTGTAGAAAATTAAAATTAAGTCTAGGCAAACTCCCTTCCCATGTTCTTTACTGTGATTTGAAAATAATCCATTGGCAATATTATCAGATGCTATGGTAGTATTATCAGAGTTATCAGAAACATCCTCCTGTCACCTTTTCCTTCTAACTCTTGGCTAGTTAATGATTCCTACTTTTTTTTTTTTTTTTTTTTTTTTGAGATAGGGTCTCACTCTGTTGCCCAGGCCGGAGTGCAGAGGTGCAATAACGACTCACTGCAACCTTCTCCATCTGGGCTCAAGCAATCCTCCCACCTCAGCCACCCAAGTACCTGGAACCACAGGCACATACCACCATGCTGGTTAAATTCTGTAATTTTTTTTTTGGTAGAGATGGGATTTCACCATGTTGCCTAGGCTGGTCTTGAGCTCCTGGGCTCAAGTGATCTGCCCGCCTCAGTCTCCCAAAGTGCTGAGATTACAGGCAAGAGCCATGGCAACTGGCCAATGATTCCTATTTTTGTGGACACTGTTGATCCCTTAATTTATGGACTGTATAGAAAAGCATGCTTCAAAATTTATAGATGACCCAAAGCTAGAAGAGATAGCAATATAATGCTCTAGCTGCATGCTCCAAAGCAAGAAAAATATCAGCTGAATAGATGAGGGTATAATGGGGAGGGGGAAGCATGCAGATATTGAATTACTCACTAGCTAAGTGAAAACCAATGAATTCTTATACAGAAGAAAATCACTGGAAATTGAAAAATGAGAGATAATAAAAATTCTCATGTATCCATTAAACAGATATACACATCTACTAATCCCAGCTATATACAAATTTTCTTTTGGGGTTTAAATGCACCAGGTTAGATGCTACCACCAGTTGTATGTGACTGTCATGCTAGGGGTAAGACGGGATGACGTGGGGCTCTACCCCTTCATGGTTTCATGGTAAAATTTCTTCATCAGATAACTGGAGTGCTTGGCATGGGCCTTAATTGTTAAGGTGATTGCTCCCTTGGGTATCACAGGAAATTTGCACCCTTGCCTTACTCCTTTCTACCTTTTCTTTCAGGTAGAATTCTTCTAAGAGCCGGGGTATATCCTCAGCATCTGCTTAATATGTCTCCAGGAATCTCTGCATCTTGGTAACCCTATATTAAGTGTCTGACAACATTTCAAGTTTATGGCTGGAATATAACATTCCTGGGCTACCTCCCAGTCACCCTGCCTTGCCACCCCATATTCATGCACATAGACAAAGACAAAATCCTGCATTTCTACTCTAATTATCTTTTTTTTTCATTTTTGAGACAGAGTCTCAGTCTGTCGCCCAGGCTGGAGTACAGGAGCATGATCTCAGCTCACTGCAACCTCTGCCTCTTGGTTCAAGTGATTCTTATGCCTCAGCCTTCCGAATAGCTGGGACTACAGGCGCACACCACCATGCCCAGCTAATTTTTTGTATTTGTTAAGTAGAGATGGGGTTTCACCGTGTTAGCCAGGCTGGTCTCAAACTCCTGATCTCAGGTGATCTGCTGGCCTTAGCCTCCCAAACTGCTCAGATTACAGGTGTGTACCACCGCGCCTGGCCTGGCTTAATTATGATTATACTGCTCCATATTTACAATTATCAAGGCTGGGCTGATATGGCTACTGAAAACCAAGGCAATCTTAGTGGCATTATAACCACTATAATAAATAAGTGCACTGACAGATGTAAACTGTTGTGCATGCTTAAGAGCAGCTCTCCAGTACTGGGTTCTACTCCAGACAACAGAGTTTAAGAGCAACATTTTGTGAATACAGCACAGGAATGCTTCTAAGTAAAGTGAGCATGATTGTGAAGGGGTTTAGAAACCGTCTCAAAAGAAGGAATTGTTGAAAAAATGGAGAAGCCTAGCTAAGGGAAGCAAGGCGCAAAAACCTGAAGGGCAGTCACAGAAGGGAGAGAAAAGCCTTGGTCTGTTGTGCTCAAGGGGATGGTGTAACCTTCCTGAGATGATCTGCTGCGTTCCAGGAAGTGCCAAGAGTGGAAGCGAGCTTTTTGGGCTGATGTTTGCATTGTGATAATAGTCCAGTTGCCCTGGTGGTGAGTAGGCAGGAACACAGGTACTGTCTAAATGTGCAGCGGTACCTCTGTGAGGCCCCCTATTTGAGGGTAGTTTGCATATGGCAATTGTGGTTGATCTTGGAAGATAAAGATTATATTCTAGAAATAGGATATGAGAGGGCAATGTTTAACTCCCGGAAACTGAGCTTGGTAGGTAGTACATGTCTCAGGGACTGAAAATGAATGCCTAGTCTCAAAACAGTCTTGAATCACGGACAGTTTAAGAGTGGCAAGGCTGTGGGGGACAGACCCCATACTTTAAAAAGCAGGGATTAGGCACTCCACTTTTTTCTCGATTTTATTGCAGGACATTTCATTGTGAGGATATCCCACACCCCTCCCCCCACCCCCAGCCCTGCCTTACCTGGCAACGATGTAAATCACCTCCTGCACTTTGGACTGCCTCTAATATATGGTGCCCTGTTAACTCTGTCACATGAGGTTTCTCCGTTATTCCTGGAAGTCATTCATTCATTCACTCAGCTAACATTTATGGAGCACCTGCTATGCATTAGGTTCCTGTGCTAGGCACTGAGGAAAGATGATAAGAAAAAGACATGGTCTCTGTCCTCAAAGAGCTCTGTGCTTAGAAAGAAAGATTTCTAATGTGGTGAGTGCAGAACAGGGTGATTGGTGCCATGGTAAAAGTGAGTATAGGTTGCCCGAGTTGGGGAGATTGAAGAGAGGAAGAGGCCATGGAAGGCTTCCTGTAGGAGGTAATACCTGGCCATTATAAATAGCAGGTTGGAGTTAGCCAGGCAAAGGGCAGATACTGGGATTTGGGGGAATCAACATGGAGAGTAATGAAAGGAAGGGCATTTGGTTAAGGTGGCAGTATGAGGAATGGCAGGGAACAGCCCCACCACATTCAAGAAGCTGTACAGCTGGGGTTGCCAGAGCTTATGGTGCAAGGCAGAGAGTGTCCAGAAATGAGGCTGGAGGGGGTAGCGGGGGTCAGTGCATGGTGAGCTCTGTGTTCCCTGGGAAGGTGACTGGTTTTGTCCTGGAGTCTGTTGGAAGTTTTGGGTGGTTGTTAACTAGGACTGGCCTGGTCAGGTTTGTTTAGGCAGAAACTTCTGGCTGCATGGAGAGGCAGGACTTGAGGGATCCACGTTGTATCCAGGAAGATCATTTAGAAAGCTATTGCTGTCATGCAAGCCAGTGGCTCTCAGCCACAGTGCTGTGTCTGATCAGTCTGAGGATGGTCTCTGGTTCCTGCAGGGCCTGGAAACTGCCCACGATCTGAAGTCTGTTTCATCAGTGCTGCATGTTGATGGCCATAGAGTGCCCTGCACACATCTGCTGTGATGATGCATGAATATTTGTTTCTTGGGAGAAAAGAGATTGGGGCCCACTAATAGAGGTTAGAGATGACAAGGAACTGAGCTGGGTGGTGAGAAAAATCTAGGAAATGCAATCAGAGTGAGAAGACCACAGTGATTCTTCTCCCCTCTCTGGATTTCTAGCTTAGGGGACAATCCATGGATTGTGATCATAAATTGGGATATAAAGTATAGCAAAAGGAACAATTTTCAGGGCATAAATAAACAAATGCAATCTTGGACCTTTTTGGTTGAAGGTGCCTGAGGTACATCTGAGAAAGCTGTCCTATAGGCAGTTGGAAAGACAGTTCTGAAGCTTGGTGGAGGACTCATCAACATAGAGATGACCACCAAGCCAAGCAGGGTAGCTGAGGAAGACAGGGCCGGAAGGTACACTGAGGCTAAGTAGCTTGACTTATTTCTTATGCCTCATCCTAGAGGGCAGATACCCGAATACGGAAGTGTGGCATTTTAGTATGGATACAAACCAATGTGCAAATTATGTTATAGTTCTGGGATGAGGGAAGTTTAGTAAATGTGTTTACAGATGCAATGGCAATGAGTTTTGAGAGCTCAGAATGGGTGGTGAAAACCTTTGGGCTTTGGCCAGGCATGGTGGCTCATGCCTGTAATCCCAGCACTTTGGGAGGCCCAAGCAGGTGGATCATGTGAGGTCAGGAGTTCAAGACCAGCCTGACCAACATGGAGAAACCCCATCTCTACTAAAAATACAAAATTAGCCGGGCATGGTGGCGCATGCCTGTAATCCCAGCTACTTTGGGGGCTGAGGCAGGAGAATTGCTTGAACCTGGGAGGCAGAGGTTGCAGTGAGCTGAGATCATGCCATTGCACTCCCACCTGAGCAACAAGAGCAAAACTCCATCTCAAAAACAACAACAATGACAACAAAAAACCTTTGGGCTTCAGGGTCTAGTCTTGTCTGGAAATGCACATGTTATGTAATGTTCAACTATATCCTAGAACTGTGGTGCTTGGAGACATGCAGGGCCTGGTTTAAGCATCTTTTGTGGAGAAAGGAGATGGAGAAGCAAAAAAGGAAATCTAGTAGTCTGTCCATGGGGAAGGACTGTGATGAAGTGGCAGAGCAGATGGTGAAGATTTGGGCCTATTTATTGTGCTCCTGTCACCATCACTTCCAGTGGGTTTGGCCAATTATCTGACATATTGAGGCTGGGTTTGCAGCAATGTTTGGGAGCAGCAGGTGCTTCAGGAGGCTGGCTTTTGTCCAAGCTGCATTGTATAAGCCTGCTTTACCATTAATAAACTGACATTTTCTTCCCATCCGTTTTAGAATCTGGGAGCAGGGTGATTAACTGACCCCGCCAATGATAGTAGGGGCCATCACTGTACGTAACACTCACTTTCCCCTCGACCTCTCCTTCTGAATGCCGATTGTAACCATTCATTATGTGCCTGCTCTCACTCTCCTTACCCTTCTGCAGAAACACTCAGAAAATCCACGCCAACTGCCCTTCACCACTTCCCTTTCTCCTGCTCCACAGTGATCTAAGCAATGAGCCCAAATAGACCCACCTTCCCCCCAGGAATCCCCTCCATAGCGTCTGTGTCTCTCCACCCATCTCCAAATTGCCATCATGGATTACTGACTTTGTTGTACTTTACAGCTCACATCGGGCCTGAATTCCTAGTTCCTTAGACCTAATCTCAGCCGGAGAGAATGCAACATGATTATATGGGGAAAGCAGTTGGTGTTTCAGTGAATGCTTCCTAGGAATATTTGCATTTTAACAAGTCAAACAGTAAACATAAGTACTCTGTGACTAGACAGGAGAGCAATTTCTGAGCAGGATGTTTCTGAAGCCTCAGTTTCTAGAGCCTATCAGCTTTCTTGGATGCTCCCACACCAATAGTGTAAATAAAATTTTTTATTAACAGTTAGACGCTGTTATGGGCTTAATTTTGTCTCCTCAAATGTGGATATGTTAAAGCTCTAACCCCCAGAACCTCAGAGCATGATTGTATTTGGAGATGGGGCATTTAAAGCGATGATTCAGTTAAAATGAGGTCACTAGGGTGGGCCTAGTCCAATATGACTGGTGTTCTTATAAGAAGAGGAACTTTGGACACACAGAGAAATACCAGAGATGCACCTGCACAGAGAAAAAACCATGTGATGCTCCAGGGAGAAGGCAGTTGCCTGCAAGCCAAGGAGAGAGGCTTCAGGTAACACCAAACCTACCGACACCTTCATCTCAGAGTTTGAGCATCCAGAACTGTAGGAAAGAAATTTCTGTTGTTTAAGCCACCCAGTCTGAGGTATTTTGTTATTGACAGCCCTAGTATCCTAACACAGTTGCATAACCCATGTGGGAGCCACGGCTTCTCGGGGACTTGTGTTCAGAAGACTCAGGAATGTGTTTCTGCTCACCTTGGAGAAATGTTGGGGGACTGGTGTATGACAGCAGAGGTTCTTAAACTTCCATGTGCATGAGCATCCCCCAGAGGGCTTGTGAAACAGGATTGCTGGGCCCCACCTCCAGGGCTTCTGAGTTAATAGTTCTGGGAAGGGGCCCAAGAATCTGCATTTATTTATTTATTTTTTATTTTAAGAAACAAGGTATAGATATGTTGCCCAGGCTGGAGTGCAGTGGCTATTCACAGTTGCAATCATAGCAGACTACAGCCACAAACTCCGGGGCTTCAGTGATCCTCTTGCCTCAGCCTCCCCAGTCGCTGGGACTGCAGGTGCATGTCACTGCACCTGGCTCAAGATTCTGCATTTCTAATAAGCTCTGACGGTGCTAATCAAGGAACCATGCAATAGAAATTGAAACTGAGAAATTTAAAAATTATTTTTTAGTTCATTTTAAGATAGCAGTAATTAACCCATTATCTGTTAGAATAAATAACAGGTTTTAATTTAAAAAGCAATATTTTCAAAACAAAAAAAAGTCACATCATATTTCTTGGAAATTCTACTATCGGATGTGTAAGAGGAGGAGAGTGAAAATAGCAAATAACACCTTGGTATTATTATGAAAATAGTTTTGATTGTCACATTCTCCCTGAAAGTGCCCAAGGGACACCCAAGGGTTCCTGGGCCATATTTTGAGAACAGATGACTATGAGATGGGCAGAAGAAGGAAAGAGCTCCATTGAAGATGCCAGAGAAGTAGGAGAAAAACAGGGAGAGGGCCCTGTGATAGGAGCAGAACCTTAGTCTGTGCTGTGATCAAGATCCACCCACGTGGGAATAACTCAGATTCTCCTTTACCTCACATACGCAGCTGAGCCCACACACACCTGTGCAATGGAGTTAAACTCACAACAGAGAACAAATATCCTTAGTATGAGATCAGAAGTAAGTGTCACCCTGTGAAGCACCTGTTGGTCTTCCCAGATTCTTGGACTATTGATTCTGTTCCTCAGCCTGAGACTTTGGCACTGCATCGTCTCCTGAATCTTTGGTGATCTCTTGGGCTTTGAAGTTCATTGATTTTCTTGGCACCCTGATGCTGTTCTTCTCCTGCCCGTCTCCTTGCCATTAGCCTTTGTCCACAGCATGCTTTTCCTCCTTCTTGACCTTCCCACACATGAAAGGGTCCTTTGTGTGTTCCCTTTCAAGAGTGGGAAAATTCTTCCCAGAGTCCTCCCTGAAGGCTTCCCTCCAGTCTCATTGGCCAAGATTGTCTCACATGCCTGTTTCCTAAAACAAGTCACTTGGCAAGGGATATTAACCCCATGAGGCTAGAAAGAGACAGTGTCTCCCCTGAAGGACATGGCCACCTGGAGGATAATGAACAACATTTGGGTTTTATAGCAAAAAAGAAGGGTGAGTGGTGGCATGGTGATTGACTGCTGAGCACACAAGAGTGTCTGCCACGGAACATAGTCTTACTCAGCAGTGACCCTCTTACCATTTTCCCTTTCCTGTCAACCACAACAAAGTCTTTAGCTTGTTTACCCAACCTCCTACCAGTTTTTTCAGCTCTAGTTGTCTTTTGGAAATGAGAGACCTCCAGGAGTTGGGCTTAGGATAAAGCACCAGGGGAAATAAATCCCCAGGTTTGAAGGATGTATCATCAAGAGCCATTCATAGATGTTAACCCATGATACCCACTCTCTTCTTGTACCAATAGTTTTTCTAGCACACAAAAGCTAATCACAGAACCCAGCTCTGTTTTTAGGTAAGTAGCCCCAGCTTATTTGTGGTTGCAATGGAATGTTCCAGAGAAGATTTTTATAAATATTTTGTGCAAAATCCAAGAAACTTTGCAAACTTCCCCACTTACTCAGTGGATTGTCCGTATTATGTTTGCTTCCTGTCTCCGCAGGATTCTACAATACTCTTGATGGAATGTGCTTTTTTTTCTCTTTGGAGGATCATGTGTGGGGCCCCTCTTACTAAGAAGCCTTGTGTATGTCTGGAAAATGTCACTGACACACTGGATTTTCTGGTTAGTCATTTCCACAAGCAGTTTGTTATCTCTTGCTAATTCCTCAGATGAAACTTAGGCTCAGATTCTCACAATGCTCAGATTCTTTTCCTAGATTCAGTATGTCTTTAAGTTCCTGGAGTATTGGCTATTTAGCAGAAACTCAATTATTAGGCATTTATTTCAAATTGCTCTTCATGATTGCTACCGTACCTCTATAATCATCATCATTATTGCACTTCAGTTCACTGGTTGTTTGTTTCCATACTGGTCTTTATTTCCAGTGGTGTGTTCTTTGTTTGTACACTAAAAAAGAAAGGCTCAATTCTTGTGATAAATCTTCACTTATAGAGTCCTCCACCAGTTTATCTGTTTGAAAGTGGTGTAAGGTGATTGTTCCATTCCCTCTTCTATTCTGCCTGCTGTAGTTAACTACACCAGTACAAATGAAATGCATATGCATTTTATAAGCTTATCAACAAGACATCAAAACTACTCTGTACCATACTAAAATGGTGGATATATGTCATTATACATTTGCCAAGTGCATGAAGAGTAAACCCTGATGTACACCATGGGCTTTGGATGATAATGATGCATCAATATAGGCTCATCATTCGCTATACATGCCCCACTCTGGTGGTGGATGTTGACAGTAGGGGCAAGGGAGGATTTCAGAATTCTCTGCATCATCTGCTCAACTTTGCTGTGAACCTAAAACTGCTCTAAGAAAATAAAGTCCATTTTAAATCAATGGGGATGATTGGGTGGAATAGTACAGTGTTGATTAAGGTCCCCACGAAACCATGGCTCTGGGTAATCTTTTGAACAAAGGCTTACTGGAATTGCCATCACCTTCACTGTAAAAATCGCTTTGGCTGTGGCAATATGCAAAGCAGATCTGTATGGAGTGAGATTTATCTAAGTACAGAAGAGTAGAGGAACTCAGGGCATAACAAAAAGCTTCCAAACTTTTGTTCTAGAGGCTCAGTATCTGATTAATCTTAACGAGACTTCAGATTCAGAAAAGCTTGCAGCTTGTCACTTATCCTGCCTTGCCATCATTCCCTCATGTTTACAGCAGAATTTTCAAGGATTTCATACCGAAGGTTGAAGTTCCTGTAGTTATAAATCACATTTCCCCAGCCAGATGGTTTTTCTGTTACTTTCCCTGCTACATTCATTTGTCTGTCTGCCTGTCTGTCTGTCTGTCTGTCTGTCTGTCTGTCTGTCTATCTATCTATCTATCTATCTATCTATCTATCTATCTATCTATCTATCTATGTGGAGACAGAGTCTCTCTCTGTCACCCAGGCTGGAGTGGAATGGCGTGATCATAGCTCAGTGCAGCCTCAAACTCCTGGGCTCACACTATCTTCCTGCTTTAGCCTCCTGAGTAGCTGATACTGCAGGCACGAGCCACTGTGCCTGGCTCCCTGATACACCTGACCATCAGTGATTCCCAGATGGCCTCACTCCACATAAATCCTACATGTCCTCTTACTTTTTTACTCATTTTGCAGTATAAATAAGCTCAAATTCAGACTTATTTGGGTGGAATGATGTATCTGTAGTTATCAAAGTGTCTGATATATACTTTTTTTTTTTTTTTTGGCAGAGTCTCACTCTGTCGCCCAGACTGGAGTGCAGTTGAGCTATCTCAGCTCACTGCAACCTCTGTCTCCCAGGTTCAAGCAATTCTTCTGCCTCAGACTCCGAAGTAGCTGGGGTTATAGGTGTGTGCCACCATGCCTGGCTAATTTTTGTATTTTTAGTAGAGATGGGGTTTCACTGTGTTGGCCAGGCTGGTCTTGAGCACCTGACCTCAAGTCATCTGCCTGCTTTGGCCTCCCAAAGTGCTGGGATTACAAGCATGAGCCACGTGCCAAGCCATATACATTTCTTATAATATTTCAAAAAACATTGACTGAGTGTCTTTTATGTGATAGACACTATATTGGCAAATATGCATCACCCCCCAAAAATTTGATTTTTAAATCAGTTAAGGTGCTGTCAGCAGCGTGTAATATAAACTCCAACTCAGTATGACTTAAACGATAAGGAAATTTATTTTCTATTTTAACAAGAAGTTCATAAGGAGGGCTGCTCTGGGTTGAATTAACTCGGAGCTCAACCGCATCGTCAAGGATTCAAGTTTTTTTCCATCTTTAGGTTCTGCCACTTTAAGATTCTGGCTTTGTCCTCACACTATCATCCTCCCTGGGAGACAGCTGACTCAGGTGTCCCTGATGGATGCAACAATGTCTAGAGGAATAAGAGGACCATCTCTTGCATTATTTCTTTCTTGAGGAAGAGAATCTGTCTCAGGAGCCCCCTGCTCTATACACATTTCATTGGCTAGAAGGAGGCCACGTACTCAGCCCTAAAATAATTCTTAATCCCGTGAATGAGATAACCACAATAGACTTAGACAAATCAAGTCTCCTGGGCTCCTGGGACTAATTTCCCCATGTAGAATAGAATTCCTACTTGAAGAAATTGGAGTTTTGCAATGAAAAAAAATGGGGGAATGGATATTGAGTTGGCAATTGACAGCTTTTGGTTGAGGACACAGATATGTTAAAGATGACTGTTCCTTTTTCCTCAGAACTTTTGGTGAAGCCCAAATAGATGACATAGGCCCACACATTTTATGGAGAGATGATAGACATGCCTATACAACCATATGATCCTTCCCAGGCTAAGCTGTCACTCGCCCACTTCTGGATGATGTGCTTTTTGTGTGCACATTGTGTCTGGTTTCCTTTGCTTGGCGTAATATTTTTGAGATTCATCCATTGTTGCATGTATTAGTAGTTTTTTCTTTTTCTAACTTAGCAAAATTCTATGGGTTTTTTTCCATGTATCTGGGAAGATTACACCCCAACAGCATTTACAGTTTAAGGTGAGCAAGCACATCAGCTCCTTTCCAGAGAGTAGTTTGTCCCTGGAGGCCCAGTGCTCTGGAGTGTTCCCATTGCAGAGCTGTGACTCCCAAGGTCAGGAGCATGCAGAAAGAGAAGATGACAGATTGCTAGCAGACACCTGTCTGCTGCTTCCACTGCTGGAGAAGGCCCAGATACAAGTTGCATTGTACTGAGGGCTCCTGGGGATCCCCTAAGACGGTGAGGAAGTACAACTTTCTCCTTACAACTTGTCACCTACAACTTTCTTTCTCCTTACAACTTGTCACCAGAACTCCTTTTGTTCTGAGATTTTTGGACTTCGCATCTGAAGCAATAATCCAAATCACACGACAGCCTGCTGCAAAGATATTTTCCCCCTCTTGCCTGACAGAGTCCTGGAAAACAGAAGGCAGAATGAGGCAGGGAGGTTCCCCTCCTGTCTAAGTCCTACAGGGTACATTATTAGCAAACTCTTGGCCTTGAAGTTAGGAGTTGAGTCCAGTATCTAATCCAATCACTATTTTCTGTTGGAGTTATAGTAATCCCAGGCCTCAGGACACCCAGAACTATGAGCTAAACACTTAATTCCTCAGTATATTTAACTCATGTGGTTATGAGTCATTGTTAATACATTCAACAGATATGCTGGTTTCCAAGTTGCCTATCCAAAGTAAGGGTTTTAATTATTTTTCTTAGTGATTTGCTCATGTCTGCATACCAGCAGTCAGGCTTGGCTGACCAAAGCCATCTTGAAATATTTAACTTAGAATTCTGTATAGGACTAAAACACATCAAATATTTCTAAGATCTCTATCCAGAGACACAGGACACTCATCAAAGTTAAGTTCTAAACCAAGTTACAGTAGAAGGTAAAAACCAACTTTGCATT
This sequence comes from Homo sapiens, assembly GCF_000001405.40. Lineage (NCBI taxonomy): Eukaryota > Metazoa > Chordata > Mammalia > Primates > Hominidae > Homo > Homo sapiens. The sequence continues at coordinate 103,344,710 of NC_000008.11, read as the reverse complement.
TTATACATTAATATCATATATAGAATCAATGAAATTTTACATGTTGTATTCCAGAAACAAGCATATTTTATCTTTTACAAAATTGAAAAAAAAGTTTATCTGGTAAGAAATAATTTGGAAACTTCTAGAACAGTGTCTAAGATAATGAAATTCATAAAGGTGCTTATTTTCATTTATATCTTGATATATAGCTTGAAATGCAATATGCCTCAATTTACCTGAAGCGTCAAATTAAATAAATAATAGAAGTTTGCAAAACAGGCTGTTCTTTCTTGCCACTTCGAGCTACCACTGTCTTCCTCCACCCCTATTTTGGAGGTAGGTGGGGAATAGTATATGCTTATTTTGAAATCAAACAATGTAGAAGTGCATAATGTAGAAAGTAAAAGTTTTCCCTGCTATTGACCCCCAACATAATCTCACTCCTCTAAAATAACCATTGTCTGTAGTTTGGTACATATATTTCTAGTCATTATACATATACAACTGCATTAGAATATAAACCAAATAGGATTATCATATACATATTATGCTATAACCTGCTTTTTTCACTAACAGTGAATCCTGGACATCTTTCCCTATGAACACTTACAGTTCTTCCTTGTCTTTTAATTAATTTAGTATTTTCACAGTATTCCATGGAATGGAATAAATTATATAACCAGTTGCATATTTGTAGACACTTTAGCTTCTGTTATAAATGATGCTTCAATTAATATCATTGAGTAATATTCCATTATTTAATACCTTCCCAATCTGAATTGACCTTGTTTGTTTATTCAGTAACTTGCTTATTGCCTGATACCTCCTGGAATGTAAGTTTTATGAGAGCAAGGACCTTTAGTGTTTTCCATTAGATCCTTATCCCTGAGATGGTGCCTGACAGATACCATAATTTGTGATTATTTCTGGGATCACTTGGCTGTTTCTAGAGTCCATCAATGATGCAGGGAGTCAAGGGGCACTCTGGAGAGGTGGCCGCCTCTGGTCCTCTCCCTGCCTCGTCCCACATTCAGCCCTTAGAGCTCCTTCCTGCCCAAGCAGTTCTCTTTTTGGAGAGTCTGATGCCTTGGGATCTTTCCAGTCTGAAAGCCAGGATCCAGTTTAGGTCTCAGGAATCCCACACCCACCCTGGCACCTTTCCTCTTTGCAACCAATCTGGCTGTATGGGGCCAGGACACATTTAGTCACTCGCATCCCCTGACCCCTGTGTTCTTGGCTGTATCTGATGTTCTCCTGAGGGAATGAATGCCCTTCATTGATCCAATGTGTTGGGAGCTGCACAGCAAGAAGTATTTGATATAAAAATACTTTAAGCTGGGTGTGGTGGCTCATGCCTGTAATCCCAGCATTTGGGAGGCTGAGGCAGGGGGATCACTTGAGGCCAGGAGTTCAAGACCATCCTGGCCAACATGGCAAAACCTTGTCTCTACTAAAAATACAAAATTAGCCAGGCGTGGTGGCCTGTGCCTGTAATCTCAGCTCCTCAGGAGTCTGAGGCAGGACAATCGCTTGAACCCGGGAGGTGGAAGCTGCAGTGAGCCGAGATTGTGCCACTGAACTGCAGCCTGGGCAACAGAGTGAGACTCAAAAAACAAAACAAAACAAAAAACTTTAAAATATTTATTTTTCTTTTGGATAAAAGTAACAAAATCCTTTAAATATCACCATGACTACTGAAGGGTAATGATTATGCTCATGAAATAAAACTTAAATCAGCGACAAACCAATGCTTTCATCTAGGTAGTGTCAGAAAGGGGGAAAATTCTGAGGCCTAAGCTGATATCCTATAGCTGCCTCTTCCCTCACCCACCCCATGTTTCCCTCTTCATCCGCCAGCCTTTCATTTGGTTGGAGGCTTTTTTCCAAGTGAAGACACAAACTGTCATTCCTAAATGATTAAGGTCTTGGTGGGCCTGTCTTTGTTGGGTTGCCACAGTTTTCCAAGGAGTGCAGTGGTGCGATCTCAGCTCACTGCAACTTCCGCCTCCCAGGTTCAAGTGATTCTCCTGCCTCAGCCTCCCAAGTAGCTAGGACTACAGGCATGCGCCACCACACCCAGCTGATTTTTGTGTTTTTAGTAGAGATGGAGTTTTGCCATGTTGGCTAGAGTGGTCTCAAACTCCTGGCCTCAAGTGATCTGCCTGCCTGGGCCTCCCAAAGTGCTGGATTACAGGCATGAGCCACCACGCTTGGCCTCTTGTTAGATATTATATGTTCTGTTATTTTGGTTATCTTCTTCGGGGTCACTAGTTATATAAATATTAATTTTCTTTGTCTTCTGTAACTACCATTTTCTCTTTCAATTTATTTAACTCTTAGTCATTTTTATTTATTTTACTATTTTCATTCCTCTTCTCTATGTCCATTATCATGTTATAGGAAATGTGTATTTTCTGTGCTGCTTCCAATTCTTTTCTATTTCTTTCCAGAGTTTTGGCAGTAATTCATGTTTTGCCTCCTTGTATCTTTTCCCCATGTCATCTCCAAGCTCTTATATTGTGTATTTCTTTTACAGTGTTGATTGTTTCACTGATTTCTAAAACTTGTAAAAATGATACGTTTTGTCAAACATGTTATCTACCCTATAGCAATATTTTCTGGGAGGGATTCTGTGTCATTTGTTTGTCTTGTTTCTCTTCTTTTCTTTTTCTTGTAGCTTTATTGTATAGGTCCTCAGTTCCACTTTAAAATTGCTATTCATTTTTTGATGAGTTGAATTGCTTCTGAACCAACTATTGTGTAAGAGTTCATGTAAGTGAGAAGCCAGAGTATTGTTCCAGCGTAACAGGAATTCTTATTTTGACACAGGATTGTGCATACGACCTCTTTCAATCTTTTCTCTAACTAATTATCAACACAGGGCTAAGAAGAAAGCAGAGCCTCTTCTTTTTCACTTTATTTACAAATAGATTTACCAAATACCTCTGTAGTTTGTCTGAGTGAGTGCTCATTTAGTTATACCTCCCCCTGATTTTTGAGAATGTATGTTGATGTTAAACCTGCCACTGGAGAATGTGGCTTATTGTGAGAGTCAAATGGGCTTGCTTGTGTTCCTGGCCTCCTGATCCTCCCAAGATTAGATCTTAGAACACATCACCCAAGGCAAAATTTGGTCTTCAGAACAGACCCATTTACCTGAGTGTGTGTGATAGAGGCTTGACGTGTGGTTTTCTTAGGAATTCTTAAGTGGTGTTCCAAAAGCTTCACACACACACACACACACACAGATACACAGATACACACACACACAGACATGCACTTGATATTTATAAATTTTAAAACCTAGGGTGCCAATTACACCTTTTTGTTTGCCTTAGTAAACAGGGCTTTATAACCAGTAAATGGTCCTGTGTCCCAATCCAGAGAAATATGGAAGAAGGGTCTTAGTAAAATATTTTAAAAATCATAAGGTTCTATTATTCCCATGGGTCTCTGTTCTATGTATGAGACATAATCTTAACTCCTTGGTATATCTCAAGTTCCGTGCCGTGAGGACCTGGTCTAGAGCTTGAAGTACAGATGACAGTGGACTTTATCACCTCCTCCCACTCCCAGAAAATGAGGAGGAGGAACTGTAACATGCATCCCAGTCTGAATACCAGACTCTAGTCCTGAAAAACATAAAATCAACCCAAACCTTGATGTAATCACTATACATTACATATATCAAAACGTTGTTGTGTATCCCACAAATAGGTACAATTATTATGTGTCAATTAAACAATTAAAAAATTAAAAAAATTTTTGGCCGGGTGTAGTGGATCATGTCTGTAATCCCGGCACTTTGGGAGGCTGAGGTGGGTGGATCATCCTGGCCAACCAACATGGTGAAACCGTGTCTCTACTAAAAATACAAAAATTAGCTGGGCATAGTGGCACGTGCCTGTAGTCCCAGCTACTTGGGAGGCTGAGGCAGGAGAATCACTTGAACCTGGGAGGCAGAAGTTGCAGTAGACGAGATCACATCACTGCACTCCAGCCAGGGTGACAGAGCAAGACTTTGTCTCAAAACAAAACAAAACAAAAATTTTAAAGACAGAAAAATGCTGTTGAGAGTCACTGAGTTCAGGGTCTATAGTGTGCAGGTTATCTTGCCAAAATATCATATACTTTTTCTTCTTGGCTATATTCTAGAGGTTGAATGGCAGATCTAGCAGTGATAGAAGAATATCTTTGGGAGACTCTAGTGGTCTCCTGGGCCACAGCTGGGGCTTACCTTTCACTGATGTATTAAGTATTCTTATTGGAACATTTTGTCCTCTTGGTTAAAAATAATGAATCTTTGGTTTAAGTGTCAGATGGTTAGGAAAGTTATTTTTGCTATTGGCAAACATATTAAGAGGAAAAATTGACTCATCTGGTCTAGAGGGAAAGGACTAGGTTAAATTCTAAAATCAAAACCTAATCTCTTAGCAGCTTAGGCAGTAGGCAAGTACAGACAAGAAACTTAGGCCCTTCACAGTTCAGCCTATGTAGGAACTATCCATCAATTTGGGAAATGCTGATCAAAATTCGATGGTCCCCATGAACACTTAGCCATGGCTACTAGGACAAAGCGAGCTATAAACAGACAACTTTCTCAGCTCCATGGGCTCCTGTGCCTCTGTCAGAACTCAAGGGCCTGGGTCAACTGCATGGCTCTAAGGGACATGGGTGAATATATTGCTGGAGTTTCCAGAGAAAAACGGGGGTTTATCTTCTGCAGAAAGCCACGAATGCCTTAGATTCTCCCTAACCTCAGATCTCACTTTTGAGCAGTTTCTCAACTTGAGGTTGAGGCATATAGAAGTAAATTGTGGTGATGTGTTGCCCACTGCTGGGGGCACTTGAGGTACTGGTGGTGTGTGCACTAGGGTGTGGACAGGAGGAATCGGCCCTGGTGGGTGTTCCACTGAACGCAGCCTACCTCAGCTTCCTCTCCTTCACCTGTGTCCCTGATGTCTCACCCTGGGAGGCTCCTCTGTCTTCCCTGTGCGGGAACAAATCAGCAGGTCTGGGCTTTATTTGTGGGGGTGGGAGTCAAATCTGGAGAAGGGACTGAAGAGAAAGAAGCAGGCACAGAGGTTCCCAATAAACATGTGGTGATTGCCAACTAAAGAGAATATGGTTCCAGAGAAAGGAGAAGCGCAGGATTGAGGAGCCAAGGGGAGTTTGAACTGGATGCACCGGTGGCTTTTCCCGACCTCAGCGGTGTGGGCTGCCCCTTCCTGGCCTGCAGGTGTGTGGCCCACATCCCCAGAAATAATGGCTGCTTCAGGCTCAGACTCAGGTAGATGTGGCTGAATCCACGAATTAGCTAGATTTGTGCTTAGTGGATTTTCTTTTTAAAAAAGCAGATTCTTGGCTGTGTGTGGTGGCTCATGCCTGTAATCCCAGCATTTTGAGAGGCCAAGGCAGGTGGATCACTTGACGTCAGGAATTCAAGACCAGCCTGGCCAACATGGTGAACACCTGTCTCTATTAAAAATACAAAAATTAGCTGGGTGTGGTGGCAGGCACCTGTAATCACAGCTACTCAGGAGGCTGAGGCAGGAGAATCAGTTGAACCCAGGAGGTGGATGTTGCACTGAGAAAATGTTGCGCCACTGCACTCCAGCCTAGGTGACAAAGCAAGACTCTGTTTCAAAATAAATAAGTAAATAAATAAATAAGCAGATTCTTAATGATGACATATGATATATTAATAGAGTCTCCTTATAAAAATGTAAACATTACAGATCAGGCTAAAGTCTGCTTTGTTCATCACTTACAATACTGACCCCCTCCACAGAGATAACCCATGTTTCTATATTTTCCTGGACTTCCCCTATGCATTTATATACATGTAACCATAGAAAACATATAGTATTATTCTATGGGGTGAAGGTTGTTAACACACATGGTATCATTATGCATGTAGATACATTTATAAGTAATAATAGAAAATATTAGTGTGGTTTTGTGGGGTGGATGTAGTTTATATACATGGTATTATTGTGTAAGTGTAATTTTGCAAGTTTTTTTGTGCTTAAAAATATTTTGGGAATTGATATGGTTTGGCTCTATGTCCCCACCCAAATCTCACCTTGAATTGTAATAATCCCTACATGTCATGGGAGGGACACACTGGGAGGTAACTGAATCATGGGGGCAGGTTTTTCTTGTTATGGTGAATAAATCTCATGAGATTTGATGGTGAGAGTTCCCCTGCACGTGCCCTCTTGCCTGCTGCCATGTAAAATGTGTTTTACTTCCCCTTCGCCTTCTGCCATGATTGTAAGGCCTCCCCAGCCATGTGGAACTGTGAGTCAGTTAAACCTCTTTTCTTTATAAGTTACCCAATCTTGGGTATGTCTTTATGAGCAGCGTGAGAGCAGACTAATACAAGAATCTTCCATGTCCGTGCAGTTAGATTTCATATGGATTACCTGCTAATTCTTTAGATGTTCGTCCCCCTTGCAAGGGTGAATGCAGTCTCCCCTGTCACTCGTACTCTTGTTGAGTGAAGGCTGTGTTTTTATATTATGTTTGATCTCTTCGGACTGTCCAGGTAGCCAGATTCTGCCTTGTCTACAGTGCCCCCGAGGCGCCCTCCCCCAACTCTTGGTTGTGTTGTATGCCACGTTCATGGTCTTTGCTTTCGTAAAAGAACACCTTTGGATTGCTCACTGTCCATGTGGTAAGCCTGGAAAGGCCTCCCCAGAGCCTGAGGATGCATGACAAGGAGGCAGTGATGCCTGTCAGTTGAGGAAACACAGCCCTCCTGTTTTGTTTTACTGCATCCTTTTATTTGCCCACAGCCTGCCAACAAGGTCAGCTCCAGAAACACAGAGTGTCATTCTTTTTCACATGGAGCCTGCACTAATAGAGGTGGCAGTTAAGAGGCTGGAAATGCCAGCAAGTGTTTTGCCAGTGGTCAACTTTGTTTACAAGTCTGGAGGTTTCTGTTTTATGAGAATTCTCATGAGGGGACACTGGGCTGACAGTTAGGAAGGACTAAAACCATGAGGGAAGCTCTTACCTTGCTGGTGAGTTTCTCTAGATAATGTGTAGTATGTATATTCAGACTTATTTCCTCACAGTGAAACTAATTAGATCCTGGAATAGGTCCCTAAGGAAATAAACCCACAAACTAGACAGTTTTACTCTAGTTAGCACTTGGGAAAGAAGATATTCAGATATTTCATTTTCTTGAAACTTTAGAAAAAAATTTTTTCTTAATCTCTATTGATTTTGTGCCTCTCTTTTCAACATATTCTAAATGTATTATAATTATACTTATAATTAATAGTATATAAACATAAGTATTAAATGTAAGCTTTAATAGACTCTACACTAGGTATGTTTGTTAAAACCTAATCTAAGTGAAATAGTAGAAAATACTTAAAGTGTGTTCAGTATTAATGAAGATGAACTATGGCATGTGTTTAGAAAATAATTTATTTGAAAACTTTCTCTAAGACGTTTCTACCAAGACTTAACTAGGTTTGTCCTCCTTCATGTCCTTTTTCTTTTTGTGGTGGAAAATTAGAAAACCTGCACTTCAACGTTTTCTCTGGCTCTTTTTTCCTTCTAGGGATAGAAAATACAAATCTCAGAATTGGCTGCTAAATTTACTCACCTTAGCAATAATTTTCCATCTGTGTTTATTTCTAATTAGTATTTACTGCCACAAGTCTTTCTCATTTTCATTTCATTGTATTTCTTTCCATACTGCTTCCATTTGGCTCCCATCCTTCAGTAATATTCATAACGAACTTCACTATGCTTCTCTCCACTACCGCCTGGCTCTGGATCCCAATGTCTTTGATCATTTTGGATTAATCTTTTAATTTTTTCTTGCTCTTTGTCGACACATTTTCACTGTAAGTTAATGAAAGTTTTGATTCTTCTGCACATGACAGATCACAGGGGCCACGGTTAAAGCTTGGAATTTAAGTATCTGACTTGTGCAGTGGGCAGTGAGGTATTCAATATCATGCCTTCCATGCAGAAAAGCAACTGCAGAACTTCTTGTGGTTATTACAAATTGTATCTTTCATTTCCTGAGAGTAACTGCCTGCTTGGCAAGGTTAAAACTTTCCAGCAGTAGGAACTGGAAACACCCACCTGTGGTAAGTTTCTGAGAAGATCAAAGAGTAAGAAAGCACTAAAAAAAAAAAAAAAAAGTAAGAAAGCACTAAAACTGTGATTTTGATGATGGCTGGCAATTATGATCTGTTTTCAGTCTAGTTTGATCAAGAAAGTGTAGGGAAGATTTCTTCAGAACCATAAACAGCATAGCAGTGGTGGATCCCATTGGGTATCCTGGGTCTTTTTGAAACATGGCATTTCATAAAATTTTGTTGAAGGTTTGTAGCAGACTTTCAAAGTGAGGGTTTCTAGCAGACTTTGCTGCTTTGGGTTTACCTGCACAGTGCTCGTGCCAATTTCGTTATTGTAAATGTAAATATGTAATTTAAGCCAACTTTCTTGGCTGAAAACTGTTATGTAATTCTTATAAAAATTAATGTCACCTTTTCTGAGACAGCAGGCTTTTTTTTTTTTTTGAGACGGAGTCTCGCTGTGTCACCCAGGCTGGAGTGCAATGGCACAATCTTGGCTCACTGCAATCTCTGCCTTCTGGGTTCAGGCAATTCTCCTGCCTCAGCCTCCTGAGTAGCAGGGATTACAGGTGCCCACCACGACGCCCAGCTAATTTTTGTATTTTTAGTAGAGACAGGGTTTCACCATGTTGGTCAGGCTGGTCGACAGCAGGCTTTTTTTTTTTTTTTTTTTTTTTGCCTCAAAGACTCTAGTCCCATGAAAAAGAAAAATTGCTTTTTAAAAAAATTAAATAATGCTTCTGAATTTTGCTATTAAAAATAAATAGTTTTAAAATTCAAACTTACTTATTACAAATATTGTAATATTGCCCAGGGCTGGTAAATAATTTAGAATATAGGTACATATAGATGCACATTTTAAAACTCCTAAATAAATCACTAACAAATCAAATCCAGAAGTATTAAATGATACATCATGATCAAGTAGGGTTATTCAATGAATTAAAGGATGGCATTATGTTAGGAAATTTATTTAACACAACACATTAGTAGATTGAAATGCTGGCCAATGGCTTAGTAAATCTGTTTCTCCTCCCTCTCAGGAAGACATCTAGATTTATGCCTGAGTTCTGGTAAATGAAATGCAGCTGGAAATGTTGCATGGCGCTTTCTTTTCTTTTCTTTTTTTTGAGACGGAGTCTTGCTCAGTCGCCCACGCTGGAGTGCAGTGGCGCGATCTTGGCTCACTGCAAGCTCCGCCTCCCAGGTTCACGCCATTCTCCTGCCTCAGCCTCCTGAGTAGCTGGGACTACAGGCGCCCGCCACCACGCCCGGCTAATTTTTTGTATTTTTAGTAGAGACGGGGTTTCACCGTGTTAGCCAGGATGATCTCGATCTCCTGACCTCGTGATCCGCCCGCCTCCGCCTCCCAAAGTGCTGGGATTTCAGGCGTGAGCCACTGCGCCCGGCCTGCATATCACTTTCAACTCTAGCTCATGAAGCTTTTTTCTGTGCAGTCATTTACTCTCTCTCTTACTCAGTGGGAGATGGCAGAGCCACAAGATGGAAGTGGTGGTTGCTTGAATTTGGAAGGCTACCTCAAGAACATTCACACCTGTCGCATGAATAAGTTTCTAAAGCTACTGCGATTTTGAGGATTGTTACAGAAGTTAGCCTCATACTGACTAATCCTGGTAGCAAAAGGGCATTTGATAAAATTCAGTACATATTCCTCATTTTTAAAAACTTATAAGATGGAATAGGATTCTTTTAACTCATTAAGAAATACCTATCTTATGTCAAATGCCAACATTGTTCTTCATGATGAAGTACTACAGGCATTTTCTTTAAAATAAAGAAACAAGACGAGGATGTCTACTGCTACTACTATTAATGTTAACTGGCTACAAGTTCCAGCTAATAGCTGAGGAATAAAATTACCATTATTTGAGAGGAAAAAATCATCCACCTAGAAAATCCAGGAAAAATCAACTGCAAAATTATTAGAGGGATTGAGGGACTTTAATAAAGTCATCTGCTACAAAATAAATATTACAAATTAATGTTTCCTATATGATCTTTAAAAAGTAAATTGTGTATCTTGAAATACATTATATATAAAATAATCATAAAACAAAAAGGTACTATGAAAAAAGAACAAAATTTTTAAAATGCTGTGAAATTAAAAAATGATAGCCAAAAAAACTTCAATCAAAAATTAAAAAATACATTTGATAAAGTTTCAAAGAAAAAAATCCAAAGAGATTGGCAAAAGGAGAGGAAAGATGAGAAAATTAAAGGATCCATCCAGGAGTCCAATATCTGACTAAAAGGTGAGAAAAAGCAAGCAGAAGGAAGAAAATTATAAAGAACATTTAGCTGATTTGGATGACTAAGCTTTATTCAAATTTCCTTAGTTTTTATCTAATGTGCTTTTTTCTTTTCCAAGATACCACATTACATTTAGTTGTCATGTCTCCTTCAGCTCCTCTTGGCTGTGATAGTTTCTCAAACTTCCCTTGTTCTTGAGGATTTTGACTCCTTTTGAGGAGGACTGGTCAGCTATCTTGTAAAATGTCCATCTGCTGAGATTCATCTCATATTTCACAACTAGAGTGAGGTTATAGGTTTTGGGAATATCAGAGGTAAACTGCAATTTTCATCACATCATATGAAAGGTAACACTCTCAACATGACTTACCTCTCTTTTGACTTTGATCGCCTTCTGAGTAGTGAGGTACCTCTCGCTGAGTTTGTCAGGTTTCTCCACTGTAAATGCTACTCTCCCTGTACCACCTGTACTTTGGATTCTTTGGAAGGAAGTCACTATGTGCTGTCCATTCTTATAGGTGTGTAGTATCTTATTGTTTTCCTTGCTTGTACTTTTAAGTTACATGATGTGTATCTAGTAATACATCAGCAGTACCTGGGGATCTTTTTCTCTTGCTTGTGCCAATTCTTGTTCATGTTTTAATGAACAAAAAATGGTCTTTTTTGCATACCTGATTGTTTGATTGTATGATGAGCACTGTGGTACTTTTAGAGTATATAAAATAACATTTTCTTCCTCCAGAGAAGATTTTCATTTACCTGGTGCTTGAGCTACCTTAATCTAATTTCAGGGTTTGAACTTTTTCTATCTACCCAGACAACTTGAAGCAGGGCTGCTTTATGTACAACTCACATGTACTTTTAAGATCCAACCCTCTGAGGTCACAATTCTAAATGTAGGGTGGTTGCAGACCCCTTGTCTTCCAGCCCTTTGAGGCTGTCAATAGCACTGTTCCACTTCTCAGCTGCCCTTTCCAAGTCATCAAGTGCTCCTGGGCAAAACAGCTCCAAATGTTGGGCTTTGTAGTGAGAATTTCTCTCTTCTCCCAGATCTTAACCTGGCAATTCCTCACTATCTTATTAGTTTTTTAATGTTTGGGGTTAATATTATTTTATTTCTTTTTTTCCCCCATCACAGAAATCTGCCTATTGTTTTATTTCATCCACATATTCTAGCCTTCTGTTTTGGGAGGTTTGTCTGTATCACCTAATACACTGTTAGGAGTGAAAACTGGGTCCTGGGTTCCTTTTGCTTCACCCCTCACACTCCAGATCTTTCCCACTGGCTTTAAAAAGTTACAGTTAATATAGCTTTATAATTTACATTTTTGGAAAGAAATAGTGACAAAAAGCAAGAATCTTGACTGCATTCTCCTTCAAGGTTAAAAAGAAGCCTCTGACTTACCAGCCATGGAGTCACTAATCTAAAAAATTATACTACTTCCTTGGCCAGAACTACTATACCTAACCACAGAATACTCCATAATTCTTATACAAAGATAATTTTATTAATGAAAAGATCACACAAAACAAAGTTTTTGTATTCAAAGTTGTCTGTTTAAAATGTGGAAAAGGTAATATTTACAACATTTCCCATACAGTACATAGTTTTTGTGCCTTAACAGAATGCTAAATAGAGAAAAAAACCAAAAGCAAATGCTAAATTGAGAGAAAATCAAAAGCATCAGAAAATCTTGCCCAAAGAATAATACTTAATAGGAAACAAAATTAAGAAAACTCCTTAATATTTTAAAGTATGTTGTATAAAAACGTTGTGTCTTGTTTATTAAAACTACCTTTTTTCCATTTGATTGGCACTAATATCGCTATCACACTTTTTAATGTTCAGCAAAATCCTAGTGAGCTGCCGAAATGAATTCTACAAAATGTCTGAGAAAGGTACTGTATAATACAAAATGTAATATTCTAAATGTTAAAAAACAAAAGTTAAAACAAAAAATATAAGCAACTGTAAGTGGTTATAATACAATCAATGGGTGGTCATGAAACATTAAAAAAGGGAAGTCAATTGCACTTGGCCTAATATACAAAAGACTAACATTTTGTCTACTAACCCTTTAGGACATTTTATTTTAAATATGCAGAAGGATCAGTGAGCAGCATAATACAATCAATAGTGGACACTCTTTGAGTAAGCACCTTATTTCAGTTACATAATTTAGATCTGTGAAATTCCTAAAACGAGACTATAAAAATCACACATTTTAGATGGTAAGGTATCAATAAGTGGGTTTTTAAAGTTAAATTCCTATTATAAGACTTTTTGGTATATCTTTTTTTACAGTATAAAAGAAGACTATTTTACAATTTTCTTAGAAATTCAGTGTAAAAGCTACCAAAGTGCTAAAATATCACAATAGCATGATAAAAATACTTGAATAGGATTTCAAAAAAGTTCAAATACATATAAGCTTATTTTCAAATATGTATAAAAAGATACAAGGATAAGATTTAAATACTTCAGCAAAGAAATATCTTGATTTTATATCAAAAAAGTAAAATAGCATAGTACATCTTAAAATACTCTTACCAAGAGTAGAATCTTCATAAATAGAAAAGGAAGATTCCTCTAACTCTGTCCTCCCACACTATTAAAAAAATATTATTAACCTGCACATTTTCTGTTTTCAGGTATATTGTTGTCATTAACCTTTGTGTGAAATGAGTCATATTATTCTTGAACTCTATTTTTTCCAGTATAACAGTAGGCAATGCAACTTTAAGTGCAAAAGAAGAATGTAACAGTGATTCTTACAAAACAGTGCATAGGTCACTTCCAGTGTAACACAAATTTGCTTCTGAGTAACGAGAGAAAATGTTCTTCAAGTATCTGAATGACAACCACCTCCCTGCTCTTTTCTCACTCCTGAAACCGGGTGAACAAGCAGAGATGTGGAACCTTTGAGGCTGCTTGGTTCTGAAGAACTGGGGACCTGCAAATTGTTGCTCTGTGCCAGGCCAGTGTCAGTAATATCACTCTTTGGACTAATCCTAGATAAAAGAAAAAAAGTTGACACACACACATCCACAAACACAAATATGATGCCATTTTTCATGAGTTTCACCCCTAACCAGTGTCCACCTTTATCAGAGAATAAATAGCTAACAGTCTTCAGGTGTACTTTAACACTTCAAAATACAAATTTTTTTTTTGAGACAGAGTCTCACTCTGTTGCTAGGCTGGAGTGCAATAATAGCGTGATCTCAGCTCACTGCAACCTCCACCTCTTGGGTTCAAGCGATTCTCCTGCCTCAGCCTCCCGAGTAGCTGGGACTACAGGTGGGTGCCACCACACCCGGCTAATTTTTTGTATTTTCAGTAGAGATGGGGTTTCACCATGTTAGCCAGAATGGTCTCGATCTCCTGACCTTGTGATCTGCCCACCTTGGCCTCCCAAAGTGCTGGGATTACAGGCGTGAGCCACCGTGCCTGGCCAAATAATTGTTTAAAATATAATTTTCACTTACTTCAGAAACTTCATCAAGCACTACTTATATATATAGGGCTGAACATGGAATCTTGTGGGGAATAGAATAAGGCAGGATTCCTGTCCTCAGTTTAACAAATGTTTTATTGATTTCCCACCATGGATCAGTACCATGTAAGAAACTGGGAACATAAAGATGAGTAAGACTTTAGCTCTCCCATTGAGAAGGTTACAAATCTACGAGAAGATAAAGCATGTATCTAATTACAATCCAAATATATGAAAGCTGCCATAGGATCACAGAGAAGGTGCATTTAGCCTAGTCTGAGAGGACTAGGTAAGATAACCTTGAGATCTTAATGCAATTAGCTGTCTGCATTCTGGCTTACCTGTGTTTTGGTCACCTATGGCCATTTGAGAAAATTCATTAAAGATAATGTCAATATCTTTTCATGTTCAGAAAATAAAATAATTTTAGATAAAATGACACATTATAATTTTGTATAAGGTGACACTTTTTAGACAGAATTATAATGTAGTATTAATTAAAACTTAGCCTGTATTTTGGGTAAATTGCATTTACTTAAATGTACAAGGAACTCTTAACAATTGCCACAGAAATGAACATTCCTACTTGAACCACCTATATTAAAGCTGTTCTCAAAGCTAAGAATTAAACTACTAAATAGCATATTTATAGGCTGAACCCAAACTTCCTTGGGGTAAGAGTACAGACATAATATATCACAAAATGCTTTCCAAATGTGTTATGCTTTAATAAAAAATGTGTAATGCAGTATTTAAAATAGTGATGATTTTACATAAAATCAAATCTCACCTTCCTTCACTCCGCGCACTTTCAGATACACTGCCTGCCTGGCCCTTCCCGTCGACCTGTTCCCCAGAGAGTCTGGAGATGGATGCTGCTGGCGAGGCAGGTTCACCACAGTCCTGTTCTCTTAACCTGGGGGTGCTAGCTCCGTCCGCTTTCACCTCTCTCATTGATGTTTCTGGTGAGGTTTGGATTTCTGTCAAAGTTTCTTGTCCTAGGTAATCATGGCTAGTAATTGCTACTGCAGAAGTGCCATGATTTGCTGTAGCTCCTGTGCTGGTTCCCATGGATTTGGAAATGACCTTCAGCTTGTGTGAACTTGGTTTATAGTGCTTCTTTTTGTGTTTAACTTTAGAATTGTGCTTTAAGAAAAACTCACATGATTCCTGTAGTACTCTTCGACTTTCACTGATTGGACTATAAGAAAATTGAAGGAGAGGATTTACTCAAATTAGAAGTGTGGCTATAAAGTAGAGGATATAAAGGATATCACATATCTTTTGCCAAAAATCCTTAGTCACTAAAGTTGAAAATTCTATGGTTTATATTATAAAATCTGGGATTATAAATACTAGGACATAAACTGATTTTATAAAATCTTTTGTGTATACACTCTAAGTTGCTTTTGTCAGTATAAATAGTAAACTGGCAAGAAATTAAGGCAAGAATCAAAGGATGAGGGCAAGGAGGCTCAAAACAGCATAAACGTACTATACATAATACTGTATTTGTATAATATATAAATATGTAATATAAAAGTAAACCAGAAGAAAAGGATAGAGAATATAATTAACGGTCTTCATTTAAATATAAGTCTTTTCTTTCTAACGTTAAAAATTAGCAAGTTACACTGAAATTAGTGTGAGTATATAAATATGAGATAGACATATAATAATAGTGCAAAAAAATCCAGTTGAATACGATTCTTCAGACTTCAGAAACTTATTTGTGAAATGGTCTACAGTTCTGAAATGAGTTAAGCAAACCAATGGGGAACAATTTTTAAAAAGCTATAGTACCTTGTATATAGTGTGTGTGCATATATATATATATATATAAAACTAAAATGAATTACTCATAAATATAAATCAATTTTGTTATAGAATATTCCATAAGTTTGAATTTTAACATCTTAAGTAAGACAAATAAGTGAAAGTTTAGGTCATAGCTGTGTGTAATAAGATTTAAAGTTAGTAAATAATGACCATAACACATCACTTATATTTGAATCATACTTTATAGGTTTCTTTATATATACTTAAGTCTTAATCTTTTATCCTTGATAAAAAGGATAAAATTATTTAAAATGCTGTACCCAAAATAATGAATCCAATGACAGCAGTAATAATACTGGATATACTATAAATCATGAAAAGAAAATATGCCTTTCATAAATCATTCATTCATATTTCAAATAGAATAGTATATGTCACAGACATATACTATATGATAAATAGTATATGTCAAAGACTATTGTAACAAATGCAAAAATAAAGCACGTCTCTTTCATAAAAAAAATTTCCAAACTTCAGTTGGCAAATCAAATTGAAATAATAGTTGATATAATGAAACTCTAGTACATTGATTTGAACAGTTCCTTGGTATTTTGATCTATTTATTTAAAAATTGTGTCAGACAATTCAATAGTTTCTTACTCTCTCTTGCGATTTCGTTTAAAAAACCCAGCCCATTCTGTGCATGTCTTTTTGCTTCCAACCCAGAAGACAGCAGAGATGCCAACAATTAATGTCATCAGGTATTTTATCATAAATAAAGCCAATTCTGGTCGAGCTTTTGCTTTTGCCTACAAAAAATAGTGAATAATAATATTTTCAGTGATGCACTTAAAGTGGAAAGAAGTCTATATTGTCAATATAAAACGAACAAAAGTTATAAATCTTCAACTGTTTTACTAAAAAGGTTTGAAATAATATAATGAAGCATGCTCTAAGTGCAACACATTTTTTATCTAAATGCTGAACAAAGAAACTTTATGTACCAAATCTCTAGAAAGGGGAAAATACTGAAATATATTTAAGAATAATCTCCTAAATCTTGGCATGATTTCCTCGCATTTTTTTCTCGATAGATACAGTAGCCTCTTATAATTGCCAGAATATTTGCCTCTAAATATGTACCTATTTTCCCCCACTATAATCTACCACAAAAATACATTTAAACTCATCATAACAAATATTTTACAGCTTTTATACGTTATTAATATTTATATTATAAAAACTTGGTTAAAGTAAATTAAGTATCAGTAAAATGCGAAAATTTCCTAAGAATTGAAATTATACTTTTTATTCAGGCATAAACTTTGAAATTCTAACCTTAAACATTGCACAAGGGTCACGATATTACATACTCTGCATTTCTTGCCTTTTTTACTTACTAATATTTCTTGGAGACCATTCTGTATCAATACAAATAGAGCTCTTTATTTCTTTTATTTTTTATTTTATTTTTATTTTTTGAGATGGAGTCTCACTCTGTCACCCAGGCTGGAGTGCAGTGGCGTGATCTCAGCTCACTACAACCTCCGCCTCCCGCGTTCAAGCAATTCTCCCGCCTCAGCCTCCCAAGTAGCTGGGACTACAAGTGTACGCCACCATGCCTGGCTAATTTTTTTGTATTTTAGTAGAGACAGGGTTTTACCATGTTGCCCAGGCTGGTCTTGAACTCTTGAGCTCAGGCAATCCGCCCTCCTCAGCCTCCCAAAATGCTAGGATTACAGGCGTAAGCCACCGCACCCGGCCAGAGCTCTTTATTCTTTGTAAAGGCTGTTGCATTGTGTGAGTGAACCATAACTTATTCTACTATCCCTGTTAATAGATACTTACTTCCAATCTATTGTCATTTGCAAATAATGTTGTAGTGACTATCTTGGTATTATTTAATTTCTCATATTTGTAAGCAAATCTGTCTATAAATTCCCAGAAGGGCAGTATCAGTGTACACACATTATACATCTGTACATACCGCGAAATTGCTTCAACAGAAGGTTGAACTAACTCTTAATAGCAAAGTCTGAAAATATGTATTTTGCTATTTATTGTTTCACCACACAGTGGTTAGAACACCTTTAAGATGTTTGCCGTATCATACATGGAAATATAATTTAATTTTAATTTTACATTTATTTTACTATAACTTTTTCACATGTTTAAGAATAGTTTTTTCATTTTTATTTCCTGTGAACCTTTTTCCTACTCTTTTCTCATTTTTATATCAGATGGATGGTTTTTTTCTTATTGATCTGTAGCAACTCTTTATAAATTAGAGAAATTAGCCTTTCAGCTATGATGTCATATGCAAATAAACTTTCCCAGTTAGTCTTTTGACATTGATTATGGATTGTTTGTTTGTTTTTTTTTGTCACGCAGAATCTTTAAAAAAATTTTTTTTTACTTAGTCAAATTTAGCAATCTTTTATAATTTCTACAACTACAGGAATATTATATCCTTCTCCACTTGAAGATTATAATTTTCTAATTCTATTATATTTTACAGTTTCTTACATAAAACATAATAACTACAGATCTTAAACTTGAAAACCATAGATCTTAAACTTTTTAATAATATGTAATAGTTTCCTCTCCCCAACCTTGCCAAAAAGACTGAGGAAACTAGGAGTCATTATTAATATAGCAGGATCACTTTAAGACACAGCCTCTTATTAAGTATATAGTAAAAACAAACTATGGATAATAGATTATGGACAACGTATAAGGCAAGTAAAACTAGTATCCCCACATACCAACATAAAAAATAGATTCCACAATGTTATAAAGCAGTAACTTTCTGAAATATAAGCTATTATATGAAATAGTTTGACATTCCCATTGCTTAATTTGATACACTGTGATGGCAGTGCTCATGTTCAATGCAGTTAATACCGCACAGAGTCAGGAATAATGTCTAAAATCTACTAAAACAAAACCAAATTTCTATTTACAAAACTTCAACTAAAATGCTTTAAGAAATTTTATATTTTCAGAAATTTACTTTTATTAATTTTAAAAACACCACCCTTATACTAATCATAAGAATCAGAAATAGATAAAGCATATTTTGTTACAACTGTGTTTTTTTCAATTGAGAAATGACAGATGAGTCAGGCAAAAAGCAAATTCTGTTTTTGTAAGTATATACTATGTAAAAAGCTATAAGATAATATGATCAAATTAAATATATCCAAATAAGATTTTTTACTACTAACTAAAAAATTAAAAATAATTGCCAATGCGACAAAAGTGACTTCTGTTTTTCTCCCAATGTCAAGGTCTGTTCTTCTGACTCTGCTCTTTATTGCTATTAATCTGCCTTTGCAGCTCAATTTAATTTTTCAGAGAATAAAGGAAGTGCTTTACTATACAACTGAAGCTAAAGCTTGAGGAAGGAAGTCATGAAACATTCATCCCAGTTTCAGTTGATGTATAGGAAATCCTTACCTATGGCTCTTGTATTTTCTCACCTGAAATCAACTTTTACATCCATGACAAGTATATTTCCATGAAACATTTTCTACATTAAATGTAAATAGAGACATAATCCAAGTGATAGCTTTTACCTGATAAGGACATGGGATATGGTACTGACGACAATGATCAGAGACCCAAGTTATCTCCCAGGTAATCCTGTTCACTTGCTCATAGACGTAACATCCGAGAAGTGTCACTAATGGCACAAGATACAAGCCGCTGAAGACTCCAATTCGAATCATAAATTTCTTTAGTTTTTCTTGGTTCCGGCCATCATGTTGTATGACTTGTCGAACATGATTTAAGGAAATAATGCCAGCTAAAAGAAGAGAGAGCCCAACAAACACACAAAGGCACAGTGGCAAGAGTACAAAGTAGCGAGAAGCATCCAGGTCATAAAGGCCAACAAAGCAAACTCCACTAATGTTGTCTCCTTCAACTTTGTTCATAGCAAGAAGCATAACAGTCAGGAAACCTGGTGTTCCCCATGCAACAGCATGAAACCACACTGCTTTTTGCTCGATGGCTTCACAACTCCATTTTCTTCCTGCAGCTAAGAACCAAGTAATGGTAAGAATCACCCACCACACAGTGCCAGCCATTGTGAAAAAATACAAAAGCATGAACAAAACGGTGCAAGCCTTATTTTGAGAGCCTAGGACAACAGTGTCACCAAGTTCTAGCTTCTCATCTGCCTTATTGCAGGCTGTGCTATCGCCTAGCAAAAATCCAATGAAGTACATAAGAGATACAATGCTGTAACAGACAGAGTAATATATAATTGGTCTCTCTGGGTATCTGAATCTTCTAACATCAATTAAAAAAGTAAGGAATGTGAACAGAGTTGCACAAAGACAAAATATTGAAACTGTTCCAATAAAACTTTTTGCAAACTCTAGCTCATCACTTTTAAAATACATGTTGGGGCATGGAGGCGCACACTGGTCAATTCCCAGAAACTTATATCCTTGTCCCCCAGAAGTCTTAAGATGCCTTGGACACCAAAATCCAATGTCTCTTTGGACTTGTTCTGTTTTCTTCTGAGGACCAAGAAATTCTGTGTGTGGATCAAAAGTTACAGGAACAGTCTCATCACAGTATTGTAATCTGTAAAGATTATAAAAATTAAATATATGAAATCAACATTTTTATTGATTCAATATATTAAGCAATGCTTTCCAACTATAAAATATTACCTTATGTATTCATGATTGATGGGAAGAGATACAAATCTAAATGGATTACAGATAAGAGTTGAGTAGAAATTTTTGAAGTTGACTAAAAACTTGTGGCTGTTAATGGGGCCTCAACACAATAATTTATATTAAATACAAAGCAGGTGAACATGAAAATGCACTTACTTGGAAAAAATTAGCCAATTCATAATTTTAAAATAATTTCTGTTTTTAAGACTAAATATTTAAAAGAATTTATCTTAATTGGTAGGCTCCAGATAAGTACTGGCTTGTCTCTTTATAGCATATGAAATATGTCTTTATATCATATGAAATATATCTTGTCTATTCACTTTTATTTTCTAATGTCCATAAGAAAAGTAAAGCAACCATATAACTAAAGTGATGATAATTAAAATGAATGAAATGAGATCCTTCCCTGGATTGACAGGATAGAGTTCAAGTTTTTAAAGACAGGCAAGTATACCAGCAAGAGGCAGGCTGAGGACCAGCTTAATGAACATCACCATTTTGTTCAGGTTGGGCTCTTTGCCTCCCTTGTTTATGGACAGTCCTGAGTGATAGATGGAGATATTTCCATCTCTTTATCACTAAGTTGAGTTTGTACATACCAGTATTATTTTGGGGGATCTATAATGGTTTAAAAAGTATTGGAGGTTTTGGCCAGGTACGGTGGCTCATGCCTATAATTCCAGCACTTTGGGAGGCTGAGGCAGGTGGATAACTTGAGGTCAGGTGTTCAAGACCAGACTGGCCAACATGGCGAAACCCCATCTCTACTAAAAATACAAAAATTAGCTGGGCGTGGTGACAGGTGCCTGTAATCCCAGCTACTTGGGAAGCTGAGGCAGGAGAATCACTTGAACCTGGGAGGCGGAGGTTGCAGTGAGACAAGACCGAGCCACTGCACTCCAGCCTGGGAGACAGAGAGACTCTGTCTCAAGGAAAAAAAAAAAAAGTACTGGAGGTTTTAAATGAGAAAGCATTTTAAATATACCTTAGATAAGAACAGACTAAAACATATGCCCATAAAATGAAATACAAAAAAAACTACCAGCTTTATTAAAACATAATATTATGTCAATTTTGCTTTATATCTTTTAAAATAAAGCAATATAACATTATAGATACAGTGGGGACCCTTTCTGGTCTTAGTTCCTTCTCTCTCTCCTCAGAAGTATTCATTACCACAAATTCGGTGTTTACTCTCAAGCATTTTAAAATATTTTTATTACATTATTTACTAACTATAACCTTATAAAGTATTGTTTTTCAGGTTTTGAACTTTATATAAATGACACCATGCTGTATATAGCATGCTATAACTTACATTTTAAAATTTAACACTATATTTTCTAGATTTATCCATGTCGACAGATGTGGGTCAACTACATTCATTTTATCAACTGTATGGTAGTATTCCAGTGTGTAAGTACATCACAATTTACTAATCATTCTTCTATGATGGACTTTTAGATTTTTTCCCATTAAAAGAATTAGGAATAATCTACAATCAATATTCTTGTGCACGACTCTCTGTGTAAGAGTTTCTATGGGAGGGGATTTCCTAGGATGCAGGGTTAAGCATCTGCCATTTTACTATATGTTACTCAATTGTTCTTGAAAATGATTATGTATCTACCAGAAGTGTGTAAGTTCCACATAGGTTCTATAGTTTCTTCAGCCTAAAAATAAAACAAAAAGCTAACCAGTTTCTTTCCCCAATTTATTATATGAGGTCTCACTGTATCAGTAGAATAAATTAGCAGCCTCCACTGTCTAGAGAATAGGAAAAAAAAATTAATCAAGACTAATGTGGAAAAGGTCAGTGAATGGATACATTCATTCATAAGTTAATTGTGCTTAAAATCTTACTTTCTCCACATGAACTCTAATTGCAAATGATCAAGTCAGTCAGTATTCATCAAGTTTATTCACTATCACGGAAAGGTCCAGATAGAATATTTCTTTTAAATATATGCCTGTATATGCCTGAGATTCTTTTTTTTTTTTTTTTTTAATGGAGACTGGGTGTCACTATGTTACCCAGGCTGGTCTTGATTTCCTGGACTCAAGCAATCCTCTTAAATAGCTGAGAATACAGCTGTGTACCACCATGCCTGGCTTATGCTGAGATTTTTATATCCAAAAAAGACCATTCACCTTGCCAAAATATTACATTAACAGTGGTCTGAAGGTATACGGAACAAGTATAGTCAGCATTTTGATCTTAACGCAGTAGAATATTTCATGTTATAAAAACATCTGTTAAGCATGTTTGTAACGTTTTCACTTTGAAATGCACTTATTAATTATAAAATCTGTCATAGCATAGTGGCTGAGATATGGAAAGGCCTCTGATAAATCACAATAGGAAAGTGTGTTTTCATGAAAGCAAGGCAGCTATACCTTTGAGGAGAAAAAGTTAGACTATCATAATAAAGACAGGAAAATGAGTGTAAGGAAAGAAGTATAACAGAAAATTAGATTCCACAGACTCTCAGGTGGTATGGTGGACATGCACTGCTGTGGGGAAAGAGGGAGAAATGAAAAGAAGGAGCGTCATGGGTCAAACGAGTGGGATTCATCTATTGGCAAGCTACCCGAGGATGGCTGGAGCCGGAACTGAAAACAAAGTTCAGTTTACAAAACTCTTCACGTAGAAAAGAATGTGCCTGTGCTCTGATGAGCTGAGGAAACTACAGACCTCAAAGAATGAATGCACCTTTTTCTTCCAAGGCAAAGGCATTCTCCTGGGGAACCAAGAGCCTAATGCATGCCATAACCACACAGTTCTGCCGTTTCTCAAATAATAGATGCAGCCTTCATGTTTTTACCACAGTTATGTTAAATCTTTCATTATGCTAGAAATCTTTCAATGAGCTAGATTTTGTGTTTTAATCAGAGGTTCCCCTCTTTCTTTGTGTGTGTTTTCAAAGTAAATAAGATGCCACAAAAGCCTGAAGGTCTTATTTATAGAAATGAAAAAATATTCTCCAGTATAGGCCATACTAGAATTATTTTTATGTGCAGCTGACCCAACTAACATTGTATAAAAGGATGTTAATGGGTTTGCTTTATATTAATGGGACATGGTTTAATATAGGGCTTAAATAATTTTAAAAAATGAATTCTACTTCCCAATTCAATGTATCAAGCATTCTCAAACACGAATAAATTTGATTTAGATTAATTCCGTTTCTCCAAAAATCAAGTTACGAAGACCAAAACTCCAACAGAGTTAGAAATTAAGCATAGGTGCCAGTGTAAATTTTTTTAAGTTATAACCTCCCCTGCTTTGAAACTGAGTAGGCAATCTCATAATGAAAGAGCAAGTATTTTCTCCACAGGCCTCACCGTCTTCTCATATAAATATAACTTATTTACTGAATCTTCTCCTTCCCTCCACTAAAATGTAAGGTCCATGATGGCAGGAATTTTTGCCTGTTGTAACTCTAGTGCCTAGAACAGTCCTGGCACACAGTAAGAGTACAAGAAATATGAGTTGAATGAATCATCAGTTTTGTCTCCTTTCCTTTTGCTGTCATCATCCTTGGTGACTTGACCAAGAATAAGCTATCCACACTCTGGCTTCTCGGCTCTTTAGCCTCCTCATCTCCAATGACTATCCCTAACCCGCAGTGGCCACCTGTAATCAAAGTCACACAAGGAACCCTGCCACAACCTGCAAGTACACACTATCTCCAAAAATCAACTCAAGCATCCTGCCCTTCGTCTGCAAGCTCCTATCCTTGCAATTCATTTTTTAAAAAATCCTCATTATGCCTTTAAAAAAAAAACCTCATTGGGATAGATCTCCTCCAGCTTGTCTCCATACATTAGTTCATTTCTCTCTTCATTTCGCTCCCCATCTATTTAGACTTTCATAGGCTATTGTTTCAGTAACACCCTTCTCATTATCCTTCATTTTTTAGTGCACCTTTATCTTTGCACTGAATCCATCTGACAAAACCCCAACCACAGATGAGCACAACTATCTGCCTTCTCTGTGCTTAGCCCCAAGCATCCCACCACAGCTGGAGAAGTTCTCAACAGGCCAGATGAGATCCACACATTCAGGATCGCCTGATTTACCTAAAATGTTACGAAGCCTCTCTAATTGACTCATTCTCCCATGCTCCATGATGACCACTTCTCTCGAACACATATCCTTCTTTCCCAGACTCACAACAGAGGACCTCCTTGACTCTTACTATGTCACAATGGAAATAGAAACCATCAGAAAGAAATTATTGCAACAACTCTTACCAAACACACAAACCTACTATATCCACAGCCATCCTATCCTTTCCTACTGTTACAACAGATGTTCCTCCCATCCATGGCCAAAATGTCATCTATGCTTGGGATCCTATCTCCTTCTTAGAAAACTACTATTGATGACCTCTTCTACCCCATATATGCTTGCCTCTTCCTTTTTCCTAGTAGTTCTTAAAATAGTTCTTTCCCATTAAACTCATAAACTTTCCTCTTTTATAGCCAGCTTCCCTAAGAACTCTGTTTCTGGCTTTACTTCCTCTTCACTCCTTCACCTACTGTGATCTGTCCTTTGCCCCAGTCACTCTAGTGAAATAGCATAAGGTAATGTTCTTTTTGACTGGCAGCACCTGACATGTCCTCTGCCTTGAATGCTTTTTTCCTTCAGGACACACATTTACTATTTTCCCTATTTGTTTCAGTTATAACCACATGACTGACATCTTGCCAACAGGAATGCATGTGGAAAAGGTATAACACTTCCCATCTGAGGCACTCAAGAAAAGGCGTGAGTTCTCTACCTTCTCTCTCCCATCCACCTGGCTGACAGAGTTGGAGGATGGAAGTGTCCTGGATTCCTAACAGAAACTGCCAGAGTGCTGCCCAACCCTCAGGAGACTGACACAGGTGCCATGCTCTACACAGAAGCTCACAGGATTGTGCTACCCATTCCTGTCTTAAAATATTAAAGACCTCACTGCTTTCAGCATAAAAATATGAAAGATGGGCCCTGGGTGGTCTGACTGCTGCTTCTCTCTCTTTCCTTATCTTGCACCATATTCTTTCTCACTCTCATCACTCCAGCTATACTAGCTTTTGAATTCCCTGTATATGCCATGCTCCCTCACTCCCTGTTCAGGGGCCCTGCAGGGTCTCTAAATAAGCTATTCCCACTGCCCGAAATGCTCTTCCCTCCTCTCATTGCCTAGTTACCTCTGTCTTACCCTTACCCTTCGTACTTTAGCTCAACAGTCATTTCCTTCCCCTTTCCCCAGTTTAGGTCAAAGGTATCATTATATATTCTCATAGAATTATCTACCTTTCCTTTGTTGTATCTATCACAGTCATAATTTTGCACTTATTTGCATAATTATTTGATTACTGTCTGTCCCTCTCACCTCACTGTAAGTTCCCTGAGAGCAAGAACCAAGTCTGTTTTTTGCCCACCTTTGTGTCCACAGCACTTAGCACCATAGTGCCTGACATATATTAAGTGTGTAATAAACATTTATGGAATTAAATAATGAAAGCTTCTCACTAACATCCCAGAGAGCTAGTACCAGTAGTAAAATACCATTAGTAGCTTTCCATGAAAAACATTGTTTACCTGTCACATTCAAGCTCCTCAGGCCATCGGATCCCAAAAGTGTCAATTAATTTTTTGCAATCAGAATATACTTTCTCACAAAGTTTACGACAAGGTGGAACCACATGAATTTGTTCTATGCAGGTTGGTACAAATGCTTTGCAGAGGAAAGTTTCAATGTTTGGTGAACATTCCAGATTTGCGAGAGGAAGAAAATGCTATTAAAGACATCAAGATACAGTTAGAAAACATTTTAATAACAAATGAATAAAATTAATATATTTACTGTTTAAAGTATATGCTTTTTCACTTATACTGCAAAAGAATCTTTAAATCTCCCTCTATCAGACTTATGAACTCTTCATACACAATGGGATACTACTATTTTATTCAATCATATATTTTTCAAGAAGACATGGATTATTCCAGTGAAATCACTTGCCAGAGTCACCAACAAACTCCACATTGTCAAATCTGATGGTAAATTCTGAACATCCCTTCTACTCAGCTCTTAACAGCAATCGACACAGTGACTCCTAGCTTCCTCTTGAGGCCCCTTTTGCACTTGTCTTCTAGGACACGAATTCTCTTGGATTTCTGGCTGTCTCACTGGCTGTTCCTTTTCTAGTCCTCTTCCATTTCCCAATTATGATCATTGAAATGCTCCAGAGCTCAGTCCCCAAGACCTCTTCTCTATCTCTACTGACTCTCAAGGGAAACTCATCCAGTCCCCATGTCTACTGTGAACCACAGACTTGAATGAGCATCTGCTCCGGGACAACTCCATTTGGCTGTTAATGGGCATCTTGAACCCAAAGTATGCAAAATACAACTCAATCCCACCGTATCTCTGCCTCCCAAACACTCCCTTAGTACTCTCCATCTCAGTAAATAATGCCACCATTTACCAAGTTGCTCAGGCCAAGAATCTTACAACTCATTCTTTTTTCTTTCTTTCTTTCTTTCTTTTTTTTTTTTTTTTGAGACAGAGTCTTGCTCTGTTGCCCAGGCTGGAGTGCAGTGGCATAATCTCAGCTCACCACAACCTCTGCCTCCCAGGTTCAAGCAATTCTCCTGCCTCAGCCTCCCAAGCAGCTAGGACTATAGGCGCATGCCACTACGCCCGGCTAATTTTTGTATTTTTAGTAGAGACGAAGTTTCACCATGTTGGCCAGGCTGGTCTTACAACTTATTCTTTACTCCTCTCTTCTTTCACTCCATCTCCAACCCATCAGCAAATCCTGTTGGCTCTCCCTTTAAAGTATATTCCAAATCTGACCATTTCTCACTATTACCACCCAGTCTAAGCCACTATTATCTTTCACCTCAACTACTAAAATGGCCTCCTAACAGGTCTCACTACTTCCCACACTTGCTAATCTTACAGTCAATTTTCCAACCAATGCGATTCTTTAAAACGTAAGTTTATCCTTGTTCAAAGACTCCAGTAAAATAAATTCCAAAGTCTTTTCCAATTCCCATGAGCCTTTAAATTTCCGTGTTCCCCGCTATGTCTCCAGTTTCATTTCTGACCACTTTGTCTCTTATTTACTCCATTGCCACTAAACTGGACTTCTACTTCTTATAGTTCCATGTGTATTTCTGTCTCAGAGTCTTTGCACTTGCTGTTCCCCTCACCTCTTCACCCAGATAGTGAGTCTTGTGCCCTCATTTGAGTCTCCACTCAATTCACCTCAAAGAGGCATTCCTGCCCATCCTATCTAAAATTATCCTGCTCTTATCTTTCCCATTACCATGGTTTGCATTTCTCTTAAATCCTTATTACTATCTGGCATTTCATTATGTACTAGTTTATTTAATTTTTGCCTTTACCACTAGAGTGTAAATTCAAAGAGGGAAAGGATTTTGTCTATTCTGTTCACTGCTCTATCTCCAGTGCCTAAAGCAGTGTCTGCTACATGGCCATTTCTCTATATTTACAGAATAAATGCATGATTCTCCAAAACAATAAATGAACACTGACAAAGCATATCAATAAAACATTTCAGAGCATCAAGACAAAGAGAAGGTCATAAATGTTTCCAGAGGGGGGAAAAAAACAGAATACATGTAACTAAATTAAACTGTGAATATTTGACAATATCAGAAGCTAGAAGAAAATGAAAAAATGACTATAAAATTCTAAAGAAAAATGCATTTCAACCTAGAATTCTAGATCCACCCAAACATTTAGAGAGTAGACTACTGACATTTTTGGCACTGTAAGGAATACAAAATTTAAACTTTCAAGTATCCCTGTTTAGGAAGCAACTAGAAGATGTAATATTCCTGAAACAAATTGAAGGAATATATGAATAAACAAGGAAGGAAAATAATATGGGACCCAGGAATTAGCTGATTCAACACTGAAGAATGACAAGAGAAATTCTCCATGTGACAACTACAAATCTAGTCCAGAAGTAATCAGAACACATTTGACAGAAGGGCAGATGGCTGAAGAAGAAAGGTCTCCAAGGGAAAGGAGCGGGGATTGAGATTGACAGAGTATATGTTATTTTGAGCACTAGGAAAATTGCTGCTAGGTGTATGACAAGTCTGTTAGGATATCTAAAAATAGTCAGACATTGTTACATAAAAAACAAATGAAAATACAACTACTGTGTTAATTGTTGGGAGGGTATTAAAAAAATAAATGTAATCAAAGTATACTACCTGACTCAGCAGTGTACAATATTTAATATTTCTAGTAATATTATCACTGACTATTCATTTAATCAAAAACTGTATCAGGAGGAGAAGTAAAAGTGGCAGGGTAAGAGAAATGAATTATCAATTACCCTAATAGGAAAGAATAAACAGAAACGGCCTAAAGTGCTAAACTGATTAATCTATAACCAACAGAGTAAACCTGTTAGTTAGAATGTGGCCTGCATACCAGAGGAACACCTAAAACAGTTCAAAGAGGCTGCCTCTCAAGGGCAGGACTGGGATATGGGTGGAAAAGGGTGGGCAAGGACTGTTATTTTTCTGTTCAAAGCCTTTTAGTATTGAGGGTTTTCTTTTCCAGCTTTATTCAGGTATAGCTGATGTATGATAAACTGAACATGTATAAAGTGTACAATTTGATAAGTTTTGAAATGATTATCACAATCAAGGTAATAAATGTATCCCTCACCACCAGAAGTTTCCTCTGGCTCCCTTGTCATCCCTCCTGCTCTTCCATCCTCCTCACCCCCTCAGTAACTCTCACGCCTGACAACAACTGATCTGCCTTCTGTCACTGCGGAGTGGTATTTTCTATAATTTTACGTAAGTGGAATCATATAGTGTGTTTTCTTTTTTGTCTGGCTTCTTTCACTTAGCATCATTGTTTTGTGATTCAGTCATGTTGTCTGATGCATCAGTAGTTCATTCCTTTTAATTGCTGAGTAATATTCCACTGTATGGCTGTACCATAATTTTCTTAACCATTTACCAGTTGATGGACAGTCTGAAGTGCACATTTGAGTGTGAAATATCTACTAGCAGGCAGTTAAATAAAGCTACGTAGAAGTGAGACTTTAAATTAAGGATATGGATTTACAAGTCATCAGTATAAAAGTGGTAATTGAAATAACTGGCTGAAATTACCTAAGGAGAATAAGTAGAGTGAGAGAAGATGAAAATTCTGATTCAAGGGAAATACACTGACTCTATATATTAGCATCTCCTTCCACTCGAAATGCCATTGAAATGAAAGAAAAGGTTTAAAGGTAAAAAACAAATCCATAACTGCATTAAAAAAATAAAGAAAGGGCTCCCTATAAGCTTTGGGAAATTTTTGAAAGATAAAAAGAAGGAATGACAACTTCTTTCATCAGTATGGCCAACTAAATATCTCCTGCCACAAAACATTCAGGTTCTGGATAAAGTGCAACACATATACTTTGAAATGCATTGCTGAGCACTGTATACACCTTAAAAATAGCCTTAAAACATATAAACAAAAAGCAATAAAACTATAAGGAGAAATGGACACTTCCATGGTCATGAGAAATTTCAATATATCTGCTTTAGTAAATGAACGGTCAAGCAGACAAAAATTAATAGGTAAATATAAGCCTTGAT
Organism: Homo sapiens; assembly: GCF_000001405.40. Taxonomy (NCBI): domain Eukaryota; kingdom Metazoa; phylum Chordata; class Mammalia; order Primates; family Hominidae; genus Homo; species Homo sapiens. The sequence goes on along the minus strand of NC_000008.11, from coordinate 103,314,739 downwards.
TACAGACTACAATTAACAAGTCTGACTTAAAGGGCATATACAGAACCCACACCCAACAATTAGAGGACAATAGCTATGAAGGATGTTGGACCAGTGGGAAGTTCCCCTGTCCTGATGGGGCAAGTGACTGAGCAGAGACAGGGTTGCCATGGTTGACATATATTATTGCTTTTATTTGAATGATGCTCTGAGATTGGATCCTTTGTCACCTCACAGGAACTTGGAGTGCAAACAGCACAGTACTTTTCTCAGTTTCCTCCATCGTGAAGGGGAGAGAGTGCCCAGACAGTGTGCAAATCCTCCTCTGAGCCTGAGGTAGGAGAAGGGGAGCTGCGGGCAACTAGTAAACTGTGGTAAACTCTTTGTTTACTGTCCCAAAAAAGCCTAGTTCCTAAATTTTTTGACTATGTGGTAATCAGATCCTTTGGTGGAAAGAATTAAAACACACTATGTTTATTTAATTCTTCTAACTCAGAAGCCATGATTAACTGGTGGTCAGCACTTAAGAAGTAATTATATAGTTCAAGGGCAGGCAAAATGAATGCAATACATGTACTTTTGCTATACAAAAACAATTTTCTTACATGGAAAACACAAGTCACTTCCCTAATTTAATTCTTTTACAGTGCCAAAGTTGGCTAATCCAATAATGTTGATGTTCCTGCACTGTGTAGAGGATAAACTGAATGCTGAAAACTCAGATACCTTCAGAGGCCAGGCAGGTAAATGAAAATGCCTGTAAGATGATAGGGAGTATTTGGGAAGCTGCTGCTACTCAACTCCAGCAGACTATTATTTGGAAATGGGGGCATAGAATTGTCAGGTATATCCATTTTTCCTAAGAAAACAGAACCTAGATTGTTATGTGTAATTTCCCAAATTTTAGATTTTGGCACTTTAATCTATACATTTGAAACAGGGCCCCCCCCTTCCCTGACACACACACACACACACACACACACACACACACACACACACAGAAAAATCAAGTCTCAGGTCAGATCCAGTGTGGGCTACCAACTTCCAAGTTCAGTTGCAGATGAATAGACTTAAAGAATTTTAGACTTGGAAGGGACTTGAGAGAAAACCTTTAAGTTAATTATTTTCGAAGTGTATGTGTGTCTGTGTGTGCACACATGCACACTTTGCCAAGAAACATTTTCTTTAAATAAGAAGTTAAAAGGAGGCCGATATACTAAATAAATAAAGGCATAGTTTCTTGGGCTGAAAAGGAAGCTCTCCCTGCTGAGATACTTCTCACCATTCCCCTTTGCTACCAGTGACCTCAGAGCACCTCCAGAGATCACAATTGGAAAACCACTGACCTAATCTAAGCCCTTGGATCAAGTGAGAAAACTGAAGCCAATTTCTTATTAAAATTGTTACTCACATTCCAAAATGTACTCTGAATTAGAAGTTAGGTATCTTTATTCCTGATCGAATGCTACTTTTACCAATTCTATGGCTACTGATAATAAATCAGAGCTTTGGCTTATTTGGTACTTACCATAAACCAGGCACTGTGCTTTTTCATATACCATTTTCCTTTATCACAACCTGTTCTTCTCTCCACCTTGCAGCTGAGGCAACTGAGGCTCTGAGAGGTTAAGTAACTTGTATAGTCACAATAGTAGTAAGAAGCAGAACTAGGATATGAACCTATGTTCCTAGGACTCCAGAGTATGTCCTCTTTAACCTTCACTCTGTGCTGCTACCCATTTCTCCCTGAAAATTACCCTTTCCCAAAGCACAGCGACAGGCAAAAATGCCAATGAGGATGAAGGGAAGAAAATATATCAAGAGGATTGGGACTCTTCCACATGAAAGAAACTCTTCAGTTAAAAAAAATAAATGTTCACAGGATACATATCAAAGACTATAAAACCTCAAGCTATGTTGATCACATTCCAGATGATGCGTTATCTCCTGAAGCAAGAGCAAGTATTCCATCATATGGAGTACTTTCAGAACAAATCACAGCACTTTAAATAATGGGTAGTCAGCCTAGTATTGAACTCATTATACCAATCAGTTGAAACATAACTGGGATGAACATATTTTCACAGTCTTTTGAAGTAAAAATTGTGATTGAAATGTTTTATGTTCTTCCTCAAAATGTCCTGGGTACCATTCTCAGAAACCAAATCTAACATGACTCATTGAGATATTTCTTATGTCCTTAATTTTATGCTATGAATTTCATCACATCATTAAACTAGGATTTAGCACGTTAAGTGCCAAACCTGTGAATTAAACTCATGAATTAAAGTGCAAATCTATGAATTGAGCAAATATCAAACCTGGTCGCATCAGTCTGTTCCTTTTACTCACCTTTAGTGACACCACCTTCTTCAACTCTCTTAGTAACCCAGTGCTTTCATGATCTCACTTATAAACTCCTCCTTTCAAATTTCATTCTCAAAAAACTCATCTAATAACTATTAATATTGGTTCTGAGATTCTACCATTCAATAACTAAAACAGCGTTATTAATTACAGTTTCAAAAATCAAGAAATAAAAGGTAGGCTCCTTTAAGGAAATGGTCAGTCCCTGGCAGAAATCCCTGGAAATAGCAGTTACTATTAGTACTGGCAGAGATGAGAAAGAAGAGGGCAAGTGAGAAGGCAATTCACATCTCTATCGTGAAAAACAGCCTGAGCCAACAGTAAGATAAATGAAAAATGAGAATCAAAATACATAGAGTATTTTCTATAATCCTTCACTGGAAATAATGCTAGCATTTTATTTCTAACTAAGTTCTAATTCTTATTTAATTCTAATACTTTAATTCTAACTATTTAGTTTAACTACCTGTGCTACCTTTGGCAGGTAGTTTTCTGTTTCTGAGTCTCAGAGTATCCATCAGTAAAGTGACAGTGATGAACTCGATGATCACTAAGGAGATTTATGATACCTAACTTCTATGGCTCAAAAGTTTATGAAGAGGGTAACAAAGAATTGAGTAGAAGAACTGGAGATCAATTTCAAAACAACTGTAGGTGCTATGGTGAAATTTTCTCCTTGGTAAGTTAACACTTTTTTTTTTTTTTTTTTTTTAAGAGACAGGTTCTCACTCTGTGGCCCAGGCTGGAGTGCAGTGGCACAATCATAGTTCACTGCAGCCTCCAATTCCTGGGCTCAAGTGAGCCTCAGGCCTCAGCCTCCCAAGTAGAGATAGAGTCTGTGTTGCCCAGACGGATCTTGAACTCCTGAGCTCAAGTGATTCTCCTGCCTCAGCCTCCCAAAATGCTGGGATTACAGGTATGAACCACTGTTCCCAGAGAGTAACACTGTTTTACACTGTGCTCTAGAGTGAATATTTACTATTTGGGGGAATCCAAAAGTAGGTAAGACACTATGGAAGCTAAGAGGGATGCAGGGATACAGCCTGGCAATGAAAACATAGGCACCTAATCTAAGCTTGGCCATCTGTATACTCTGGGTATTGTGATTCCTGGGGAGAGGGTTATGCAAAAGAACAGATATAGTCAGATTATTTGAGGAAGCTGCAATGCGATCAGTAATCCTTGCAGTGGCCAAATAAGCATCCAGTGACAATGGCTCAGGAAGTATCCAATGGTATTGGCACTGGTGACAAACTAATCCTATGGTATGACCTTAGCTATGCCCCAGTTCCCTTTGCTCCTCCTTACATTTTGAACCCGGTTCTCCTGCCTTCCCATTGATCTTACAAGCTGTCCAAAATCCATCAATTTTCTGCTTAGTCAGAATTGGTTTCTGTTGTTTGTAATCAAGAAGACCAACTAGTACAGAAAAAAAACATAAAGAATGGTTTGCAAGTGATCTCAGCAAAACAGGAGGAACTCTAGAACTGGGTTTCTGGTCTAAGGCCAAAGGCAGTGAGCATCCTGTTAGTATTTAAAGATGGAAATCTGGCAACCCATGGCAAAGTGAATTAAATTATCCTTGTAACCACTTAGCTTGGTTTTAGCTTAGCTTCTCTGTACATAATAGAATGATATGCCCCATGAACACGAGGCTGTGGGAGATCAAATGAGTGCCTGCTGCCAGAGAACCAGAAAATAATATAACGAGCATGAGTTATCAGATTGTAGGGTAGGGTGAGGACTTCTAATGGTACTGCTTGGTTTAGGAAGAGAATAACAAACTGGCATCTCTGAATTTTTGACTCAAGGTGGGAAGTAAAACACTAGGCTGGGCATGGTGGCTCACACCTGTAATCTCAGCACTTTGGGAGGCCAAGGTGGAAGGACTGGTTTATGCCAGGAGGTCGAGACCAGCCGGGGCAACATAGCAAGACCCTGTCTCTTAAAAAAAAATAGCAGGTTGTCAATGCACACAGCCCTACAGTCCCAGCTGCTTCCGGGGCTGAGGCCTGAGGTTCACTTGAGCCCAGGAGTTCCAGGTTGCAGTGAGCTATGATTGTGCCACTGCACTCCAGCCCAGGCAACAGAGTGAGACCCTGTCTTTAAAAAAAATGAAACACACACACAAAAGGACAAAAAGGACTTAAGGCTCAAGGAGTTGAAAACCAAGCACAGTTTGATCTGCAGGTGGCTAAATTATATCAGTTTAATGTGCTTCCCATTCACATAAGAGACCTGGTGATATTGTAACTAGGAAACTGAGACCCAGAGTTCTGTAGTGGGGACACATGACAAGGCTCAGGATATCGCAGAGTGCTCTGAACCTGCAGCTCTCAAGGTAGACCCTTTCTGTAAGAAGAAAATAAATAGCCCCCTGCCCCATCCCACCAGTCTTCAATGTCTCAACCTGTAACTAGAGTTTCACCCCAGCACGCCTTGGGAGCATCAAGTCAAAATCAAATCTGAAAAAAAGACCTACAAACTAGTTGTAAGACTGTTAATTTATATTGGTTTCTGAGGGTTACGAATTGAAGAGGAAAGAATACAATTTTAGATGGGGCTAAGACATACTGACATGGGGTTATTTCTCAGAGATTCTAGATTCAGTGTGCTAGCTTCAGAGAGACTGGGCTTTTGGAGGTAAGATGATAAATGGGCTTCTGACAGGGGTTCAGTGAGACCTAAATCCAACCCACTGCAATTTTCCAAGTCCATGTATGTACACCTAAAATAGCTGTATTTAGCAAAAACACAATAGGCATATTTGTTTCCTGGATAAATGTTATTATGGTAGGGGCCAAACAAAAACCATTAGAGGTCTCCCTCCCTACCATGAAAGAAAATCAAAAACAATACTGCAGATCAAGGGGATTTTCAGAGATTGGCAACACCACTAGAAACATATTCAGGGGTAACAGTTCCTACCACCTGCTCATTTCAACTTTCCAGTGGATTGTCTTAAGCAACCTCAACTCAATTGGCTAAGGTGATTCTCCAGATGTGGTCTCTTTCCTGTAGCAAATAGTAAAGCTCAGGCACTTTGTATGCCTCTCTAAGCTAGCCAGTTCTTTCTTCTACAAAAGCAATTTGTTCTCACCCAGTAGGGACAGCAGCATATCTTTGCCAACTTGCCTTAGAGCAGTGGTTCCCAACAAGTGGCCCCTGAGTGAGCAGCATCAGCATCCCCTAGGAACTTGTTAGATGTGGAATTTTTCCATCCCATCCCAGACCTATTGATTCAGGAACTCAGGGATGGAGCCAGTGATCTGTGTTTTAACAAGTCCTTCAGATGATTCTGATGCACATCAAAGCTTAAGAGCTTCAGCTTTAGGGGAACATCATCAGCTCTTCAGCTCTGTGCCTCAATTTCAGTCAGTGAAACATATCACCGACTTCACAGGACATCACACTAATCTAACTTATCAAAGACATAAAGCTGATGAGGCCATAGACATGTACCCTAGATGCCATAGTAAGATACAAGTGCAGATGAGGAGATTAACCCTACATAATTAAAAGGGACCTTGGCTTTTGCTACTAGTTCCTCATAGAAACTAAACAGGAGAGAACATCTAGAGATCATCAGGTCAAGTTACCTCTCATGAATTGAGTGTTACTGAACTCACCTACTCATGATGTCAGGGACCAACTGCATTCCATCTTCAAGTGGCTGGATAGATCTCAAAGATACGGGAAAGTAGCATATTGCTTGCATTCTCAGAATGCCTGCTTCTGCCATATTATAATTCTTTCCTTAAAACACACCTACGTCTTCAAGCAGAGTTCCCTCTCACCAAATGACTCATGAAGAAACAATTACAGCCTGGCTTACAATAGCTGGCCCCAGCTATTGTAAGTGAGCTACTATAGGATTATAACTCCATTCAGAGGTGGCCCTAGCAGGCAGAACTTCAATCACTGTCTATGTTATCAGTAGAAAGATGGTCTCAGGTAAGAAGTTATATTGATTCATGGGCTATAGCTAATGGTACAACAAGATAGGGACTTGCAAGCAACAAGAGCTTGGAAGAGTTCTACAGAACTGGTATTAGGAGTCCGGAAAAGCAGTGTGTGACTGGACTTCTCCAAAATGGGCCTATAATCTCAAAAAAAATTTTTTTTGCATGTGAATGCAAACCCAAAGGCCCCAAGACAGAGGAGGCTCTTAAATGTGTAGACTAAATAATCTACTCTGTGGATGTCAATCAGCCTTTTCTCTAGTTGCACCAGTATAGGCTTAACAGGCTCAGGAACAAAACGGCCATGGTGGCAGAAGAGTGCCCAGATCCAATAGCATAGACTTTTCCTTCTTGGGGTGATCTGGCTACTGCTGAGTAGTTCATTTGCCAGAAGCAGAGCAGTAACCAACCTTAAGCCCTCAATATGGTATCATGTTCCAGCAGGATCAACCAACTATCTAGTGTCAGGTTAAGAAGTATCCTGGATAATTTCCATCCAAGAGTTGTCCTCACTGAAATCCCTTGCTTATAAGTTCCCAAGTAGACCATACCTGTGCCAGCATCTTAGCTGTAGCATGTTTCCTTACAGCCTGAGCTTGAATTCTAGCCCACCTGGCGATTCTATGAGCTACCTGCTACTCTTATAATCAATTCCTTTTCTGCTTAACCAGTCTGGGTACCCTAAGATGGAAAGGACATGAAAAAAAAAAAACACACCTTAGAACACAAGGAAAGGAGGCTCCTTCTTCAGAGTTAAAAGAATTAAGAGCTATATAAAATCAATGAAAGAATGACCAGGGCAAAATAATATTAAAATAAGTCTAAAAGTATTTTTTGGAAATGAGTAAACAAGGGCAAAAAAGTAATCTAAGAAAATAAGCCTTTGTCAAAAAGTAGAACTGAAAGTACAATGACAAAAACAGATAGGTTGTTTTACATTCCCTCCACTAGAATATAAATTCTGTGAGGGCATATAGGTCTGTTTGTGCATTACTGTATGTCAAGTATCTGAACAGTGCTTCAAATATTTATTTATTTAGGCATTCAAATATTTGTTGAATGAATAAACACCAGCTAGTCTCAGTGAAATATACAGGGAAAGGACCAGCTAGCTCCTGATGCTATAATAATATGATAATGAAAGGAACCATAATATGGGCCTGGGGTTGGTGGCACTGTAAGATCCTGAAGGGAAAGTCTGGGCTAGAATTTTAATTGAGAGGGGTCAAAAGAAGGAACTATTTGGTTTCTTAAAAATATATAAAGCATAACCTAAGCAGAGTGGTCCTGTGGCAGTATCTTGGCAGTGCCTTGCTTCCCTGAGTACTGAAAATATGGGATACATAAACGTTTGTCACTTTTCTGAAGCATGAATCAGAATCCCACTGGTACATGGAAGCAAGCCACATCACCAGTGAACAAGACCAAGTGACTCCAAAGCCTCTGATCCTAAGCTCAGGATTTGTGCTTTCTACTCATGGTGACATACACAGTAACTCCCATGCAGTGAGAAAAGCTATATTTCTTGCTCTAAATTGGCACCAAAAACAAAGTCGATTTACAGTGATGGTGATTAAAACTGAGTGAAGGAAATTTAAAATGTCATTAAAAAAAGTGATGAACCTGGGGCCAGGCGCGGTGGCTCACGCCTGTAATCCCAGCACTTTGGGAGGCCGAGGTGGGTGGATCTTGAGGTCAGGAGATTGAGACCATCCTGGCTAACATGGTTAAACCCCGTCTCTACTAAAAAAATACAAAAAAATTAGCCGGGCTTGGTGACGGGCGCCTGTAGTCCCAGCTACTCGGGAGGCTGAGGCAGGAGAATGGCGTGAACCCAGGAGAGGGAGCTTGCAGTGAGCGAGATGGCGCCACTGCACTCCAGCCTGGGTGACAGAACGAGACTCTGTCTCAAAAAAAAAAAAAAAAAAAAAAAAAAAGTGATGAACCTTAGCAAAACAACAGGCTCACTAAAGTCTAAAGGGGCCCTTAAATGTTTTCAGTTAGACTTCACTGGGCAAATACTGTTTAAGTGGTTACAAAAGTCTTGAGTAAATTCTTTGAGAATGTCAATGGACTACTGTATAGGAAAGTGGTGCAAATTTTGCTACCTATTTTCACGAATGTGATCAATCTCAGGCAAGTCAGCTTCTTTAAAAAATGTAAAGTGGAGCCTGGAATACAAGAGAACAAAAAGCAGGAATTTACATTATTTCCATAATGGAAAACTTGTTATTTTTAAACTATTTCTTGTGAGGGACCATTAGAAAATTTAAATCATTTCTCCAGAAGAGAGTACCTTTGGAAATTAGACAAATGTACATATTAACTGATTGATACTACAAAGGAATGTGTCTAGAATAAATTACTTTTTTAATGTAAACCTTAGAACTTGAAAAACTGTAATTCTGGGAGAGCTACATATTCAGGTACATATTCAATAAATATGAATGAACACATGACAAATATATAACCTAGAGTAATAAAGCTTCATTATTTACATGCCACATTCTTGGGGAAAGGAAATAATCACAACAGTCTTCCCATGGAATACTAAGGAATGGACTAGGAACCTTGTGCTTATCAGCAGAGCCTCCCAGGAGAAATATCCTTTCTCTTCACATACAGGCCTGCCCTTATTCTGCAGTTTCAAAAGAAGGAGTCAAGGGACTTTCCCTGCTACTGCAATGCAACATCACGAAGGAAGGTTTCTACCTTTAAAACACAACAGTAGTCATTATACACGCAACTGGCTTGGAACACTTCTCACTATTTATTTCATTTTATATGATTAATGTCTTACTTTCAGAATAGCTACAGTTATTTTCAGATAGTCTTTCCTGAAAAACAAACAGGTTAATCTCACTAAACATTTTCTTTATTTGTGTATGGACATACAAGGGTAGAGAATATGGAAGAAAGGTGAAAGCAGGAAGGGACTGGACTCTTCTAAAAGCAGGAAAATAAAAATGCTTAAAAGCCACTATACAACAGAAATAGATATTTTCCTTAAAAGTCTGTTTATCCAGTTTTTCTCCATTTATTTTTAACTGAATAGAGACATTCTAACAGCACATATTAACAGGTGGAAAGGAAAGTTGTTTTTTTTCTTTTGGCCCACTTCCCTTTAGACTGTTTAAAAAGGGAATGACCACTTGCTGCTCCAAACACAATACGTGACCTGGCTTTTGCCTAGACCTCAATGAAGGCAATTGAAAAAGAAAAATACAACATTCCTGTTTCCATTTTCCCTAGATCAGTCTCAGCTCTTTCTGGATGAAATCAGTCTCTCAAGGGACCTCAATCTCACAATGCTCTAGATATGAAACAAAAGGAACACAATGGAAAACCAGTAGCCATTTGTTTTTCCACTTGGGAGAGTTAGACTGTACATCCTTTTCATTACAAAGCCCCGTTACTATGCAGAATTGTAAATTAACTCTTTGTAATACAAATGATTTCAGGTTCACATAATAAAATTAGGAAAAAACTGAAGTCCCTCATTTTAAGCAATCTCTGAAACAAAACTAAAGAACCAAGATGTCCCAGTCAGATCCTTTTGGTTTGTGATAAATTTTACTTTAAAAAATTTATGTGGAAAGTAAGTAACAAATAACTCAGTTAATGTATTAACATAAGAATGCACAATAATGTCCACTTATTTCATTCTATACTATCCTTAAAACATTTTCAAGTACTTTAAACCAAGGTTCAGCAAACTGTAGCCCCTGGGCCAAATATAGCCCACTGCCTGTTTTTGTAAATAAAGTTTTATTGAGACACAGCCACACTCATTTGTTGGCATATTGTCTGACTGCTTCTGTGCTACAATTTCAAAGTTGAATAGCTGTGACGGAGACTGTATGGTCTGGAAAGTCAAAATAATTTGGTCTTTTACAGTAAAAATTTGCAATCCAAACTTCTAAACCAGTGGGTCTTGAACTTTAACACTCAAAAGAAACACCTGGGCAGCTTGTGAAACCACAGCTGCGCTCCATCTTCAGAGATCATGATTCAGTAAGTTGGGATAGGAGTCTGTGAGCTTGCATTTCCAACAAGCTCACAAGCTGCTGGTCTATGAACTAAAGTTTAAGAACCACTGCTCTAAACCATCTCATATAATCACAGATTAAAAATGACCATAAATGCTTAAATTCTATAAAACAGGCTAGCTGTTACAAAATGAAAACTAGGAACAAAAAAGGAGTGAGATAGATCTTTTGACTTATACGGAATTCTCAGTGACTAAGAGAGTACAATTCATTGCCATAGCCATCAGGCAATTTTTCAGCCCCTCATCCTAACACTAATTCACAGTGAATCCTGGAAATTCAATAGGAACCAGCAGAAACTAAAGGTAATCGGGTTGGAGGTGTAAAACCCAATCTGATCTTTAGAGAAGCTATAAAACACATTTTTAGTAAAAGCCAAGTTACAAGCAGCTATAATTTAGTACTCAACTGGAATATACACTTAAGGACTAAAGTACAATGTTTGAAAAAAAAAAAACTGACTCATATAGCTTATAATCCAACGGTCCGATCAAAAGTTGAATTCCTTTACTTCATATAAATAACTAGAAATGGTTAAAAATCAAATTCTTTAAGCAAATTCTAATGAATATGTGTAGAGCTAATGTGGGAAACAAAATAGAGGATGTCAACTGATATATTTCATTACAGCTAGGCTCAGACAGAATGAAAAAGAATGATATGTAAACCACCTAAAAATATTAGTATGTCTTTGACTTGGACACTGTAGATGATAGAAGTGGAATGTAAAGATTTGGAGGGAAAATTCCCTTTGCTACCTTATTGGGACATAAAATCCTACCTTTTTCTTTATTTAGCTTTTATGTAGCCTCTACCATGCTCAGAGGCATTGTACTTAGTATTAGGGATACAGATGAAAAAAAAACACCATCCCTACCTTCAACAAACTCTCAATCTAGAGACATGTAGATTCACTGTAAAATAGCATAAGAACAACTGTACATTATAAGTACTGTAAGGGTGTAGAGTGGGGTGATTAAATTTGCTCAGGAGAAAGGTGAAAGAAGGGTTCGCTAAAAACAGTTATTGCTTTAACTGAGAACTGAAGGAATTGAGCAGGTGAAGAAAGGTAGGTAGACAGACGGCTCACCAGAGGATAGAGTGTGTGTAAAGATACAGAGGTGATGGACAGTAATATGGATTTGAATTCTCCAAATAGGTCAGTTGGCTGAAGCAGAGTGTGCAATGTGGGAAGGTACAAGATGAGAGACTGGACAAGCAGCCAGGGTCCCACATGAAGGGCCTGGAGTGCTCTAGAACCAGGTCTTTTTTTCCCCAGCTTTAGGGAAAATGATGAAGGATTTTAACCCTAAAGTGGACTGCACAAATTTGAATTATAATAAAATCATTGTGGCACCACTAGAGAGACTGAAGATTAGGGAGTTAACTTTTGCTTTGTTTTTGTTGTTTTCATTTTGTTTTGTTGAGTTGAAGTCTCACTCTGTTGCCCAGACTGGAGTGCAGTGGAACGATCATAGCTCACTGCAGCCTCCAACTCTTGGGCTTAAGTGATCCTCCCACCTCAGCCTCCAGAGTAGATGGGACTACAGGTGTGCGCCACAGAGATTTTATTTTTGGTCTAACAAGACTTTGTATTCAAGGCACTTGTAAGAAGGAAAAAGAGAGACAGAGCTAAACAGAGGTAAAACAATCACCCAGTTTAATTTTTATCTAAATGAAGTTTGCAAATAAGTAGCAAAGTCTGAAATTTACACATTGCATTCTAAATCATAAGAAATATTATCTTGTTTATCCAATCAGGACAAGGGCCTAAAAAAAAACCAGTTAAAGATGACATTATGGTCCATGTAGACAGAGAAGACTATCAGATTAGAGTGCTCAAAGGGACAAATCGCAGCTTTTCTGGGTTTCAGTTTCTTCATCTGTATAATGAAGGGTTCGGGGGTTCTTTACCTGAGCTATATTTCAATATAATTTGTTTTCTTTGTAATCCTACACATTTTATTTATTTAAATATTAAAACTTCTCTTATCTTGAGAAGGGGTTAATGTCATAAAAAAGGTTAAGAAGCTCTATATGATCTTTAGGGTCACTTACAACTCTCAACTTATAGGATTTTGGACATTCAAATACAGGAACTAAAAGAGAATACTACTGTATATGGATAAATAGGAAAGGGGCAGTAGGAAAAACACAATAGTATACACTGAGAAATTACATATAGGGATTAAAAGTCTGAGCCAGGGTGACATTATTTTTGCCTTTTCATTTCTCTTTCCTTTCTTCTATAGACTTAGGTTAATGCTGGTATTGTGACTGCTTGATGGCTCTCTTCTTTTGTATCCTTAAATTTACTGAAGTATGATTTATAGCAAAAAAAAAAACTTCATTAGTAAAGGCTATGAGAAAGGTTAGTTATAAGTGGAAAATTATATAATGAAGAGATTGGTAGTATTAGCAATCATATAAAAGAGGTAAGAACAAAAAGCCTTCTTGATAATATCCAGGCACAAAACTACTTGGGAAAGAAGCTAGGTAAATTAAAAAGTAATTTTTTTGAAAGTAAAAAAAATTTGGTTTTAAAAAGACGTGCAGAACAAAGCTAGTTGCTACCATCTTATAATTACAGGCATTTAATAGCAGGGATGCATCTCTCTTGAGTCTAGGTGATATGAATTTATAAGGTCACTGTTAGCATTCAAACTTAAAATGGTCAGCCAGGTGCAGTAGCTCGCGCCTGTAATCCTAGCACTTTGGGATGCTGAGGCAGGACGGATCACTTGAGCCTAGGAGTTTGAGACCAGCCTGGGCAACATAGTAAGACCCCATCTCTAAAAGAAAAAACAAAAACCTTAAAATGTATGTAGTTACCACATACAAAGGAAATTAGATTTAAAAAATTTAGGAACACTATTAAAACATGAACACTACAAAACATATTATCATCAGCAAAAAAGTGAATGAATGATGTAATTATTGCTTCACAGTGTTCTCACTATATACTTCATATTGAATCAGATTGAACCATCAAAATGGTTCTGATTCATGAAAGTCTCAGTGCATCATTTGTTCAGTTCAAAAGGACATCTAGCATCAGTTTGAAAAAAACCACTGAAAGATAACAATAATATAATCTGTACTATCCTTTTAAATAACATCTACTTAGTATTTATAAGCTTTCCTATTCCAGACATGAGTCCACAATGAGGCAGTCAGACAACTATTCAACTGAACAACAATAGAAAACTTTCAAAGCTGCAAAATCAAATCTAATCAATTTTAAAAATAGTATATATATTAAATTTGTAGGGATTTCCTCTCTTAGCAACAATCTGAGGGAAAAAAGCCTTTACTATTCTGTTTTTCTGGAGAAAAACTACAAAAACAATGCATGTGTCTAGTTTCCTTCAGGAGACTTAACAACCTAACAAATCTGTATGGGAAGGCAGGTTCCTGTCTGTACAGGTAGCTTTCTTCTCACACTCCCTAGTAATTTGCATATCTCTAAACCAGAGACAGGTAACTAAGGCACCTAAGGCAATCTTTAGTGTCACTGTACTCCTCCCAAGTGGTTTCTTTTAACAAGTATCTTATAAAGAACATATAAGTGCTATGCTTAGAAAACAAAGTCACTTTTTAGTGACTTTGTGATAGCCTTAAAATACAGTCTACAGCAACAAAATATTCTGATAATTTATTTATTTCAGAAAAACTGTACCAAGTGAATATTACAACTACTTATAAAAACTTGTAAATTTCTTCAGTTTTAGTCCAGGCAATAAATATTACATGTTCAGTGAAGTAGAAAAATATTCAGAATTCGCATTTCTAGAAGAACTATCATACTTGATTCAGGAAAGCAAAATATTTTCTAGGTACAAGGTATTTAGAAATCATGTGTAACCATACTTCATTATATAAAATGAACCCTATTCAAACGAATCTACTAAACAGGGCCGCAAAGGTACACAAAACATAAGTCAGTAGAGGGATTTAATTTTCAAAAGGACTTTTCAAAACACAACTTGTACACAACTTGAAGAAATCGGCTCTGTTTAAAAATAGACTTATTTTTACTAGTTTATTCTAGAACAGAGCATAAACTACTATTCAATAAACGTATGAAGCACTACTCACCTCCATTTCCACCGCGGCAATACTCTGGTCATAATGACCCATCAGATTAGGGAAAAACGTCATGTTGTAGGCCATTTTCATACATCTGGGAACAGTAATTGGTTCACAGGTGAAGAGACTGTGCCCTCTTAGGAGGGGTAGAAAAATACACGTCAACAAAAATGTAAACATTTCCATTTTCTTCAAATTCCTGATTTTACCACATGGCTTGGATGAATCACTCTTTGCATCCTCAGAAGATCCCCATCCAAAGATAAAATGTTCAAATTCCTCATTTCACTATTTTACTCATTTTCAGGCTTTCCTGAAAATGAGTCCTGGGTCAATTACTGTAAAAACAAAAGGAGGGTGTATCAGCAACATTTGTCATAAACTCAAATGTGGAGTCAAAGTGCAGAGTTAAGATTTTCACCCCAGGTAACAAACACTGGAAAAACAACGGAAAATTCTGTCCTAACGAGATACTCTTCCACCTGCCTTAGCATGGAATATATCATTTGCTAAGGAAGCTGCACCTCTAGGAAACCGATGCTAGGAGGTTGGTGCTGTATGGAAGACAGGGTTAAAAAGAGGGAATGGCAAGAGTAAGATGGAGGAAAAAAGGAAAGCTGGTGATTCGGAGTAAATTATAAAGGATTAATATAAGCATACAATCTAAGGGCCCCTGTTGGAAAGCTTATTAAGTACAAGAAAACTAAGGCCCTGGGAAATTCCTTAAGACCCAAAGAGTTCTTAAACTTGTAAAAGACTCTGAAGAGTCAGTTTTTGTGGCAGTCTTCTGGGTATGTAGTTTTCTCGATTTTCGTAAGGCCAACTAGAGGGAGACTTTTAGGATTCCTCCAGTGGAGGAGCAACATTGCAGTTTTCACTGGCTAGGAGGGTGTAGTGCTGCCGTCGAAAGGAAAGTGCGCAAATCTGTCCCGGGGGAAGGGCGAAGGCAGTCCCCTTGCGGGAGGAAGGCTGTAGGCCCCGGATTACGAATTACCCGCGCCCCAACACACACTGATGCCCGGTCCGCCAGCGCCCCACACCCGGGAACCTGCCCCAGGCCTAGAGCCAGACAGCAGCGTTCCTGGCCTGCGCGGCGCCGCGGGGCCCCGGCATCGCCTTTCAGAGCCGGTTCCCGCTTCCGAGGAAACTCAGGTGCGGGCCGTCCCGCCGTTGCCTCCCCAGCACCTGCGGCTCCCGGCGCGCCTCATCCCAGCCGCGGCCCCTCGCCCCTCGAGGCCCTCCCCGCTTCCCCCGGCACCCGCCCGGCCCCTGCCCAGTCCCAGCCGTGGAAGCCTCACCTCGGGGGGCGGTCGAAGGCCGCTGTCCCTTCCCGTCCCCGTCTAACCCACCGTTCCCCCCAGGGACCTGAGACGGCTCCGGGGTTGCGTCCGGGACTGGAGCTGCCTCGAGAGCCGCACGGGGAGCGAGAGCTGAGCGATCCCGCGAGACTGCGCCGCCAGGTCGGGCGGGCAGGTCCGGGCTCGCGGCGGCGGCGGCGGCGGCGGCGGCGGCGGCGGCGGGACTGGCCCTGCGCCCGGGCACCGCCTGCGCTGCGCCGCCCGGCCTCACTCCGCGGCCCGCCAGGACCCGGCCCCGGTGAACGGGCTCGGGGTGCCGAGGTCCGGCTGCGGGGCCGGGAAGCCACCTCCACCTTGCCGTCTGTTACGACCCCCGAGGCGCAAGGCTGAGCCCCATCTCGCTATCCGGGTCCGGAGGGGTTCACCTTAGAAGGATTTTTTGAAGCTCTTGGCGCTGGCTCTAAAAGAACCCACTTCCTTGCGGATTTCAGGAGTCAAGAATCCTTAAACGGAGCCAATTTGCTTTGTAAAGCCAATTGCCCAAGTGACTTGAGTTCGAAAGGAGATACTTCCTGGACAACTGCTATAAAAACAACAACAAATACTTTTATTAATTCGGGGAGCCTGGTCACCAACTGGATGCTCAGGTAGCAGTGGGATTCCAGCCCTGGCGGGTCCCACAGTTTTATTGATACAAACCCTAATAGGAAGTTGAACTGCTGTAGAAATCAACCTAGTTTGGGGTACCAACTCTGTCATAGATATTAGATAAATTACCCTAATCTTTAAGGGGCATAGTTTCCTCACAATATAGGAATGACAATAGTTGTAATGATGGTTAACGTTAATTGAGCACTGGCTGTAAGTCAAATAGTGCCAAGTTCGTTACAAGTGTTTACACCTAACCTGTAAGGCCCTCCTATGAAACAGGCAGAATAGTATGAGAAGCAAATGAACTTGTAGAAGTACTTTGAAAAATGCAAAGTAACTTGTAGATGGAGGCTATTCTTGTCAGATAAATCATCCTGTTGCAGAAAAGGAATGTCATATTTCCATACCTAGAAGGACAACCCTGAACAACCAGAGTAAGAGTTTTGGAATCTGTGGGGAAAGACGAATTTGGAGTGGGGAATTCCTCCCCAGTTTTATCAAAAGCTTACTGATGTTGGGAGACAGGTAGTGATGAAGAAATATTAACATCATTAAGAGCTGGATAGTTGATGTATTGCAGAATAAATTTCTATGTAGGAAGAATATTTTCCCCTAAATTTCTAATTTTCTACATTGGAAGACTATTTCTCTCCAGTTTCTACGAACTTAATGAGATCTTTTTGTGATCAGGCTCTAGTGACTACCAGGCAGTGAAGTATCACTAAAAGTATCATTTAAAAACGATACTTTTTAAAATATCGTTTGAAAACGATACTTTTAAAGTATCATTTGAAAACGATAGTTTTGAAATTCAAGTGAATACTTGTTCCATTATTTGGAAGGAAAAATTGTAGTAAGTTGATTTATACAGAAGTAAATAAAGCCTGTTTTATTTTTCATTGTATTTAATTATATAGTGAGCAGTGATGAACTAGAATGATTTTTTTTTTGTCAGGATGGATTTGGAATACTTAGGCAATCATCTATATCATCGCTTGTCTTTCACTGTACAATTTCATCCCAATGGTACGAGATTAAGAACACAAACTTTGGAGTTCAAAATCCCTGGGTTCAAAACCTAGCTCCAGCATTTACTTGCTGTGTGAACTTGAGCAAATTATTCAGATCCTCTTTAGTTTCTTCATCTGTAAATATGGAACTATCTGACGGTTTTCCTCATTTTCCTTCTCTTTCTCTTTGCATTGTTCCTCTGGGCTGATGCTAGGGGACAGTGGTGACCAAAAGTAGAAGAAACAGACTTTTACTTTTAAAGGCTAATTTTGCAAGGTACAGAATTATAGGTTGGTAGTTTTTTTCTCTGAACACTTTTACTCCACCTCTCTTCTTGTCTACGTGGTTTCTGAGAAGTTGGATGTCATTCTTTATTTTTGTTCCTCTATAGGTAAGCTCCTCATCATTAAGTATATTGTTACCTTAGGGTTTTTGTAGATGTTCTTTAGCAAGTGAGAAAGTTCCCCCTCTGTCCCTAGTTTGCTGAAAGTTTTTATGATGAAAATGTGCTGGATTTTGTCAAATGCATTTTCTGCATCTATTGATGTGGTCATGTGATTTTTCTTCTTTAGTCTATTGGTATGGTAGATTACATGAATGAATTTTCAAATATTGGACCAGCCTTGCATACCTGGGATAAATCTTGGTTATGCTGTACAATTCTTTTTATGCATTGCTGGATTCTACTAGCTAATATTTTGTTGAGGATTTTTACATCTTTGTTCAAGAGATATATTGGTTTATAGTTTTCTTTGCTAGTAATGTTTTTGTCTGGTTTTGGTATTAGGGCAATGCTGCTAGGAAGTATTCCCCCTGCTTCTATCTTCTGGAAGAGATTTTAGAGAGTTGGTCTAACATTGTTGGTGACTGACATTAATTTGGGGAAATTTTCAGTCACTATTGCTTCAAATATTTCTTCTGTTCCTTTCTCTAATTCTTCTCCTGGTATTCCTGTTACACATATGTTATACTTTTGTAGTTGTTTCACAGTTCTTGGATATTGTTTCTTTTTTTTAAGTCCTTTTTCTCTTTATTTTTCAATTTTGGAAGTTTCCATTGACATATCCTCAAACTCAGAGATTCTTTTCTCAACCATGTCCAGTCTATTAATGAATCCATCAAAGGCATGCTTCATTTCTGTTATAGAATTTTATATCTCTAGCAATTCTTATTCTTCCTTAAAATTTTCATTTCTGCTTACATTAACCGTCTGTTCTTTCAAGTTGTCTACGTTTACCTTTACAACCCTTAGTATATTAATCACAGTTATTTGAAGTTCCTGGTCTGATAATTCCAACATCTCTGCCGTATGTGAGTCTAGTTCTGATGATTGCTTTGCCTCTTCAAACTGTGTTTTTTGCTCTGTAGTGTGCCTTGTAATTTTTAGTTGAAAGCTGGACATGATGCACTGGGTGAAAGGCACTGGAGTAAATGGGCTTCAGTGATGCGGTGTTAAGATGTGGGAGGAGGGGAAACATTCTATAGACCTATGATTAGATTTCAGTCTTAGTGAGCTTGTGTCCCTAGGCTGGAAACTTCACAAGTGCTTCTTAGTTTTTATCCCCCTTCTTGGGTGGGACAGGATGTCTAGAGGGGGCTGGGGTTGGATATTTCCCATCTATCAGCTTGGTTAGGCTCTGCTAAAACTGTAATAGGTTAGGCTCTGGTAGTTTCTCTTGAGGGCAGGCCTTGTTAAAAAGAACAGAATATTTTGACATATTTCAAAATGGTTCTTTTCACCTCTCCCTGTTGGATGTAGGAGGTGATTTTTCTTTGATTTTCACTGAGAGAACCTGGAAGAACTCCTGGAGGTAAAACTTACAAAAGTGTGAGTGTGCCCTCCAAAGACTAGGCCCCCTCCCCCTTTGTGTGTGTGTGTGTGTGTGTGTGTGTGTGTGTGTTTGTGTGTGTGTGTGTCTCACTCTGTTGCCAGGCTGGAGTGCAGTGGCGTGATCTTGGCTCACTGCAACCTCCGCCTCCTGGGTTCAAATGGTTCTCCCACCTCACCCTCCCGAGTAGCTGGGATTATAGGTGCACACCACCATGCCCAGCTAATTTTTGTATTTTTAGTAGAGACGGGGTTTCACCGTATTGGCCAGGATGGTCTCTGTCTCCTGACCTCGTGATCTCCCTGCCTAGGCCTCCCAAAGTGCTGGGATTACAGGCGTGAGCCACCGTGCCCAGCTGACCCCCTGGAGTTTTAAATTCTTAGTCTTGACCACCCTGAGCCTCTAGCAATTCATCAGTTACAGTTCTGGTCTTCCTACCCTGTACTCATGCCCCTGGAGGTTTCTGCCGGCGGGTTTCTGCTCTAGTAAATTGTGATTCTGTGTATCTGCCTGTTTGTCTCTCCAACTTTGGGGGCAGTGGCTTGCTCTGTGTCCTTACTTCTCTGCTAGATCTAGGAAGAGTTGTTGATTTTCAGTTTGTTCAACTTTCTACTTTTTGTCAGGACAGAGTAACAGCTAAGCTCCTTACATGCCACACTACAAACCTTAATTTCTCATTTTTAAAAATAGGTATGACTTTAAGAATTTTATTGATAATTCCAGTTGCTACTGCCTTAGCAGAGCAAAGTTTCTCCAAGTTAAAATCGAGTTGAAAAATCCCAAGAGCTGCAATAATTCAGAAAAGTTATGTAATTTGGCATTAGTATTCATAGAAGACTGACTATATGAAAATTTTTATTATGACAATATAATTAAGGGATTTTGCTAAAATGAAGGGAAGAAAGTAAATTTCACAGGGGTAAATATGTAACTTGTAAACTGTGTAAGTTTTTATTTAATTACTTACCCAAACATCTCCAGCCTATCACCGGACTATGCAAACACGTGCCATAATAATTGAATTTATCTACTTTTGATATTTTGCCTACTCATTAAAACATAGCTTTACACATTAAAAACATTTCTGTCTTTATAAAGGTACATTTTTTCAAGGTAGGAGGATAGAACATATTTCAAGTAGCAGTTTGTTAGTTTGATATATGAATTTTAGCTATGTAGACATATAGCATGGTGTCCTCCTTTGTACTCCTGCCTGGGCCCTGTACACATACTGGGGGATAGGCCGGCTTGTGGCCACTGACCTGATGCTGAGACATTAGCAGTTTGAGGAACAAACAGCAGTAGAGGGACCCCAGCTGGAGGAGGCTGGGCTGAGCAGAGGCATAGAAGAGTACAGAAGCAAAGAGGAACTTGGGAGGAAGCAGTTAGAACTTCCAGTGGTATGAACCCCTTCCCTCATGAAGTTCTCTCCCTAATACTTCTTTCCCTAACCCTTGAAAGCTCTATCATGGCTTCACTCCCTCCATGTAACATTGTGAATTTGATCATGCACTGACTTAATTTAGGGAAGTTTATGCGCATGACGTAGAGGATAGTTTCTATTTAAAAACTAACTTTCACTTGAAATACATTCCCTGTCACTCCCTACTCTGAAAGCTAATTGCTGCAGTGTTTGTAGCACAGCAATTAACCTTTGGGTTGTGTCCATTATGGTTGTATCCATTATGGTTGGCCAGAAATAATAGACCTTCTAATTACTACCTCCAGTGTTACTGGAAAAATAAAATTTTCAGTGCAGTAGTAACATGACACTGCAGGAAAGAGCCACATATTTTAATGACAGTTTGATGTATAAGACTGCCTCTTTGGAGCTCTGGTATAGTCATTGCAAATAAGAGATTCATAATGCTAAAGAAAAACAGCCTCAGCTCTATTAATGCTTTGAGTTACATTTTGTGCCTGTGAGTTTGCCCTGCTGGGTTTGTTTTCAGTGGATTCAAACCTACCATCTGGTCATTTTAAATATTTAATATGTTATCCTTTTTTTAACCAAAGCAGCCATGTTAAGTCGAATATTAGAAATAGTATTTTCCCTTTATAAAGCTTGTAGCATCTAGAAAAGGGCTTTTTGCCCCAATTTAGTAATTTAGACAATAGCTAAATTAATTTTCTTTGATGTGCAGAAGTAACTTTATACCAATTGTGGTTCATGGGCTGCTAATAACTCTGATTTTTTTTTTTTTGATACTTTAAGTTTTAGGGTACATGTGCACAATGTGCAGGTTAGTTACATATGTATACATGTGTCATGCTGGTGTGCTGCACCCATTAACTCGTCATTTAGCATTAGGTATATCTCCTAAAGCTATCCCTCCCCCCTCCCCCCACCCCACAACAGTCCCCAGAGTGTGATGTTCCCCTTCCTGTGTCCATGTGTTCTCATTGTTCAATTCCCACCTATGAGTGAGAATATGCAGTGTTTGGTTTTTTGTTCTTGTGATAGTTTACTGAGAATGATGATTTCCAATTTCATCCATGTCCCTACAAAGGACATGAACTCATCATTTTTTATGGCTGCATAGTATTCCATGGTGTATATGTGCCACATTTTCTTAATCCAGTCTATCATTGTTGGACATTTGGGTTGGTTCCAAGTCTTTGCTATTGTGAATAGTGCCGCAATAAACATACGTGTGCATGTGTCTTTATAGCAGCATGATTTATAATCCTTTGGGTATATACCCAGTAATGGGATGGCTGGGTCAAATGGTATTTCTAGTTCTAGATCCCTGAGGAATCACCACACTGACTTCCACAAGGGTTGAACTACTTTACAGTCCCACCAACAGTGTAAAAGTGTTCCTATTTCTCCACATCCTCTCCAGCACCTGTTGTTTCCTGACTTTTTATGGTTGCCATTCTAACTGGTGTGAGATGGTATCTCATTGTGGTTTTGATTTGCATTTCTCTGATGGCCAGTGATGGTGAGCATTTTTTCATGTGTGTTTTGGCTGCATAAATGTCTTCTTTTGAGAAGTGTGTGTTCATATCCTTTGCCCACTTTTTGATGGGGTTGTTTGTTTTTTTCTTGTAAATTTGTTTGAGTTCATTGTAGATTCTGGATATTAGCCCCTTGTCAGATGAGTAGGTTGTGAAAATTTTCTTCCATTTTGTAGGTTGCCTGTTCACTCTGATGGTAGTTTCTTTTGCTGTGCAGAAGCTCTTTAGTTTAATTAGATCCCATTTGTCAATTTTGGCTTTTGTTGCCATTGCTTTTGGTGTTTTAGATATGAAGTCCTTGCCCATGCCTATGTCCTGAATGGTAATGCCTAGGTTTTCTTCTAGGGTTTTTATGGTTTTAGGTCTAACGTTTAAGTCTTTAATCCATCTTGAATTAATTTTTGTATAAGGTGTCAGGAAGGGATCCAGTTGCAGCTTTCTACATATGGCTAGCCAGTTTTCCCAGCACCATTTATTAAATAGGGAATCCTTTCCCCATTGCTTGTTTTTCTCAGGTTTGTCAAAGATCAGATAGTTGTAGATATGCGGCATTATTTCTGAGGGCTCTGTTCTGTTCCATTGATCTATATCTCTGTTTTGGTATCAGTACCATGCTGTTTTGGTTACTGTAGCCTTGTAGTATAGTTTGAAGTCAGGTAGCGTGATGCCTCCAGCTTTGTTCTTTTGAGTTAGGATTGACTTGGCGATGTGGGCTCTTTTTGGTTCCATATGAACTTTAAAGTAGTTTTTTCCAATTCTGTGAAGAAAGTCATTGGTAGCTTGATGGGGATGGCATTGAATCTATAAATTACCTTGGGCAGTATGGCCATTTTCATGATATTGATTCTTCCTACCCATGAGCATGGAATGTTCTTCCATTTGTTTGTATCCTCTTTGTATTTCGTTGAGCAGTGGTTTTCAGTTCTCCTTGAAGAGGTCCTTCACGTCCCTTGTAAGTTGGATTCCTAGGTAATAACTCTGATTTTTAAAATTACATTAAAAACAAATGGATTAGAATAACTAATATTGTTAAGATGTCCATAGTACTCAAAGCAATTCATAGATTTAATGCAATTTATATCAAAATTTCAGTGACATTTTTCACAGAAATAGAAAAAATAATCCTAGAAGTCATATGGAACCACAGAAGACCCTGGCTAGCCAAAGCAATCTTGAGAGAGAGGAACAAAACTAGAGGCATCACACTGTCTGATTTCAAACTGTATTACAAAGCTACAGTAATCAAACCAGTATGATGCTGGTATAAAAACAGACCAATGGAACAGTAGAGAGAGCTCAGAAATAAGCCTATATATATAATATATATATATTATATACATTATGTATATATTATATATAATATACATAATATATAATATATATAACATGTATATAATATATATACATATATATATTATATATATATACATTATATATATAATATATATATATATAAAATCAGCTAATCTTTGACAAGGGCACCAAGAATGTACAAAGGGGAAAAGATAGTTTCTTCAATAAATGATGTTGAAAAAACTAGACATCCACATGCCAAAAAATGAAATTGGGCCCTTTTCTTATACAATGTGAAAAAATTAACTTGAAATGGATTAAAGACTTAAATATAAGAGCCAACACTGTAAAACTCCTAGAAGAAAACATAAGGGAAAAGCTCCTTGACATTGGTCTTGGCAATAATTTTTTTCGATATGACATCAAAAGCACAGACAACAAAAGCGAACTTACATAAGTAGAACTACATCGAACTAAAAAGCTTCTGCACAGCAAAGGAAACAATCAACAGAATGGGAAGGCAATCCTATGGACTGGGAGAAAGTATTTGCAAACTACGTATCTGATAAGAAGTTAATATCTAAAATATATAAGAAACCCATACAACTTAATTGCAAAAAATACAAAACAAACAAACAAAAAACAAAACAAAACCAACCAAAGAACAAATAACTAAAAAATAGGCAAAGGACCTGCGTAGATGTTTTACCAAATAAAACATTCAAATAGCTAATAAGTATATGAGAAGATGCTCGACATCACTAATCATCAGGGAAATGCAAATCAAAACCACAATGAGATACATCTTACACCTCTTAGGATGGCTATTATCAACATGATGAGATAAATATTGGCAAGATATGGACAAGAGGGAAACTTGGCACACTACTGGTGGGAATGTAAATTAGTGGAGGAACACCTCATTTCATTGCATTTTGCTTTATTGTGCTTCATAGATACTGTGCTTTTTACAAACGGAAGATTTCTGGAAATCCTGCATGGAGCAAGTCATTGGTGCCATTTTCCCAGTGATCTGTGCTCACTTCATGTCTCTATGTCACATTTTTTTAATTCTTACAATATTTCAAACTTTTACATTTTTATTATATCTGTTATGGTGATCTGTGACCAGTGATCTTTGATGTTACTATTTAATTATTTGGGAGCATTGCAAACCATGCCCATAGAAGATGGCAAACTTATCAGAAAAATGTTAAGTATGTTCTGACTGCTCCACTGACTGACTGTTTTCCCCATCTCTCTCCCTCTCCTTGGGCCTCCCTGCTCCCAGAGACACAACAATATTGAAATTAGGCCAATTAATAATCCTACAGTGACCTCTAAATGTTCAAGTGACAGGAAGAATCACATATCTCTCACTTTGAGTCAAAAGCTGGAAATGATTAAGCTTAGTGAAGAAGGCACGTTGAAAGCTGAGACAGGCGGAGAGGTAGGTCTCTTGTGCCAAACAGTTAGCAAAGTTGTGATGCAAAGGAAAAGTTCTTGAGGGAAATTAAAATTGCTACTCTAGTGAACACAAAAATGATAAGAAAGCAAAACAGCCCTATTGCTGATATGGACAGAGTTTGAATGGTCTGGATAGAAGATCAAACCAGCCATAACATTCCCTTAAGCAAAAGCCTAATCCAGAACAAGGTTCTAACTCACTTCAATTCTATGAAGGCTGAGAGAGGTGAGGAAGCTGCAGAGCTAGCAGAGGTTGGTTCATGAGGTTTAAGGAAAGAAGCCGTCTCCATAATATAAAAGTGGAAGGTGAAGCAGCAAGTTCTAATGGAGAAACTGCAGTAAATTATCCAGAATATCTAAGATCATTGAAGAAGGTGGCTACATTAAATAACAGATTTTCAATGGAGACTAAACAGCCTTATGTTGGAAGAAGATGCCATCTAAGACTCGTAGCTAGAGAGAAGATGTCAATACCTGCTTCAAAGCTTTTAAGGGTAGAATAACTCTCGTTAAAGGCTAATGCAGCTGGTGACTTTAAGTTGAAGCCAATTCTTATTTACCATTCCAAAAACTCCAATTCCCTTAAGAATTATGCTAAATCTACTCTGCCTGTGCTCAATAAATGGAACAACAAGGTCTGGATGACAGCACATCTGTTTACAGCATGGCTTACTGAATATTTTAAGCCCACTCTTGAGACCTATTGCTCAGAAAAAAAGATTTATTTCAAAATATTAGTGCTCATTGAGAATATATCTGGTCACTCAAGAGCTCTGATGGAAATATACAAGGAGATTAATGTTTTCATGCCTGCTAGCACAACATCTATTCTGCAGCCTATGGATCAAGGAGTAATTCTGACTTTCAAGTCTTATTATTTAAGAAACAAATTTCATAAGGCTATGGCTGCCAGAGAGGATGATTCATCTGATAGATCTAGGCAAAATAAATTGAAACCTTCTGGAAAGGATTCACCATTCTAGATGCTATGAAGAACATTCATAATTCATGGGAGGTCAAAATATCAACACAGAGGCTGGGCGCAGTGGCTCATGCCTGTAATCCTGCACTTTGGGAAGCTGAGGTGGTCAGATTGCTTGAGCCCAGGAATTCAAGACCAGCCTGGGCAACATGGCAAAACCCCATCTCTACTAAAAGTACAAAAAAGCCAAGCATGGTGGTGTGTGCTTGTAGTCCCAGCTACTTGGGTGGCTGAGGCAGGAGGATGACTTGGGCCTGGGAAGTTGAGGCTGCAGTGAGCCGAGATTGTGCCACTGCACTCCAGCCTGGGCAACAGAGTGAAACCCTGTCTCAAAAAAAAAAAAAAAAAACCCACCATAAATGAGAGTTTGGAAAAAGTTGATTGCAACCCTCATGGATGACCTTTGAGGTGTTCAAGATTGAAGTGGAAGAAGAAACTGCAGCTGTGGTAGAAATTGCAAGAGAACTAGAATTAGAAGTGGAGCCTGAAGGTGTGACTGAATTGCTGCCATCTCATGATCAAACTTTAATGGATAAAGAGTTGCTTTTTATAGATGAGCAAAGAAAGTCGTTTCTTGAGGTGGAATCTACTCCTGATGAAACTGTGAATATTGTTGAAATGATAGCAAAGGATTTAGAATATTATGTAACTTAGTTAAAGCAGCAACACAGCTGAAGAGGATTGACTCCAATTTTGAAGGAAGTTCTGTGGGTAAAATGGTATCAAACAGCATCACATGCTTCAGAGAAATCTTTTGTGCAAGGAAGAGTCAATCAATAAGGTACAGTTCATTGTTGTCTTATTTTAAGAAATTGCTACAGCTACTGCAGCCTTCACCAACCATCAGTCAGCAGCCATCAACATCAAGGCAAGACCCTCCACCAGCAAAAAGATCATGACTCATTAAAGGCTCAGATGATTGTTAGCATTTTTTAGCAATAAGGTATTTTACATTGTTTTCTAGATGTAATGCTATCACACACTTGATAGGCTACAGTATATTGTAAACAAAAGTTTTATATGCACTGGGAAACCAAATAATTATGTGACTTGCTTTATTGCAAAATTTACTTTATTGTGGTGGTCTGGAACCAAACCTGAAATATCTCCTAGGTTTACCTGTATGCTATATGGAAAACAGTATGGAGGTTCCTCAAAAAATTAAAAATGGAACTACCATATAATCCAGCAATCATGCTTATGGTTATATATCCAAAAGAACTGAAGTCAGTATGTTGAAAGGATATATGCACGTCCATGTTCATTATAGCATTATTCACAATAGCCAAGATATAGAAACTACTTAAGCATTTGTTGGTAGATGAATGGATAAAGAAAACATGATGTAAGTATACAATGAAATATAATTCAGCCATAAAAGAAGGAAATCCTGCCATTTGCAACAACAGAGATGAACCTGGAGGACGTAATACCAAGTAAAATAAGCCAGACACAGAAAGACAAATACTGTAAGATCTCACTTATATGTGGAATCTAAAAAAGTCAAAATCACAGAAGCAGCAAGTAGAAAGGTGGTCGCTAGGGGGATGGGGGAAATGGGAAGATGTTGGTCAAAGGAGAAAAAATTTCAGTTGTAAGATGAGTAAGTTCTGGGTTGGGCGCGGTGGCTCACACCTGTAATCCCAGCACTTTGGGAGGCTGAGGTGGGTGGATCACGAGGTCAGGAGATCGAGGCCATACTGGCTAACACAGTGAAACCCTGTCTCTACTAAAAATACAAACAATTAGCTGGGCGTGATGGCAGGCATCTGTAGTCCCAGCTACTCGGGAGGCTGAGGCAGGAGAATCACTTGAACCTGGGAGGCAGAGGTTGCAGTGAGCCTAGATTGCACCACTGCACTCCATCCTGGGTGACAGAACGAGACTCCATCTCAATAAAATAAATAAAAATAAGATGAATAAGTTCTGGGGATCTAATATATAGCATGGTGACTATAGTTGTGTACTGTATTATATACTTGAAATTTGCTAAGAAAGTAGATCTTAAGTGTCTCACCACACACACACACACACACACACACACACACATACACATACCACAAAATGGTAACTATGTAAGGTGATGAATGTGTTAATTAACTTGATTGTGGTAATCATTTCACAATGTTTATGTATATCAAATTATCACATTGTATGTCTTGAATATACACAATTTTTATTTGCCAATTCTACCTTAATAAAGCTAGGGAAAAAGAAATACAAAAAATAAGCACAATGGGATAAGTAGTATCATAGGTTGATAAGTGAAGGAAAACATGGAGTTAAATTTTTAGAGAAAGTGAAATTAAAGAAATATGACTATATTTCAATTCAATAGAACGGATTTTATAGAGGAGGTGGGCTTTGGGGAGCTACTTGAATGTCAAATTATTGAGAGATTTGGTGATCTCGACATGGTATGTGGATGGGGAGATGGTTTAGAGGCAGCAATGGGATAATTTAATACAAAGGATCTTGTATGTTCTCACTTGAAGGCAGAAGCAGATGTACTATGAATAATGAAGCTTAAGCATCAGGGACCTTTCCAAGGCTCTATCTAATTTGATATTTTGGAATCTTACATTCTTTTTCTTTAAAAAGGTCTCAAAATTGTATAAGTTTAAGAACCTCACAATCAAAATTCACTCTTCTTGAATGGAGGAAAATAATATAGTGGAGACCAGGGAAGTTGGGTATTTCAGATGAGTTTTGAGGCAGTTAATAACATCTAGAAGAGTTTAATTGATTTCTCCTTTGAAAGGGAAAATGGTGGAATAGGAGGTTGCTGACATATATTTTTTGAATAATAAACCTTGTATTACTAGTTAACTTTTGTATGCATAAATTTGACAAAACTTAAAACTATGTATTTATTTATTTATTCATTTATTTATTTGAGGGGAGATGGAACCCTGAGCAGCCCATGTACATGGAAGATCTTTATTGCAGAGATCTTCAAACCAGGTAAGCCCTGCCAGCTTTTGTCCCTCCACTCCTTTCTCCAATCCAGAGTTCCTTGCTGCCAAAGGAAGAATTTGTGGGAAGAGGAAACTCTTCTCTCTCGTTGCTCGGCCTGGCCCTCCACCTTTTCCATTAATGATGAAGAATTTCTTTTCATCAAACGGTCCTCTTCATTATCCTCTTTCCCTGGGTTGGATTTTTCCCCACACTGCCATGTCTGAAAGTAGAATTGAGTTATCCTCAATGTGGATTCAGCCTCCAAGTAACTCTACTAATGAACAACTTAATTCACAATAAAAACATGGGTCAGTCTTGACTCTTTTTAAATGTAATTTTGGATGATCACTTTTATTTTTAATTTTAAAACATGGCCGTAACTAAAATAATTATACTTTTGCTCAAATTGAATGGATTATAATCTTAAAGATAATATTCAAGAGAGAGAGATGATTTAAACAAGAATCTTATTTATAAAATATTTCTATCTTAGTAAGAACTCTGGATAGAACAAATGTTGTCTTTAATTTGATTAACAAATTCATTGTAACATAAATGACAATAGGAGAATTATATGGGACGTTTAACAACTAGAGACATCTGAGATTGTAAAAGCCATTCTATGGTCTTACTATAGTTATAAGACAAACTGAAAGTTACAGTATGTCTTCCTACATAAAATTTTCTTAAGTTAAAAAAAAACACACAATTGGCAGGTCTAGGCTTGAGTTGGGTGAGACTGGAATATAATGGGAGGGACAGACATAGAGAAGGGAGATAGAATACCTATTTCCAAGCCAGTATAAGAAACTATTAACTTTGGGTCCCTTATGGCTGCATGGAATAAGTGGGAGTCTGATGTGGAAAGGAGACTGTTGCCTTTCTTTCACATCAATCATGCATGATTTTATGAAAACACGTTGGAGGAAAATAGGAAAATTTCACAGTATAGTATATACACAAAAGCAAAAGGCAAAAATGAAATAAATACACAAAGGTAAAAACAACAATGGTATACCATACACAGCTATTAAAATGGTCAAAATCCAAAGCAGTGACAATACCAAATGCTGACAAGAAAGTACAGCAACAGGAACTCTCAATCTTTCCTTGTGGGGATGCAAAATCGTATAGTCACTTTGGAAGACCATTTGGTTGTTTCATATAAAACTAGACATACTCTCTCCATATGATCCAGCAGTTACACTCCTTAGTATTTACCCAAAGGTGTAGAAAATGTATGTTGACACTAAAACCTGTACATGGATGTTTATAGCAGCTATGTTTATAATTGTCAAAACTTGGAGGTAACCAAGTTGTCCTTCAGTAAGTGAATGGATAAACTGTGGTACATCCAGAAAATGGAATCCTATTCAGCACTAGAAAGATGGGCTATCAAGCCATGAAAAGACATGAAGGAAACTTAAATGCATATTACTAAGTGAAATAAGCTAATCTGAAAAGTCAAAATACTACAGTATGATTGCAACTATGTGACATTTTGAAAATATGGGAAAACTGCATAGGCAAAACTATGTAGACAGTAAAAAGTTTGGGCCAGGTGTGGTGGCTAACGCCTGTAATCCCAGCACTTTGGGAGGCCAAGGCAGGTGGATCACCTGAGGCTGAGGTCAGGAGTTTGAGACCAGCCTGACAAACATGGAGAAACCCTGTCTCTACTAAAAATACAAAATTAGCCGGCTGTGGTGGCACATGCCTGTGATCCCAGCTACTCAGGAGGCTGAGGCAGGAGAATCGCGTGAACCCGGGAGGCAGAGGTTGCGGTGAGCCAAGATTGCGCCATTGCACTCCAGCCTGGGCAACAAGAGCAAAACTCTGTCTCAAAAAAACAAAACAAAAAAAAAAAGATTGGTGGTTGCCAGGGGTTAGGAGGGAGAGAAGAATAAATAAGCAGAGCATAAAGGATTTGGGGGCAGTGAAACTACTCTGTATGATACTATCATGGCAGATGCACGTCATTGTGCATGTGTCAAAACCCACAGAATATAAAACGTCAAGAGTGAACTCTAACACAAACTACAGACTTTGGGTGATAATGATGTGTCCACGTAGGTGCGTGGATCATAACAAATATACCATCTGGTGGGGGATGCTCATAGTCGGGGAGGCTGTGCATGTGTGAGGGCAGGGGGCGATATGGGAAATCGCTGTATTTTCTGCTCAGTTTTGCTGTGAACCTAAAGCTTCTAAAAAAAATACAGTTGAAAAGGAAAGGAGAGGAGAGGGGAGGGGAGGAGGGGGCAGGAAGGATTCCATGAAAACTTCCCAGAACGAGACTGACATCTTGCTTTCAAGAGTCTGGTGGTTAATTTAAAGGGTGGAAGGGGTTGGGGGCTCCTATCTGGGCCTTAAAAAGCCATGGGCAAGAGGGAGTTGAAATTACCAGAGTTTCCTAAAACATCAGTTACATAGTGGGTGAAATAAAAGCAAGGTCTGTGCAGACACACAGGCACTGACACTACTCTGCCTAGAGGCAGTGGTCAAATCCCTAGCAGTGGGCGGGGGGTGGGTATGGGGGTCCTAGGGGCTTCCCACTGCCCCACATTAATTAAGTCAACAATTACTAAGCTGTACTCTGTGTGTGTGCGTTAGGGGTGGGGAGAACTGCACCAGGGCCCCAAGAGGTATCTGGGAAAAAACCCACAATGGCAGGGAAGTAAGTGATACTGCCTCCTCTAATGGGGAAATTAGATAAGGCAGAAGAAATTTCTAGAAAAGTATATATAGGTTGGTCATGTTTCATCCAGTTTTGTAAATGGAATTTCCATTTAAGATTTCTCAAAACAGAGAGCTATATACTACCAGACTTTGCAGAAAATGTTGGAATAGACACATTCCTTGGCTTTTTTCCTGTTGGGCTGGTTTAACTGTAGTTGAAATGTTGGCAGTCCATTGTATTCAATAAGAAAAACAGGGATTTAAGACATTTTGTAATTATCTTGAGCTTCAGGGAAACTATATCTAGGAGAAAAAAAAACTGACCCATCTTGGATGTCAGGCATGATTATTAAACCTGCTTTTAACATTTCATTTAGCATTTGATTCCCTACTTAAGGCCTTCGCATAAGCCCATCTCATATGTTTCTTAAACCTGATTTACACGCATTTCCAACTGTGAATAGAATGGAAACTCTCATACTGGAGAACTAATTCTCTTTTGGAAAAGGAGTGTTTCTTCTACTTGCTCCTGTGTTTTTGGTAATGAGTCTTTTAAAACATTTCTCCTGATCATAGATTCTAGGTTTCAAGCTTAATAGTGAGATTACTCAGAAACAGGCAGTAAGAAAATGACTTTCAGGTGGGAGAAGCGTGGAACATGAACAAGATATTTGGTGACATCCCAGACTCTGCAAAGAAAGCCTGGTGAAAATAATCAGGAAATACAACTACTAGGTTTTGTGAGTGCAAGTATAGTTCCTGCACACAACCTTCCCCTTAGGACGACTAGCAGGAGGCAATGTGGTGTGGCTAATAGCAAGAACTGTGGCTTTAGACTTTCTGGGTTCCAATACTGGGCTGGGCATTTACTAACTCTGTACCTTAGGTAAGTTCCTTAAGTTCTCTGACATGGTTTCTATATCTGTGAAATCAGTTTCATAACAATAATCAATTTTTCGCTGCTCGTTGTGAGGCTTAAGAATTAATTTATGC
Source organism: Homo sapiens (assembly GCF_000001405.40). Classification (NCBI taxonomy): domain Eukaryota; kingdom Metazoa; phylum Chordata; class Mammalia; order Primates; family Hominidae; genus Homo; species Homo sapiens. Next base: position 103,282,171 of record NC_000008.11, on the reverse strand, counting down.
AAAACACTAAGACTATTTCCTGGCAAGTAGTAAGATGCCCAATTAATGTTGGATGTTGCTATGTCCATTAAGGAAAGCCCCTGGAGGCCTTCTGACATACAGGCAGATGATAGTGGCATGAACTATTCTGACAGGGACATCAGGCATTCCTTTTATCTTCCCTTCATGTCAGGAGGTGCTTATGAGAATCATGCAGCAACCATTTCTTATTGCCCTTGAGTTTATGGGTCAACTAGTTGGTTCTTCTGGTCTCCACTGAGCTTGCCCATGAATATGTGGTGAGCTACAAGGCAGCTAGGTGGTTCTGCTTCTAGAGGTTAGCTAACTATTCACTGGGACATTTCTATTCTCTTCCATGTAGCCTCTAATCCTCCAGCAGGCTAGTCTAGCTACAGTTTGTTCACTTGGCAGCCTCAGGGTTTCAAAAAGGAGATTGAAACTATGCAAGGCCTTTTGAAGCCTAGACTTAGAATTGGCATGAAATGTCTTCTGCTGCATTCTTTTGGGCAAAGCCAGTCACAAGGCCAACACAGATTCAAGGGTTGGGGAAATACCATCTCTCAATGGGAGGAGCTTAAGAGTCATCTTGCAAAGGAGAATGAATAAAGGAAAGGGAATAACTGCAGCCATTTTCCAAACAACCTTCTACACCACACAATTTAATAATTTCTTATTCAGCATTTCTGGCATGTAGTCATGTACCTGGAACATCTTCCAAAATGGGTAGCTCACTGTTTTACTAGGCAGCTCTCACTGTGGGAATGTTTTCCCTTATTATCCCTCTGTAGAGACACAGACTCTCACAGAATCTCTGAATCACAGAATTGAAGGTCATTCAGGCAATGGACTCTTTGAAGCCAGGTTCCTGTACAGGAAGCCACAGGAAGTCTGCAATTTCCACTGATCTGTCCCAGTTATACCTTTTGGAGCAAAACAAAACATGTATTTGTTACTCATTTGTTTTTAAGAGCTTCTAATCAAGGCCAACATGGGCATTACATAACAGATACATGCTCCATTCCAGCCACTGTTTATTCATGGTCCTTTATTTATTCATGTGCTCAATATATATTAAGCAGTTTCCATGGGTCAGGAATGCATCTTAAGGTAAGTGAGGTGTGGGGTTTCAAGTCACTTAGATTTGGATTTAAGCCTCATTTTACTATCTGCCAACTGTGTGAGACTGGGGAAAGTTATTTAATTTCTCTAATTCTCAGTTTCCTCACCTAAAAAATGGGTATGATTATCCCTACCTCACAGGGAGATTGTGATAGTTAAATAAAATAACAAATATAAAGTGCCAGGCCTATACTGGACACTCAGTTAATGGTAGCTATTAATCATTATTATTAAGGGATAATAATATTCTGGATATGTTTTCTGTGATCTCACCATCTCCTGTTGTGATCTCAAATTATTCTTCATGTCTTGACAGTGCTTCCTTTTTTGTTTTTTAGACAGAATCTCTCTCTGTTGCCTAGGGCTGGAGTGCAGTGGCGTGATCTTGGCTCACTACAACCTCCACTTCTCAGGTTCAATCCATTCTCCTGCCTCAGCCTCCCGAGTAGCTGGGACTACAGGCGCCCGCCTCCACACCTGGCTAGTTTTTTAATTTTTAGTAGAGATGGAGTTTTGCCATGTTGGCCAGACTGGTCTCGAACTCCTGACCTCAGGTGATCCACCCCCTTCAGCCTCCCAAAGTGCTGGGATTTCAGGCATGAGCCACTGTGTCTGGCCAATTTTCGTATTTTCAGTAGAGATGGGGTTTCGCCATGTTGACCTGGCTGGTCTTGAACTCCTGACCTCAGGTGATCCACCTACCTCAGCCTGCCAGAGTGCTGGAATTAAAGGCTTGAGCCACTGTGCCCAACCAACAATGCTTCCTTCTTTAGAATGAGTATTATTCTGCATATACACTAGAGTATAGCATAGTGGTTTGAGAAAATGGCCTTTGCAGTCAGACATATCTGTATTTGAATCCTGGCTCAGTCATTTACTAACTCTGTTATTTAAACCCTCAAACCTCAGTGTATAAATCTGCAAAATAAGAAGAAGAATTCCAAGCTTTGGCATGAGAATTATAAGAAAGAAGGTATATAAAACCCTTAGCTTGGTGCCTGACACTTAGTGTGTCCTTGCACTCCCACTCTCCACTAAGTGGAAGCTGTGCATTTTATTCAATGCATTTTTGTTATGAGTAGCACGGTGCCCTGGAAAGAATCAGAAGAAAACAGGTCAATTCACTCCAGCTCTTGGAGTCTTCACCTCAGTGTGTAAGGAAGGGGACCAGTTTTGTGGTCCCCAGGGTACCTGATAGCCCAGCAATTGCTTCCTCCAGATTGTTCCTTTACTTCCTTTATCAGAAATAGAATTATGTAGGAGTGTTGGAGTGTAGAAAGTGCATGAAAATGGAAATTCACAGCCCTTCTAGATGAAATAATCCCATAATTTTGAGCATCTTGGCTACCTAAGAATGTGCCAGGCCACCCTGGCTTTGGTGATCAAGTATGACTATCTGGAAAGTCAAAGTTGGAGAGAAATTGCCCTCTTTGTCCAGGCATTATGCCAGGAGTTATATATGGTGTTAAACAGAATATGGGGCGTCACAGTAGCTGTAACTGAAAGGGCAGGCAACTAGATAGTCTGTTTTGAAAAGCACTAATGACCAGGGGCTAATTTCCTTTCACTGGCTACATTTTGTTCAGAGGTGGAAAGGAAGATTGGAGCAAATTATTCACTTCCATATTCTAGTGCCTTAGAATGTTTTTTAAAAATCTGAGTCTTGGCAAATGATTTCCTTAAAGATAACTCCCCCAGACATGATGAGTAGATTTAATATGAGGAGAGGATTGCAGAACAGTTGTGGGACTTATGACTTTTTTAATGTAAAGAGCTCCCACTAGTGTTAATAGAGGATCCACAGGAAACATTCAGTGCAATACACAGCATTGCCTGACTTTGGTGAAAGGCCTGATGTGCCATCACATATTATGAATAGCAGCCCACTGTAGCTGCATGCAGCTCATCTTGTTATTGTTGGGTTTGGTTCCATTTAGGACTCAGCATTGTTTTATGTTTATTCTTCTTTTTCCAAAGTCTCGCTGTAAGTTATCTAAGAAAAATACTATGTCTAAGACGTAGTTGAGCAATGAAATTATTTTTTTTATTGTTGTTTTTTGCCCCTATGAGAAAATCATTTCACTCCCAGGTGTGTCTCATTAGCACCGTTTCTGACTTAAACAAAGGTGCTCCTTTAACACAGTTGCAAGAGTGGTTCTGTCTTGTGAGATTCCTGTCATTTCAATTGGAATATTGTTCTTTAAGCAGCTGACAATATATAGGCTGTATCAACATTATTTGTCTAAGAGATATATCTCTAGATGCTCATCTATTCTCTTAAACCACTGAAAGAGCAAAAGAGATTATGAGAGAGATGGCTAGGTTTGGCACAAAATATGACATTTCTTAATAAATTAAGCCTCTGAAATGTATTAGAACTATTATAAAACACTTGTAAATATTTATAACTCTTTTTTGTCTTTAAGCATATGATAAGGAAAAGTCAACATAAACAGTGCAGTGTGTTCTGGTTAAAGTCTTAGCATGTCAGAGTGGTGTCAGAAAAATCACCCCTGGGAACAAAAGAGCAAAGAGCAAGAAAGCTTATATCATGGTGTCAGGTCCAACAAACATTATTTTGACATAATCATGAACTTCCATAACATATGATAATTAAGTCAGTCTTCCATAATAGTATGAAATTTCCACAATGTATGACAATTAAGTCAAGGAAAAGTGATCCATAATATAAGAAGAATAAGAAGACATTGAAATTACCAGCTAGACAAAAAGACAATAACATAGAAAAAAGGGAGAAAGAAAATATTTAGCAAATACATTCACAAAATTATAGCTAAAAGAAACATTAGGAGACAAATTGGACTACCATCTCTCCATAGGCTTTCTGCATCTTACTCTGTTCCCCATGATCAAAGTTTTGAAAATATTTCTTTTAAGTGATAATTATAATGAACATTTATTGGGCACTTACCATGAGTCAGGTTTTTGCAGAATGGTTGCATCATCTTGTTTAGTTGTTCCAATAACTCTTTAATCCTAAGAGGTATTATTATTATTGTCACTTTTCCAGATGGCTCGCAGAGATTGAGGAACTTGCCCAAGGCTACGCAGCTTGTGAGTGACAGAGCCAGGGTGGGAACCACGTCTGTCTGAGCATTATGATCTGAGCGTTATGCCTGCCTACTCCTAGCTCCAATCTCACACTTCTATTATCTGCTTTGCATCGTAGATGCTAAATCTATGCTGGCCAGTATGGAAACTACTAGCCACATGTGGCTTTTTAAATTAAACTAATTTAAAATTTTGTTCCTAGTCATCTCATACACATTTCAAGTGCTCAATAGTCCCCATGTAATTAGGGGCTATTGTATCAGACAACACAGATCATAGAACATTTCCATCACAGCAGAAAATTCTGCTTCATATCAGGAGGTGCTTATGAGAATCCTGAATTCTAGACCCTGTAAACAACATTTTCTTTCAATAAACTCTCAGTGCCAATGGAAAGCACTGATGGGAGGTGGGAGAAACCACTGTTCTTCCTCTAACAACCTCTGATGGCTACAGACTCCGGTGTCCTTTGGCAATTTTAGCATCACTGGCTGTGGGCTATAGCTGCTGGTAAGCAGTGTGTAGCAGTGGTGGCAGCTGCAGACCCCAGTGATGTGTCAGTGGTTCTGGCAGCAATAGCAAGCCTCAGCAGTAATAGAGATGAATGCCTGACGGGACTGGTAACAGCAATTTCTTCCTTTCTTTTGCTCCAGCCTTAGGGTGGTAGCAGATTCCTGCAGTTGCTAATTTCTCAGTTATCTCATAGTCTCATTTTTACTCCTTCAGCCCTTCCAGCACTTGTAACTATTTTTCCTATTAACTCCTCAATTTGAAATACCTAGATTGTTTCTAACTAGACTCCAACTCTGAGTCTAAGATCTTAACCAGTAAATTATGGTTGAAAGAAAATGAAAAGTGTTAAGATTTAACCAAATGTAGAGTGACTATTATCTAGACCAAAGCTGGAGTGAATATTAGCTAGAATGAAAGCCTAAACAATCAAAATACTTTGAGAAGCAGAGCTATAACTCTTTTTTCTGTGGTGAACATTTATTACTTACATAAAAATATTTTTTTAAATTTAGAAGTTACGGATCTTCCCTTGATCTTTAATCTTACCCTAAATTTTTATTGACAAACCTAAAATCAGATTTATTAGGGATACTAAAATAATCAATTAGATTAATTCCATGATTAATCAGCTGATTTTGGCCTCAAAAAAATTACAACTTACACCTACTATACTTAACATATTCAAAGTTAATACTACTCATTAATGGTTAAAGGGGTTGAAGATACAGAGGATGGGAAGATCCCAGAATGTAAATTCTCCTATTATTTCTAATGATAAATCCATAATATACAATATAGAAATCTATAGTATCTATGAGTTTCTATAGAATCTATAGTTTCTGTGAATCTAACTGCTTAAGAGAACTTTCCACAAAGGAGACATTTGATTGCTGACTTCCTGCTTATTCATGCTCTTCCCACCAACTGTTGATCAGGGACAGAAATAGTAAAAAAGGATGAGGTGGGACTTCCAAAATGATAGCTCAGGAGTTACATGGAGCTTCTCACCAGCAAAACAGTTATTTAACTGATGAAAACTATTTTTAAAAAATCATTCAAAGTATCTGGAGGGAATATGACAATGAAGAAACATTCATTCAAGAAAGTCTACTAAATTTTGTTAAGAACAGTGGCAGCTTGTGGCATTTGAGCTGCAACCAGCTACATTACTCTCACCTCTGCCTCCAGCTCTGTGTTACAAAAGTTCTACTCCAAGTGTTTGCAGCTAAGAAGACAGGGGCTCTGTCTCTCTCTCTCAGTCTGGGCTCATGGTTCACCATGAAAGGGCAGGCCACTAGAAATTCTCTCCCCTAACCCTCAGTACCATGTTGCAGAATCTCTGTAATTCTGCAGACAAATTATTTTAGTGTATGTAATGTATGTAATTAAAAAGAGTTGTATTTAATGTATGTAATTCTGCAGAAAAAGGTAATTTTGGACAGCCATGGCTGAGAGAACTGGGTCTCTATTCTGCCTTCCAGTCACTATTGATAAGCAGAAGCTCTATCTCAGGCATTGCAGACAAAAGATACTGGGACCACAACTCATCCCTACCCCAACTCATAAAATAAAGGGTCCATACCAGAAGAAACAAGTCCAAAAGACCACAGGCTGGTAAACCTGCCCACATGTCCACTGATAGGGTGGGGGTGCCACACTAGATAAAGCATATCTCTATCTTCAGCTTCATTGCAGTTGTATAGGATTTTTGCACAGAAGGAAAGGCAGATCATAAGGACAAAGAGCTCTGCCAGAGGAACCGATTTTATTTGGAAAAGAGAATAGAGAAAAGCCTTGTTGAAAACAGTGAAGATCTTAGTGGAGAACAATTAAGAGGAGGCTGATAGCTCTGCCACAAGCAAAGTGGCAGAAAAACCAAGAGACGGCAAAGAGATAACTAAGAAGAGCTCTTCTGGGATCACAGACAACTCTGGGGATCAGGAAAGCTGTGTACCTATGCTAGGTTGCACCCACTCAGGAGCAATCAGAGCAAGACATGCACAGACTTGAAAGCATTCCCCAACCTGCACACAGACTCATCAACACAAGTGACTTAAACATAACCCCATGAGCAAATACTGACTACACAATATACTACTTTGCCACAAGGATGACTCCTAGGAAGTCAGGCTTAAAAATAATCATAGTCATCCTTGGCTCTCTGGAATAATGTGTGCATGCCCAAAGCTTTGTCCTCCTAGGAATGATCAGAGAGGGAATCTTCAAGCTAGTTATCACTGGCTAAATGTAGGACAAAAATAAATAAAAATAAACTCCCTGAATTGTGACAATAGTTTACAAATCACACATACATCCAGTATTAGAGTACAAATCTAACTAGCTGAATGAACTTAAGCACAACCTTTGACCAGTAAGTTGCTTATGCCAATCCAAGGACAATCTGTAGGTATCCAGGTTAAAAGATAAAATCAAGGGGAAAAAAATCTGAGCAGAGACATCAGAGGCTGCACACTGCAGGGGAAAGAGACGTCATGGCATTAGTTCAGCTAAATCACCTAACAAATAAGCAAATGACAAGGAAAACAACACTCTCCTGGGGTGGGGTGAGAGGGAATCTGTATCCAGAGTTGTTACATTAATTAAAATTTCCAGTTTTCAAAAAAATTATGAGACATACTAAGAACCAGGAAACTGTTACCCATACATAGGAAAAGAATTAGTAGAAATAGAAACTGACTTCAAAAGGACCCAGATGATAAACTACGCAGACAGAGACTTTAAAGAAGCAATTCTAAATATGTTAAAAGAGCTAAAGAAAACCATACTTAAAGAATTAAAAGAAGGTATGATGACAATGTCTCATAAAATAGAGAATATCAATAAAAGTACAGATATTATTTAAAATAACCAAGTGGAAATTTGGAGTTGAAAATTGCAATAACTGAAATCAAAAATTCACTAGAGGGGTTCAAGAGTAGATTTGAGCTTGTAGAAGAAAGAAACATTGAACTTGAAGATAGATCTTTTGAGATGATTCAGTTTGAAAAACAGACAGAATAAAGAATAAAGAACAAGGAACAAAGTCTCAGAAAAATGTGAGACACTATTAAGGACACCCACATATACATTAGTGTGAGTCACCAAATTAGAGGAGAAAAAGGACAGAAAACATTTTTGAAGAAACAATGGCTGAAAATTTCCCAAATTTGATAGAAAACATATACCTCTAAGAAGGTCAGTGAATTCCAAGTAAGATAAACACAATCACTTTCCACTTTTAAAATGTGGAAAGACAAAAAGAAAGTCTTGCAAACAGCATGATAAAAATAATTCATCACATACAAGGAAATCCTAAGATTAACAGCCAGTTTTTCACCACAACAGTGAAGGCCAGAAGGCAATAGGACAACATAGCAAGACCCCATCTCTACAAAAAACAATAAACTGGGCTTGGTGGTGTGCATTTATAGTTCCAGCTACTTGGGAGGCTGAGGCAGGAGGATCACTTGGGCCCAGGAGTTCAAGGCTGTAGTGGACTATAATGGTCACTACACTACAGTCTGGGCAACACAGTGAGATCCTGTCTCAAAACAACAATAATGACAATAAAACCTCCCCCCGAATTCCCAATAATAGTTGGAGATTTCAATACTCCAGTTTCAATAATGGATAGAAAAATGAGGCAGAAGATCAATAAGGAGATGAAAGAGTTGAATGGGGCCATAAACCAACCTGACCTAACAGAGATATATAGGACACACTCCATCAACATTTTGCTCAAGAATACACATTTACAACAGAATACACATTTTGCTCAAGTGAACATGGAACATAATAGACTATATGGTAGGTCACAAAACAAACCTCAATAAATTTAAGGAGAATGAAATAATACCAAGTATCTTTTCCAATCATAGTGGAATTAGATTAGAAATCAATAACAGACATGGGAAACTGGCAAATATGTAAAAATTAAACAACATGTTATTAACCATGGTTTGAAGAAAAAAATCACAAGGAAAATTAGAAAATATTCAAGATGAATGAAAACAAAACATAATATATGGAAACTTATGGTATACACCTCATGGAAAACCTGATCCTAAAATTCATATGGAAATGAAAGATATCTAGAATAGCCAAAACAATAATGACATGAAAAGAACAAATTTGGAGTACTCACACTCCTGATTCCAAAACTTACCACAAACTTCAAGTAATCAAGATTGTGTGTTATAGGCATAAGGATAGACATATAGATCAATGGAATAGAATGGAGAGTCCAGAAATAAACTCATAAATCCCTGGTTAGTTTAGTTTTGACATCAATAGGTGAAAGAATAGTCTTTTCTGCAAAGGATATCCACATGCAGAAGAATGGATGTAGACCTTTATTCACATCATACACGAAAATTAACTCAAAATGCATCAAAGACCTAAATGTAAAAGCTAAAGCTATAAAACTCTTAGAAGAAAGTATAGGAGTAAATCTTTATGAACTTGGGTTAGGCAGTGGTTTCTTAGATATTGCACCTAAAGCACAAGAAACCAAAGAAAAATAAATAAATTGGACTACCGAAAAATTAAAGCCTTTTGTGCTTCAAAGAAAGTATGAAGACAATGAAAAATAACTGACAGAATGGGAGAAATCTGGAAATCACGTGTCTAATAAGGTTATTGTATCAAGAACATATGGAAAACTCTTACAACTCAACAATAAAACAAATAACCTGGTAAAAAATGAGGAAAGTACTTAAATAGTAATTTCTCCCAAGAAGATATATAAATGGCCAATAAACACATGAAAAGATGCTCAACATCATTGGGAAAATGGAAATAAAAACTAAAACAAAATTCCACTTCACACATGCTAGTATGGTTATGAGAAAAAAAAGACAATAACAAATGTTGGTGAGGATGTGGAGAAAATGTGTATACTAGCTTGTTCTCATACTGCTGTAAAGAACTACAGAGACAAGGTAATTTATAAAGAAAAGAGGTTTAGTTGGCTCATGGTTTCACAGGCTGTACAGGAAGCATTGCTGGAGAGGGCTCAGGAAACTTACAGTCATGGCAGAAGGTGAAGGGGAAACAGACATGCCCTACATGGCTGGAGCAGGAGGAAGAGAGTGAATGGGGAGGTGCTAGATACTTTTAAACAACCAGATCTCATTAGATCTCACTCACTATCGTGAGAACAGCAAAGAGGAAATCCGCCCCAATGATCCAGTCACCTCCCACCAGGCCCCTCCTCCAACACTGGAGATTACAATTTGACATGCGATTTGGGTGGGGACACAGAGCTAAATCATATCTTTCTGCCCCCAGCCCCTCCCAAATCTCATGTTCTTCTCACATTTCAAAACACAATCATGTCTTCTCAACAGTCCCCCAGAGTCTTAACTCATTCCAGCATTAACTCAAAAGCCTAAGTCCAGAGTCTCATCTGAGATTAGGCAAGTCCCTTTTGCCTATGAGCCTGTAAAATCAAAACAAGTTAGTTACCTCCAAGATACAATGGGGGGTACAGACATTGGGAAAATGCTCCCATTCCAAAAGGGAGAAAAATTGGCTAAAACAAAGGGGCTACCAGGCCCATGCAAGTTGAAATCCAGTAGGGCAGTCATTAAATCTCAAAGCTCCAAAATAATCTCCTTTGACTTCATGTCTCACAGCCAGGCCACACTGATGCAAGGGGTGGGCTCTCAAGGCCTTGGGCACCTCCACCCCTGTGCCACTGTGGGGTACAGTCCCCAGGGCTGCTTTCATGGACTGGTGTTGAGTGTCTGTGGCTTTTCCAGACACATGATGCAGGTTGTCAGTGGATCTACCATTCTGGGGTCTGGAGGATTGTGGCCTTCTCCTCACAGAGGAGCAGTGCCCCAGTGGGGACTCTGTGTGGGAACTCCAACCCCACATTTCCCCTCCACACTTCCCTAGAAGAGGTTATCCATGAGGGCTCCACCCCCACAGCAGACTTCTGCCTGGACATCCAGATGTTTCTATATAGCTTCTGAAATCCAGATGAAGGCTCCCAAGCCTCAACTCTTGTCCTCTGCACACCTGCAGGCTTAATACCACATGGAAGCCACCAAGGTTTATGACTTGCACCCTCTGGAGCAGTGTGGCCTGAGATGTATCTGGGGCCCTTTAAGCCAAGGCTGGATCTGAACTGTCTGGGACGTAGGGAGAAATGTCCTGAGGTTGCACAGGGCAGCAGGGCCTCAGGCCTGACTTCTGAAACTACTCTTCCCTCCTAGGCCTCTGGGCCTGTGTGGCAGGGAGGCTGCTGTGAAGGTCTGAAATGCCTTCCAGTTCTTTTCCCCATTATCTTGGCTGTTAACATTTGGCTCCTCTTTACTTATGCAGATTTCTGCAGCTGGATTGAATTCCTCCCCAGAAAATGGATTTTTCTTTTCTATCACATGGTCAGGCTGCAAATTTTGTAAACTTTTATGCTCTGCTTCCCTTTAAAATACAAGTTCCAGTTGTAGATCATCTCTTTGCTCATGCATACGACCATATTAGAAGCAGCCAGGTCACTTCTTGAATACTTTGCTGCTTAAAAATTTCTTCTGCCATATACCCTAAATCATCACTCTCAAGTTCAAAGTTCCAAAGATCCCTAGAGCATGGGCACAATGCCACCAGTCTCTTTGCTAAAGCATAGCAAAGGTGACCTTTGCTCCATTCCTAATAAGTTCCTCATCTCCATCTGAGACAACTTCAGCCTGGACTTTATTGTCCATTTCACTGTCAGCATTTTGGTCACAATTTAACAAGTCTCTAGGAAGCTCCAAACTTTACTTCATCTTCCTTTCTTCTTCTGACCCCTCCAAACTGTTCCAACCTCTGCCTGTTACCCAGTTCCAAAATTGCTTTTGCATTTTCAGGTATATGTATAACAATGACTCACCTCTCTGTTGCCAATTTTCTATATTAGTCCATTTTCACAATGCTAAAAAGAACTTCTTGTAATAGGATAATTTATAGAGGTTTAATTGGCTCATGGTTCCACAGGTTGTACAGGAAGCATGGCTGGGGAGGCCTCAGGAAACTTAGAATATAGCAGAAGGTGAAGGTGAAGCAGACATGTCCTACATGTTTAGAGGAAGGGGAAGAGAGCAAAGTGGGGAGGTGCTACACACTTTTGAACAACAAGATTCTGTGAGAACTCACTATCATGAGAACAGCACAGGGGAAATCCCCCAACCATGATTCAGTCACCTCCCACCAGACCCCTCCTCCAACACTGGAGTACAATTCAGCATGAGATTTGGGTGGGAACACAGAGCCAAATTATATCACTGGGATGCTCATTTTTGCTGGTAGGAATGTAAAATGTAGCAATTGCTTTCTATAACAATTTGGCAATTCTTTAAAAAATTAAGGTTATCAAATGACCCAGAAATTTTATCCAAGAGAAATTAAAAACCTATGTCTACACAAAAAGTTGTACTCAAATGTTCAGAGCAGCATTATTCAGAACGGCCAAAAAAAGTAGGAACAACCCAAATTTTCATCAACTGGTGAATGGATAAATAACATGTAGAATACTCATACAATGGAATATTATCTGGCCATAAAAAGGCATGAAGTTCTAACACACGCTGCAACATAGATGGGCCTTGAAAACATTATGCTAGGTGAAAGGAGCCAAAAGACCACATTTTATATGTGGCCATTTATATAAAATGTTCAGAATAAGAAAATGTATAATGACAGAAAATATATTAGCATTTGTGTGGGGCTAGAGAGGGCCTAACAGGGGAATGGAGATTACTGCTGATGGACACTGGGTTTCTTTCAGGGGAGACAAAAATGTTCTAAAATTAGATTGTGATGATGGTTGCACAGCCTTGTGTTTCTACTAAAACAATTAAATGGGTGAATTATATGGTATGTGAATTATATTTTAGTAAAGCTGTTTTAACAAAAGTAAGAGATTGTGAGACAGTTGGATATAGGACACTGTATCACAGGTTCAAGGAATGTTTATTAGATCTCTGGTAGTTTAGAGAGCAAAAATCCCTTATCCACACTAAGTGAACACATACATCTCTTTGCCCCTGGAGTTTCTGAGTATTATGTTCTTTGTCACAATTACTGGAATAGAACCAGTGCTGCTGTCAATTGGGAATTGATGAGTGTTAACAGCATGAAACCAACACAGATGGTGCTGGGCAATGTAGCTCCATGGGGATCTGAGAGTTCTCCTAATATGGGCATCTTTTTCTTGAGTTGCAGCTGACATCTGACCTCTAAATAGCAGAGGTGTTGGGAAAGGCTCAGGAAATGGTCCTGACTCAGCTGATAGTTTCTATAGACTCCTTGCAAGTAGGGCTGTGTTGAAGTTAGAAGTCAAAACCAATGAAAGGAGTCTTAACAACAGTACTGAAAAGACCTCCTTTCCTAGAAAATAATAGCATTTTAGGAGGCCTAGGAACAATTCTAGGCCAATAAAAGTAACAACAACAATAATTACCACCACCACTGCTATTTAGTAAGCCCATGTGCTAGATACTGTGTTACATGCCTTAATATGATTAAATATCTAGTAGGTATGGAGTTCTTATGTGCCCAGCTCTGTGCTAAATGCTCTTTGTCGATTCTTAAGACAACCTTCTGAAATAAACAATTATTATGTTCATTTTATTTATTAGGAAACTGAGGCTAAAGAGTTTAGTATTCTGCCAAGGCCAGCTAATAGTTACAGAGCATGGTTCCAAATTCAGAGCTGTCGGAAGCTTAAGCCCATGTGATGAACCACGAATGTGATTTTACCTCATTTAAGCCTTGCAGCAAACTCTGCCAAGTAAGTAGGATTATCCTTATTGGAGAGGATGATTGCTTATTCCTATTACTCTGCCTGTCTCCAGGCAGAGAAGCTTTCATTAGTACAATACACCCAGTAACTTTCTATTCCCTACAGGAAGAGTTTGGAAGAAAGATCTTTACAAGCACTATTGATCCATTTCTCTCCTATTTCTCTCCCATTTCTGTCTTTGTCTCTGTCAAATCTGCCCACCAACAGCTAGTGTGCATTTACTCCTGCCTCTCCATGCCTGAAGGAAGGAATGAAGAGGTCTCTGCTGTCCATCTGAGCCAGTGACTGGGTGAATATGCCTGCCCAATTCTAGCATGCAGTATTAGGAAGCCCACTGTTGCTGTGCACCTAAGCCCAGGTTTTCCAGTATCAGCTCTTTTAGTAATAAAGTTGGCATTGTAGTTTCTAGCTATCTGACCTCTTTGGCTATCTCATGATTGGTTTTGAACTTGAATGGGAAATATGGATGCCATTTATAGGACCTAGTATAGTCCCAACATCCATTTTATGTATGATGAAGCCTTGGCTTCAGAGGGTTTATGTGACTTGCTTATTTTTCATAGAAGAATACTGCTGAGCCTTATATAAGAGACACAGTTATTATTGAGGATCTCAAAGTGGTTTGAACTCAAGCAAGTATAACCCTTTCTATCCTCAATGCCTGAGTGGTCTATTACTGCTCTTCTACCATTCTCTAGTGCTCCTTTAATGGTGGCTAAGGCTGGTCCAGTATCACTTCCTTGAGCAAGGGAACTCATCTCTTGCTTTTGGAGATTCATTTACTATCCATTGTTTAGTTCATGTGCCTTTGATGTTCAGTACACATAGAAGGAACTATCATCTTCCTCAATAAAACCACACTGTCATCCTCTAAAGCTATTGGTGGGTGGGAAATTGACACTGAAAGGCAGCCGATGTTAGAGCCCTATCTCCTGTCCTCTGAGATCTTCCTTTCCCTTAGGAATCTCACATTCATCACAGCTGTCACCACCACAGTGCCCCCAGGGAACTCTGACTCTCGTTTCCCACATGCATGGATTCTCCTTTTAACTTCCCATAGCTCAGCTAAGACTTTCTTGACAGCTCAGGGACTCCAAAAGGGAATTGCTATAGAATAACTGGCCCCTAGATATAACTGTTCCCATGAACTCTCTTACAGGCTGTCTCTACCAGGCCAGAATTTGGGGCAGGCAAGATTTTCAGCATCCCTAAAATCACACTAAGAAGATAAACATGGAAACAGCTTGGAGCTGCCCTACCCATAGTGAGGTGGTACTGACTGGAAGACAGCTTAAACGATTTGGAGAAAAGTGGAATACATTAATCTCAGAAAACTCTACCACCTGTAGAAAGAGAGCTAAAATGGAGACAACCACAGGCAGTCTAAGATACGCTGAACTACTACAGAAAATAATGCAGCATGAAGGAATGCTGGAAGGTATGGGGTCAGAGCAAGCTGATGGAGGGTCCTTCATTTCCAAGCCACGAGTACAGCAGGATGTAAGGCTTAGTTCATAAGAACATCTCCTGAAAGACAATCTCTATAAAAACTGTTTCAATAGAAAGAATGCAAGATGTAACTGTTTAATAATAGGACTGATATTTTAAAAAACAAATGAACGTAATAGAAGACTAGATGGATGTGCTTCTCAAAGTCCTCTCTGTGGGAGGCTTCATCCTCACTCTAGATGTGTTGCCTGTAGCAGCTGTTATTGATTACCCGCCCATAGCCTATCCATACTTACTCATCATTCCTTTACCTACCAGTGGCATCCTATTGGAAGCACCTGCGACTTTCTTAGGGCTTTCTCTTGGCCAAGCATTGGAAGGCCAGCAGTATTGAAAAGTTAATAGTCTTGGAAGCACTGGCCCTCAACTAATGACAAAGAAAAAATATAAGATAAATTCCCCAGCTTCCTTGCCTCCTGAATGGGTCAAGTCTGTGGTGTGTTCTACCCGTTTTTCAGAGGTCCCATGTTTTAAACCCTAGCTGCTCAAGGCAATTTCCTGATCATTGATGTACTCTCTATTGGCTAATTTTTAGATAATATGGAATATGCTCAAAATAGGATACTCAAAGAAAAAATCAGATGCCAAAATTATGTACACCGAATGAGTTCAATTCTGTATAAGTGTGGACATACACACATCAAAAGAAATATGGAACAAAAGATACTAAATGTTTATAGTGGTTATTTCTGGGTGTTGAAATTTTAAGTGATTTTCCTTTTCTTCTTTGTAATTGTCTCTATTTTTCAGTTTTTTCAATATACCCTGTATTTCTTTTAAAATCAGAACAAACCACCATAAGTTATTTTAAAAGGCTTATAAAGCTGATGAATATTTTGTCTTTGTTTCCTTTGTGTTGCCATAGTCTGAGGGAGTAGTTCTCAAGTGTAGTCTCTGGACCAGCAGCATCAACATTACCTGGGAACTTGTTAGAAATGCAAATTCTCAGAGGATGCCTAGGACCTTCTGAATAAGAAACCCTCGGGGTTGGGGGTGAAGGGGACAGCAATCGGCATTTTAAGAAGCTCTCCAGGTGATTTTTATGCACATTGAAGTTTGTGAACCACTGGTCTAAAGATAACTTTTATTACACCTACCTGTTAGTCCCCACTAAAGCTCCCTGGGTGGGGTCCAAAAATTTCAGTCATGTAAAATGCAGGATTGCATTTTTGTGGGGTTGGCAAACTGATTGGGATGAGCCTGCTGAGTAAGATGAAAGCTCATTACAGTTGTCTTATGTCTGAATTCATTGTAGGGCAAATTATGTTGGGGTTTCATCATAAATATATTGGTCTGCAGAGTTTATATATTCTGTATTGAAATCTATGGTGCATTTAATAGGCAGAAGGCTAGACTAATTTAAATCTAATCTGATGATCACGGAGACTGCTTGACACCTGTGATGTTTCACAGGCTTGGAGAAAGTTTTGTTTTCTTTATACCTTTATTTTCTACTTGCCTGGTGGCTTCATTTCCTTAGTTTGATTTTTCTTCCATAATTCTTCTCTCTTTCCCCCAATTATGCAAAGATAGTGGATTTCAATATTTTGTGGAAAAAACTACCATCCCTTGGATTTGAGAGGCCCCTCCTCAGTTTCCCCCATGGAGCTTTTGTTTTCCAGTGTGTTACATTAGTTGTTTGTGAATCTGTCTTCTCCCCCACCAAATGGAGGCCCTAAATGCCATGTGAGCAGGGACAGTGACTTATACCTCCTTGCATGCTTGGTTCTTAGCACAGGGCCTGGCAGAGACAGCAAGAACTCAAAACATATTGGTGAATGAGTGAATGATGATGCTGTAATTCAAGACACACATTCATTTATTTAGCATTAAAATGTTTTACATAGCAAATATTAATACAAGAAATGCATGCCAGGAACTTAACCTACATTCATTTTAATATGTGAAGAATAGGAATATGTGTACTTAAAATACAATGTGCTGTGCCGTTTATCATTTTGTTCATCTTCACCTCATCAATTTTTCAGAAACTTCCAGCAGATGGCACAATAAATACTGTCATGGGACTGCATTAGAAATTGGTTAATATTTTTCAAGATGAGCTTAAAAATTAAAATGAATAAAAGTTTCTTAGTTCAATTAATTATAATAACTGGCATTTATTTGCCATTTTCCCATTAACAAAGTGCTTTTAAATCTTTGTCTTGATTCTGCTCAAATTCTGTCAACATATTGAGAACGTTTGATTATGTACTTTAGACTTTTGTTGATATGTCATTCAATCACGGTTGCTGAATAATTTATAATCATTAATGACAATGCTATTATTTCATATTTGTAACATACCAATCTTTTAAAGACAAATTTTTTATGTAATTCAGTCACAGTTGCTGAATAATTTATAATCATTAATGACAATGCTATTATTTCATATTTATAACACACCAATCATTTAAAGACCAATTTTTTCTATGAAAAATTTGGGAAAGATCCTGCACGTGAGAACTGAACAGTAACTCAGACCACTAATAATGTAGTGAACTGCTTCTCTAGCTCATTAAACAGTAATGATTCCTCTCATTTGTGTGGCATATTGTGGATGCAAAGCACTTACACAGACACAACATCCTTTGATCCTTGCAGTAGCCCTATGATGTGGGCCAAACAAGTATTATTTTGTGGATAAAGAGAAAGTGGTTTTTCTTCTGTCTTTCTTTTCCATTCTTCATCCTTCCCTGCTGGGCCCCATTACTGCCCTTCCCAGCTTGGTTGACTCAGGCTTAATATCTCATAAATTTTAGCGAAACTCCAGTGACACATGAATGGCAATTAATATTAGTTTCGCTTAGCAAATTACAAGGAAATGCTTAGAAAGGTTAAAACTCATTTCTAAGGGCACAGAGTTATCTGATAATTGGAGATAGGAATGTTTCTTTCTCCTCCCCTCCGGGCTAAATGGAGTCCTGAGCCTGAAAAAGCTGGTGTCCCATTCTTTGCCCATGCTCTGCCCATTCTCTGGGGACTAAAAATCCACTCACATGAGGGAGTTAGAGACTTCGTATGGCAATTACCCTTAAGGCAATTGATATATGTTTTAAAAGAGAACTCTGGGACAGCAACATCTAATATAAAGTAATGAATTGGTAATGGAGCACCCTCAGAAGTCTTGAATAATACATGGTGTATTTCTAGATAATCCACAAGTGAAAATAGCTGAAGGTGTGTTAAGACACAACGAACTCCCAACTTCATATAATTTTTATTGAGATTTAATTTATATATCATAAAATTTTACCCCTTTAAAGCTTATAATTTAGTCGTATTTAGTATATTCAGACTGTTGTGCAAACATTACCACTATCAAATTCCAGAACATTTTTATCACCCTCAAAAGAGATCTTATGGCCGGGCGTGGTGGCTCACACCTATAATCCCAGCACTTTGGGAGGCCGAGGCAGGCAGATCGTGAGGTGAGGAGATGGAGACCATCCTGGCCAATGTGATGAAACCCCATCTCTACTAAAAATACAAAAATTAGCTGGACATGGTGGCGCGTGCCTGTAATTCCAGTTACTCAGGAGACTGAGGCGGGAGAATCGCTTGAACCAGGGAGTCAGAGGTTACAGTGAGCCGAGATCACACCACTGCACACTCCAGCCTAGTGACAGAGTGAGAGTCCATCTCAAAAAAAAAAAAAATCTTATTAGTAGTCACTTCCCTTTTTCTCCTCCCCACAACTCCCAGAAACTGCTAATATACTCTCTGTACTCTGTGTTCTAAACAATCTATATAAATGGAATCACATAATGTGTGACTTTTTGTTTGAAAAAGTGTAGCATAGTGTTTTCAAGGTTCATCCATGTCTGTTGGGTCTAGTTGGTTTATAATGTTGTTCAAGTATTCAGTTTTCTTGCTGATTTTTTGTCTGGTTGTTCTGTTATTAGAAGTGGGATATTGAAGTCTCCAACTATTATTGTTGACTTATTTTCATTTCCTTTCAAGTCTGTCAGTTTTGCTTCATGTTGTTAGGTGCATATGTATGTATATTGTTGTATCTTTTTGCTGGATTGAGTCTTTTACCATCATATTTTAAAGTCTGTTTTCTCTGATATTAGTATAGCCACTTCATCTCTCTTTTGGTTACTGTTTACATGGTATATTTTCCCCATATTTTAACTTTCAATCTATTTGTGTCTTTTAATCTAAGGGAGTCTCTTGTACCTGGCATAAAGTTGGATCATGTTTTGTTTTGTTTTTTTTTTTACAAAATGTAGTTCTGTCTTTTAATTAAAATGTTCAATTTATTTACATTCAATGTAATTACTGATAAGGTAAGATTTATGTAAGTAATTTTTCTATTTGTTTTCCATTCATTTTTTATGTTTTATTCCTTTATTCATCCATTATTGCCTTTTTTGTGATAAATATTTTCTGGTGTATAATCTTAATTCCCTTGTTATTTCTTTTACTATACATGTTTTTAGTTACATTCATAGTAGTTGTCCTGGGTATTATAATTAGTATCTTTTTTAAAGTAAATTAAATTTAAAAAATTTTAAAAATAGAGTCTTGCTGTGTTGCTCAAGCTGGTCTCAAACTCCTGTTCTCAAGCAATCCTCCCACCTCAGCCTCCCGAGTAGCTGTAAACCAGCTGGTTTACAGCTACTCGGGAGGCTAACACTTCCAGCCGCAATTAATATCTTGATTTATAACAATCTAGTTAGGATTAATACCAGCTTAATTTCAGTAGTATACACACATTTTATCCTATATAGTTCTGCCCCACCACTCCTTTGTCTTATTGTTGTCATACAGATTACATCTCTATATATTATCTGCCCAACAAAACAGATTTACATTAGTACTTTATATAGTTGCATTTTAAATTAGATAGGAAGAAAAAAAGAATTACAAACAAAAGATTTATACTATCTTTTATATCAGCCAATGTAGTTGCTTTTGCCAGCACTCTTTTATTTTTTTTTTCCAGAGACAGGGTATTGCCCTGTTGCCCAGGCTGGAGTGCAGTTGCCATCATAGTTCACTACCACCTCAAACTCCTGGGATAAAGGAATCCTCCTGCCTCAGCCTCCCAAGTATGTAGGACTACAGGTGCATGCCACCACACCTGGCTAATTTTTAAATTTTTTTGTAGAGACAGTGTCTTGCTATGTTGCCCAGGCTGGCCTTGAACTTCTGGCCTCAAGTGATCTTCCTGCCTTGGCCTCCCAAAATGTTGGGATTATAGGTGTGAGCCACTGAGCCCAGCCTTATCAGTGCTCTTTATTTCTTCATTTGTATTTGACTTACTATCTGGTTTTTATTCATTTCAGCCTGAAACACTCCCTTTAGTGTTTCTTGTAGTACAAGTCTGCTAGTGACAAATTCTTTCAGTTTTTGTTTATCTTAATTTCTCCTTTATTTTCGAAGGTTAGTTCTGCTGGATATAAAAGTCTTGGTTGACAGGATGCCCCCCCACTCCCACCCCATCCCTCTGCTTTCTGACCTCCAGTTTCTGATGAGAAATTATCTGTTAATCTTATTGAAGATCACTTGTATGTGATGAATCACTTCCCTCTTGTTGCTTTCAAAATTGTATCTTTGTCTTTTGACAACTTGACAATAATGTGTCTATGGGTGGATCTCTTTGAGTTTTATTCTACTTG
The DNA here is from genome assembly GCF_000001405.40 of Homo sapiens. Taxonomy (NCBI): domain Eukaryota; kingdom Metazoa; phylum Chordata; class Mammalia; order Primates; family Hominidae; genus Homo; species Homo sapiens. Next base: position 103,261,543 of record NC_000008.11, on the reverse strand, counting down.
GAGCTTGTAGTGACTTCTTGGATTGTAAATTAATGTTTTTCATCAAATTTGGGAAGTTTTCAGTCATAATGTCTGTAAATATTCTTTCTGCTCTTGTTTCTTTTCTCTTTTTCTGGCATTCTCATTATGAGTGTATTGACATGCTGATGTGTCCCACAGATGTCTAAGGCTCTGTTTATTTTTCTTCATTCCTTTTTTCTTCTCTCTCTAATCTTCAAACTGGATAATGTCAACTGCCCTATCTTTAGATTTGATGATTCTTTCTACTGCTAGCTCAAATCTGCTGTTGAATCCCTCTAGATAATTTTTAAATTTCAGTTGTTCTACTTTCCAACTATAGAATTTTTATTAATTCTTTTTGATACTTTCCATCTCCTTATTGATATTCTCTATTTGGTGAGAAATTGTTCTCATATATTCTTTTAATTCTTTAGACATAATATTTCTTTAGTTAGTTGAATATATTTAAATAGGTATTTTAAAGTCGTTGGCTATTAAGTCCAACATCTGGGCTTCCTTAGTGAATATTTATAATGACTACTTTTGTTTCCCTCTGTGTATGGGCCATACTTTCTTGATTTTTTTTTCTTTTTTTTTTTTTTTTGAGATGGAGTCTCACTCTGTTGCCCAGGCTGGAGTGCAGTGGCGTGATCTCTGCTCACTGCAAGCTCTGCCCCCCGGGTTCATGCCATTCTCCTGCCTCAGCCTCCTGAGTAGCTGGGACTACAGGTGCCCGCCACCACGCCTGGCTAATGTTTTTGTATTTTTAGTAGAGACGGGGTTTCACAGTGTTCGCCAGGATGGTCTCGATCTCCTGACCTCGTGATCTGCCCGCCTTGGCCTCCCAAAGTGCTGGGACTACAGGCATGAGCCACCGTGCCCGGCCACTTTCTTGATTTTTTAGATATCCCTCTTATTTTGTTGAAAATTAGACATTTTAAATTATAAAATATAGCAACTTTGAAAATCTGATTCTTCCTTCTTCCCCAGGATTGTTGTTATTTCTGTTTTTTCTTATTGTTGTTTGTTTAATGGCATTTCTAAACTTATTCTGCAAGGTCTATATTCATTGTAGTGTATAGCCATTGAAATCTGCTCAGTCAGCTTTGTGGTCAGCTAATAATTGGATATAGATATCCTTAGATACCTGAAACCAGTAAGTGTTCTAGCCTTTGCTAAGAGGTTTTGTGTACATATTGGGACATACTGTCAATGCTTAGGCACACCATTTACAACCTCAACCTCTTTTTATTTTTTATTTACTTTTTATTTTTCTCGAGACGGAGTTTCGCTCTTGTTGCCCAGACTGGAGTGCAATGGCGAGATCTCAGCTCACCGCAACCTCCGCCTCCCGGGTTCAAGCGATTCTCCTGCCTCAGCTTTCCCGAGTAGCTGGGATTATACGCATGCACCACCACGCCTGGCTAATTTTGTGTTTTTAGTGGAGACAGGGTTTCTCCATGTTGGTAAGGCTGGTCTGGAACTCGCGACCTCAGGTGGTCTGCCTGCCTCGGCCTCCCAAAGTGCTAGGATTACAAGCGTGAGCCACCACGCCTGGCCTATTTTATTTTTAGAGATAGGGGTCTTGCTGTATCACCCAGGCTGGAGTGCAGTGGCATAATCATAGCTCACCGCAGCCTCAACTCCTGGGCTCACAGATTCTCCAGCCTCAGCCTTCCAAGTAGCTGGGACTACAGGTGTGTGTCACCATACCTGGATATTTTTTACATTTTTTGTAGAGATGAGGCCTCTTTATTTTGCCCAGACTGGTCTTGAACTCCTGGCTTCAAGCAATACTCCTGCCTCAACTTCCCAAAGTGCTGGGATTCTAGGCGTGAGCCACTATACCCAGCCAAATTTCTACTTCTTGCTTGTGCAGAGCCTCAAGGTCAGCCAGAGAAATGAGCTTAGGACTTTCTTAAGTATTTCCTGGGCCTGTACACAGCTCTATACACATGCATGGACTTCCAGATTTCCAGGAATATGTTGGAACTTGTCAAAGCCCCCTATGGAATGTCATTCCCCAGATTTTTCTAAGTTTTTTTGGTCCGATTTTTTGCTTACCCAAATTGTTATTGCTGCTTCATATAGCTGTTTCATTGTATATAACTGCCACTGATTGTTTTCAATAAACACTCTTGGTGAAAATGTTGTCACTGGGCAAGCTCTAGTAGGTCAGATAAAGACAAACTCTGCAAGTGGGGTTTTCCAGGGAATTCGCAGACAGGTCAAGCAATGACAATTCTCTGAAAATGAGGCTTTGAAAGAACTCCAACCCTAATGTGTGTCCCCCAGAAGCTTCTGGTTTTCACAGTAACAGTGGGCTATTGGTTTTCAAGGCTACCACAGAGGTGGGAGAGAGGCATAGAAACAAAGCAAGTTAAAATGTCAAAAAAAATTTGTTAAGATTCAGTCATTTTTCTTGAATTAATGCTTCCTGAATTGTTGCAAGCTTTTGTTTAATATCCAGGATTCTGAAGAAGTTGACATAATATTTTCTAGTGTTTTTGTTGCTTTTGTAGAGGAGATGATATTCAATGGTTCTTATTCCATCATTCTTGCTGATTTCATCATCCAATACAATTTTTAGTAAGACCACACTGCAACTTATTTTACCTTTCTGTGCCTCAGCTTACTCATCTGTTTATTGGGAATAATATTAGTGTCTACCATGAGGGTTTTTGAGGACAAAATAAGTTAATTCATGTAAAAGACCTAGCATAGTAAATGTTAAATATTATTATTTCCCTCTTGTTTTCTTGGCTTTCTAATTTTCAATTTGATATTCAAGAACATCTCACTATTTGGGAAATGAAATGGGAGTCAAAGAGCCTTTAGTCTGGGAGTAATCACTGGTATAACTTGAGATGTTACTGATTTTAAGACTGAGCGCATCTGATTTGGAACCAATAGATCTCCCCGCCATCCCCAACCTCTTGCCATTATTTCCCCTTACCCCTTAACACTTGATTGCTTTCTTTCCATTGAGCTCACTCTGCAGGGTATTCTTCTGGTTGCTCTGGAAATTGATCACTTTCTCATTTAACAAACCCAAGTCCACAATGGCACCTGACAGAAAACACAGCCCTTGAGGGAGCATGCCCTTGAGGGAGCACTACTCAATATTTTAAAGTCATACAATTAATACATGGTAAGTACACAAGCCCTGAAGTATTACTTGGGCTGATAAAAGATATAGCACATGCCCGGGGAAAAGCTCATTACATGGCAGCAAAATTGTCTCATTGATGTTTCAATTCCAGAAGGACAACTGAACCACTTACTCAGGGAAATTTTACATGCCATAAATGAGGCAGAAGGAGCTATTTATCATATTGTGTAATTTCACATACTTCCACTCCCTTGTTACTGGAAGCAACTTGGTATGAGAGGAAAAGCAAATGATTTGGAGCTACAAAGACCTCAGTTCAAATCTCAGCTCTGACACTTATTACCGGTATGACTTACATGAATTCTTTGAGTTCCACTTTTTACAAATGTGAAAAAGAGATAATAACATAGCTCATAGATATTTGAAAGATTAGAGGAGCTAATACATTCTAAGTATTTAGTAGAATGCCTAGCCACATGGTAAACATTTAATAAATATTGAATTTACTTTTAAATAATTTTTCTTTTTCTCCTTCCATACTAATTGAGTTTCCTCTAGATGGCAAACACAGTGTTAAATAACTAGCAAACAAAACATCTGTCCTCTTTCCTAACAGAGAGAGTTTAAGGGCTGATGGGAAAGAATGACACTGAACATTTAAAACAAACAAGTATCAATTACAAGTTGTAATTAGGACACTAAAAGAAAAGAACTTAGTCTGTGGGAAAATAATAGGGGGGACCAATTTAGATTAGGCAGAAAAGGAAGTTCTTCTGAGGAGGAGCCATTTAGGCCTAAAAGATGAGAAGTGGCCACCTGGATGACAGGGAAGGAACCGCTTGGGGAAGGATTCTGAAATAGGCAAAAGCTTGATGTGTTCAAGAATCTGGAGGATGACCAGTGTGAATGCAGCATACTGGAGGAGGGAGAAGGTGGCTGACAGCAGAGTGAGGCAAGGGAGAGGTCATGGGAAGCATTGCCAGGTAAGCATGGAGGAGGAGGGAAAGGGCGAGAAGGAAGGAGAAGGACAGCTAGAATTCACTGAGCACTTGCTGTGTGCCAGGCACACTTCTAAGAATTTTACATTTATTAACTCACATAACACCCTAGATGAGCGGCCTGTTATTGTAGGCCTTGTAACGGGGCTTGTGTTTATTCTGAACGCAATGGGAAACCATTGAGGGATTCTCAGCAGAGAGAGCCGTGTTTGGGTTTAAATCTCACAAAGGGCCTGCTGCTGTGTTGAGGAAAGATTGGAAATATTCAAGAGTAGAAACTAGTCATTATATTCTTAACCACTCTTTTCCTCTTACAAACCCTGTGACTTGAAGATTTGTTGGATATAAAGTGCCTTCTAATGAATGGATACAATTATTACAGTAAGTTCATTGCAAGTGCAGCAGGAAAGAAAAGCAGAAATAAAACTGTAAAAACCATAACATATGACAATTTTATACTTTGTATTAAGTCCTATGGGTAAAAAGTATCTATTGGGATAAAAATTCAAGTTTTAAAAGAAGGAAAAAAATACGGATTTCACAGATTCCTTGGCCTTATAGAAACGGGACCTTACAAAATAGTAATCAAGTTTACACAAAGAGAGTCTGTTGCAATTATTTTGCAAGTCAGCTGAGAATTTTTTAAGTGAATCAGAGATGGTGTAAGTTGCCTGTAACACTACAAGAGAATGAGACTATAGCGATGTGTGGTACTTCCCTGAGTGTGTGGATGCCACTGCTGTAGGACAGGGTTGTCAGTGCACGCTTACCAACTCACTAAGTCCTAGCAAAGGTGCTGCTTCATCAGGAGAAATATTAGCTTTAACATCTAACACTGGTACCTTACATATGCATAATCCAATGTCAAGGATTTAATCGGCATATTTGAGTTAAAATCAAGGGTCGTCTACACTGAGATTTCATGGTTTACTTGCTTCCCTGCCATGCTTGATTGAGCAGATTAGTGACCTGGTAGTGGAGAGTATATCTGTCATCTCTTTTTGCCTCTCTACCTTACATGGTGAATTAACTTTTAAGGCTTAAATAAAAATTCAAAAGGAATAGCTCTGAAGTTGATTTCTTTGGAGATGTGTGAAAATTTAGGGACTCCTTTCTTCTAGATTGTCCTTAAATGTCTGAGTTTGCCAGGACCTGGGTCTCTGGTTCTGGCAGCCTTCACTCGGCTCAAGGGGGTTCACTGTGTTTGGTTGTGTTTACATTTGTTATTGTCTAGGGTAAGATATTTGTATTGGGTGAGGCCTTTTAGACCACAGAAAGATCACTATCAACTTCAAACCTATTCATTTCCATCTGTTAGAGAAACACATTTTGCTTTTACTGTTTATAGAGTTAGAGCCAGGCTTATTGTTCTGATGGGAAGGAGAATGATGTCATCTCTGCTGACTGTAGTAATTGTTTGGGAATGTATTGATATGGTTTTCTACTGCTGGGTTTGTAAGTGTTTTCCTTGTAAATGGCCCAAGGTGGGCAGGGGCATCTTTGCCTAGACAGGCCTTTGCACTCACAGGAAATCTCTGCTTTTCCTTTTCCTCTTGTCTCTGAAATGTGCACAAACTTCTTTCCCCCTTCTTCTACCACTTATCAAACCCTGTGACCCAGTGTCCCCATGATGTGTGCATCAAGATTAGTTACAGATAACAGAACACTCTTGCTGGTTTTAGCAGAAAGGGATTTAATATGAAAAATTAGATGCTTAATGAACCTCTGGAAGGGCTAAGGGGCAAGTTCTAAGCTTACCTCCCACGAATGAACTCTGGTACAGCTCCACAGAGCTGCCATGTTCAGGGAACTGCTATAAAAGAAAAGGAGAAAAACTTGAGACCTTGGTCAAAGTTTTTGCTAAGAATCCATCATTGATTTGTCATTGTTATGTTGGTTATGGATTGACGCAATTGCTTTATTATGTTAATGTTGGGGAAAAAAACCGTGACCTGTGTCTTTGGTCAGTGCAACAAGGTCCCTAGATTTGTAGCCTGGGAGCTTGTTACAAATAAAAGATCTTGAGCCCCCATCCCCACTCCTATTGAATTAAAAGCTCTAGGGGTGCAGCCCAGGAATCTGTGCTTTAACAAGTCCTCCAGGTGATTCTGATGCAGAGAGGGTAACCAAACATCCTGGTTTGTCTGGGATTGTTGGAAGGATTTCTGGGGTACTGGACTATATTGCTAAAACCAGTAAAGTCCTGAACAAGCTAGGACAAATTGGGCACTTAGATGCAGCTAAAGTGTTGGGAAATACAAATTTTATTTGTATCTGTTGTACAAATACAACAATGCCTGGCTTGTTGGCAAGGGCTAAAAAGGGTATCTGTGAGTCATGAGTATGAGGTACAATATTATTGAAGCAATGACGAAACAGCAAAATACTTGTTTGTTACAACTTTTCATACATCAATGAAGAATGTGCCAAAATTCTGAGCTTTCAAAAGTGGCTTTTAGTAGTGAGAATTGACAAACTGAGAAAGCATGTTTTGCAGATGAATTTTCACAAGTCATACACTCAGTTTTATAAAATAATTTTTTCTATAACTGAATTTTAATTTTAAATCTCCATTCTGCCTGGTAGGATAATTTAACCCCAGCCATTTTAAAGAAAACATAGTCAAATCAGAATTTTCACTCTCAAATCTGCCTTCCCCCCAACCCCAGTCAGTTCAGGGTTTCTACCACCCTCTGTTCCCTAGATCATGTCTAAATTCTGAGGAGTTTTCACAGAGCCACGTGTTGAGGGAGAGGGAGGCATCTGTCCCTGCTGGCATCTGCGGAGTTGTACATCATCCCTAAAGGAAATTTCTAGAACATCTGGGTTCCCCATCTGGTTTCTGGTAGTTGGTCCAGGAAAGTTACCCCATATCCTTCTCATCTCTGACTTAGTCTTCAAACCTGCTGGCCCCTCTCAGCTACTTTTGAGCCCCTCATAAGGGAGTGTGAAGGCCTTGGGACATTTTGGGTGCTCTTCCAAACTACTGTAGGATCACACGGGATCTCATGGAGTTCTTGCAGGCTTTGCTGCCTAGACATGCCAGGCTGCCATTTCCAGTATGGATATCTCACCAGGCAGGTCAGGAGAAATGCCATGAAGCTTGTTATCTACCAGGCCTCTATCAGGTGCAAGGCACAGGACTTCTCTGGTTTGGATCTGCCAGTCTATCTGAGGTTTCTGGTGCCCCCTCTGGAGGATCTGATGATGACTCTTGGGGCACAGGGACCCGCGTGGGGATGCACAACATCTATTTTCTTTTCATGTCCTTTCTGTTATTTTGCTCATCCTCCAGTCCAAAGAATGTTTATCTCATCTAGGGTTAGAAAATTTGCACCTGCATAATCAAGAATTATTCTCAACTTACACTTAGGTATCAACTTTACCCCCTTGGGTTCTTTAGAGATGTGGCAAGGACTGTTATTTGCAACTCTACATCTATTCTCCCTTTCTGCTTCAGTAACAAGTGCTGGTTTCTTTTTTTGAATCAGCTGTGTGCCCTGCTAAAAAAATTATGTTTTCCAGGCTCCCTTGAAGCCCAGCATGGTCATGTAACTACAATCAGACAAATGAAATATAAGCGTAAGAGTTGCCTGGTACTTCTGAGACGGCTGCGTAAGTGATCTGACTCAGCAGGAAGGTCTTCTCTTTGCCTTTCCCTAGTTCCTATTGCCTCAGATGTAGTTATAATGGTTGGAGCTCTAGCAACCATCTTGTACCAGCAGGTAATCTTGAGGCTGCAAGCTAGTACTAGGAGGTAACTGAAATATAGACAGAGTCTGAATCTCTGATAACCACACCTGCTCTAGCCTATCTACCAGACTTCTTCTACAAGAAAGGGAAATAAACTGTATTCAAGCTTTTCCATTTTCTGTTTTATGCAGGCTAACCAACTCTAAGAGGGATTTGGCTTTTGTTCTTGAAAACTCTTTTCTCTCAAGCTGTTTTTTCAGCCATGGGTCCAAAGATCGACATAGAAACTCAAAAGATAAAATCAGATCCCTTTTGTTTCTTTGCGTTTATATTGCAAGAACCCTTTTCTGAAGGCCACCAAGAGGACATCTTTTTGCTGCCTGAAAAAGTAGAGAGAAAGAAACAAATGCTAATATTTTAAAATGTTCTATCTTCACACATGAAATTTATCTAAGCAGTCACCATGTCTCGGATTAAAATCTGGACTTTAGGGTTTTAAAGATCTAAGAGAGGCCATATAGAAAAATGAAAGATTATCAATACAATTGATGATGTCTGAAAGCAGTGCTATAGGAGTTCGTTTTAAAACAAAAGCTGCAAATAACATTCTGAGCTGCTTCTCCTAGCCCCTTCTTAATACTTGAGTGTTCTCTCATAGCAGCCGCGAGATCATATTTCTTTGTATTGCCTACTGTATTTCACAGTATGTCCCTTAGTTGACATTTGTTTATTGATCTGGGGCTTGTTGGGTTGACTCTTCAATAAATGGCACAAGTCACCAACTTCACAAATAACTTACTGCTCCTCTGTGTTGACAATTATAGCAAATTGTATTCCTTCTTAAGGAAGTGATGGCTATTCAACCATGGTTAACTAGGTTTCCTGAAATAGGTATGTATCACAGGGCATGTCTTTCTTAATTTTATTTTATTTTTGCAAGGTTGTGATTAATTTGGTTACTGAATTTGATGGTATAGATATTGATTTAGCTTGGCAATCTAGAGAAGTATAATTAATTTCAATAAAAATTCAGCAAAGGCATTTATGTTCTATCTCCAAGAATATATCCCCATTTGAAAATCTATTCCTTCCTCTCATTAGATATTCATAAGCCGTAATTTCAAGTTTTATAGTATCAATTATTAAAAACTACACCGATTCTTCGATCAGATACTATCAGTACAATCATGTTGACAAACAGGCCCTATGACTTGTATTTTTCAGGTCAGTCTTTTTTTTTTTGAGACAGAAGCTCACTCTGTCACCCAGGCTGGAGTGCAGTGGCACGATCTTGGCTCACTGCAACCTCCGCCTCCTGCATTCAAGCGATTCTCCTGCCTCAGCCTCCGGAGTAGCTGGGACTACAGGTGCCCACCACCACACCCAGCTAATTTTTGTATTTTTAGTAGAGATGAGATTTCACCATATTGGCCAGGCTGGTCTCGAACTCCTGAGCTTGTGGTCCACCTGCATCAGCCTCCAAAGTGCTGGGATTACAGGCGTGAGCCACTGCGCCCAGCCTCAGGTCAGTCTTGATTTTTATTTAACGAATTTGTACTCCACTCTATTCCACAAACATAATGTCATTCACAAGAACATATACAATAATGCCAAATAAAACTCAAATACAGAATTAAGACAGGGAAGATCAAGAGGAAAAATCAAGATCAGATTAAAAAAAACAACAACAACAAATCTGTAAAACCCAGGAACCTGAGCTGATAATTGCTTCCCATTTGTCTCAGCCTCCAGAAAGCCAAAACAAAAGGAGAAGCTCTGTAAGTCACATACTTTTATTTTTAAAAAGGAAGCAAATAACTTCCTCAGGAGGTACATATTTTGCCCTGAGCACCAGATTCTCAAAGAAATTTATCCTTTGGGACTTCATAGGGGACCAGGAGGTGCAGAATGGACAAAATTGTGACTCACTTTCCTTTTACTTTAAACCAAAGCTGAGGAAATAATGCTTAAAATTCAGTGAGTGATCTCCCAAATTGGCGTTCAAGGGAACAATGTTCTGGAAGATATTTATAGAAAAGTCATTTAAAAAAATGCGTTCCGTACTCAAATAAGTTTGGGAACCACTGAATTAATCAAAGTCAAGCAGGTTTCTTAATAATAGGTTTTTTGTTTTTTTTTGGAAACTGACGTTTTGATATGCTTTGTGGTTCTCTACAAAAAGGGAATACAAAACTCTGTGTTCTTAGAACTTAACTTACCACCAAAACATTTCTGCTGAGGCATATCTATGAATAATATCTGAGTTCTGTGACACATGGTTTGGGAAGGATGAGACGTGGTGAACTGATGCAGATACAGTGATGGGAGGGCGCTTCAGTGCTCTTGTGAGTAAGAGCATGTGTGTTGGTGCTGGGCAGATGTGGGTACAAATCCTGTTTCTAGCATCTACTGGCCACAGGACTTTGGAGAAATTACCCAAACTCACTGAGCTTTAGTTTCCTTATTCATAAAATGAAGTGTATCAATTTGAAACGTGTTTGGCTCCAAGAATGAAAAAATCTATCAGAATTACTTAGGGGGTTATTTTTCTGATATAATAAGTCCAGGGTCAGGCCATCCATGGCCAATGCAGCTATTCATGGATGTTTTCTGGGTCCAGGCTCTTTCTGTATTTCTGCTTTATATATATATATATATATATATATATAAAGAGAGAGAAGGTTAAGTGAGATAATGTAAGTAAAGTGCTTATATAATGCCTAGCACTAGTTAGTGCTCAATAAACATCAGTTGTTAATATGTATAGGCAGCCTTGGATTCAATGTGATACAAGTCTGTAATTTAGAGTACCTGGAAAGGTGAAAAACTGTATATTCTTCAGCCAATAACAAGTATCTATCTTTTTTATTGGGGAGGCTTTTGATAGAAGCAGACCAGACTGTTTGATGCTACTCTCTCTTGCAAGGCTCTGGAATACTGGTAGATAGAGACCCTGTTTGACAGCAGATGTCCTAGAAACCAGACAGTGAAGAGGAAGGCTGGCATCCTATTGCACCAGGGAGGAACCCACCAGTACTCTCCTCAAGAAGAGACCCATTCCATCTTTGCATGGAGGCATGCCAAGGAGTTCCTAGGCCAGAATTTGATTAGGAAGCAATTTTGAGGACAAAGCTTGGCCAAGTCTAATACATTTCTATCACTGAATGTAGTCAAGCTGATGCAGGGAAGGCTCAATTCTAAGTGTTCTGTCCCCTTGTCAGACCATGGATATAACGTTGTATCCTGACTTTTGGGTTACAAAATACAATAACTGTATATGGAAATAACATTTTGAAATACAAATTAAAAATATATATTATTTATATATCCAATATTATCTCATGGCTATGTGGAGGTGATTTAATACTTTTTTGAGTCATTTTGGGAAATATTGAGATACATATCACTCATATTAGGAGAAGTGCATTGGCAATTAGAGGGGAAAGAAAGAAAGGTATCACAAAAATAACTTGGACTAAATATCATCTAGGAAATGAAATGCAGTCTAGTATGGTGATGAGGAGGAAGAAGAGGGTGATGACATCAGCACCTACCATGTGCCAGACACTGTTTTAAGTGCTTTCCATACCATATGTCATCAATTATAAATATGTGATTTTCCCCATATTTTTAACATCAATAGCTCACTACTTGGAGTGGTCGTTTTGTGTCCAGCACTAACACTTCATCCTCACATCACATCTGTGATGTAGATGCTATTATTATTCTCATTCCAAAGATGAGGAAACTGAGGCTTAGCAAGATAGCAACATGGCTAGTAATTTGGAAGCTGGGATTAGCATACACATTTGTGCTGCTTGTGAGCCAAAGCTCTTAGTCAATACTATATGACATAAAATATATTTATATTTTAACTTTTATAAGGAAATTTTACCCCATCGTGTGTGTGTGTGTGTGTGTGTGTGTGTGTGTGTGTGTGTGTGTATGAATTGGAGATTTATTTATAAGTTGAGCATTGCTCTGCTGAAGACAGTCTAGATGAAATGACCCAGGTTCCCTTCTAGCTATTTAATTTAAAAAAATTAGTATCTAATATCTACATCCTTAAAAAGAGGGAAAAGGCAGGGTGTAGTGGCTCATGCCTGTACTCCCAGCACTTTGGGAGGCTGAGGCAGAAGGATCAACTGAGCCCAGAAGTTCAAGACCAGCCTGGGCAACAAAGCAAGACCCTGTCCCCATTTTTTAAAAAAGGAGAGGGGAGGTGAGGAAAGAAAGCAATACAACGAGTCATTCCCTGTGCTAGGCTAGCTCCTAATTTGTTAGTGCTAAGAGGAAAAGGATCTGACCCAGAATTACCAAATTCTTAGACTCTTGGCTCAGCTGGTTTCCAACAAAGCAATCAGTTGGGCCCAGTTCCACATTACCCGGTTTATCTCAAGCATTGGAGCATGTCTTTCTTTCCACTCTCCCCAAACCTGCTCTTCCTCACTCTTCTGTTCTTTTGAATTCTTTGTTCCAATTGCCCTCAGCCTGTCCAGGGGTTTTTCTGGCATCTTGAGCTTTTTACCAGAGAAGATCACCTTGAGCCCTCAAAGCTATAGCACGGAGCATGAGTCATGTTCTTGCTCACAGGGTTTTTGTTATTTGCTGATGGCCTGGATGGCATCGTCTTTCTTCACAGCTTTTATTTTAAGACATTTAGAAAGCAATCTCAGGCTCTTTCTTGGCAGGTGGTATAGAGGAAATGTACCTGATAGCAATAATGTAAGCATACCCTGATCATGACCCTATATGGCAGATACACCCGAATGACTGTTTCAAGCTATAGAATCTGGGAGTGGCCAACCCTGAGATTTGCTCCTTGTCTATGAAGAATATCTAAGCCCCTGTCTCATCCTGTGGAACATAGGCCATGCAGGGGATTGAGGCCCTGAGTTTTGGGTTATATGAAGGTTGCCAAGTGGAGGTTGTTAAGGGGAGGGTGTTAAGTGAAAATACTACGTACACTGGATGTTTGCAAGCCATTGCAATTTTCCTGTCCAGCCCACTGCCACTGGACTGCAGGAAGGTGGGATACATTGTCCAGCCCACCGCCACTGGGCTCTCTCTGCTGTTTGTGAGCCCCTAATAAAACCCCATGTCTCATGTCCTGGCTCAGGATCTCTTCTTTGGCCTCTTGAACATGGAAGCTTCTTTGTTGAGGTTAATAAGGGTTCAGCACAACACGGGGGCAAAATAGGAGTTTAGGAGGAACAGGTGGAGTATCTTCAATAAATTATCTTTTGTGAATGTTGTAAATACAACTGTGGAGTTGTAAATTTCCTACTAATAGCCAATATTAGAGAACAAATAAAGTGCATGGAACAGAATATCCAAGTGATTTTTCATATCTGAAAACACCTCAGGAAAACTTTATTGAATATTAAATTTAAAATATAGATTCTACAGTATGGTACCAGAAGGTTTAATTTTAAAAAAGGAAACTGTACCAGAATGTTCTGAGAGCTGCGATTATGGAACTGTGATTTGCAACCCTTGTATGATTATTCATCACATAGAAAATTGAGATTTGACCTCATCCTCCTTATTCTCTACTTTGATCAACACCAAATCTACCTTCACTTCAATTCCAAGCACTAGGTCCATAGGGTTTCCCCCGTTTCCCTCAAGGATTAGCACTTGAATCTTAAAAATGATCAAGTATAAAAGGGGAGGATGAGCACCTATATTTATAGCATACCTATTCTGTGCCAGGCAATTCATGTTTTACATATGCCGGTTACCTCATTTAATCTTTAATACCGCCCCTTAAACACTACCTGTATAAAGCTGTTCTTGTGTTGCTATAAAGAAATACCTGAGACTAGGTAACTTTTAAAGAATAGAGGTTCAGTTGGTTCATGGTTCTGCAAGCTGTACAAGCATGTTGCTGGCATATGCTCCACTTCTGGGGAGGCCTCAGGGAGCTTTTACTTATGGCAGAAGATGAAGCAGGAGCAGCAGTGATTGCGGGAGGTGCCACACTTTTAAACAACCAGCTCTTGTGAGAACTCACTCACTAGCTCAAGGACAGCACCAGGCCATGAGGAATCCACTCCCATGACCCAAACACCTCCCACCAGGCCCACCTCCCAGCTTGGGGATTAAATTTCAACATGAGATTTGATGGGGACATATATTCGAACTATATGACTACTCCATCTTCCTTTTGACAGAGGAGGAAATTTAGGCTTAAAATCATTAAGTAATTCCCCCCAAATCACACAACCAATTAGTGGTAGAGCAGGGATTTGAACCGAAGTCTGTCCAACCCCAAAGCCTGCATTATGTTCTCTCTATTAGTGGTTCCACACCCCAGCTTCAGATTAGAATCACCTGTGAAGATTTTAATACAATGCTGACACCTTGACTTTCACCCCAAAGCAATTAAGTCAGAATCTCTGAGATTGTGTGTGGCTTAACTATTGCTTTAAAAATCCCCAGATTATTCTAATGTGCAGCTATGGTTGAAAAATCTCTATTCTAAACTTAATGTTAAATGTCAAAGTTGGAGAATGAACACATTATTATGGATCTAATACTTACGTATGACTAATGTGTGACAACCCAATTGTTTATGATAAAAATTACCCTGACACATACCAAAAGAGCTTTACTTCCCATTGTATTTGCTGCTGCTAGAAATGTAATCAACATTGTTCTCTCCAACTTGAATTCCGAGTAGGAACTGAGCACAAAGACTCAAACCATTTTCTCCAGGTTACCTCCTTAGTAAATGGAGAAATTGGCAGGTGAATAAGGGAATTTTCAGTCTTTTGTGTGTTTCCCAGGGCTCCTCTTGAAACTGGAGTGGGTTAGAAATTGTTTTCCAATGAAGAATATCTTCAGCACTTTGTTTCAACACCTATAGTTCTGAAGGACTTCATAAAAGCTAAGAAAATTATGCTCCAGCTTGTAACTAAAATTTGCTGAGAAGGAAAAAAGAGCTAACAAATTCTACCACCTTTGGATGCATACAGTTGGAAGCTGATTGCAGGAAGACATTGCTTATGGCAGGAAGACATTGAAGTTTCTCACGTTATCTTCCTTTCTCAGGATCTTCTAAGGGTGTGAGGATACAGGCGTCAAAGACCCCGTGCTGAGACAGCTCCATAACAACATGCAGATATTTGGCAATGAGGGTTCAGAAGAGGACTTGCTGTGGAGAAGAGAGAAAAGAGATGGGAAGACTCTGTGAATGAATAGAGAACACTCTGCAAGCATCCCAGTTCCTTTGGTTGCCCTGCAGTCTGCAGGTACCAGGAGAAATCAAAAGCCGCCTGGAAGGGCTTTCTGTCTGTATGGAGTCAAGGCAGTGTCTTCAAATCTGTGCTTTCTAAAACAAAGAAATAACCTTGATGAAACAAATTTTCCCCAGAGGAAGGGGAGAGCCCACAGTGAGCTGGTAAAGAAGATGCCTGGAGCAGGCAGCATCCTCAAATGGAAGGTAATTGCCCTCAAATCACTTAACTAGGATGACCTACTTTGCTTTCCTGTATAGCCAGGTCTGTTATCAGACCCTTATCTTGGGAGGCATCGTGCCAGAGCCTGGGGCAAGAAAGGGCTGCTATCCAGGAATGCAGGTGAAATTATAGCTATTAGCCCTGTCTTAGAGTGTGAGGAAAATGTGCCCCCCTACCCCTGGCTAAGTTTGGGTTCCCATGTCATAAACTGCCTCCCTCTCTGATAGCTCTGCATAAACATCCCAGGAACTCAAAGTAACATTTGATTTCCCAAAGAGAACATTTGCATTTGTAACTGTCAGAAATAGGAGAGATCATCAAAGCTAAATGAATTGGGCTATAAACAGTTTGAAATATGTCTTTAAATTTTAAAAAACATATTTTTTGTTTGTTTTGGGGAGAGAGGATCATTTAGACTCAACAACAAAACAGAAAACTGTGAGTGCCATTTTGAGACAAGACCTACCTGGTCCTTCCCCCTCATACTTTCTGCTACCCCGTGACCTCCCTCTCTCCTTCCAGTCACAGATTATCCGCTTGGTTTTGGAGTTTTAAATGTGTGGTCCTGAGAGGGAGAGGAGAGCAAGAGAATCTCAAGATAGATTTGGAAGATTAGGGTAAGACAGTGAGGGTACTAGAAGTGCTTTCCCAAGTGAGTCCCCAGAAGGGAGGGAAAATATCCATGGAGAAGGGGCAGTGTGGTTGGTCCTGGCTAAAGGGCCTGAACAGCAGAGGCTATTGCAGCCCTGCATAGCACAGGGCAATGGAATAACTTCATAGGCCCCCAAACTGCATGGAAGCAGATAGGGTCTTAGAAGCACGGGGTTGCTTTCCTGGACCTGGTGTGGCTTGGAAGCCACAAAATGTTTCCTGTGCACCTACAAGAGTGTAAGAAAACCACTGGATAGGAAAGGACCTTGCAGACTGGAATGAGTCATCATGCAGACCAAAGTCTACCTCAGTGGATGGCAGTGTGGATGGATAGGGACAGATGTCCGGATACTGTCTGTCGTGTGCACTCCCACCCCAGCCTTTTGGTATTCCTGGTACAAAGATATAACTCTTAGGAAAAACAGAAACCCTAAATAGGCTGAGATTAAGTTTCTTTCACCTGGAAGAATGAAGACTATGGTAGATTTTGAGTTATAAAACTCAAATTTTTGCATTTCTTGAACACCTAAGTCTATGGACTGATATTAGCACCAGCTGCAGAAATAAGCACAGTTCTCACCACTTTTCAATTTGAATGCAGAAGGAGCCTTGTCTGGCCATAGCTCTGCCCTCTACAGTGGAAAACATAACTTTAGTGGAATTTAGAGATCTTTGAGTAAAGACAGAAGAATAGCAAAGTCTGTTATTTACCACCTCACTTTTTTTGTACAAATATTTGAAAGCATTTTCGCATTATACAATACAATTTGTTTCTATTTTGAGGCAAACACATCTGTTAGAGGAATTATTGCATTTCTTCCCCCTAGAAAGCTGTCTCCTTAATCTTTCCACAAAGTCTTGAGAATGTTAGCTTCTTTTTCTACATTGTTGGAAATCACAGCGTGGTGTTCCTCCTGACGGCACTCCCACCTTCATCATTCTGTGCTTACAGTTTCACCACATTCCATTGTTCTAATGAGGTGACTGAGTGGAAGCTGAGGTTAGAAGATAAAACTTAGAACAGGAGCAGCCCTTGGCTCCTTTCCCTTGGAGGGTGCTTCAAAAGAGGTGAAGTTTTCAAAGATAGAACTTCAGGGAGAGGGTTTTGTGTTCCGGCTTCGAAGTGGCAATTCTTTCCTGAGTTGTCACCTGGACTATCTTACCATATTTCCTGGTTGAATGATTCCTCTAAATCTTATCTTAGCCTGGCCAAATATCCCTGGTCCCTTTGATATCTAAGTTTTCTGGCCAAGAAGCAAATTCCTGTAGTTCCAAATCAGTAGCTCAAGTTCCTGGGTCAGACTACCCGCAGGCCCTCAAGTTGCTGTCTGGTTGTCGTCTAAAAAGTTGATGTCACAGGCCAGTTGATATCAAAGAGTCCTGGGTTTAAAAACTGACTCAGGACTTCTAATTGTAAGGCCTTACACAAGTTATGTGACAATTCTTAACCTAAGTTTCCTCAGCTATAAAGTGGGGATTATAGCAATATCCCACAATACCTCTGACAATGAAATAATGTGTATATATTGCTTGGCACCGGATATGGTTTGGATCTGTATCCCCATCCAAATCTCATGTTGAAATGTAATCTGTTATGTTGGAGGTGGGACCTGGTGGGAGGTGATTGAATCATGGGGGTGGTTTCTAATGGTTTATCACTGTCTCCCTAGAGCTGTTCTCATGATAGAGTTCTCGTGAGATCTGGTTGTCTAAAAGTGTGTGGCACCTCCCCACCCCACTTTTCCTCCTGCTCCAGCAATGTTCAATGTGCCTGCTTCCTGTTCACCTTCTGCCATGATTGTAAGTTTCCTGAGGCCTCCCCTGCCATGCCTCCTGTACAGCCTGTGGAACTATGAGCCAATTAAACCTCTTTTCTTTATAAATTGCCCAGCCTCAGGTATTCTTTATAGCAGTACAAGAACCAATACAGCACCTAATAGGCATTCAACAAATAGTAATTCCCTGCTCCTTCTGCCTAAGCAGACATGCATGGGTTTGTGTATCTAAACTGTAGGACTTTACAAAGACTAAAATGGAATTTTTTGAGGCATTTCACTATAATCAATAAAATAAAGTATTTGTAATCATGTTTATTTATCTGCTGATTTCCTATTATGTATTTATCACATTATATTTTAGCTGTCTGATTATGTTATGAGATCGTTCAAGGTTGGAACTCTGTCTAAAATTCTCTATAAATCTCCAGGACTTAAAAAAACACTCAGTGAATGCTTGATAAGTGAACAAATGAATTAATAGATTCCTAATTAGGCATTTAGATGATGGATTTTGCTAATGCCCTTGTCCCATAAGTACTTTAATAAATAATTGTTGAGGACATAGAATGCTCAACATAATGTGTCCTATGATGCTAAGGTCCTTACAATAAAGTGGAGGATCCTAATCACTTACTAGACAAGCACAGGAACTTCTATAACATGAATAGATTGGTACCATAAACTATATATAGAGAGACGGGGCATTTAGCAGAGGGAGAGATTACATTTGGTTGAGGGATTAAGAAAACTTTCATTGCAGAATGAGGTAGCAATGGAACTGAACCTCAGAAGGTGAATGAGTGTGACAACAGTGACGAGAGGGATGCTCCAGTGGACATTTTTGCCTAAGGCACAGTGTGATGGGTGTCCAGAGGGCTGCCAGTAGCCTGGTGTGTAGCACAAAGTATGTGCAAGTTGGTTAAAGCTGCAGACAGAGGGAGGGTTTTGAAAACCAGCCAGACTGAGAAATTGGGTAAGTCTGGCAATGAGAGTTACTAAAAATTTAGAGCAAGGAAGTTTCAGTTTTAATTAACATTTATGGAGTGCCTTCATTTTACAGATTAGGCAAATGAAGTTCAGACAAGTTAAATGATTTGCCCAAAGTCAGACGGATTGAAAGTGACAGAGCTAGAATTCTACTGGAGTCTCTTGACTCCAAGATCAATACTCCCAGCACACCACAGCCACTCCTCTCGCTGCGCAGCAGGATAGGCTGAACTGCAGCGAGGGTGACTGAAGGTAGGGATCCCAGCTGAGAGGAATGAGAGATGTTTCCTTTACATTCAGGCACTGAATCACTGCCACAAGCAAAGCAACCTCAAACATAAGACGATCTCCCGTCTTCCCAATGAGAGGATCCAAAAAGATCTGATCTGAATATAGAAACTGACTGGAAGTGATGGAAGGAGCCAGATTTTGAAGTAAATATGGAGGAAGCCAGTCTTAGTAAAGTCTAAATCTTAACAGGTACAAAAATACAGTTAGAGAAAAGGCATAGGTCCTGATATTTGATAGTACAGTAGGGATATTATATTTAACAATAATTTATTGTGTATTTCAGAATAGCTGGAAGAGAAGAATTGTAATGTTCCCAACACAAAGAAAAGATCAATGTTTGAGGTGAAGGATATTCCAGTGACCCTGATTTGATCATTAGACATTGAAGACAGGCATCAAAATAGCACTGGCATTCCCAAAATATGTACAACTATTATATATAAATAAAAATTTTAAAATTTAAAAAGCATTAATGATGAAGGCAGCAAGTGCTATAATCAGATTTGCATTTTAAAAAGATAATTTTGTCATCAGTGTGGAGCCTGGATTAGAGGCAAAGTGGGAGATAAAGAACGCAGTAGACTTCTATAGAAATCCAGGGGTTTTGGTGGCCTGTGCTAAGGTGGTGGTTGTGAGACATGAGAGGAAAAGACAGGTATAAAAGGCATTTGGGAAGTGTGGGAGAAAAGATTCCATCAGAGAGGGAGAAAGGAAGGTCAAGGGTGACTCCAGAGTTTCTGTTTTGAGCAATTTTGTGTATAGTGGGTCATTGAATGTCAGATGCAAGGCACGTTGATGAGGACAAATTTATAGAGCTAAGAAACTGGAGTGGTATCAGGAAGGGAGAGATAAAGGGGAGAGAAAAGATGTGATAGCAACATAAACAGAAGAGTCAGGAGGAGTGGCTGAGTTCAGGGAGATGCTGAGCTCAGTTTGAGGCACTTTATTCTCTCCTGCCCCTCTCCCTCCAGCTGAGATTTCAGCTTTGTCTTGAGAGTTAATCATGTGCCACCATCAAAAATATTGTCTTTCTTGCTCTGATTATTCCAGGAGGAGCAAGAAAACATGGTAATTACCACTTTGTAATTTCCTCTCCGAAAAAGCTAAGTCTTCTTCCAAATGAACATAATATTTCATTGACATAGAAAAGAATGAAAACAATCTTCTCTTGAAAACAAGAATAAATAAAGCACTCACAGCAATCAATCACTTCCAGGTTGCCAAAGGAGAAAATGGTTAGGTGATCACTGGCCTAGGAATAGGGTGATCAACCCTCCTTGGCTGCCTGGAACTTCCATGGTTTTAGCACTGCAAGTCCTGCACCTTGGAATCCCTCAGTGGTATTAGATTTGGATTCTAATCCTGATTCTATTGCTGATTCACTGTGAAAACAGATACGTCTATTCTGAGCATAGTTCCCTCATCTACAGAATGAGGGGAAAGGGCTTCTTTATATTCTCTCCCGTGATGAGCTCTTGCAGTCCCACGAATCATGTATTGCCAATGACTGCTGAGAGACCACCTGCTCTCATCCCTAAGCTACAGACTTGAATTTCCAACTGCCTACTCGACATCTCCACCCAAATGTCCAATAAACATTAAACACTTTCATGCCCAAACAGAACTCTTTTTTGTTTGTTTTTTGAGATAGGGTCTCACTCTGTCACCTGGGTTGGAGTGCAGTGTCATGATCATGGCTCACTGCAGCCTCAAATTCCTGGGCTCAGGTGATCCTCCTACCTCAGCCTCTCAAGTAGCTGGGACTATAGGTGCATGCCACCACACCCAGCTAATTTTTCCTTTTCTGTTTTTTGTGGAGACAGGGTTTCACCATGTTGCCCAGGCTGGTCTCGAGCCATCTGCCTCGGCCTCCCAAAGTGTTGGGATTATAGGCATGAGCCACTGTGCCTAGGCCCAAAGAGAACTGTTGATTTTCTCTCCCAAACCTATTCTTCCCCATACCTTCTATTTCCCACAAAATGACATCAACCAAATATCTAGGAATCCTCTTTGATTTTCTCATCTGCTCTCTGTAACAATTCCAGGCCAAAACAGCAAGTTCTGTCAGTTCAACCTCTAAAATGTATCCCAAATCCATCTACTTCTGCTAACAGTAGTTAGAGGGATCCTTTAAAAATAAAAACTCGGCCGGGCGCCGTGGCTCACGCCTGTAATCCCAGCACTTTGGGAGGCCAAGGTGGGAGGATCACCTGAGGTTGGGCATTCAAGACCAGCCTGGCCAACATGGAGAAACCCTGTCTCTACTAAAAATACAAAATTAGCCAGGTGTGGTGGCGCATGCCTGTAATCCCAGCTACTCAGGAGGCTGAGGCAGGAGAATTGCTTGAACCCAGGAGGTGGAGGTTGTGGAGAGCCGAGATCACGCCATTGCACTCCAGCCTGGGCAACAAGACCAGAACTCTGTCTCAAAAATAAATAAATAAAAATAAAATAAATAAATAAATAAATAAATAAATAAATAAATAAAAACTCTAACTCCTGTTCTTTGTCTTTCGAAGATCTCAAATAAAAAACTGTTTTAGAAGCATCTCTTGTTTAAAGGGATTTAATTTAACTTTCTTTGCCCACTCAATTGATGTATTTGAATATACATATTTACTTGGGTCTTTCCTGGATCTACAGGGAGTGTTGCTGGCCTTGTCACACTGCTGGGTATGAGTATTATGTCTGCCTGGAGAACAACATTGTATATTTGATGCTAACTTTTAGGCAGTTTATCTGTACAAAGGAAAGATGTGAAAGCCCCAAATTCACTGCCCTACAACTCCTAACAAATCACATCTTTACATCCAAAGTCATGTCTCACTTGCCGATTACCAGTTTGGGGAAAACTACCCGCCAAAGAGTCTGCAAATGAAAGATGTCAAGTTTAAAGGGACATCATAAAGTTCCTAGAGCCCAAACCAACTAAAGAGATTTCTTCCTCTACATTATCTGGAGTCAGTGCTTCTTCCCAGAACCAACAAGTACATGCTCCTTAGGATGGTTTCTTGAAGATATTACTTTCCTCACCCCAGGGATGTCTAAGGTCCATTTTGTGTTAGACAAGAAGTGCTTATCTTGAAAACAGGTTCATTTTGTGGTGGATGAGAACAAAGTACTTAAATAAAGGGCCAGCCTTCTGGTACATTTACCCTTGAGAGCTGAATTTTCTATGCCAGGCTTGCTCATGTCCTGAAAATTTCAGGGCTGAATCACAGTTCAACAATAATAACCTTGTGTTTACCTTCCTATGCTAGAGACTGTGCTAAGTGCTTTATCAATATATCCTTACTAAATCCTCCCGATATCATGAGATATTTTGAGCCTCATTTTCTAAATGGGCAAAAGGGAACATGGGGAACTGAAATGACTTGCCAAGGTTACAAACCTAGTAGGTGGTGTAGCTGGCATTCAACCCAGGAAGTCTGACTTAAGGCTGCCTTATGGAATTTTTGAGACATGAATTCCATCTGTGCTCTGCTGAGCCAGTGATTCTCAAACCTGGCTGTACATCAGGACCATCTGGGGAATTTTTAAACATCTTGATTCTAGGTTGTACCCCAGACCAGTTAAGCCAGAATCTCTAGGAGGTGGGACCCAGGCAGCAATAGTTTTTAAACCTCCTCAGGTGATTCCAATGTGCAGCCATATTGCCAGTCAGTGTGCTATACAATCATGATTCTTTCCACCTGTTATTTTTTAATTTTATTTTTTTTTTGAGGTGGAGTCTCACTCTCTTGCCCAGGCTGGAGTGCAGTGATGCGATCTCGGCTCACTGCAACCTCTGCCTCCCAGGTTCAAGCAATTCTCCTGTCTCAGCCTCCTGAGTAGCTGGGACTACAGGCGCACACCACCATGCCTGGCTAATTTTTGTATTTTTAATAGAGACAGGGTTTCATCATATTGGTCAGGCTGGTCTTGAACTCCTGACCTCAGGTGATCCATCCACCTCGGCTTCCCAAAGTGCTGGGATTACAGGTGTGAGCCACTGTACCTGGCCTCCACCTGTTATTTTTTAAAACTAGAAAATAATTATATTTGTTGCTTTCCACAAGCAATAGTTAAGAGGCCAATGAGTACAAGACATTGTATACCTCCTATATTTGCATTTCCTTTCTCTTTGGGGACTCAGCTAGCTCAGGCCTTCACTTTCCTATTCAAGAAGGAAGAGGAAAAAGTGATTACTATGGTACCTAGATAATGCTTAGATTTGTAATATGTTTTAGAAAAAAAAACAAATTTATTAGTATTATCTTCAAATGAATTTTAATATTGTGGCACAACTGGAAAGACTGCTACTGCTTTATTACTGTTAAGAAAAAAAAGAAACAAAGCTGAAATTTTGCATAATTGTGTCTAGGGTGCTATAATTGATCCTAGAGAGGCACTGACAACTTGGAAGTGCCAAGATGTGATGCTATACAAAGGGCTGTGAAGTTACTTGCACAGTGACAAAAAGGAAATGAATATTTATGGAGCACTTACTCATGGTTTAACAGACAGAACATGGGTTTTCATAGACAGGCAGACATGGGTTCAAATCCCAACTCTGCAATTTACTAGCTGTGTTTGTTTTGGTTTTGTTTGTTTTTATTTTTTAAGACAGAGTCTCACTCTGTTGCCCAGGCTGATGAGCAGTTGCGCCATCTCAGCTCACCACAACTTCCGACTCCCGGGTTCAAGCGATTCTTGTGCCTCAGCCTCCCGAGTAGCTGAGATTACAGGCATGTGCCACCACGCCTGGCTAATTTTTGTATTTTTAGTAAAGACAGGGGTTTCACCATGTTGTCCAGGCTGGTCTTGAACTCCTGACATCAGGTGATCTGCCCTCCTGGGCCTCCCAAAGTGCTGGGATTACAGGCGTGAGCCACCATGCCTGGTCGGCCTTGGGCCTTTAAGTCTCCATTTCCTCATCTGTAAAGTGGGAGCTGAGAAGCCTTACCTGGCAGGACTGTATGATTGATGAGATAGTGTGCGAAGCATCTAGTATAGTATCGACGCATGGCGATAATTATGATCAGGTGGCAGACACCATGTTATCCACATTTGTTATCTCCCTTTATCTTCACAATACACCCTCAAAAATATGGTATTATTTTCATTGATGGAGGTAAGCCCTGAGAGACTCCACAATTTGCCCCAAGGCACAGAGCCATGAAACATCCAGTTAGGATTGGTCTTCTGTACCTGAAGCCTGTGAAGGCTGGCTGCCATACCTTGCTTCACAGGCCATCCCATAGCTGATGTATTTATTAGAACAGAGGGAGGGAGTCTCTGGATAATGGAATCAAATTTAAAAGGCAAACAAATTTTCAGCTATCTTCCAAGCACATGACAATGTTATGAAAAAGTCTATTTGGCTCAGAAAGGGCACTATCATTTACCCCTTTTCCTTTTAAGGTGGAGCTCTACCTGGAGAACACCCATCTAAGAAACTGAAATTGCAAAGCTCCCTCTGGCTTAAGTACTCCTAGCCTTAGCTCTATGCTGAGCTAAAAAAACAAAACAAAACAAAACAAAACAAAAACCTGGGTGAGCCATTGTCTAATCACATCACATGCACATTCCCAAGAGAATTAAGCATAAATTTTTTCTGCTGCTGGTTTTTATGGTCTCCCATGAGAGACCATAACAATTCAAATTGTGAGACATTTTGAAGTAATTTAAGAAGAATCAAATATTGCTGAAATAATTTGGGAGCTCACTGCAAGGGAACTTGGGAAATATAGCCAAGCTGGGTTCCTAGGAAGGAAGAGAATGGGCTTTAGGGAATAGGTACAAAATCCCTGCCACACAGGCCATCCAAGGGGAGGTGTGCAATGGTCATTTGGAAATATGGCATAGGAGCTTGGGATAGAGTGGAAATAGCATCTAAATTGTTGAGGCCATGGGATCAGATGAACTTGTTAAGGAAAACTGGGTAGAGTCTGAAGAGGAAAGGTTGAAAAGGGAACCTTGAGGAATACCAGAAATTAAGGGACAGGCAGAGGAAGAGGAATCAGCAAAGGAGACTGACAAAGAGTAGAATCAGAAAGACGGGGGTGACCAAAAGCAGGGTAGCATTTCCAAATGCAAAAGTTGACAAAACTTTGAGGAAACCCATCCTAGGGCTGCCCTAAGAAAATACCACAGAACAGTGGGCTTTAAAAATGAAAATTTATTTTAACAGATGCAGAGAGGTCCAGCAGGATGAGGACTTAGATGGTGTCATTGACTTTGGCAATTAGAGTATTCGTGACCCTAGAGTGTAGTTTCAGTTGGAGTAGTGGAATCAGAAGTGAGATGGTAGAGGCCTGAGAAGGAAATGCAAAGTGATGAAGTGGAGCTATGGAGCAGAGGGCTCACTGACAGTGGAAGACGTTTCTGGCATCCCAAGCAACTACTGATTATGAAATCTCAATTAGTCAGTAAATCTGTACTGGGCACCACATTTCCTGAAGTGCCATCTTAACAATTTTTAGTTGAGTCAGCTATTGCAAATATCTTTCTTCATCAGGGAGAGTGACAGGCTCACTGTGTGGTGCTCTTAAGTGTGTATGCATTTTCCTTCTCATCCCAGCTCCTACTACTCACAATGCCCTACAGCATCCCTTTATATCACCTGCCTGTCCCCTGAAAGCATGTAGTTTGTGACTTCTGTTAAGATATCTCTTGGGGCTCCTTTCCAAGTAACTTCTTATATCTGGGATAAATCAGAGATTCCCTCTGTAGCAAAACAGAACACTTATTTACTTATTTATTGGTCTTAACATCTTTTATTGTGGTACAATATACATAAACAGAACATTTATAGACCAGTGGCAGTGGGATGTATATCTCATGCTAGGGAGGAAGTGGAGGACTATCTACTGGTGGAAACCAAGTTGTGGAAAAGATGATGTTTGACTATGATAATAAAAAAGAAAGACAAGAGAGATGATGCTGTTTATATAGAAGCCTGCAACTACAACAATGACTCTACCCTGGAGATTGATCAAGGAAGCATCCAGTAAAGGAATGCATTATTAAACCAGCTACCTGCTGGGTAACTGGAACTTAATACACCTGGGAAAACTCTAGGAGCTTGCGTAAAATACGTATCTCAGCATTACCCCACCCAAGGTTGAAGGAGCTCTCATCAGTCATTGACTGATTGACAGGTGCTGGGATGAGGATAGGAATGAATAAGCATCAATAGCGCCAATGCCCTGGCAACTCCTGCCATGGGAGTGGTGAGATAAAGACTTCAGGCCACAGACAGCGGGTGCCTCAGTTAGAAGTCAGCATGGGTGCAGTAAAGGGGTTGAAGGGAAGGTAGAGCCAGTGGTGTCTGCTGTAGTCCTGTGCTCTTTTGTCCTCTGCCATTCTGATTCCTTTGAATCAAGTTCTACAAGTCTGAGTCCTGTCCCACAAATATCTGCCTCATAAAAACGTGCAGATATTTTTCTAGGGTATTGTATTAGATTGCTAGGATTGCCATAACAAAATATTGCAGGCCGGTGGGCTTGAAAAACAAAAATTTATTTTCTCATAGTCCTAGAGGCTAGAAGTCTGAGGCAAGGTTGGTTTCTTCTGAGGCCTCTCTCCTCGGTTTGTAGGTGATCATTTTCTCTTTTGTCTTCATATGGTCTTCCCTCTGTGTGTGCCTGTCCTAATCTTCTAATCTTATAAGAACACTGGTCATATTGAATTATGACCCATCCAAATGACCTTATTTTACCTTACTTACCTCTTGAAAGACACTATTTACAAATACAGTCAGTCACATTCTCAGGTATTGGGGGTTAGGACTTCAACATATGAATTTGAATTTGGCGGGGACACAGTTCAGTCCTTGACAG
Source organism: Homo sapiens (assembly GCF_000001405.40). Lineage (NCBI taxonomy): Eukaryota > Metazoa > Chordata > Mammalia > Primates > Hominidae > Homo > Homo sapiens. Next base: position 103,234,747 of record NC_000008.11, on the reverse strand, counting down.
GTATATATTTAAAAATGGAATTGTTTGGCCAAAGAATATACACATTTTAAATTTGAATAAGTTGGCTAAGTTGACATTGAAGAGTGGCAGAATATGCTTTTCCAGAATATGCCATTTTGGCATAAGGGTTATTTTGAGCTAAAAGCACTTTTAAAAAGTGGGTGCGAACAGAACTTTTTTTTTTTTTGAGACAAAGTCTCACTCTGTCACCCAGGCTGGAGGGCAGTGGCACGACCTTGGCTCACTGCAGCCTTGATCTCCTGGGCTCAAGTGATACACCTGCCTCAGCCTCTCAAGTAGCTGGGACTACAGGTGCATACCACCATGCCTGGCTAATTTTCTTTCTTTCTTTCTTTCTTTTTTTTTTTTTTGTAGAGATGGTGTCTTGCTATGTTGCCCAAGCTGGTCTTAAATTCCTGGCATCAAGTGATCCTCCTGCCTCAGCCTCCCAAAGTACTGGGATTACAGGTATGAGCCAACGTGCTCAGTTCTTCAAGCAGAACTTTCTGACTTCCCTTTTTTTCCTGAAAGCATATAAAACTCCCATGTAAAAGATGCCCTCTCTGTACCAGGAGGAAAGAAATATCTTTATCACCAGAGACAGAGACAATTCTCTGTAAACAACCGAATTTTGTTAAAACAACTCTTATCTTTCTTTAGCTTTCCTGTATATTTTAATTACTTTTTCACAATTGCCTCACTTTGTCCAACATAGTAGGAAAGCATTGAGATTTTGCAACTTCTTTGGGCCGTCGTTTCTTTATAAAGTCTCTCAACTCACATAAAACTTAAAATTAAGTAAATCTGTATGTTCCTCTCCTGCTAGTCTGTTTTGTGTCAATCTAATTCTCAGGCCCTGCTGGGGTTCCTATGAAGGTAGAGGTAAAGCTTTGTCTGCCCTACACCATCCAACATAGTATCACTAATTCTATTTCAACCAGCAGTGTCTGACATTACTTCTTTCCCACACCCTTCCCAACACTGATATTATCACATTTTAAAAACTTTGCTAATCAGATAGGTTAAAAAGTGGCATCTCTTTTTTTAACCCAAATTTGCCTAATTACTGATGACACTGAGGATTTTTTGTATTTTTCTTGGCCATTCAACTTTCCTCCTGCCTGTTCATGTTATTTTCTCTTGGTCATTTGTCTTTTGCTTATGAAATTCTCATTTTTCTTAATGTATATCACTATACTAACTCTTTGATACATGGGCTGTAGATATCTTCTAATAGACTATTATTCATCTTTATGTGAATGTTTATCATACAGAGGTTTTAAATTTCAATGTGGTTACCTGCGCCCTGGATCTGTTCTCTTCTCACTTCCTCAAGGACTTTTTTACTCCGTGGATAATGCCCCTACCCTTCCAGCTTCAACCTCACCCTAAGGAATCCTTGCAATTGTTGAGAAACATACTCTAGTATGTCCCACGTTTTACAACTTCTTCTTGACCCGTCTCTTTCTCCAATTGCTGGCCTCTTTTTGCTTTGTTTCATAGCAACATTTCTCAAAAGACAGTTTTTTTCATTCCCTCCACTTCCTCACCACCCCTCCCGTCATCATCCTCTGTAGTCTGGCTCTATGACCACCTCTCTGCTGGAATTGTTCTTGTTAAGATCACCAGTCACCTTCATGGTGCTAGTTGGAGTCACATCTCTGTTCTCACGTGATTTAACCTTTTGGCAGCATTCACCGTGACTGACCATTTCTCCCTTCATGAAACATTTTTTTTTAGTGTTGGCTTCAGTAAGTGAGCTCCCTGTTTTCTTCCTAACTGCCTCAGCACTTCTCAGTACCCTCTGCTGACTCTTCCTCCACCACCAACTCCCTGAATGTTGGGGTGTCTCCCGGCACAGCCCTAGACTTTCCTCAGTAGCTTCTCATCAGGTGAACTAACTCCTGTGCCATTAAATATCTTCCATGTGTTGATGACCCCCAAATGCACAGCTCTACCCTTGACCAATTCCTTGAACTTTAGACTCGTACATCCAATTCCCTACTGGACACCTCCCCTTGGTTATTTCATACTTAATGGGTCCAAAATGGTTCTTTTTGATTTTCACTGCCTCCCCAAAAAAAACTTTTCCCACCCTGTTTTCCCCTATCTTGCCAAAAACCCTGTTGCTCAAACCAAAAAACTTAGGAATCACCCTGATTTCTCCCTTGACTTCACTTTCTACACCCAGTCCATCAGCAAGTCCCAATGTTTCCATTTCCAAAATGTTCTCAGCATCCACCTATTTTCATCCGTCTTTGCAACCATTACCCTATTCCTTGCACTGACATCTCTTCCCAGGACTATAGCTGTAGCCTCCTAAATGGTCTCCTGCTCCCTTCCTGCTTCCGTCCAGCTCATTCTCCTATTAACATTCTTTTCAGCATTTATCCCCATCTTAAGTTACTGTAATGACTTATTTCTTTATGTCGTTATTTTCTGTTTCCTCTACTATTTTGCCATCTCCGTGAGGGTAGGGACCAGATATGTTGTATCTCTCACCACATCCCAACTTCTGGCACATTGAAGAGTCTCAGTAAATACATTTGGATTAAATAAATGAGCAAGTGAATGCATGATTTTAAATATTAGGTAATATTCATAATTTGCTCAGAAAATTCTCCTGAGATTGGCCACTTCCCAGACTGGTGAAACAGGAGAAAAGGACCTTGTATATCTCAATGACTCCTGAAAAGAGTGTAAAAACAACATGTTTGGGAACATACAGTGGAGCAGGAGTTACAAGCTCAAATGTCTCTGGGTTCTGGCAGGTAACAGAAATGGGGAGGTTACCATGTGTAAGCCACAATGAGTGGTAGCGACCATCACAATCTGGAGACCCTCCCAGCTCCAGCTAATGCAGACTCATCAGCTCCAGCCAGATGTGGCCAAGCAGCCAAGGCCCCAAGGGTGAGCGATCTTCCAATTTTTTGAAAGATGGAAGTATATGCATACAAATTAGAATTAGTTTTGTTCAATTTCTCAGACTTGAAAAGAAAAAGAATCAGTTTTGGCTGTGAGTAATCATTTGAAACAGCAACTTAAATGAAGTAAAGTATATTTCTTTCCCACAAAAAGAGGTTTGTGGTATATAGTCCAAGACTCATGAAACTCTATGGAATTAGGGACCCATGCTTCTTCTAACTTGTTGCTCATCTTGGCATGGCTTTCATTCTCGAAGTTGCTTTATGGCCCAATGGACTGAGGTAACTCCAGCCATTACCTCCTCATTCTGCACACCAGGAAGCAAAAGGGGAAAGAAAGAGCCTGACTTCCTGGAAGCTTCTATGCCTCACTTTTATTTCATTTCATTATCTAGAACTTAATCATGCTGCAACTTCTAGCTGCAAGGGAGGCTGGAAAGTGTAATGTTTGTTCTAAGTGGACATGTGCTCAACTAAGAAAGAAGAGAAGGATGGATACTGGAGTTCTAAAGTAGGAGTCTATGCCAGAGCTGGCTATTTATGTGAAATTCCTAAGTAAGTTTTGACACCATGACGGCTAAACACAGCAGCTCTGTCACCTGATTTCAGCAGAGGAGCTTCCAGTGTTGTGAACCGTGCTTAGAGCAGTAAATGTGAATGGGATGCACTTCAGTGTCACATGGGGCAGCCCGCAAGTCTGGCTGGTGAGGATCAAAAACAGATGCAGGTTAGCAGGACTCAGACAGGCAGTGCAAACGGGGGTGTGTTCAGGTACCCTGGGAGGTGGGGGTGGGTTGTGGAAAGCACTGTGAAAGTGGGCCATGAATAAAGGGTGAGGGGCTACTGTCTCTTACCTGTACATCCAAGCTGTGCTCAGGACATTGGCAGCAACGTGGGAGGTCCCTGGCTTCCCTTACCTTTAGGTCTAAGCAGATATCCCAAGGGGTGCAATTTCTATTTTCTCTGAATTATAAAGTCCCTCTCAGTGTTCTGACCTCTCACACCAGGTCAAGGTCACTCTCTCTGGAGGGATAAGTGAGCCTGAACCAGAACCAAATTCCCTGAGAACTCACTGGCCCTTTCCAATCACTGTCTTCACTACCAGCCCTCTTCAATCCTCTCTCTCTAGCCCCCTCCAATCACCCAAATTATCCTTTTAGACTTGGACTCAGCCCAGCCTGAGGCTCCATGACAATTCCCCTCTAAATGGCCTCATCTCTCAGTTACACCAGACCTTCTTGCCATGGTGGCACCATGTGGTGGCAGGAAAAGAACTAAATTTGCAGACAGGCTTCCCCCACTTGAATTTCTGCACCAAAAGTTACTAGTTGACTGGACTATAAATATTTCCATAAGTGTAAATTGGTGCTAATAGCATTCTTCTTACCTACTTCACAAGGCTTTTTGGAGGATTCACAGGGTTCACTTATGTAAAAGGTCTTCATTTTTAAAAACTAGTCTAAATAGTTCTGCATACAAATTTAAGGTTTCAGTAAAGATTCTCTGTAACTGCCCATATATGTTTAAAATTAATGACTTTATTGACACAAACTTTGCAATGAAAAGTGGTATCCTAATAGGATAGTAAGGATTAGTTTCTGTCTCATACATACATGAAAAAGTAGCCAGATGCATTTTTAGTCACATGGTTTAACTTCTGGTTGCTGTCTCCGTGAAATCCAGATTGTTCTGGGGAGGGCCAGATCATGTGCCCTGCATTTCCTTCTCCCCTGTAAGTGAGAAAGTGTTTCTATATAAAACAGAGACACTTTCTTAAGGTGATAAATTCCAAACAACATGCAGCAGTGAACTGATGCAGAAACAAAGCTGTAAAGAGAAGCCACAAAGCACATCCCCAGGGAGAAAGAGCCCTTGAACTTGCAGGATCACTGCCAACCTTTGGCAGCTGGGGGCTCCTGCTGAGTAATGCCAGTGGGGACATATGAATCACAGGTTTTTCTTTTATCTTATTATTGTTAAAAACATTTTTTAGAACATAAAGTTCCTAAAAGCCCTTTCTCAAAGAATCACAAAATGATGAAGGTTTAGAAAAACTATAGTTGCGTGTATGGTAAAGTCTTGTACATTGATTAGAACACCTAGTTTAAGACACAAACCTACCCTGAATATAAAAGTTTCCATTGCAGAGTGATTTGCAACACACACTATACCTTAAGGGTCTAATTCAGTCTCCTAGTTATGAAGTCACTGTTAGATTCAGGATAGATAGTCACGACTAACCAGACCCCAAATCCCTCAACATCTGCATAGTACCTGGCACAGGATGGACATTTAATGTTTTGTGAATAAATATACAATCTGCCAATGGAAGGAAGGAAGGAAAAATGACACTACCCACTTGTGTTTGAAGAATAACAGAGTTAGCAGATAAGGAGGTTGCGTATCTGACTTTTGACCTGCATGTCAGTTCTCTGGACTATGTTACATAAACATAACACCAATAGGCTGCCTATTTCTGCTAAACATGGAATTTATTGATATAGTTTGGCACAACTTTAGTCCTATCTTTCCCAATCCCAGGCATGTTAACAATCCTTGAAAAATCATGCTACATTACTTTGGAGGAAAATACTTCCAGATGAACATGTTTCAAGACATACTAGAAAATTATTCCTATCAAAACATCCTTTTTCTGTGTCAGCTACCTCATTTCTAATGCAGTGCACATCAATCTAATGTCAGTATGAATACACATCAACCAGGTGCTGGCTTTCTAAAGTGATTCCTTTGCAGATGCCAAAATGACAGTCCTGGGGCAGTGTACAGAGAGGCCAAGGGGAAGCCATGCCTGCTGCCACATGTCTCTGGATCATCTCCCTCTCCTACGCAGTGTTCAATCTTTGATTAACAATTGCAAGTGACCCCGATAGAGAGGGAAGACAGTCAAGAAGACAAGCAAAGGGAACTGGAAAGCTATGCAAAATTGCAATGTCTAGCTGAGCCCTGAGGGGTATCCTTATTTGGATGCATTGGCCACAAGCATGGTGACATTAAGGACTGGAGGCCAACATGGACACTGGAATAGGAGGACTTTCCAGGCAGATGAGGAGCAGGTATGACTGCTTCACAGACACCTCCCAAAGACATGCCATGGGCAGTGGGTTGGTGCATGGGAAACTGGATCCGATCTGTCTCATACCAAGCTAAGGAAACAAGGATAACAAGGAGTTTTCCTGTACCTTGATTTTTTCAATATGTGGGTTTAGAGTTGGATGAAAGCCAGCTTTTAAGTGAACCTGGTAAGATTTGTAATGACAATATTTAAAATGAAAGAAGGAAAGAATAAGCTTGCCTGAAACAGAATACACTATCATGGGCAGGAGAGTTATAGCACTAAGGTGTGACTCTTTCACCCAGAAAATGCATTCCTACTTTTCTGTTTCATAAACTGACCTGTAGCTTTAACTCACTACTTTTACACCAGACCGTATTACAGGAGTTGCAAAGAGACAAACTGAACTGCACATTTGCAGTTTATTAACATATGTAAGCACTGTGCCAATACATTTACATGATAAGTAGAAGGCTCAGAAGGTCCCAACAAATCAGGCAGCAGTTTGCTGCCAGGTAAGACAGTCTTGCCAGGGACTCAGTAGAATTCAGGTCCAGCAAGGGGCAGCCACTTCTTCAAGGTTCTTTGATGGGATCCAGTGCCGTGAAGGACACTGAAGAAGTCCATCTGCCCTTCTGCTTGGACTCTCTGCTAGTTGACACAGTTCTTTGTGATTCTTCGACTTCTGTCCATCTGTTGGATGCTATCTGTTACATTAATGGTGACTTCTTTTGCAGGCATTCTCTTAGCATCTCTTTTAGCCTGTTAAGTTGAAAACAGTGAATTGAGTTACTAGGAAATGTAAACCAAAGAAAATGACCGAGGCAAGTCTCAATCAATTTAGAGGTTTATTGTGCCATAGTTGAGAATGTGCCTGGGAAAAAGGAACATAAATCACAGGAACATTTGTGATCTGTGCAAAAATTCCCAAAGAGGGTTTGAGGACTTCACTATTTAAGGGGGAAAGAGTGGGCAGTAAGGGAAAGAGGAAAGGAAAAGGGAGGGTAGAGAATAGGGGCAAACAGTTACATTCTTTTGAGGCTTTGATGAGCATTCACTGAATCCACATTTTATGTGTGAAAGGAGGGGATAGAGGAACAGTCAAATATGCATTTGTCTCATGCTCAATGAACTTGCATTTTTTACATAAGATAAAAGAAACATAGAATAGTTAATGAGTAAAATATGCATTTGTCTCAAGTGAGCAGAGGGATGACTCCTAGTCCTGTCTTTGTCCCATACCTGTGAAGATAAGCTGTTAATTTACATGGGGTGAAATCCAACAGAACTCTGTTTTAGGGTAAAGATCTTAGGGCCCACAAGGAATTTCTTTGTAAGAAATTGTGAGGGAGTCCCCCTGGAAGGTATGTGGCCTTCTATCTTTGCAGTTATCTGTTTAGGAACAAAATGGAAGGCAGTTTTGGGTGGCTTAGCTCCTAAGCTTAACTTTCCCTTTCCATAGTGAGTTTGGGGTCCTGAGATTTTTATTTTCCTTTCACAGAAATATACGAAGGTCCTCACAATTTGCATTAATCTCTTGAGATTATCACAAATACACACACACACATACACGCACACACACAGTCAGGAAGAATGACCCACAAGAACGCATGCACATATGCTTCCTATCAGAGGTTTCTTTGTTGAATCTTTAATACCAACACAGCACAGAGCCTGGAATAGGGCATGTTTATTAAAACACTGTTGAGTGAATGAGCTATGGTCCATCAAAGGGTAATGTGAAAGTTTTCATAGTTGGCTTTAGTAGAGTGGTTAAGTGTTTGAGCTTTGGAGTCAGAGAGACTTTGGTTCAAATACTGGCTATATGATTTCACTATGGGCAAGTTTTTCCAACTCTCTAACCCTTATCTGTAAAATGGGGAATAATAATATTATCTCTCTCATAAGGTTTTTATATGGATTAAATAAGGTAATGCATGTAAGGTACTTAGTACAATGACTGTCACTAAATGAAAATGGGAAAAAAATAAGCTTAAAAAGTAGGATAGACTATCTACTTCTAACTAAGGATAAACCAATGACAAAAGTTCTGAATTAATATTAAACATTAAAGCATTAATTAAATTGTAGGTTCTTTAAGTATATGTGTCCAGTCCCTGACTCTCCATCCCCTAAAAGAGAAAACAGCATTGGTGAGGGGCAGTGTTGTGCCTATTCTTGTGATTGTGTGCTGGGGGTGAACACGAGTGGGCTTGTGAGTCACCTCCACTAGTGGATGGACACAGTTATTTGCTGCCCAGCCCCATTCCAGAAATGACCTGCTGCCTCGCTGCAGGGAGAACAGTCAGCAAGTAGCCTCCAGCTGGGGACAGCATCAGCTGCAGAGAGCCACCTCACTCAAGTTTGTGCCCTTCCCAAGATGGGCCAATGTGCAGGTAAATGGAAGGGCATAAAGGTCTGACCATTTGGGCCCTAAACAGGTCAGCTCCCACAAGCCATTTAGCTGCATGGAGCAGGGGTCGCTGAAGCTGTTGTCAGCTTGCATTGTGGCTGGACTTCTCCCTTAACCCACTCCTGCTTCCATCATCCCTTTCCACAGGCGTTGGCCTCAAGGGCACTTCCTAACATCCTGTATAATGACATCTTGGTCTGCCTCCTGGGAACATAGTCTGCCTCAGATCCTGTGGGAACACCCCTCCAGGCATGAGCACCTCCTTGTGCTGGGTGTTGAGAGATGCACATTTTTCAAACAACATGGCCCCTGAACACAAACTACTTCCTCTGTAGTGCATCCAAATAAATGGTGAACTATTGCACTGATGGAGAAAAATCCATTGTTCTGTTGTATTTATTAGCAAACGATATGTATGTTTCTAATATGTCACATAAATCCTGTGTCCTTGTGTAGCTGATGGCGACACCCCTCTCTAGATCCCCTTTACTCTGCCAGAGCATCCCTCCCAGCTGCTGTGACTGTTGGCTGCTAACTGCTCACAGCACACCCTTCTTTTGAGAATTGCCCTCATCTGATTGGAGCCACCTCCTCCAGGAATGCCAAAGAGGCCCATATCCTGGATAGGCCCATATCCCATGCCTGATTGTTAGGATAAAAAAGGCTGCCCCTTAGCCTCTTGGGGGTACAAATCCATGGTGCTTTGCTTGCCCCAGGTCTCCTTGTGGGATCTGGCTGAGGCTAGACTACAGCTGTTCCGCTGACTGAACTCACACATTTGCTGAATCTGATCCCCTGCCCTGCCCTGCTTCCTCCATTACCATGCAGGTTTCACCTGAGTGTACTTTTTCAATTACTTGCATGAGAATTACTTGCATCCTTTCAATTACTTACATCCTTATCTCAGGTTCTGCGTTTAGGGAACCTAACCAAAGATCATACTTTATGGGTGATTTGAGGAACATTTAAGGATAATTTTGACTCTACATAATTTTAGTCTTATCTATTTATTTCATGAGATAGGATGTCATTGCTTTCCTCTGTGTGTTCCCAGTGCCTAGCACAGTTCTGAGACATCATAAGCTCTCAGTTTAACTTTGTTTGAATAAGTGAATGAATGAATGAATGAATGCACCACACTTGTCAGTGTACCCTTGCTTTAACAACCAGTAGGCAATACTATTTAGGGCTCAGTCTTACACTCAGGTTTTCTGAGCCTGAACTGGCACTAGGGCTAGCAAAGACTTTTATGGGCTTATTTTTCCCCAAAAGCAGAGAACTGATAAAATCACACGACCTTGAAACTAAGCATCTCTTGTTATTTGTCTTTAACTCCTCCTGTCCTTTAAAGCATTCTTTCTAAGAGTAGTGAGGACTAAGCTCTGATTTTTTTTAATCTTGCCCAACTCCTATCTAAGGGGTCTGGGGAGTCATGCCCTACAAACCATAAATTCTCATCAGATGGGTTTTATTTAACCCTGTATATCGTGACTTACTTTGCAATCTGACTCTGGCATAACAAGGAAGAAAATAAAAATATTTTACCCCAAAACATTTTTCTGCCATATTTTGAAATGGCCCTGCAAAGCCACCCCTTGTGGGAAAAATCCACATTCTATAGAGAATCCCCTTTCCCCTTCCTTTTTTTTCCTTCCTTCCTTTCCAGATCCAGGTGATAGTCAACTAAGAGCTAGGTGCCCTTTTAGGTCAGATAAGAAACATTTTACAACCTGCTCTCCCTGAAGTCGGCTGAGAGCTTCCTCTGCACAACAAAACTTGGTCTCCACAATCCTTTACCTTAACCTGAACATTTATTTTCTATTGATCCTAGGTCTTCAGATAAACGCAACCAATTGTCTACCAGAAAATATTTAAATTTACCTATAGCCTGGAAGCCCCTGCCCCCCCACCCGCCCACTCTGCTTTGAGTTGTCCTGCCTTTCTGAGCCAAACCAATGTATTTCTTAAATGTATTTGATTGATGTCTCATGCCTCCCTAAAATATATAAAACCAAGCGCTGTGCCCCGCTCACCTTGGGCACATGTTCTCGGGACCTCCTGAGGGTGTGTCACGGGCCATGGTCACTCATATTTGGCTCAGAATAAATCTCTTCAAATATTTTACAGAGTTTGACTCTTTTCATCAACAGTAGTTACTTCATTTTCTGAGTTCACATTGGACTGCCCCATGCCTGCTAAACACACACACACACACACACACAGACGCACGCAGAAGCACATGCACATATGCACACACGCACAAAGCGTTGTGAAGGAAAAGAAGGCAGTGATTCTGTTTCCTAAAGAAAACCGTGGTAATTATGAGACCAATTCCATCTGACTTCCATTCCGGGTGTCACTAAATAGCTTTGAGGACTGGGGCATGGAATAGAATGCAGAGGCCTTCTTTAAAGTGAGCTAAATTGACTGTAGCATTCCCCTCAAATTGGTGGGAGGTAAGAGGGCTTTCCAGAATGGAAATGGAAATGTTCCAAACTGCAGAAGTGCTTTTCTTTAGAAAAGACTGTTGGTAAGATTTCACAAAAGTTTATTAAAGATGATACACAGATGATACAAAGCTCTTTATTTCAGTCTGTACTTCTAAGCTTAAAAATCTAAGCAAAAAATCCAGTAGTTGGATTTCCAAGCCTATTTAAGAGGCTACAAAGTAGTCATTCCTATAACAGCCACAGATATATATATATAATTGTAATCCCAATTACAATAGGGTCATTTCTTAAATCTGTATATCATAAGCCTGCACAATAGAAATATTCAGAGCACAAACTTTGGGGCCAGATAGATCTGGACATGGAGCAAGCCTTTGCTACCAGTTAGCTGCAGCAAGACATGTTGCTTTGACATTTGACTCAGTTCTATTATCTGAAAAATGAAGGAAATAATGCCTGCTCTTTACTTTTCTTTGAGAGAATTAAGTATGTCACATAACATTGAGAGGGTTACCAACTTCTCCTAGTTTATCCTGGTTTATCCAGGGCCGATAAGTTTTGTTTGTTTGTTTTGTTTTGTTTTGAGACAGTCTCTCTCTGTCACAAGGCTGGAGTGCAGTGGCTCAATCTTTGCTCACTGCAACCTCTGCCTCCCAGGTTCAAGAGATTCTCCTGCCTCAGCCTCCCGAGTAGCTGGGACTACAGGCGTGCACCACACCTAGCTAATTTTTGTATTTTTAGTAGAGACGGGATTTCATCATGTTGGCCAGGCTGGTCTCGAACTCCTGACCTTGTGGTCCACCCGCATCAGCCTCCCAAAGTGCTGGAATTACAGGCGTGAGCCAGCCACCACGCCCGGCCCGCCAAAAAGTTTTAAAACTAAAAGTCCCACATCCCAGAAACCTACTCAGGCCCCAGCAAACCAGGACGGTTAGTCACCTCAATTATAGCTATTAACATTAATTTTATTTGTAAAAAGATGATGTCAGTCAAACAGCAAATTAAAATATAAAGCCTCATTATACTGAAACGATGACTACTGCTACTACTACTTCTAAATGGCAACAACAATAACTCTAAAAGTTGTGCTTCCAGATAAAGGACAAACTAAAGTTCTGTAACTCCCATGATATGGGCTCAAAAAGTTCCAAGCCGTAAACAAATCCACTTTCAAATAATGACACTGTATTTAAGTTAGCAAATTAAATAATTAGAACAACAATGCATTTTCTCAGAAATGTTTTATGAAAGAGAAGCTTTTGAATTTGAGACATTGCCGGAAAAGTACCCAACCAAAAGCAGTCGTGAGGATGTTTAAGAGGTTGGTAGTCGTTGCAATTGAGGACTAAACTCTGATTTTTTTATCTTGCCCAAATTCCTATCTAAGGGGCCTGGGGAGTCATAACCTACAAACCATAAATTCTCATCAGATAGGTTTTGTTTGACCCTGTATATTGTGTTTTACTTTCCAGTCTGACTCTGGCATAACAAGGAAGAAAATCAAAATGTTTTACCCCAAAATATATTTTCTTGACATATCTTGAAATTGCCCCACAGAGTCTCTTGTGGGAAAAATCCACATTCTATAGAGAATCCTTTTTCCTCTGTTTTCCTTCCTTCCTTCCCAGATCCAGGAGATAATCAACTAAGAGCCAGCCACCCCTATAAGTCTGTAAAAAATTTACAACCTGCTCTCTCTATAGTCTGCCATCTAAGAGCTTCCTCTACACAATAAAACTTGGTCTCCACAATCCTTTTTCTTAACCTGAACATTCCTTTCTGCAGATCCCAGGTCTTTAGACAAACTCAACCAGAAAATGTTTAAATTTACCTATAGCCTGGAAGCCCCCCACCCGCCACCTGCCCACTTTGCTTTGAGTTGTCCTGCCTTTTTAAACCAAACCAATGTGTTTCTTAAATGTATTTGACTGATGTCTCATGCCTCCCTAAAATATATAAAACCAAGCTGTGCCCCAACCACCTTGGGCACATACTCTCAGGATCTCCTGAGGGCTGTGTCATGGGCCATGGTCACTCATATTTGGTTCAGAATAAATCTCTTCAAATATTGTAGAGTTTGACTCTTTTCATCAACACAATCTAGTTACATCTCAAAAACCTTAGATTTCAAGCCCAAGCAAGAGAGAGAAAGAAGATGAGAAAAAGAATCACAATGCCAGATATTTTATCTAGAAGTTTGGAGAAGTGAGTTGTTTTGCCCTCCGCTGAGAAGAGCAATATAAACACAAGAAACAATCACACCATTTTGTCCCTCAGTGCCTGTGATGCTTTATACAACGTATTTTCCCCTCTGATGTAGTTTCCAGCCAGCCAAACCTTTTTTAACATCACCCCCCATACCTTTTTAATGACAGGAAAAGAAAATGTGTTTCTATTGCAATTACTGGCTTAAAAAAAAAAAAGTATGGCCCCCAATTCCATAATGAGAGGAGCCTAATTAGCACCTTTTTCTCATGCAGCTGTGCCAATCCTTCCTCTACTTCTAACATTCTTGTTTTGTGAGTTTTATCACCATTGACTCTTGTTAATGGGCCACCTCTGGCTTCTCACCTAGTTTTACAGCTTTTCAACTCTTTCCTTACCTCATTTTAATTTCTGCAGCTTTAGTACCCCATGAATCATAGATTTTAGTCTTCTTGATACTGCCTCTTTAATTAAAAGTAGCCTGCCATTTCTCAAGGGTAACCAGATTGACCGTGATAACCTCTTGGCAGTCTCTGACCCAGATGGACTTGTTTATCTTGGGGTTCAGATGTCAATAATCAGCCCATTTCCTGTGGAGGTTGGGACAGCTTGGCTGCTCCTGGAGACCTGGATTCAAGACTGCAGATACCTTTGTTCAGCCTTTTCTCACTTTCCCCCCAAATGGAAATAGAGATGTTCTCAGCTTTGCTTGAACTCCACAAATATATCTGTACCTAACATGGGATTATACAAACCTTTTCATAGTTCTTTGCAGACAACAAAGAAAAACATGGCTTCTGAGATTATGATGTGTGAGACACCAATTTTTCTGTATAAGTAGTATTTTTAATTATAAAAGGAAGACATAATTATGGCAAAAAGAAATTCAAAGAGTAGAGAAGGGCTTCTAGTGCCTTCCCCAGAGATAATTATGGCTAATATTTTCTTATGGAATGTTGCAGGGATTTTCTAGGCATATAGAAGCATAGGGCTCTGTTATTCTCTCTCCCTATGTTCTTTACTTCCTTCCTGGCCTTTAACCACAGTTTAAATTATGCATTTATTTTTTAACTTCTTTTTTGCTTCCTCCTCATATTGTAAACTTCAAGACAGTAGGAACCTAGTCTATTTCATTCATTTATAGTATTGCCCAGACTCTAATTTAGTGCCTGTCGCATAATAGACACTCAGTAAATAATTTGACCATGAACACATGTGTGAAGACAAATCTTCAGAAAGAAAAGAAAAGAAAAATCCCTGGGAACAGAAACTGTGTGCATTGCCCTGCCTCAGTGTCCCAGAACTTTCCTACAAGATTTCAGTTACATCCATGATTAATCATTCCTTGCCCCATCCCTGAGAGACAGGTGGGAATGTTATTGTATTCGCTTTCCCAATGAGGCAGCTGAAACCACTCAGGCAAATGCAATTAACTCAAGGCCAATGTCAATATGGGTGATGAGTCAAACTAAAGATGGTGGCCCCAGGTTTCATATCCCACCTCTCACAACTCTGCCAAAGCTCACTCTAAATTCTCCGCCATTAAGTTTCAGATAATGGGAAGGAAGAACTTGGGGCTTAGATGGAGACAGACCTGGGTTTGAATTTGAACACAGCCAAATCATGACTCCTTGGGCCATGTTGACCAGATATCTAGTTTCTGAGCCTCTGTTTTCCCAGGTAGGAAATGATGTTGCTTACCTTTTAGAGTTGTAAGGGTTAAAAATGATGTCATAGTGTGTCTGGCACGTTGTAGGCACGTCAAAATATTAGTTTTATCCTCTCTTCCTTCCCAAAAGATTAAAGACGAGAGCTTTGGCAGCTGCAACTCCAGATGTTTGACTTCTTTTCAGACAGGTCTCATGAAAGGAAGATACACAATAACACACCCTAATTGTTCTCAAATTCTGTGAATGTATTTGCTGCTGCTTTGTGAATTTGTACGGCATTAATGCAAGGTCAGTCAGGGGATATTTGATCTTAGCAACTCCACCAAGGGCCAGCTGCTAGCCTCAGAACGCAGGGGTCAGACTATGCTGCAGGTAAAACTCTTAAGATTCCTCCAAGCCTGGAGCACATTCTGTGCAGACCGCAGCCCCCTTCCCCATCTACACTTAGACTTACTCACCCTGGGAGTTTGTATCGAGTGCCAAAAGGAGTTGTTGCTTTTCAACTTGAACTTCAGATAGAAGATCAGACATTAGGAAGGCAGCAGAACCTGCTTTAGAAAAGCAACTGGGCAACCACAGAACAGTCATCACAGGATAGTGGTGCAGAGCTGGGATGGGTGGGGTTGAAGCTATGGGAACCTTTTCTAATCTGAGTGATGACTAGGCTGTCTCAGTTAATCAACACGTAGGTAGTGAGTACCTGTTAGGTTCATAACCCTAAAGTAGGCTCAGGAGTCAAGGGAAGAATATAAAGAAAAATAAGGCAGTGTCTGCCCTGAGAGCCTTCCAGTTGAACTGGTTTGACTGCAGACCCTTACATGAATACCGAGTCTTACAAATCTCTACAAGAGGTAGCAGCCAGTAGGTAGGTGCACATCTCTGTATTGCTAAATTCCTTCCTTTTTCCCCAGGCTTGCACTAGAAAGGACACCAAAGTGCCCTTCTAATAGCTTCCCCTCTCTGGTTTTCCCAGAGGTTTCTGTTGTTCGCTCCCTCCTTTTAATGTCCTGTTTTTGTTTTTCTGGGAGAGACTCATATTTACTTTCCAAACTCTCCCTTGATATGTCTCATATTAGTGTTATCCAGGAGAAATCCTGGGCTGGTCCTAACCTCCTGTCTTGATCAGGTCTCCTATCTCTGTGGACCTTCACCTGTCTTTCCCAGACTGGGCCAGGCCTTGCCAATGATGTTGACCAGACACTGGGGGAGGGGACAGGAGGAGGAGCGGGAGAAAACTCCTTAGCTGAGAATCAGTCCCCATGCTAGTTCCTTTAGCACGGTCCAGTCACTTTGTCAAGAATAATAAAGCAACTTGAAAATATGCAGCTTCTGAAGACAGGAGGGTTCCCTGGAAGGCCAGCCACATGTCAGAGCCTTTTCTACTTGAGCTATGGCCACATATACATTTTTACTGTAGCTGAATACTTGAGGAGGTATTTTAAGGGGTGGGGGGGAATAAGAGTCCTAAGCCTAAGGAAATGGCACATTCAGGTTAGAGAGTAAATGTTTGGAGGCAGCCCAAAGTTCCTGAACAACTAATTAGTGGGAGAAGACAAGCAACTACAGCGCTGCCTCTCGTGTTGTTTGTTGAGCTCAGGTAGGGAGTAGGATGAAGGAGACCAAGCCAATGATTTATCAGACACTCTGGAGTCAGTAAGGCCCCAAATGACTGGGGAAATCAAGGTGCAATAGAGAAAGAGAAAGAGCTCCCCACTGAGACAGTCAGTTCCAATTTATGAAAGATCATTTTTGCCACAATCTTCTTGCCAGTTAACACCTATTAACACCAGGCATAAGGCGGGGGGATTGGAGGGAATTGACAAAAAGGAAGATATGGTTTGTTTGATGGGACATGAAGTGGAGAAGGGCTCCAAACACAAGGTGCTGTTGCTCACAGCCATAAGCAACATTAGTTGCCCCATCACCCTTTGGAAAGCAGTTTAAACGTGAGGTGGCATCTGCATTAAATAGAGTAGCTGCTACCCCTGACTAGTGACCTTCTACTTCCTTCATAGCACCATTCAGAGTCTATAAATGCTTTATTTATTCTATATTATTTGGCTCCCAACCCACCTCCATTAAAACTAGCAGCTGCTTCAGAGCAAAAGCCATGTCTGTCTTTTCTACCCCTGGATCCTTGGCACTGGAACAGTGCCTGGCACCTAGACAGCACTCAATGAACATTTGATGAATGAATCTTAAGAGTAGTTATAGGAACTGATTAAAAAATTTTCCAGGCCTCGCAAGGATTGCCTTTCACATACAAATTTGTTTTGTAAATCTGAATGGCAGCACTGCAGTAGGCCTGTGGATGAGGACACATGCTTCATGAAAGGGATCTTCTAGAGAAGGAAAGCTTTAAAAAAAAATGCCGAAGAACCACCAACCAGGTGGCCTGATGGTGCCTAAGGGGAGCGTGGTGAAATGCTAGTAGCTCATATAGGGGTGCAATGGAAGACTGGAAGAGGCAAGTGGATACTGACTGAGCCAGATACTGAAAATGCACAAAGCTTAGGCCCAGAGTCTAAGAGACACACTAGGAAAAAAACAGTATATCAAAGGCCCAGGAGGGAATAGGAAGAAAAGTATTTTCTTTGGGCAAATAGTAGGCAGTTGAGAGCCTGCCTGAGTGTTGGTATGAGGTAGCTCTGCTGACAGAAGCATCAATCACAGGTAAACTTAGCTTCTAAACATCTTAGACAGAAAACCTTTGCGTTGGCCTTTGAGGGACTCAGAATGGCCAGTGACTGGTGAGGTCGCAGGATGTAAAGACCACTGATTATCTTTTAAATATAAACCGTTAAAACTAAAGTTATCAGCTCCCTGATCTTATTTTGAAAACAGTTACAACACAGCCATGTTCATTTAATTATGAAAACAAAAGCTGCACAGGCTGCTCATTGATATGCATCATCTGCCCAGGGGTGCTGCGTTGGGCAGGTGTGTGTGGTCATCACTCCTCTGTGACAGTTTCCACTGCTGCTGAAGCCCTACGGGGGCTGACTCTGCCCGCCCCATTTTAAAGCCCCATGAGCTCCCAAAGTGTGTGGGGTGTGTGTGTATGTGCGGCATGGGGGCATGCTTTCCCTAGCTATATCTGAGTCTCAATTCCCATCTGTAAATTGGAGACAACAATGTCAACATTATAGAGTTAGTGTGAGGATTAAGAGATAACATAACAAAGTGCTTTGCACCCTATGTCATACCTAGACCACATATGAATAAATACTTGGTAGTGGCCGGGTGCAATGGCTCACGCCTATAATCCTAGCACTTTGGTAGGGTGAGGCAGAAGGATTGCTTGAGCTCAGGAGTTTGAGACCAGCCTGGGCAACATAGTGAGATCTCCTCTCTGCAAATAATTAACAAATTGGCTGGGCATGGTGGTGCATGCCTATGGTCCCAGTTAGTTGGGAGGCTGTGCTTGAGCCCAGGCATTAGAGGCTGCAGAGGGCAGTGACCGAACCACTGCACTCCAGCCTGGGTGATAGAGTGAGACCCCATCTATAAATAAATAGATAAATACATAAATTAATTAATTAATTAATAAGTAGTTGCTACCACAAGGAAGACAGACTAAGCACAACTTACTGATTTTTAATTCTTTTGTTCCATAACTGGAACTCAACCACTGCTAGTTAGAGTATAAAGCAGCATAACCACTTTGGAAAACTATTTGTCAATGTCTATGAAAGTCAAATATACCCCTGTCCTGTGACCCAACAATTCCACTCCTAGGTATATTCCCAAAAGAAGTGCTGTCCACCAAACCATGCACACAAACATTAAAAGCTGTATTGTTCACAATAGCCCCAAACTGGAAACAACCCAAATGTTTATCAAGTAAAATGGGTAAATTGCAGTGTATTCATATAAGGAAATATACATAACGATGAAAATGAGAAAATTATTGCAACTCAGAACAATATGGGTGATTTTCACAAGGATAATGTTGAGCAAAAGAAGCCAGACATGAAAAAGCTCACACTTGTATGATTCTATTTATAAGTCTCAAACCAAACTGATCTATAATACTAGGAGTGAGAAGAATGGTGACATTGTGGATTTCTGGGCTGGTGATAATGTTCTATGTCTTCATCTGCATGATGGTTACATGGATGTGCCACCTTATAAGAATTCATTGAAGTTATGAGTTGCATTTCTTTGTGTATGTATGTGGTATGTGGTAGCCTGCATTATTGCTCCTAATTCTTTGCTCTCTCTCCACTTTGGACGGAGTATGTTTCCCTGCTTAAAGTTGGGCTTGTCCATTTGACTTGCTTTGGCCAATGGGATATTAGTCAGTATGATGTGAGCAGAGACACGAAATGCGTTCAAGTAGTTTGGTTTTGCCCCCTTGGGTTTCTGCCATAGTCATAAGAATATACCCCAGAAAGCTGCTGCTTTCTTGGCCTGGTTTCCAGAATAATATATATGGAACAGACTGAGCCAGCCCTGGAAAAGTCAGACTGAGCCTTTTTAAGTTACAGCTGACCATGGTGGCAGTGGTGGGGGTGGCGGGAGGGTGTTGTCTCAAGCAACTGAATGTTGCTGTGTTTTGTTATGCAGCATTATTGAGGCAACAACTGACTAATACACTATTCATTTTTAAAATGTACTTGAAGCTATGTTCTATCTTCTTAATAGAAACCTTTTCTGATTTAAAGCTACCAATATCCTTCTACAACACTTATATGGCCTTATTCATGTAACTCAATCAAATGAACCTCAGTTTCCTTGTCTATAAAATGGGGATAATGCTTACTTCACAATGCTCTTAGGGGAACTTAAGGAGCCAGTAGACTTAAAAGCACTTTGTAAACTGCAAAACATAATTTTAAAGTGATGGATGGGGGGGCAGGAAATGAGGTGGGGAAACAAGTGTATGGATCATGCCATCCACCAGGCAAAGCTGCTTCCTCTTGACCACGGCTTATCCTGGCTCAGAGGGTAAGGGCACAAGTGTGGGAAGGAGACTAGAAGACAAATATCTGGGCCTGTGGTAGAGCAGTCATCAAGCTTTTGAACGTAGTTCTGTGGGTCCAGACTGTCTTGAGAGATGGCAATGATGATTAGGTCTCTAGAAGGCCACCTAATGCACAGGCAAAGTAGACAATACAGAACTCTATTAAGGACACCACAACCCTGAAGTCTACACCCCTCATTACCTTCTCCAGTGTCTGCAGGGCCACCATTAGTGTTTCATTTAAGTGGATTATGGTGCTGTGTGCCTAACTATCCCCTGTTAATCCTTACTGCCATTCTTATCTATATCCTAGTTTATAAGAGGAGGCTCATCTGTTCACTCATTTTGTATTATTTCCATTGTGTGGATAATGAACGTGAGATTCTGAGAGATTAAGTCATTTCTGAAAGGCCTTTAGTTAGTGAGCTTTAGAGATGAATTTGCAACAGGTTTTCTGACCAAAACTTAGAGAGGCAACTCACTGATATGAGCAAGAATTCCATCATTAGATAATGAGTTGTACTCTCAGAAAACAGGTGGCATTGGCCCGAGGGGACAGGACCAGTAAGTTTTTGGAACTGGGGACTAACCTGATTAAGCCTATCAAACTTAACCTGCATTGCTTGCTTTTAATCACTCACTTCTAGTTAATCTTAAAACCCATATAGCTGAAAGTCCCATAGCTAACCAATCCACTAGCTTTGTTACAGACTACATATCTGACATATAGATCACCACTGTAACAGTTGCTTAAAGTTGTTTTTCAGGAACTTGGGCTTAGCTCTTGTCCAGTTAAAGCCAGTTGAGATCACTGACCCTTCAAC